>NC_000011.10:92802896-93430109 GCF_000001405.40 Homo sapiens | reverse complement strand
AAGCCAGAGAACATAAGAGTATCAAGACAACAAGATTAAGAAAGAAAGATGAATACTTCAGAATGTGCATTTAATTAGCAACTAGAAGATCGGCAGTAGTCTTGATAGGAATGGTACTGATGTGGATGTCAAAATGCATTAGAAGATGGAAACCACTAGACCTAGAACAGTGGCTTCCCGTAGGATTTTTAAGGCCTCCATCACAGATTAGGTTCCCCATGCCCAGTTCCTAGAAGAGTTGAGAATTTTCTCTCCTGGTTACTCTGGAGGTTAGGAATTCCTTAAAAGAGTAATGTAGAATTTTAGAGATAGAAGGAAGCCCCATGTTATTAAATCAAATCAACAGATACTTCTGCATGTCTTTTATGTGCCTACTAGTGCTGACCCTATTTTAGGTGTTGGGTTACCACAAAAACAAAAATAGAAAACACCCCCTGCTTTCATGGAGCATACATTCTAAAGGAGGGAGGGCAAGCAACAAAATGTCTCATAGTGAAGTGCTATGAAAAAAGGCAAGATGAGGGGCAGGGAGTGAAGAGGAAGGTGCTATTGTGGACTGGTTGCTTAGGCATCTCTGATAAGGTGATATTTGAGCGGACACTAATTGTGATCCTAAAAATCCTAAAATCATCTGACACTAGCACAGTGGAGTATTTAGCAACTTTTTCCATTGCTTGACTGAAATATGTGCTTACTTTAAGTCCTTAGTGATCAAAGTTTTATTGATGCAGAATTTGCAAAGTCCCCTTAGAATTTCTCATAACTTAAATGAGGAATTTTATTTAGTTTACATTATTGGTATGTATTTTAGTCTGTTCAAATAATGTTGGCATTTTATGTTGAGATGAACACAAAAGAGCATTTCAGGGCTTTAGACATCTCTAATACTTCAAAAGCTAATGGTTTTAAGCATTCTTCTACCAAAATAGCTTAACTTTACTTCTAGTCTCTACTATTACAAGGCAAAACCAACATATAAGCAACAAAGGGCTTATATCAAGAATAGAAAGGATACCCATAAATCAATAATAATAAAGACAATCCAACAGAAAATTAAGTGAGGAAATTGAACGGATATTTTATAATGGATATCAAAATGGCCAATAAACATATGAATGGTGCTCAGTCTCATTATTCACCAGAGAAACATGAATTAAAACCACACAATAGGATCTTACTACACACTGACCATAATAGCTAAATTTAAAAAGGCCTATATTACCATGTGTTAGACAGTAGAGCAAGGACAACTCTTTTTCTTTTTAATTTATGATTTCACTTAAAATAACTTTTAATAAAAGGCTTATATATAAAAACAGGTTAATGATTGCCTATGACCAGGGTAATGAAATCAGTAAATACAAAAGAGATGAATTTCTTTTTCCACAGTGGTAAGGTTATTTCAAAATTAGATTGTGATTATGGCTGTCTGTAAGTACACTTTAAAAACTTGGAATTGTACACTTAAAACATGTGATGGTTTTGTTATAAAACTTTTTTTTAATTTTATTATTATTATACTTTAAGTTTTAGGGTACATGTGCACAATGTGCAGGTTTGTTACATATGTATACATGTGCCATGTTGGTGTGCTGCACCCATTAACTCGTCATTTAGCATTAGGTATATCTCCTAATGCTATCCCTCCCACCTCCCCCCACCCCACAACAGTCTCCAGAGTGTGATGTTCCCTTTCCTGTGTCCATGTATTCTCATTGTTCAATGCCCATCAATGAGTGAGAACATGTGGTGTTTGGTTTTTTGTTCTTGAGATAGTTTGCTGAGAATGATGGTTTCCAGTTTCATCCATGTCCCTACAGAGGACATGAACTCATCATTTTTTATGGCTGCATAGTATTCCATGGTGTACATGTGCCACATTTTCTTAATCCAGTCTATCATTGTTGGACATTTGGGTTGGTTCCAAGTCTTTGCT
The DNA here is from genome assembly GCF_000001405.40 of Homo sapiens. NCBI lineage: Eukaryota > Metazoa > Chordata > Mammalia > Primates > Hominidae > Homo > Homo sapiens. The sequence continues at coordinate 93,428,173 of NC_000011.10, read as the reverse complement.
ATTGTGAATAGTGCCGCAATAAACATACATGTGCATGTGTCTTTATAGCAGCATGATTTATAATCCTTTGGGTATATAGGGATCTAGTTCTAGATCCCTGAGGAATCGCCACACTGACTTCCACAATGGTTGAACTAGTTTACAGTCCCACCAACAGTGTAAAAGTGTTCCTATTTCTCCACATCCTCTCCAGCACCTGTTGTTTCCTGACTTTTTAATGATTGCCATTCTAACTGGCATGAGATGGTATCTCATTGTGGTTTTGATTTGCATTTCTCTGATGCAGTGATGATGAGCATTTTTTCATGTGTTTTTTGGCTGCATAAATGTCTTCTTTTGAGAAGTGTCTGTTCATGACCTTCGCCGACTTTTTGATGGGGTTGTTTGTTTTTTTCTTGTAAATTTGTTTGAGTCGATTGTAGATTCTGGATATTAGCCCTTTGTCAGATGAGTAGGTTGTGAAAAGTTTCTCCCATTTTGTAGGTTGCCTGTTCACTCTGATGGTAGTTTCTTTTGCTGTGCAGAAGCTCTTTAGTTTAATTAGATCCCATTTGTCAATTTTGGCTTTTGTTGCCATTGCTTTTGGTGTTTTAGACATGAAGTCCTTGCCCATGCCTATGTCCTGAATGGTATTGCCTAGGTTTTCTTCTAGGGTTTTTATGGTTTTAGGTCTAACATTTAACTCTTTAATCCATCTTGAATTAATTTTTGTATAAGGTGTAAGGAAGGGATGCAGTTTCAGCTTTCTACATATGGCTAGCCAGTTTTCCCAGCACCATTTATTAAATAGGGAATCCTTTCCCCATTGCTTATTTTTGTCAGGTTTGTCAAAGATCAGATGGTTGTAGATATGCGGCATTATTTCTGAGGGCTCTGTTATGTTCCATTGATCTATATTTCTGTTTTGGTACCAGTACCATGCTGTTTTGGTTACTGTAGCCTTGTAGTATAGTTTGAAGTCAGGTAGCATGATGCCTCCAGCTTTGTTCTTTTGGCTTAGGATTGACTTGGCGATGTGGGCTCTTTTTTGGTTCCATATGAACTTTAAAGTAGTTTCTTCCAATTTTTTGAAGAAAGTCATTGGTAGCTTGATGCGGATGGCACTGAATCTACAAATTACCTTGGGCAGTATGGCCATTTTCTTTTTTTTTTTTTTTTTTTCTTTTTTTTTTTTTTTTTATTATACTCTAAGTTTTAGGGTACATGTGCACATTGTGCAGGTTAGTTACATATGTATACATGTGCCATGCTGGTGCGCTGCACCCACTAATGTGTCATCTAGCATTAGGTATATCTCCCAATGCTATCCCTCCCCCCTCCCCCGACCCCACCACAGTCCCCAGAGTGTGATATTCCCCTTCCTGTGTCCATGTGATCTCATTGTTCAATTCCCACCTATGAGTGAGAATATGCGGTGTTTGGTTTTTTGTTCTTGCGATAGTTTACTGAGAATGATGGTTTCCAATTTCATCCATGTCCCTACAAAGGATATGAACTCATCATTTTTTATGGCTGCATAGTATTCCATGGTGTATATGTGCCACATTTTCTTAATCCAGTCTATCATTGTTGGACATTTGGGTTGGTTCCAAGTCTTTGCTATTGTGAATAGTGCCGCAATAAACATACGTGTGCATGTGTCTTTATAGCAGCATGATTTATACTCATTTGGGTATATACCCAGTAATGGGATGGCTGGGTCAAATGGTATTTCTAGTTCTAGATCCCTGAGGAATCGCCACACTGACTTCCACAATGGTTGAACTAGTTTACAGTCCCACCAACAGTGTAAAAGTGTTCCTATTTCTCCGCATCCTCTCCAGCACCTGTTGTTTCCTGACTTTTTAATGATTGCCATTCTAACTGGTGTGAGATGATATCTCATAGTGGTTTTGATTTGCATTTCTCTGATGGCCAGTGATGATGAGCATTTCTTCATGTGTTTTTTGGCTGCATAAATGTCTTCTTTTGAGAAGTGTCTGTTCATGTCCTTCGCCCACTTTTTGATGGGGTTGTTTGTTTTTTTCTTGTAAATTTGTTTGAGTTCATTGTAGATTCTGGATATTAGCCCTTTGTCAGATGAGTAGGTTGCGAAAATTTTCTCCCATGTTGTAGGTTGCCTGTTCACTCTGATGGTAGTTTCTTTTGCTGTGCAGAAGCTCTTTAGTTTAATTAGATCCCATTTGTCAATTTTGTCTTTTGTTGCCATTGCTTTTGGTGTTTTGGACATGAAGTCCTTGCCCACGCCTATGTCCTGAATGGTAATGCCTAGGTTTTCTTCTAGGGTTTTTATGGTTTTAGGTTTAACGTTTAAATCTTTAATCCATCTTGAATTGATTTTTGTATAAGGTGTAAGGAAGGGATCCAGTTTCAGCTTTCTACATATGGCTAGCCAGTTTTCCCAGCACCATTTATTAAATAGGGAATCCTTTCCCCATTGCTTGTTTTTCTCAGGTTTGTCAAAGATCAGATAGTTGTAGATATGTGGCATTATTTCTGAGGGCTCTGTTCTGTTCCATTGATCTATATCTCTGTTTTGGTACCAGTACCATGCTGTTTTGGTTACTGTAGCCTTGTAGTATAGTTTGAAGTCAGGTAGTGTGATGCCTCCAGCTTTGTTCTTTTGGCTTAGGATTGACTTGGCAATGCGGGCTCTTTTTTGGTTCCATATGAACTTTAAAGTAGTTTTTTCCAATTCTGTGAAGAAAGTCATTGGTAGCTTGATGGGGATGGCATTGAATCTGTAAATTACCTTGGGCAGTATGGCCATTTTCACGATATTGATTCTTCCTACCCATGAGCATGGAATGTTCTTCCATTTGTTTGTCTCCTCTTTTATTTCCTTGAGCAGTGGTTTGTAGTTCTCCTTGAAGAGGTCCTTCACATCCCTTGTAAGTTGGATTCCTAGGTATTTTATTCTCTTTGAAGCAATTGTGAATGGGAGTTCACCCATGATTTGGCTCTCTGTTTGTCTGTTGTTGGTGTATAAGAATGCTTGTGATTTTTGTACATTGATTTTGTATCCTGAGACTTTGCTGAAGTTGCTTATCAGCTTAAGGAGATTTTGGGCTGAGACGATGGGGTTTTCTAGATATACAATCATGTCGTCTGCAAACAGGGACAATTTGACTTCCTCTTTTCCTAATTGAATACCCTTTATTTCCTTCTCCTGCCTGATTGCCCTGGCCAGAACTTCCAACACTATGTTGAATAGGAGCGGTGAGAGAGGGCATCCCTGTCTTGTGCCGGTTTTCAAAGGGAATGCTTCCAGTTTTTGCCCATTCAGTATGATATTGGCTGTGGGTTTGTCATAGATAGCTCTTATTATTTTGAAATACGTCCCATCAATACCTAATTTATTGAGAGTTTTTAGCATGAAGCGTTGTTGAATTTTGTCAAAGGCTTTTTCTGCATCTATTGAGATAATCATGTGGTTTTTGTCTTTGGCTCTGTTTATATGCTGGATTACATTTATTGATTTGCGTATATTGAACCAGCCTTGCATCCCAGGGATGAAGCCCACTTGATCATGGTGGATAAGCTTTTTGATGTGCTGCTGGATTCGGTTTGCCAGTATTTTATTGAGGATTTTTGCATCAATGTTCATCAAGGATATTGGTCTAAAATTCTCTTTTTTGGTTGTGTCTCTGCCCGGCTTTGGTATCAGAATGATGCTGGCCTCATAAAATGAGTTAGGGAGGATTCCCTCTTTTTCTATTGATTGGAATAGTTTCAGAAGGAATGGTACCAGTTCCTCCATGTACCTCTGGTAGAATTCGGCTGTGAATCCATCTGGTCCTGGACTCTTTTTGGTTGGTAAACTATTGATTATTGCCACAATTTCAGAGCCTGTTATTGGTCTATTCAGAGATTCAACTTCTTCCTGGTTTAGTCTTGGGAGAGTGTATGTGTCGAGGAATGTATCCATTTCTTCTAGATTTTCTAGTTTATTTGCGTAGAGGTGTTTGTAGTATTCTCTGATGGTAGTTTGTATTTCTGTGGGATCGGTGGTGATATCCCCTTTATCATTTTTTATTGTGTCTATTTGATTCTTCTCTCTTTTTTTCTTTATTAGTCTTGCTAGCGGTCTATCAATTTTGTTGATCCTTTCAAAAAACCAGCTCCTGGATTCATTGATTTTTTGAAGGGTTTTTTGTGTCTCTATTTCCTTCAGTTCTGCTCTGATTTTAGTTATTTCTTGCCTTCTGCTAGCTTTTGAATGTGTTTGCTCTTGCTTTTCTAGTTCTTTTAATTGTGATGTTAGGGTGTCAATTTTGGATCTTTCCTGCTTTCTCTTGTAGGCATTTAGTGCTATAAATTTCCCTCTACACACTGCTTTGAATGCGTCCCAGAGATTCTGGTATGTGGTGTCTTTATTCTCGTTGGTTTCAAAGAACATCTTTATTTCTGCCTTCATTTCGTTATGTACCCAGTAGTCATTCAGGAGCAGGTTGTTCAGTTTCCATGTAGTTGAGCGGCTTTGAGTGAGATTCTTAATCCTGAGTTGTAGTTTGATTGCACTGTGGTCTGAGAGATAGTTTGTTATAATTTCTGTTCTTTTACATTTGCTGAGGAGAGCTTTACTTCCAACTATGTGGTCAATTTTGGAATAGGTGTGGTGTGGTGCTGAAAAAAAGGTATATTCTGTTGATTTGGGGTGGAGAGTTCTGTAGATGTCTATTAGGTCTGCTTGGTGCAGAGCTGAGTTCAATTCCTGGGTATCCTTGTTGACTTTCTGTCTCGTTGATCTGTCTAATGTTGACAGTGGGGTGTTAAAGTCTCCCATTATTAATGTGTGGGAGTCTAAGTCTCTTTGTAGGTCACTGAGGACTTGCTTTATGAATCTGGGTGCTCCTGTATTGGGTGCATAAATATTTAGGATAGTTAGCTCCTCTTGTTGAATTGATCCCTTTACCATTATGTAATGGCCTTCTTTGTCTCTTTTGATCTTTGTTGGTTTAAAGTCTGTTTTATCAGAGACTAGGATTGCAACCCCTGCCTTTTTTTGTTTTCCATTGGCTTGGTAGATCTTCCTCCATCCTTTTATTTTGAGCCTATGTGTGTCTCTGCACGTGAGATGGGTTTCCTGAATACAGCACACTGATGGGTCTTGACTCTTTATCCAACTTGCCAGTCTGTGTCTTTTAATTGCAGAATTTAGTCCATTTATATTTAAAGTTAATATTGTTATGTGTGAATTTGATCCTGTCATTATGATGTTAGCTGGTGATTTTGCTCATTAGTTGATGCAGTTTCTTCCTAGTCTCGATGGTCTTTACATTTTGGCATGATTTTGCAGCGGCTGGTACCGGTTGTTCCTTTCCATGTTTAGCGCTTCCTTCAGGAGCTCTTTTAGGGCAGGCCTGGTGGTGACAAAATCTCTCAACATTTGCTTGTCTATAAAGTATTTTATTTCTCCTTCACTTATGAAGCTTAGTTTGGCTGGATATGAAATTCTGGGTTGAAAATTCTTTTCTTTAAGAATGTTGAATATTGGCCCCCACTCTCTTCTGGCTTGTAGGGTTTCTGCCGAGAGATCCGCTGTTAGTCTGATGGGCTTTCCTTTGAGGGTAACCCGACCTTTCTCTCTGGCTGCCCTTAACATTTTTTCCTTCATTTCAACTTTGGTGAATCTGACAATTATGTGTCTTGGAGTTGCTCTTCTCGAGGAGTATCTTTGTGGCGTTCTCTGTATTTCCTGAATCTGAACGTTGGCCTGCCTTGCTAGATTGGGGAAGTTCTCCTGGATAATATCCTGCAGAGTGTTTTCCAACTTGGTTCCATTCTCCACATCACTTTCAGGTACACCAGTCAGACGTAGATTTGGTCTTTTCACATAGTCCCATATTTCTTGGAGGCTTTGCTCATTTCTTTTTATTCTTTTTTCTCTAAACTTCCCTTCTCGCTTCATTTCATTCATTTCATCTTCCATTGCTGATACCCTTTCTTCCAGTTGATCGCATCGGCTCCTGAGGCTTCTGCATTCTTCACGTAGTTCTCGAGCCTTGGTTTTCAGCTCCATCAGCTCCTTTAAGCACTTCTCTGTATTGGTTATTCTAGTTATACATTCTTCTAAATTTTTTTCAAAGTTTTCAACTTCTTTGCCTTTGTTTTGAATGTCCTCCCGTAGCTCAGAGTAATTTGATCGTCTGAAGCCTTCTTCTCTCAGCTCGTCAAAATCATTCTCCATCCAGCTTTGTTCTGTTGCTGGTGAGGAACTGCGTTCCTTTGGAGGAGGAGAGGCGCTCTGCGTTTTAGAGTTTCCAGTTTTTCTGTTCTGTTTTTTCCCCATCTTTGTGGTTTTATCTACTTTTGGTCTTTGATGATGGTGATGTACAGATGGGTTTTCGGTGTAGATGTCCTTTCTGGTTGTTAGTTTTCCTTCTAACAGACAGGACCCTCAGCTGCAGGTCTGTTGGAATACCCTGCCGTGTGAGGTGTCAGTGTGCCCCTGCTGGGGGGTGCCTCCCAGTTAGGCTGCTCGGGGGTCAGGAGTCAGGGACCCACTTGAGGAGGCAGTCTGTCTGCCCGTTCTCAGATCTCCAGCTGCGTGCTGGGAGAACCACTGCTCTCTTCAAAGCTGTCAGACAGGGACACTTAAGTCTGCAGAGGTTACTGCTGTCTTTTTGTTTGTCTGTGCCCTGCCCCCAGAGGTGGAGCCTTCAGAGGCAGGCAGGCCTCCTTGAGCTGTGGTGGGCTCCACCCAGTTCGAGCTTCCCGGCTGCTTTGTTTACCTAAGCAAGCCTGGGCAATGGCGGGCGCCCCTCCCCCAGCCTCGTTGCCGCCTTGCAGTTTGATCTCAGACTGCTGTGCTAGCAATCAGCGAGATTCCGTGGGCGTAGGACCCTCCGAGCCAGGTGTGGGATATAGTCTCGTGGTGCGCCGTTTCTTAAGCCGGTCTGAAAAGCGCAATATTCGGGTGGGAGTGACCCGATTTTCCAGGTGCGACCGTCACCCCTTTCTTTGACTCGGAAAGGGAACTCCCTGACCCCTTGCGCTTCCCAGGTGAGGCAATGCCTCGCCCTGCTTCGGCTCGCGCACGGTGCGCACACACACTGGCCTGCGCCCACTGTCTGGCACTCCCTAGTGAGATGAACCCGGTACCTCAGATGGAAATGCAGAAATCACCGTCTTCTGCGTCGCTCACGCTGGGAGCTGTAGACCGGAGCTGTTCCTATTCGGCCATCCGGTATGGCCATTTTCATGATATTGATTCTTCCTACCCATGAGCATGGAATGTTCTTCCATTTGTTTGTATCCTCTTTTATTTCATTGAGCAGTGGTTTGTAGTTCTCCTTGAAGAGGTCCTTCACATCCCTTGTAAGTTGGATTCCTAGGTATTTTATTATCTTTGAAGCAATTGTGAATGGGAGTTCACTCATGATTTGGCTCTCTGTTTGTCTGTTATTGGTGTATAAGAATGCTTGTGATTTTTGCACATTGATTTTGTATCCTGAGAGTTTGCTGAAGTTGCTTATCAACTTAAGGAGATTTTGGGCAGAGACAATGGGGTTTTCTCGATATACAATCATGTCATCTGCAAACAGGGACAATTTGACTTCCTCTTTTCCTAATTGAATACCCTTTATTTCCTTCTCCTGCCTAATTGCCCTGGCCAGAACTTCCAACACTATGTTGAATAGGAGTGGTGAGAGAGGGCATCCCTGTCTTGTGCCAGTTTTCAAAGGGAATGCTTCCAGTTTTTGCCCATTCAGTATGATATTGGCTATGGGTTTGTCATAGATAGCTCTTATGATTTTGAGATACGTCCCATGAATACCTAATTTATTGAGTTTTTAGCATGAAGCATTGTTGAATTTTGTCAAAGGCCTTTTCTGCATCTATTGAGATAATCATGTGGTTTTTGTCTTTGGTTCTGTTTATATGCTGGATTACATTTATTGATTTGCGTATGTTGAACCAGCCTTGCATCCCAGGGATGAAGCCCACTTGATCATGGTGGATAAGCTTTTTGATGTGCTGCTGGATTTGGTTTGCCAGTATTTTATTGAGGATTTTTGCATCAATGTTCATCAAGGATATTGGTCTAAAATTCTCTTATTTGGTTGTGTCTCTGCCAGGCTTTGGTATCAGGATGATGCTGGCCTCATAAAATGAGTTAGGGAGGATTCCCTCTTTTTCTATTGATTGGAATGGTTTCAGAAGGAAGGGTACCAGCTCCTCCTTGTACCTTTGGTAGAATTCGGCTGTGAATCCATCTGGTCCTGGACCTTTTTTGGTTGGTAAGCTATTGATTATTGCCACAATTTCAGAGCCTGTTTTTTTTTTAATTTTTATTTTATTTTATTTTATTTTATTATTTTTTTGAAGGTGTTTTGTTTATTTTTATTTTTTTCCCAGAAAATGGAAAACATGAGAAGGAAAATTTCTCATGCCAACATAAAGAGTAAAGAAGTCCAACTGTTGACATAAACACAAACAGTAATAGTTCTTTATACAGTACTTTGCAGTTCTTGAAAAACTTTAATATATTTAATCTCCTTTAAAACTTGAAACTACTCCTTAAAATGCCCCTTGAGATCGATTTCATCTCTGGAAACGGAAATGAGAAAGGCTAAATACCTTGTGCAAAGTCATGCAACTCATAGTTGGTGGTGCCTAGAAAATAAAACTAGGTGGTTTGACCCATTTCAATGTCAGCACCAGGGGAGGCAAAAGTGACTCCACTTTGAATGCTAATCTGCCATGTTGACTTCTGATTAGCCCCATGACTGCCTCCTGGTTTTCACTTTATTAATGTTTACTTCAACTAGCATAAGAACAAAGCAACCTTGATGCTATCATACAAAGTACAGGCTATGACACACAGCACATTCTTGCCTGTTCTGGAAGGTTGCCTTTAATTGTCTTGCTGAAGAGCGCATCTGCTTTCCTGAAGCTGTATAAGCCTTGGGTCTGAGCAGTAGCAGTGTGGGGATCTGCCTGTCTTGCTGCTATCCAAGCCACAGTTCTGTCTTTTTTTTTTTTATTATTATACTTTAAGTTTTAGGGTACATGTGCACAATGTGCAGGTTAGTTACATATGTATACATGTGACATGCTGGTGCACTGCACCCACTAACTCGTCATCTAGCATTAGGTATATCTCCCAATGCTATCCCTCCCCCCTCCCGCCACCCCACAACAGTCCCCAGAGTGTGATGTTCCCCTTCCTGTGTCCATGTGTTCTCATTGTTCAATTCCCACCTATGAGTGAGAATATGCAGTGTTTGGTTTTTTGTTCTTGCGATAGTTTACTGAGAATGATGATTTCCAACTTCATCCATATCCCTACAAAGGACATGAACTCATCATTTTTTATGGCTGCATAGCATTCCATGATGTATATGTGCCACATTTTCTTAATCCAGTCTATCATTGTTGGACATTTGGGTTGGTTCCAAGTCTTTGCTATTGTGAATAGTGCCGCAATAAACATACGTGTGCATGTGTCTTTATAGCAGCATGATTTATAGTCCTTTGGGTATATACCCAGGAATGGGATGGCTGGGTCAAATGGTATTTCTAGTTCTAGATCCCTGAGGAATCGCCACACTGACTTCCACAATGGTTGAACTAGTTTACAGTCCCACCAACAGTGTAAAAGTGTTACTATTTCTCCATATCCTCTCCAGCACCTGTTGTTTCCTGACTTTTTAATGATTGCCATTCTAACTGGTGTGAGATGATATCGCATTGTGGTTTTGATTTGCATTTCTCTGATGGCCAGTGATAGTGAGCATTTTTTCATGTGTTTTTTGGCTGCATAAATGTCTTCTTTTGAGAAGTGTCTGTTCATGTCCTTCGCCCACTTTTTGATGGGGTTGTTTGTTTTTTTCTTGTAAATTTGTTTGAGTTGATTGTAGATTCTGGATATTAGCCCTTTGTCAGATGAGTAGGTTGCGAAAATTTTCTCCCATTTTGTAGGTTGCCTGTTCGCTCTGATGGTAGTTTCTTTTGCTGTGCAGAAGCTCTTTAGTTTAATTAGATCCCATTTGTCAATTTTGGCTTTTGTTGCCATTGCTTTTGGTGTTTTAGACATGAAGTCCTTGCCCGTGCCTATGTCCTGAATGGTAATGCCTAGGTTTTCTTCTACAGTTTTTATGGTTTTAGGTCTACCGTTTAAGTCTTTAATCCATCTTGAATTGATTTTTGTATAAGGTATAAGGAAGGGATCCAGTTTCAGCTTTCTACATATGGCTAGCCAGTTTTCCCAGCACCATTTATTAAATAGGGAATCCTTTCCCCATTGCTTGTTTTTCTCAGGTTTGTCAAAGATCAGATAGTTGTAGATATGCGGTATTATTTCTGAGGGCTCTGTTATGTTCCATTGATCTATATTTCTGTTTTGGTACCAGTACCATGCTGTTTTGGTTACTGTAGCCTTGTAGTATAGTTTGAAGTCAGGTAGCATGATGCCTCCAGCTTTGTTCTTTTGGCTTAGGATTGACTTGGCGATGAGGGCTCTTTTTTGGTTCCATATGAACTTTAAAGTAGTTTTTTACAATTCTGTGAAGAAAGTCATTGGTAGCTTGATGGGGATGGCACTGAATCTATAAATTACCTTGGGCAGTATGGCCATTTTCATGATATTGATTCTTCCTACCCATGAGCATGGAATGTTCTTCCATTTGTTTGTATCCTCTTTTATTTCATTGAGCAGTGGTTTGTAGTTCTCCCTGAAGAGGTCCTTCACTTCCCTTGTAAGTTGGATTCCTAGGTATTTTATTATCTTTGAAGCAATTGTGAATGGGAGTTCACTCATGATTTGGCTCTCTGTTTGTCTGTTATTGGTGTATAAGAATGCTTGTGATTTTTGCACATTGATTTTGTATCCTGAGAGTTTGCTGAAGTTGCTTATCAACTTAAGGAGATTTTGGGCAGAGACAATGGGGTTTTCTCGATATACAATCATGTCATCTGCAAACAGGGACAATTTGACTTCCTCTTTTCCTAATTGAATACCCTTTATTTCCTTCTCCTGCCTAATTGCCCTGGCCAGAACTTCCAACACTATGTTGAATAGGAGTGGTGAGAGAGGGCATCCCTGTCTTGTGCCAGTTTTCAAAGGGAATGCTTCCAGTTTTTGCCCATTCAGTATGATATTGGCTATGGGTTTGTCATAGATAGCTCTTATTATTTTGAGATACGTCCCATGTATACCTAATTTATTGAGAGTTTTTAGCATGAAGTGTTGTTGAATTTTGTCAAATGCTTTTTCTGAATCTATTGAGATAATCATGTGGTTTTTGTCTTTGGTCCCATTTGTATGCTGGATTACATTTATTGATTTGCGTATATTGAACCAGCCTTGCATCCCAGGGATGAAGCCCACTCGATCATGGTGGATAAGCTTTTTGATGTGCTGCTGGATTTGGTTTGCCAGTATTTTATTGAGGATTTTTGCATCAATGTTTATCAAGGATATTGGTCTAAAATTCTCTTATTTGGTTGTGTCTCTGCCAGGCTTTGGTATCAGGATGATGCTGGCCTCATAAAATGAGTTAGGGAGGATTCCCTCTTTTTCTATTGATTGGAATAGTTTCAGAAGGAATGGTACCAGTTCCTCCTTGTACCTCTGGTAGAATTTGGCTGTGAATCCATCTGGTCCTGGACTCTTTTTGGTTGGTAAGCTATTGATTATTGCCACAATTTCAGATCCTGTTATTGGTCTATTCAGAGATTCAACTTCTTCCTGGTTTAGTCTTGGGAGAGTGTATGTGTCGAGGAATTTATCCATTTCTGGATTTTCTAGTTTATTTGCGTAGAGGTGTTTGTAGTATTCTCTGATGGTAGTTTGTATTTCTGTGGGATCGGTGGTGATATCCCCTTTATCATTTTTTATTGCATCTATTTGATTCTTCTCTCTTTTTTTCTTTATTAGTCTTGTTAGCAGTCTATCAATTTTGTTGATCCTTTCAAAAAACAAGCTCCTGGATTCATTAATTTTTTGAAGAGTTTTTTGTGTCTCTATTTCCTTCAGTTCTGCTCTGATTTTGGTTATTTCTTGCCTTCTGCTAGCTTTTGCAAGTGTTTGCTCTGAGCAAGGACAACTCTTATACGCTACTTGAGATATTCATTGGCTCCTACAGGAAAATAGTTTGGCGGTACCTACTAAAGCTGACCATATTCATATCCTATGACCTCGGTATTCCATTTTAGGTATGCATACCCAGTGGAAATGTATATACACATGCACCAAAAGACTCATAAAAGAATTTTTTGGCAGCAGTATTTGTAATAGCCCCAAATTGGAAATGACTCAAATGTCCATCCATAGTAGAATGAATGAATGAATTTTATTGTCATTGAATGTGGTATTTATATCCCATAGATTAGTATAGAGAAACAAAAATAAACTACAGCTGTATAAAACAATATGGGTGATGATCAATCTAAAAAACAAGGTTGAGAAAAAGAAGCCAGAAACAAAATAATATATATCATATGATATCATTTATATAAAATTTACAAGTTGGCAAAACAAATCGATAATGCTAAAAGTCAGGATAGTGGTTATGTCGGGAGCAAGCAGAAGTAGAGACTGGAAGGGAACATGAGTGGGGCTTCTGGAGTGCTGGGGATGTCTGATCATTACTTGGGTGGTAGTTACATTCCCTTTGTGATAACTCATCAAGCTGTCCATTTATGATTTGTACCTGTGTCTACACTTACGGCAGAGTCAATAGAAAAGATGTTTTAAACCAGTCCAAAAGATCACTGTAGCTCTTTAAAATATACGGATCCTTGAGGACTCATGGAATATTGAAGGGTGAGTCCCAAGCACTCGCATTTTTTTTAAAAAACACCATCTCCAGTAATTCTGGCCTGCATTAGAGGTTAATAATCATTGACTGAAACACTTTAGGAAATATTATGGATATCTTTTCCTTCTGTAGATAGGTATGGCCAAATGGCTCGCAGACCCATCTTGGAGTCCTATTCAAGGAGTGAGATTAAAAACAAACGAACTACTATGTACGTCAGTTTATTGACATCAGTGTAAGAGTAAAGCAATAACCCATTAAAGAAAAAAAAAGCCCACAACCAGCAACTCACCAGTGGGAATACATCATCATCACTAACCAAAGGACTTGTCATTTCTTTGGCTTGAAATGTCGAAGGTGGCAAGGGAGGCATTGTACTTCTGTTTGGCTCACAGTCATGACTAAGTCTAAAAGAGAAGAAATGGTTGTTGTTGTTGCTATCAAGGACACATGTTTATTTATGTAGCTAAGGATTTTAATCTCTCAGATGTCCAAGTAGGGGGAAAGCACAACAAAATGTTTGGGCTTGTTACCTGGGTGTTTCTTTGAATATGACTTTCCTGATGAATAATTTCTATTTCATTTAAAGGACTTAGAATGATTAAAAATGAAGCAGAAAACTTAACAACTGTTAAAAATATTTTGTGATCCTTATTGCCTATATTGCTTCCCTTTCTGTGTTATACTTTTCTATGTCTTTGTCATTTATTTTAATAATGTAAAGCAGTTTGAGAAAAGTCTCCAAACAGGTAATTACACTGTTGCCCTTGACAGTTCTAAATAGATACTCTTTTTCTATTCTCTTTTACACTTAACCTCACTGGCTTTCTTAACAGAATTATACTATTTTTTATGCTAAACAAGTCTTTTATTTTATTTATTTATTTATTAATTTATTTTGAGACAGAGCCTTGCTCTGTCGCCTAGGCTGGAGTGCAGTGGCGCGATCGCAGCTCACTGCAACCTCCGCCTCCCAGGTTCAAGAGACTCTCCTGTCTCCTGAGTAGCTGGGATTATAGGCGCCCGCCACCACGCCAGGGTAATTTTCTGTATTTTTAGTAGAGATGGGGCTTCACCATGTTAGCCAGGATGGTCTCGATCTCCTGACCTTGTGATTCGCCTGCGTTGGCCTCCCAAAGTGCTGGGATTACAGGCATGAGTCACCGTGCGCCCAGCCAACAAGTCTTTGAATAACTCTAATTTCTATAGATTTTGATAATTTAAAACATGCTTTCAATTTACACCATCTCCTAAGCTCCTCCAGTTACTAGTTGTGTGATCTTGAGCAGGTAACTTTATCTCTCTGTGATTTTAATTTTCTCACTTATAAAAGGGTTGTTATGAGAGTTGAATGATTAATATATGTAAAACACTTAGAAAACAATGCCTGGCACATAGTAAATGTTTAGTAAAGATTAGGTATTATTATTATTAAACTAATCTGATCTTCAAAATAACCCTAATACGCTGGATACTATCCACAGATGAGGAGACTAAGATTTAAAAGTTCAATTATTCGTCTAATTATTTACTTTTTAAATCAGAATAAATTGCTAGGAAGTGATGTCTTTAGATTTTGGACTCAAATCCAGATTTTCTTGACTTAAAAAACCCCACTATTTCAGTGAAAGTCATACAGCATGGAATTTGTTTGTGCTAAAACATAGGTTAGAAAATGAGACTGAAAACAATAACATTGAGATTTTGAATTTTGGTTTGTTGACTAAGCAAATGAATAAGAAAACATGTAACAAACCAATTTATCCTAAAGTTTTACAAAAAAGGTCCTAAAAGTATGGGCTGTTTGGGATTAAATAAATATCTTTCATGAAACTGAGGTTTAGATGTAATAAAATCATCAAAGAGGCTGGGCCCAGTGGCTCACGCCTGTAATCCCAGCACTTTGAGAGGCTGAGGCAGGCAGATCACGAGGTCAGGAGATCGAGACCATCTCGGCTAACATGGTGAAACCCCGTCGCTACTAAAAATACAAAAAAATTAGCCTGGCGTGATGGCGGGCGCCTGTAGTCCCAGCTACTCAGGAGGCTGAGGCAGGAGAATGGCGTGAACCCGGGAGGCGGAGCTTGCAGTGAGCCGAGATTGCGCCACTGCACTCCAGCCTGGGCGACAGAGAGAGACTCCGTCTCAAAAAAAAAAAAAAAAAATCATCAAAGACCATCAAAACGAAAATCCCTTCAATTTGAAATTATTTATTTTTACTAATGGTTCAAATTCTCCACAGGTATTGATTAGCCCTTTTCAAAGCCTTCATAGTTTAATTTAACCTAGTTAAAAAATTTTTCACATTACTTTTCTCTGGTCTTATCCAAAGACTATCTAATTTACAGACTTGTTTCTTATTATACAAATCATATTTTCAAAGCTATGCATACAAATAGCATTAAAAGTTAAGTGAGGCATCTGTAAATTAGTACACAAAAACAAATACAACATGTTTTCCATTTTTGCTTATCTTGAGATGTATCTTTTTTTTTTACTCATTCTCCCAAACTATAATTACCATGGAAACAGAACAGCAAATTAAACTGAAATAACATGGTTTATGATGTGCACCATAAGATGAAACATCTCACAATTCAAGTAGAATTATAACATTTGCATAGTATATCTGCATATAATCTTTAGCTGAACCTTTTGAGTGAGGTTACTGTCTATACTTCAAAGCACGGTGAAAAAAAATTAGTAGCGATTCAAGAAGTATATATCTCTCTGTTATCTCACAGAGATTTCAGGCAAAGTATTATTTGTGCTAAATTATCTAAATAATTATCTTAGTTATCCATTTTGCTTTGGATGTACAGATAAAGTTTTATGGTGTTAATTACTAACATTTATATAGGGACATTCTTTTTAGTGTAAGATCAATAAAATGTAGAGACGACATTATGAAGTAAAGTACTTTTGTTTTAAATCACCTTTATATCTGACAAGTTCTTCTTCAAGAATAC
The DNA here is from genome assembly GCF_000001405.40 of Homo sapiens. Lineage (NCBI taxonomy): Eukaryota > Metazoa > Chordata > Mammalia > Primates > Hominidae > Homo > Homo sapiens. The sequence continues at coordinate 93,412,437 of NC_000011.10, read as the reverse complement.
AGCTATTCAAATACTTCATAAAACCACCTTGCATAAAGTGCTATGCATATCAATTTAAAAGCTATCTTAAAAATGATTTTGGAAGGCTTTTAATATCCTCTCACAAGCTGATCTGTTCAATGATCTTTTCCACAGGCCTATTCCAAGGCTGCTGCGTGATTTCACCAGGATAGCAGGCCCCAGTTGCTTTGCTGGGGAACAGAACTCTGTCCACTTGAGACTTGAGTCAACACTTCACAATTTTCAGCTTTGTTGGACATGTACATCCAGTCCTGTCCCTCCATTAATATTCCCCTTGGCCATAGGATAATGTCCTTAGCATGGAGCAAGATTCCTTCTTTACCTTTTTCCAGCCTCACCTTCCAACACTCCACTAAACTCCCTATTCCATGAACTGCTCATTGTTTCCTGTACTAGAACTGTCAACCTATGTTTTGCTCCTTATTGAGCAAAACCACAGTACAAACATTCTCAGATTCAGGCTTCTAGATGTCTATTCATTCCTTGACAAGAGATCTTGTGAGTGGTTATTACAAACCTGCTGACTGTGGTTTTTTAGTATTAGAAACTCTTAATTTATTAGCTAGACTTGAAGCCATTTTAATGATTGTTTGACTGCTAAAATCTGTCTAGTACATGATACAACTTTTAAAATCATAAATTCATTTTTAAGTATGTGTCTTATATAGAGATAAAACTCCATTTATTACAAAATTGATTTGTCATTAAAATTAGTTACATATTAATAGCTCTGGATACCACTACTCCAAATTAGCTTGTAAATTATCCTGAAACTTCAAAACTCTAACTTTTAAAAACAATATTTAAAACATCCACACCAAATTCAATCACCTCTCACTCATATTTTTTAAGAAAGTGCTAAGTAGCTGTCTTACTAGAAAGCAAATGCTTTAGAATATCCTAAAATGCTTCACATTTTAAGTGAGTGAGCATTAAAAACAACAAAACCGAGTTGCTTCAGAGTGAATAAAAGGTTAAGAATGTATTATATAAGTCTTCCTCAGTTAAAAGTAAGAATTGCCTTAAAATTAGACTATGAATCTTAACATTTTGTGGAACATTTTCTTCATACACTTTTATCTAAATGCTTTTTCCTTCCTCAAATACTTTAACAAGACCTCACTGCATTAGCCATTGATATGTAAAGATACTTTGTATGTTTTTGATTAATTTATGCCTAACAAATATACATACATAGTTTTTTACTGTTTCACTTCACTGAGCTGTGTTGTGAGGGAAAAAAAGATGATTTCATTTTTCAGTTGCTAGCATTAACAGAGAGATATCTGCTTTGCAGCTCTTCACTGGTGAGTTCACAGTGTCCTTGCATCTCAACAACTCTTTCCCCACAGTAGGATTTACATGGTAATAATTTATTCAGAACATTTGAAATACTGTTTCTTTTAAAAAACAGGTCACTGGAAAACACTGAAATCAGACAAGGCATTAAAACAAATTTAATGAAACTTTCAACAAATGAAACTGGCAGGACACAAGGCTTTGCAGCAGGAATAGCAGCCTAAACTGCTTATTAGGATAATCTCCTGCTGAGCATTTTACCTCTTATGTTGCTTTTTGTGTCCCCTACTGTCTTGTTTTTGTTAGATACTTTTAACACATTCTGTACTGCCTGACAAAGAGAAAAAAGGGGGCAACCCAAACAATAAAAATACTTTCTAAAAATAATAAAAGGCAGAGTAACTGTCTTTTTGTTTAAATAACAACACCTGGTATCTCCATCTAAAGCTTTCAAAGTTATTCTCAACTAGCACGAACAGGAAATAGTGTTCTGTACCCAGTGGGTGCTCAATACAGATCAGTGACTAACATACGCAGGTGACCCTTTATAGTGTTCTTCATGGGTTTGCTTTTCTCTCGCAATGAGGCAACTATATACAGTACATGGGAGTCATAATTTGACCAATGGAGAATGAATCCATAAGTACTCTGTAAAGCTTATTTATTCCATATTAGAACATATATTCTTACACCAAAATCAGGATTACACTCCTTTGGACAGATCTTCACATGGACACATTCACCAGAGAACTGGTCCATGGCCATGCCCAGCGACCTCTTTCATCCTTCCTACACTGCTTTTATCCTGCTGCTGCTGTCACTACCAACACCCCACCACAGCACCCCACCATGATGCTTTTTAGGGATGGCAGTCAGTCCTCCTTCATTCGCTTCTTTACCTGAAAAGGGTTTATTAATTTGGTACTTTTGAATGGTTACTGTTTCCTGCATGGGGCTACAATATATCCTTCTAATATACACATGGCTGAGGTGCTGAAAGTAGGACGGGGCTGTACTATACCCATAAGAATGTTGAACATCTGTTTTATGTTGAACATTTTTTTTTAATATATCCCATGGACCTACGGATTTATCTACCTGTAGAGCTGAGTATGCTTACTTAAAAAGATGAGTCTGGCACCACCTCTCCCCCACAGAACTATCTTTGAGGCTATGTCAGATTCAGCCATTTGTCTATTTGCCCAAATATACTTTTTATGTACCATAAGTTGTGGGAGAAATATTATTATAAATACTAACAATTTTGTTAGTAATAATGGTTAACATTTATGGAACTACAAGTTGTGTATGGTTTTTCTCCTATAATCCTTATGAAAATCTTACAATTATTAACCTTGTTTGTCAGATAGAAAATCGAGGGTGACAAAGGTTAAGAAAATTTTCCAGGGCTGTGAATATTATTTCTGTTATGTAACAACAAAATAGAAGGTTTTTCATGCTAACTATTATGAGCTTATGAGCAAATGTTGCAATGAAGTTGGGTCTGGACCTACTAATCTGCCGTTTCTTGGCACTATGAAATGAAATAATAAATTGATATCAAATATGTCTGGGGAGTGCTGCATACAATATCCCTTGTTGGACAATCACAGTGTAAGTTAACATATTAATGGCTCTGAGAAATATTGTATAAAATAAACTTGCTTATTTTGTTCAGCATTTTCCAAGTTTGGGAAAACAGTAAAAGGCTTTCAGAGACTTATGACTCCATAAATCTTTTATTAAAATTGAATAACTTAGCCTATTTTTATGCTTGATAGATTTTAATTTTGAATAAGACCTTTTACAGAGTATGGGAATAATGTGGACAGCCGATAATGATTTTCCATACACTTCTCTTCATTTGGAGAAAACCTCTTATACATCCATAGATTCCTTCTCTACAAAATGACCAATAATTTGTTGCCACTGCTAGAATGTCAATGGAAAGTGTATCTATTGGCTGGGTGTGGTGGCTCACGCCTGTAATCCCAGCACTTTGGGAGGCTGAGGTGGGTGGATCACTTGCGGTCAGGAGTTAGAGACCAGCCTGGCCAACATAGTGAAACCTTGTCTCTACTAAAAATACAAAAATTATCCGGGTGTAGTGGCGGGGGCCTGTAGTCCCAGTTACTTGGGAGGCTGAGGCATGAGAATTACTTGAACCCAGGAGGCAGAGGTTGGAGTGAGCCGAGATCACACCACTGCACTCCAGCCTGGGCGACAGAGCGAGACTCCATCTCAAAACAAACAAACAAACAAACCCCAAAAAACAAAAACAACAAAAAAAGAAAGTGTATCTATTATTGAAGGTAGGTGAAAAGTGACATGTTCCTACATTTTCTATTTTGTTTGAACAATATACCTATTAAAATCTAGTTTTCTCTGTTCCCATGACATCAAAAGTAAAATTACTTATCTGTATGTTTTGTATACCACCTCAGCTTCCAAAAAGATCTGAGATGACTAACAAACTAAAATCCACTGTAACACTCCACGCATTTCAAATCGACACAATTTCTTATAAAGCAATGTATCTAGCCTACATTATCTACTCATCTACTGCATTATCATTATAAATTTTAAACCACAGAAGAGAAAGCGTATAAAGTTATAATTTGAATTCTTTAAAAATAAATTTTAATTACATGTTTTTAAACTTATGCCCTTATATAATGGAGCCAGCATACCTCTCTTCATTTTGTTCCACTTTTATTTGGCTTTGATAGGCATATCTTCCTGTTTCTTCATAGGTGTTTTGATTAGTCCAGGTTGATTTTCCATTGACATGAAGTTTTGCAAGATCATTTCGGAGCCTTTCATTCTCATATTGCAGTTTATTAATAGATGTATGCCTTGACTGTTCCCTGTTAGTGAAGTCCATACTCTAGAGAATAAAATAAACTATCATTGAATAAACTGCCCCTTATAAGTAATGCATATTTTCTGTGTGTTTGGAGACTTGTGCTGGAAAGGCCCTTTCATTTGAGCCAAGTGATGTGGCTGTACTCTTGCTCACTTTCTAAATGCTCCTTTCCACCCCCTCACCTCCTCACAACAAGCAGATACCCAGAGGTAGCTGTTGTGGAACACATTTGCAATGATGTATGTATTGCATCATCCCCACTGTTGGATGGTGCAATACATACAATATTGCTCATGCCCCAAAACAGAAAAGGTTTACTCTATGCATTGTTGCTCTCTGTATCTATTTAGGTTGGTGCAGAAGTAATTGCGGTTTTTGCCATTACTTTCAATGGCAAAATTGCAATTACTTTTGCACCAACCTAACAGAACAAATTAGCTAGATTTCAAGTTTTTTTGTGTTCATAGGATATACCTTCTAGTGTTGATTAATAATGGAACTGGAAATAACATGCATTTAAATTTTAAAAGAATTTTCTTCTGATTAAGATGGGCATGTATTAATATATGGGCACATAAAATCATATATATGTCATTATAGAAAATATAAGGTATTAAGAACAAAATAAATATTCCATACTACCAACACTCAGTGATAACTGCTATTAACAGTTATATTTATATCTTTCTAGTCTTTTTCCTACCAGTAGAAAATACAATATCAACATAAAGTATCAATATAATTATAATGTATGCCTACTTAGAAAATTATAATCAATATACAGTCATATGTTGTTTAATTATGGGGACACATTCTGAAAAAGGCGACATCAGCTGATTTCATCATGTGATCATACAGTGTGTCTACACAAACCTAGATGGTATAGCCTACTACACACGTAGGCTGTAAGGTAAAGCCTATTGTTTCTAGGCTACAAACTTGTATAAGTATTTGTGTATCTGAACATACCTAAACATAGAAATTTTTATTTAAATAATAAATTCATTTAACCATTCTTCTATTGTTGAATTCAGTTTTTTTTTCAAAATAATTAACACTGTGTTGATTTCCTTATACATAAATCTTGTTCTATATTTCTTTAGCTAGAGTCCAAGGAGTGGGATCACTGGGTTAAATTGTGTGAATGTTGTTGAAGACCTTGATTTAAAAATGTCCAGCCCCCTCCCCTATAAATCTTATACATTTCAATCTCATAAATACCCACCACTAATGTATTAAGGAGCCTGTGTTACTACACTCACAACCATTCAATATTACCATTTCGTTAAATTTGCCAACTTGATAGATAAAAATAGTAACTTTTATTTAGCTATTAGTGAAGTAGAATATATATGTTTCCTGGCAAATTTTACTCTATCTTTTGTCAATTGTCTATTTGTGTCCTTAACTTATTTTTTCATTAGGGTGTCTGTGTTATTTGTATCCTTAGCTTATTTTCTCATTAGGGTGTCTGTGTTTTTCTTACTAATTTGAAGGAATTTTTTTTACATTAGGTGTACTAATCCTAAGTTACTGTTTCTTAAGTTAGTTGAAAATATGTTTTCCATGTGATTTTAAGTTTTAATTTTAGTGTGTGATATATTTTATACACAAAGTTTTTTACAATTTTTATTTAATGAAATCTGTCAGTCTTTTTCCCTTGTGACTTCTTCCTTGCTTTTATATTTTTTCTTTTCATCCTAAAAGCTAATATTCACTTGTATTTTCTTCTATTTGTTTTATAATTTCATTATTTTACATTTAATTATTTAGTTATTTGGTATTAATTTTGTACAAAATGAGAAAAGACTTAAAGTTAGTAATTATTGTAATTGTTCTAATCACATATTGATGAAAATATCTATTCTCCACTGTTGGATGATTCAGCAAATTATATACTAAATTAATATAGATTGCGGTCTGATTCCAGATCATTCCATCTTACTGATCTTACAGTTGAGATTGTGCCAGTTCTACACAATTCTGAGCAATGTATCTTCCTTATGAAGTTTCACTACCTGGTAGGAGACACTCAATTTTAGTGTGTCCTCAGAATAGAATATGAAGCATGTCTAAATTACAAAATGAGAGGTTTAGAGTAAGAATAAAGATTAGCTGAGGCCATTTCAATTAAACATAAGAAGTTTCCTAGGGAGTATCTAAACTTTTCACAGAATTTTAAAAAATAGGATATATTCTCACAATAAAAACTCATGAAAAATGCTCTAAATGATTTTACACAGTTCTTTCTACTCCTCAGATTCGAATATACGTGAGTTGTGTAGCTGCTGTTTAAACAATAGTTCTATGTTTTCAAAACGGTAATATTTTAGCATACAAAAATAACCTGAGTAAAACATCTTTTTCGAAGCTCCAAATATCTATGGTTCAAAGTCTATAAAACAATGAATGATTACAGCTTAGAACTAAGTTCCTAAGCTTAAAGCTTTGAGTGCCTTTCATAAAGGCATCCCATAAAATCATCCTAAGTTTTGTAAAATTTTTGACTAATTGCACATTGAAAATTATTTACATACTGTCATATTAGTATCAATAGTAATAAATAAGTGCAGAAATACATACATATTAGGTATTAAAATGTTTACATATTTCATTTTTTGCTTCAAAGGCCAAATCTGCTTACTACATTTTCCGCTTACTACCTATTATGGAGGTTTAGTAAATATGTAGCAAAGTCTCATTTTTGAATGGAAGAAAATGCTTCAGGAGGGCAAACTTTTCCACAAATCAATACAGGGAAGGTTATATGCTTCTAAAGCTACTGACCAAGGTGCTCTTTGAAAAAGGAAGGCCATTGAAGGTATTTCTCTGCTTATTAAGCTCTGCCTTTAGGATTTCTCAACATTTATTCTTTTTGAGAGGCATAAATGCAGATAAAAGAGCAATCTGTAGTCTCTTGCTTTAGAAGATAAAGGAGTGCTTATTCTAAAATTAGAGTAGATTTGTGATAAAAATAAAGGAGGCAGGGTCTTATACATTTTTTCCCTCCATAAGGAAAAATAACCATATGGGCAGACCTGGTTGAAAAGGGTTGAGAATAAGACTCAAAATTTGACTCTTAATAAGATATCTACCAGTCAAAGTACAGAATTCTTGATGGTCGGCTGCTTAGTTAAAATTTTGTTTAAGCTTTTCCTATAAAATTAGATTTAATCTGTGATTTTTTTTATCCAATGTTGGTTTAAAGTAATTAAGAATGATAATAATGATTTTTAAAACCCTGCAATTTCCTAAATGTACCATAATTAAATAAGTGTTGTGAGCATGAACTAAAAGAATTACACAGGTAATGTATTTGCATGTTTTACATTTAAGAGTACATTTTCCTTTACAAAACCCTTTTTTGGGTCCCTCTCATTTAATTTAATATTTTTCTTAAATGCATTTCTAATGATTTCAGGAATATATCCACCCCCACCTCTTGTGTTTCTAATGGATTCTTTTTACCCATTTACTCAACTTTTGTTTTCTTTCAAAATTTTAGAGTTTGATAGTTTTAATCCATTTCTTTATTCTTGAAATGGCAAAACCTCCTGGTGCTCATTTACTTCAACAGATTAGGATGAGGCTGGCTTAATTACTGAAGTGTCTAAATAATATTTTGCATGTATGGTTTTTCTTCTTATGCATATTTAACAGTAACAATTATGCTAAAAAAGCATTTTGACAGAAAGACTGGCTTTAATGATGTTTTGTAGTTGGTATGTTAATTTTCAGTACGTAAATGGATGTTTTAATCATTGTAAGGGTACTAATTTTTTATGTTACTATTTTATTTAGAAAACTTTACGGATGGTGAAAAGCAAATTAGTCCTCTTAAAAATTACCACAGATTCTGAGTTCTAATTAAATCTGATTTTATTACAACTTTCTTAAATAAAAGAAAAATTAATAATACAATTGAAGGACTAAGTAAATATGGCATTAAAAAGCCTACGACGATAAGCTTGATTATTTGTTAGCTACCCAAGAGCAGAATAAGAGAAAACCCTTCACTTTTCTCCACTATTCTACGTCCCTCACTGACACCCAGGAAACCTTAGATACCAGGTAGTTAGTCCCATCAGTACATTCCCCAAATGGGAGCTGCATAACCCCATGCATTCCTAGAACTGGGTGGCTGCCTGTGGTAAACTTTCATTCTCTAAGTGGAAATGAGCAGGCAGCTTCATAGGTAGTCAAGCAGAAAGATTCTCAAAGCTATAATTGGTTAGAAATAACCAACCTGAAGATCAGTAATTTCCTTGTAGAAAGGAAAAAGTTATTATTTTAATATTTTCCAAACAGCACATATTTTAGAAGACAAAAATAATGATGTAAATATCTTGTTTCTGTTGCCTGACGTAAAATTTCAGCACCAATTATTTAATTTTATATTTATGCATTCCAATTATTTCAGAAAGAATTAACTAATTATGGATTTTTTCCTAATTATGAAATTTTAATATATAATAGATATGATAAAGTTTTCTTCATTTCAATAAATTTTCTTCATTGAGAAAGGATAACCAAATAAAACAGCAGAAAGAGAAAATTAACTGATGAAACTAAAAATAATAAAATTAAGAAAAATGTATGAAAAGAATAATAAATCCAAAAGCCAATATTTTTAAATGCTAATAAAATAAATCACTTGTGAGTCAGAGTTAAGACAAAAAATAGAGAGCATGCTAAACTATACAAGCTTAGAAATAAGAAAGGAATTATAAACAGAATATAGAAGAGATAAAAAGAACTGTAGGACATTACTACCTTTAGTAATAATAAAACAAGTTGAAACTGATTTCCTAGAAAAATACAAATTACTGAAATAACCTACAAAGTACTTCTAAGTAGTAGTAGTGAAACTTGGATATACCAAGTACTCTAAAAGAGAGTGGAAAAATAATTGAAGATTTACCAGGTCCAGTTTCACAGCTAAATTCTTTCTAACCTTTAAAGAACTGATACTTACAATATTACTTAAACTATTCTAAACAACTCATAAAGTTCTCAATTTATATTATAAATATAGTATAACCTTAAAACAAGTAGAAAAAGAACCATATACAAATCTCATTTATACACACAGATTTTAAATTCTTCTTTTATTGATCCACAATAGATGTATTTTCAGAGTACATAGGATAAATTAGTACATTTAAATAATTTGTAGAGATCAAATCAGTGTACTTGAGGTATCATCACCTTAAATATTTGTCTTTTCTTTATGCTAGAAACAAAATTATTCTCTTTTGGCTATTTTGAAATGTATAATAGATCATACATATATGTTACCTAGTGTTGAACAATAGGTAATATTTCCAAACACTATACTTGTACCCGTTAACCAACTTCTCTTCATTCTCCCTTCCTCCCTATCCTTCTTAGCCTCTGGTAACCACCAATTTACTTTCTATCTTCATAAGATCCACATTTTCAGCTCCCACATATGAGTGAGAACATGCAATATTTGTCTTTCTGTGCTTCGCTTATTTCACTTAACATAATGACCTCTAGCAGTTTCATCCATTTGCTACAACTGACAGGATTTTATTTTTTATTTTTTATTTTTTCTGGCTGAATAATATTCCATTGTGTATATATACCACATTTCTTAATCCATTCGTCCACTGATAAGCACTTAAGTTGATTCTACATTTTGACTATTGAAAATAATGCTGCAATAAACACAGGAGTGCAGGTATCTCTTTTATATATTGATTCCTTTCTTTTGGATATATACCCAGTAGTGGAATTGCTGGACCATATCATAGTTTTAGTTTTAGTTTTTTGAGGAAACTTTATACTGTTCTCCATAGGTGCTATACTAATTTACATTCCCACCAACAGTGTATGAGGGTTCCCCTTCGTCCAAATCCTTGCCAGCATCCATTATTACCTGTCTTTTTAAATAAAAGTCATTTTAACTGGAATGTGATGATATCTGATTGCGGTTTTGATTTGCGTTTCTCTGATGATTAGTGATACTGAATTTTTTTTCATATACCTGTTGGCCATCTGTATGTCTTCTTTTGAGAAATGTCTATTCAGATCTTTTGGCCATTATTAAATCAAATTATTTTTTTTTACTATTGAGTTTTTTGAGCTCCTTATATATTTTGGTTATTAATTCCTTGTCATATGGATAGTTTGCAAATATTTTCTTGCATTCTGTGGGTCATCTTTTCACTTTGTTGATTCTTTTCTTTGCTGTGCAGAAGCTTTTCAGCTTGATATGATCCCACTTACCTATTTTTCCTTTGATTGCCTGTATTTTTGAGAACTTACACAAAAAAATCTTTGCTCAGACTAAAGTCATGGAGTATTTCCCTAATGTCTTCTTTTAGTAGTTTCATAGTTTCCTGTCTTAGATTTAAGTCTTCAATCAATTTTTATTTGATTTTTGTTTGGTGAGAGATAGGAGTCTAGTTTTATTCTTCTACACGTAATTACCAGTTTTCCCAGCACCATTTATTGAAGAGGCTGTCCTTTCCCTATTGTATATTCTTGAAAATACATTATTTTCAATATATCTAATTTTAGTCATTCTAGTGGGTGTGAAGTGGTATCTCATTGTGGTTATCGAAGATTAATTGGCTGTAAATGCATTGGTTTATATCTGGGTTCTCTATTCTGTTCCATTGGTCTATGTGTCTGTTTTTATGCCAGTCCCATGTTGATTTGGTTACTATAGCTTTGTAGTATATTTTGAAGTCAGGTAGTATACTGTCTCCATCTTTGTTCTTTCTACTTAGGATTTCTTTGGCTATTCAGGGTCTTCTGTGTTTGCATATAAATTTTAGAATAGTTTTTTTTCTATTTCTTTGAAGAATGTCATTGGCATTTTGATAGGGATCACACTGAATCTGTAAATCGCTGTGAGTAGTATTGTCATTTTAATAATATTAACTCTTCCAATACATGAGAATGGAATATCTTTCCATTTTTTTATCCTCTTCAATTTCTTTCATCAGAGATATATAGTTTTCCTTGTATATATCTTTCACTTCTTTGGTTAAATTGATTCTTAGGTATTTCATATTCTCTGTAGTTATTGTAAATGAGATTGCTTTCTTGATTTCTTTTTCAGATTATTCACTATTGACATATAAAAATGCTACTTGTTTTGGTATGTTTTTATATCCTGAAACTTTACTGAATTTGTTTATCAGTTCTAACAGTTTTTTGGTGGAGTCTTTAGGGTTTTCTAAGCATAAGATCATATCGTCTGTGAACAGGGCTCATTTGACTTCTTCCTTTCCAATTTGGATGCCCTTTTGTGTCTTTCTCTCGCCTAATTGCTCTGGCCAGGACTTCGAGTATTATGTTGAATAAAAGTGGTGAAATGGGCATCCTTATTTTATTCCAGATCTTGGAGGAAAGGCTTTCAATTCTTCCCCATTTAGTATGATGTTAGCTGTAAGTTTGTCATATATAGCCTTTATCTGCATATTTGTTTTTGGTATTCTGTGGGGGGAATGAAGCCAGCTTGCTTTCATGCCACCATTTTGAAACTGGAAGTCTGCAGATCTTCATTTCTAAATAAAATATTATCATATAGAATCCAATAGTATATCAAAATTCCTAAAATATGGCTATTATAAGTTTAGCTGTGCCACTCCCAAAAAGACATGTTGAAATCCTAACCCTCGGTACCTCAGAATGTGACCTTATTTGAAAATAGGGTCTTTATAGTGTAAAAATGAGGTCACTAGGGTGGGCCCCAATCCAGTAGGACTAGCATCCTATAAAATGGGAAAATTTGGGCACAGAAACAGACACATAAGGAGAGAGGATGATGGGAAGAAGCACAGGAAGAAGACAGTGGTACAGGGAGAAATCCATATGAAGACAGAGGATTGGGCTGATGTATCTACAAGTCAAGGAATGCCAACAATTGTTGGCAAACCACCAGAATTCAGGAAGAGGCAATGAAACATTCTCTTCTACAGGTTTCAGAGAGAGCATAGCCCTGCTGACACCTTGAATTTGGACTTCAAGCCTCTAGAACTGTAAGACAATAAATTTCTGTTGTTTCAAGCCAGCCAGCTTTTGGTACTTTGTTACAGCAGCCCTATCAAACTGAGACTATGACTAAAAAGGTTTATTCCAAAAACTCAAAGGTGGATCAATATTGGGGAATCTGTTAACCATAGTCTATTACACATCAATAAATTAAAAAACAAAACCCACATAACATCATATTTCCTAAAAAGGCATTTGATAAAACCAGCAGCAATTCTTAATAACAACTCTAAGTAAAATAGAAAAAGATATAACTAAGACCATAAATTAAGAACAAATATATGAAACAGGAAAACTCTAAAACCACATCATTTAAAATCAAAAACTAGAAAACTTTCCAGCAAGCACTATAATTATTTAACATTTTCTTGGAGTTTTTAGCAAATGGTATATGATCAAAAAGAAAAAAAACCTACTATGAGCCATGGAAAAGAGATAAGACTATCTATTTTTGTTGATATGATTTTGTATCTCAGAAAAGCCTAAGAAACCTCTAGTAAAAAGCCTACTTAAATTAATAAGATAATTTGTATTTTTTCTATATTAACAATAAGTTCCAAGATATTGAAAAAAGGAAAATATTTTATTCATAACAGTACTAAAAATTGCAAAACACTTGGGAATAAATTTTGTTATTTATTTTATTTTTTATTTTTTTATTTTAACAGCAAACTCATCCTTAAAAAACACCTAGGAATACATTTTAAAAGAAAAGGACATAACCTGTACAAAGAAAATGGTAAGATCTTTTTGAAAAACATAAAATATGAAGAAATGGAAAGCCATTCTTGGATGGAAAAATTTACTATAATGAAAATGCCAAATCAAAGTTAATCTATAAACTTACTTCAATTCCAAATAGGATCCAACAGGAAATTACTAGGAGAAACTAAATAAACTGAGCTTAATGTTTACATAAAAATTTAAATTTGGTTTCCATTTTATATCCCACGCAAAATAAATGGATTAAAGACTTGGATGAAAGATATAATAATCTTTGAAAAAAAACTGAAGCTATATATATTTAGAAGAAATATATATATATATGTAACAAGAAGACCCTGTTAGTCAAGGAAGGAAACTCAGAAGCTATAAACAAAGAGATCAAGTAGAAGTTTAAAGCATTTTGCATGGCCAAAAAAAGTCATAAACAAAGTTACAAACAACAGATTTGGAAAAGCATTGTTAAAAATTGACATGAGGGTGGACGGGGTGGCTCACACCTGTAATCCCAGCACTTTGGGAGGCCAAGGCTGGTGGATCACTTGAGGTCAGGAGTTCAAGACCAACCTGGCCAACATGGCTAAACCCCATCTCTACTAAAAATATATAAAAATTAGCTGGACATGGTGGCATGTGCCTGTAATCCCAGCTGCTTGGGAGGCTGAGGCAGGAGAATTGCTTGAACCCGGGAGGTGGAGGCTGCAGTGAGCCAAGATCATGCCGCTGCACTCCAGCCTGGGTGACAGAGTGAGACTCCATCTCAAAAAAAAAAAAAAAAATTTGACATGAAAAAGACAAATAAGCCAAAAGAAAAATGGGCAAAGGATATATCTAATTGATATTGGTACACATTGTCAATGAATATACAAAAATATGTTCACCTGGTACTCAGGGAAATGCAAATTAAAGAGCTATTGAGAAATTACTTTATAACCATCAGAATGACAAAAATTAAAAAGACCTATAACACCTATGCCTACAAGAATGAAATTTTAAAAGGTACTCATACAAAGATGGTAGACATATGATTTAACAATAGCTATTAAAATTAAAACACACATATCCTTTGAATTAGCAATTTTACTCCTAGGAAGCTATTCCAAGGTGTAAGTATAAGGATTTTTCTTACAGTACTGTTCATTCGGGCAAAACTCTGGAAACAGAGTGGAATAAATTATCCTTGAAATAAGTATAAAAATAGTTTAATAAATTTTGATACACACCATGGAATATTATCAAGCTATTATAAAAATAAAATAGGCTTAAATTAGTTACCTTGGAAAGATTCCAAGGGATACTGTTGAGTGAACAAAAACAGGACACAGAGAAGTACGTGTTATGATTCAACTTTAAAAAGATGATAAAATCCCCAAATAGGTACTATATGACTATATGTATATATATCTGAAAAAGTTTAAAATAATACATACCAAGTAGTTAACATGTATCATCTAGAGGAGGGGGTATAATGCGGGTAGATGAGTGGAGGAAAGAGGGAGGAGTAAAGCAAGCAGCAACAACAAAGTGACTGCACTAAAATTGCCCTTATGTAAGTTATGATTAAATTTATAAAAAATTATGTATATCTTATATGCTCATATATTTTTTCTAAGAAATTAGGAAAAATAAAGGGATGTTCATCTACTGATTTGTAGAGGTGTTCATGGACTGTCAAAAGGCAGTTTTGGAATAATGTATATATTATACATTTATTTCTGTAAAAGAACATTCAACCCATCTCCTCCTTATGTGTGCATATGCAAGCAAAAAGTTACAGAATGCTACAACAAACACTAATTCGTTAGCACTGGATAGCTTTGGATTGGGATAGGGTTGTGGATCATTAGCTTCTTTATACATCTCTGTGTCTGCTATTTCTTAAAAACACAAAAAGGTGAACAAAGTCAAACACCTAAAGGAGCCAGAATTAGGCAGGCTCAGTGGGGGCTGTGACGACCCAGAATATACACTTAAAAACATTCAAATTGAAATGTAAAAAAAATACAAATACCATTTTGTGAGTGAAAAAAGCACTCACGGAGGCAGGATCTGATTTAACTTTTTGTGTGTTCAGCATTTAGAAATAAAAATGTCATAGATGACACACAGTTTTTTTAATGTAACAAATAGGAAAATCACTTATGCCTTACTTTTTATCCATCTGTACTCCAATCACAGGATCCATTAACCATGCCCAAAGAAGAAGACAGAATGCTTCCAGAATGTTTGCACTCTTTTGATGCTAGAATATGGACCATTATGAGAACAAGTATATAATATCACAGAAATATAGTATCATAGCTTAAGGAGGGCCAATGGAGAATGTCTAATTCAACTCCCTCATTTTATAGCTAAGGAAACTGAGGCCTAATTAAGTAATTAACATATTCATCTCTTATCATTTCCATTCCTCATATGGTAGAAAATTATTTTAGAATTTTCTCAGAGCAAATAAATGATAAACAAGTTAACAATGATATTTCATTCATTCAATAAATAAAAATTCTCATATAAAATCAATTTTCTATTGTTACATTAAACAATTGAAAGGGGATGCACAGAGCCTGTTTAAGTTCCTTTGTGTAAACCTATAGAGCCATTGGTTAAAACCAGTAGTCCTTATCCTGAATAATTCATTTATTTCTCCCTCTTTTAAATCAACCAACACTCATTGAACACTTACTTTATGCCTGAGATGTGAGGTACTGGTGAAACAAACACCAATAAGACATGGTTCTCTGCTTGCCATCCACTGGGAAAGTGACAAGCAACAAAACAAGTCAGAACAAAATACGAACTAAATGTGGCATTCATTCTGACTGGGGTTTCAGGGGTGGCTTCGTTGAGGGGAAGATTGGCACTTGAATCAGGCCACATAGGATGTAGGATTTCAAAGGCAACAGCAAGAAGAAAAGCAAGGAAATAGCATGCTTGGCATATTTGAGGGAAATGATCAGAATTGAGCCCAATCCAACCAAAGAACAAGGGAGAAAACCAGACATTCCAATGTTCTAGCCTGAGGATAAAAGTAACCTCAACTGAAGCACAAGATAATTTACCACCCAACTCCTTCATGTCTAACACACAGCAAGTGCTCAATAAATGATGTCTAGGTTAATCGTGACCAATTCAGTAATCTCTTTGTTCAATTTATTGAATGATGTCAGCATATTACCATGTATTCTCCGGGGTCTAAATCTCCCATCATTCCTTTTAGATGTGTGTTTTCAGTTCTGACAGCTTTATATTTCATATCTGAGACCTGAAATTAGCAGATAAAAGGCAAATGTAAAATTCATAATAAAAACTCATAATTCTATTAAAATTTTGTCTTGTGAATACAAATATTTTCTAAGTGTAATGAAGGGAAACACTTCTTCGGTACGACCAATAACATTCAGGTATTCTTATTTAGTTCTCCTGTCTTTGGCAGGCACCACTTTACGTCTTTTTCTGATCAATGCTAAACTACAAGCATATACTTTCAATAATGATTCATTTAGTTTTGTCCTACAATCCCAAAATTCCATTTCTGGTTTCTATTTTCTATTGTATGCAAATTGTCACCAGAAAAAGCACATGTTAAAAGCATGTTTGAGTAACTGTCCATTAAATTTATTCAACACCTGATTAATTTTTACAATAGGCAATACATAACTTTCATGTTTAATTTTGTTCTGATATTTCTGCCAAAATTCCATCTTTTTTAGTGACTACTTCATTTTGTCTCTCAATTTATTTTATCTTTCCCTGATTTATTCTACTTGACAGGACTTGGATATGGTATCTGTCCTTTTACTTCTCTAGGACTCATTTCTGTATAAAACACGTGCCTTAAAAAGATTTAATTTTGTAAATTACCAATTTATGCTCATTGACAAAACCTAGAAAACGTACAAAAATATAAAGGTGAAAATAAAAATTATTCATAATCCAACTAGCCAGATCACTGTTAACACCTGTAAAATATCCCTGCCTATACAGGTACAACCAAAGAGATTATCCCATCTGTGCTGTTTTCCTGTGTACTGCAACAATAAATCACGGTTTAAGGCTTACAACTGGGCAAAGGCTAAATCTTTTCTGTTTTCATAATTCACGATTTTAGTCATGTTATTTGTGAAGTGACCCTCATATGCCTAGAAAATTATTAAATGATGCTCTCAAAACCTTTAGATTTGGGGTAAAAAAGCAGATAAACCCTGTGCTCTCAATAGTAGGCCATCCATTTGATCATGAGTAAGGGATGGAGGGAATTTAAAAAATAAATAGGCAGGAAGGAAAGGAAGGATGTAGAAGTTACTTGTAGTATTTTAACAGAAGAATGTTACAATTGCTGTTTTTCCTCACGTACCATGCTGTGCATTGACTGCATGTTCAGTAAATATGAACTAATTTTCATGTTTCAACATCCATTTGTAAAAAGCCTGAAAGAAATACATGAAGTGTGGGGGAGGGGTAGGAAGTGTTGAAGAAGAGCTGGAATAGAGACTTTTTTTTAAAGATAAAAATGTTAATGGAAGAGAAATACAGAAAAACATACTCAGGAAGAAATATTTGATTAGAGTGTACTGTGGGAGGTGATCAGAATATAGGTTACAAGAAAATGGAAAGATGAGATTTAATGAAATTGTCTTGCACTGTCATTTCCCTAGTCCTTTTTGTTGGTGACACTTTGTGTTATCTCTGAAAGGTTTTATGTAACACCACAAAGCATTTCTGTGAAGCTAGTCTCAGAAATAATACCAAGAAATGTAATGTTTTCATTAGTCAATAATGAAGGCTACTATTGGCACTGAGCAAGAATGTGCCCTAGACAAGTGCTATTCTGCCTGCTTGCATACCTTTTGTTTTGCTAACATTTTTTCTTTTATTTCTAATTCCATTTTTAACTGTTTTTCCAGAAGGGCAGCTTTCTTTGTGACAGTTGCTATAGTGATCTCCTTCTGATGAAGCTCTTCTGTTAGGTCAGAGATTTCATTCCTCATTCTTTCCTGCTCAGAGTTATGGTACTCTTCCACCTGTTGGAGTTGGCTTCTTATCTGCAGCAGATAGAGACTGGAAATATTATTGAATCCTTTTATTTATAGAGTAGCTTAAAATTTTACTGGCCATGTTCAGTCCTTCTATTCTGAAACTTTGTCAGGGCCCACTTCACCCTCCTTTTCTGATCAATGCTAAATTAAAAACAGATACATATAATAATGACTCATTACCTTTTTTCCTTCCAATTCCAACATTTCATTTCTCACTTCTATTTTCTGTTGTATGCAAATCATCACCTATGACTGATACTACTTTGATAACCACTTTGAGAGGAAGGTAAAGAAAGTATTATCAAGCATTTTCATGGAGAAAAAAATTGGCTTTAAAATGGTTACATGATTTGCTCAAAGTCATAAAGCTAATAATCGGCAAAGCTAGGACTGGAATCTAGGACTCTTGGCTTTAAATTCAGTGCTTTTTTAAAACTAAAATAGGCTGTACTGTTTGTAACTAAACATTTGTTTCTCAGAATCACATTACAGTAAACTTCAAACAATGTCTTCATGAAAACTCATCACTTCCCTTACTTAAGCCTCTTATTTTCTGAATCTTGGCTAAGCTTCCATGTTACAAACCTCTGGATTGTCTCTGACTCCTCTCCACCCTTGTCCTCCCAAACCTGGTCAGGCAATGAATTCTGTCCATTCTATTTCAACCTCTTTTAAGTCTTGCCTCTGTCTCCATTCCTACAACTGCTGTCTTTGTCTAGCCTCTTAGCATCTTTCTAGAAACCATTACTGTTTCTAATTCTTGAGACTTAAAGTACATAATCATCCGTCTAAAAAAAAATCATAGTCCATTGGGGAAACAGAAAAATAGACGATTACAACACAGTGTAGCAATTAGTGTCAGCAGTATGTAGTGGCAGTGTGTTTAACCCAGCCTAGGGATGACAGGATAGGATTCCCAGAGGAAGGGTCATCAGACCCAAAACTGAAGGATGAATGAATGCCAATTAGAGATGCTCTAGCCGGGCGTGGTGGCTTGTGTGGGAAGCTGAGGTGGGAAGGATGCCTGGAACCCAGGGGGCAGAGGTTGCAGTATAGTGGGCTGAGATCATGCCACTGCACTCCAGCCTGGGTGACAGAGCAAGACCCTGTCTCAAAACCCTGTCTCAAAAAATAAAAATAAAAAAAATAAAAAGGCATAGAAAAAAATAGAACATATAGATGCTCTATGAAAAGTAAAAACATTAGCCGGGTGTGGTGGCATGTGCATTCAGTCTCAGTTAGTCGGGTGGAAGGGGCACTGGGGTGGGAGGATCCCTTAAGCCTAGGAGGTCTAGGCTGCAGTAGGCCCTGATTGCACCACTGTATTCCAGCCTGAATGACACAGCAGGATCCTGTCTCAAAAAAAAAAAAAAAAAAGAAGGAGGAAGAGAAGAAGAAGGAGGAGGAGGAGGAGAAAGAAGTAGAAGGAGGAGGAGGAGGGCTCAGAGGAGGAGGAGGAGAAAGAAGGAGGAGGAGGAGGGCTCGGAGGAGGAGGAAGAGGAGGAGGAAGAGGAGGGAGGAGGAGGAGGAAGAGGAGGGAGGAGAAGGAGGAGGGATCCCAGGCAAAGAGCTCAGTGAGTGAAAGCATGGCACACTCAGTGAACTAAAAGGAGTTTAGGGTAGCTAGGAGTTAGCTGCTCTGAGAAATAAGGCTGGAGAGTTAAGTAGAGGCTAGCCACAAAAGAAACATGAATTTTCTCCAGGGCACTTTTTTAAAATGGATTTTTTTTTTCATTTCACCTTTAAACATTTCAGTATATATCTTTAAAAGAACAAGGCTCTCTCTTTTTTTTAAATGTAGCCAGAATGTTATTACAATGTCTGTAAAGATTAAGAATTCCTTAATATCATCAAGTATCTAGGCAGTATTCAAATTTAAGCTTGTCTCAAAAATATAATAAATGTTGTTTAAGTTTAATTGAATTAGTATCTAAACATGATCCATTCATTGTGACTGGCTCATATATCTTTTTAAAGCCTCTCTTTTTGTGTGTTCTAAGTAGTTTACATGCATCATCTCATTTAATCCCCACAATGTCTCTCTATTTTGCAGACTACTGTATTTAGCAGATTAGAAAATTAAGGTGCATAACTTTTCACATCACATTTCTTGTGAAAGGCAGTCTAATTCCAGGACCTGTGAACTATTGTGCTCTGCAACCTCTGTGGGAAGGGTCCTGGAAGGTGTGGAAGGTGGTTCACATTTGGAAAAACCTGAGTTTTAGGGGTTGACACCTACAGAGAGATTGGAAAAATCTGGGTTTTAGGGGATGACACCTAGAGTGAGATCAGAAAAAGCTGTGTTTTAGGGGATGGCACTTAGAGTGGGGTGACCTAACATGGAAAGTACACATGTCCAGAGGCAAATGTGATCACCATCAGGCTTTATGCCACCAACCCTTCCTTCATCTGATTCTATTCATATTACCAGCATATTCAGAGTTTCAGAGTTGGATATGACCTTAGAAATCACATGATCGAACCTCATCATTTAACAGATTTTTTTAAAAAAGAGTCACAGGAACGAGAACAAGGCGGAAACTAAGAGACACGAGCACAAGTATCCTAACCCGGAGGACAATATTACAAATCTCCTTTAAATCTCTTCTGTCTCCAAGTTTTTACCTTCCAATTTATTTGATGAAATAACACGGTCAGTCTATAGTTTGTCCCAGTATGGATTTTGCTGATCGCATCCCTTTGGCATAGTTTAACCTGTTCCACTTAAAATGGAACTTTTTTTTTTTTTTTTTTTTTGAGATGGAGTCTTGCTTTGTCACCCAGGCTGGAGTGCAGTGGCACAATCTTGGTTCACTGCAACCTCCACCTCCCGGGTTCAAGTGATTCTCCTGCCTCAGCCTCCCGAGTAGCTGGGACTACAGGTGAGCACCACCATGCCTGGCTAATTTTTGTATTTTTAGTAGAGACAGGGTTTCACCATATTGGCCAGGATGGTCTCAAACTCCTGACCTCGTGATCCGCCCACCTTGGCCTCCCAAAGTGCTGGGATTACAGGCGTGAGCCACGGCACCTGGCCAAAATGGAACTTTTAAAATATAAAAAAATGAATATACTACTGTGAAAAAGGAGTAAACTATTTTTATTATTTTCACAATATTTAGATGTTAACACAACATACTATACTGCAAAACTTCTTTCTTAATGAAAGAAGAAACTAATTTACCTGAACTCCAAATGACTTTTGGTTTATTGAAAATGTGAATGTTATCACAAAATAAATGGCTAAAACAGTTCTAGACTGGAAAAAAGGAAAAGAAATAAAATACTTGCAAGATTCATAATACATAGCTCTTGTTAGTTTTATTACAAAAGAATTAAAATGCTCTTCAGAAACACTTGGAAGCTTTTTTTTTTTTTTTCCTGAGACAGAGTCTTGCTCTGTCGCCCAGGCTGGAGTGCCATGGCGCAATCTCGGCTCACTGCAACCTCCGCCTCCCGAGTTCAAGCAATTCTCCTGCCTCAGCCTCCTGAGTAGCTGGGATTACAGGCGCCTGCCACCGCGCCCAGCTAATTTTTGTATTTTTAGTAGAGACGGGGTTTCACCATGTTGGTCAGGCTGGTCTCAAACTCCTGACCTGGTGATCTGCCTGCCTCAGCCTCCCAAAGTGCTGGAATTACAGGTGTGAGCCACCATGCCCGGCCACTTGGAAGCTATTTATATAAAATTCATTTGTTACCTTTTTTTTGCACAGCATTCTGGTATTTAGTGGCCTCCAAGGGTCTATAAAGAATTCTGTGCCTCATACTCTCTCCCACCATGTCAAAACTGTGCAAAGTCAGTAGATTCTTTATATTACTCAAAGTTTTATTACTTTATCTAAATCTATGAGGTTAAGAATCATGTAACTATACTTTAGGTGGCTTTAACCAATCTTTTATCATTCACTGGGGACACCAGTAAAAAAGAGTTTTTCAAAGTTATATTTTTAAGTCAGCAAAATAAATTTTGTGGGATTATATGGCATTAAAGTGTTCAAAATATATGAAAAATGATCACTGATTCATAACACCTTTTCTCTACTTAACCTCTGTTAGTTCTCTGACAGTCAACTCTTTGGCAGACAGTACCTGTCTTTCATATTATTGTGTTTCCTATAGAAATTAGCAGAATAGCTATAGTTCTCCTAGATACTCAACAAATGTTTGTTAAATTTGTACAAACAACTGAATTTATGACCCTATATATTTATGGGAAAATTTAGCCTTAATATTAACTCATTCTCTAAGTATTTAATTTACTGTGTGTCAAGCACTATGCAGTGCACTAATTGATAATTCAAAGCCACACCCAGGTTTATTTAACTTTTAATTGTTTAGATTTTATAGCATTAAATATTCTGCCTGATCCTCAAACCTAAAGACCAGAGAGGTGGAGAATAGCTATGATAAATTCACAGAAAGAAGGCCATTACTGGATTGTACTAGAGGGAGGAGAGAATCATACTCTTTGTAGGAGAGTAAAGAACCACAAGCTCTTTAAGGACAGTGCCCAGGACTTACTCATCCTTGTATTTCTAGCTCCAGCAGAGTTCCTGGCACATGTTAGGTGCTCAGTGAAAAAATGTGGGTGCAATAAATAACTACTGAGCCAATATTTACTAGATACTTCCTCTGAGCTAGATCCTATTTTAAGCACTTTAAGTGCATTATCTCATAGATTTTACCTTAGGGTAAGAGTATGGATACTGGAGCCAGATTGCCTAGATTGAAACATGGCCTCTGCCACTTAATAGCTGTGTAATGTTGAAGAAAGTTACTTTTTCTTGGTGCCTTAGTTTCCTCAAATGTAAAAGGAGGGTAATATTAAGACCTATTTCATTAGATGTTTGTGAGGAATAAATGAAGTAGGATTTCTTAAGTCCTTAGAACAGTTCCTGGCACATGTTAACTGCTAGTTAGCAGCTAACTCATTTAATCCTCATCACAAACTTATGAGGTAGGTACCAATTATTTCCACCTTAGAAATGAGGCTCCTCAGTATCTTGCACAGGAAACTTCTCCAAGCTTACGTGTGTGGTTGAGCACCAGAGTCTGTGCTCTCAACTTTCTTGCTATAAGCCACCTATCATGGAGCCTCCAGCCCTCCACCCTCCACGTGTCGTGGGCAGTCTCCCAGTAGCACAGTGATAACTTAAGGTTTGTGTTTTTTGTAGTCTCACACAGAAAAATGTCGGAATTAGCAGCTTGGTAGATTATCACCTTACAAAAAAATACAGAAGGAAAACAAAGGGAGTGAGAAGAAAGATTTTTTTTTAACTCCCTTTGTATGTAAAGAGTTCACATCTACCTGGAAGAATGGAGCTCATTATTTTTCATACCTTGTTCAATTCTTTTTCATGATTTGGTTGATCTTGCATCACTGAAAACAGCTCTTTTATTTTCCTTTCTGGTTCTTTAATAGAAGGCAAATAAGATGATTCAAGTCTACAAATTAAACATAAAATAATGATTAAAATTAAGCTTAACTTGATAAATTGTAACGATTATATTGTTAATTTAGACCATTACAGGCTGCGGAGATAGATCATTACTTTGTTGGAAACATTTTTAGTTACAGAAATTGCAAGTTCTAATACATTCAGATCCCATAAGTATTTACATCTTTAAGTGCAAATGGTTTCAATGGAAGAAAGGAAGCAATTAATAAGGAATTTCAATTATACATTAAAAATTGGCAGAATACTGGGATTGCATATGTAGATAAGATTTTGGGAAAAAAGAAAAGACTGTATGCTATAATAAAATAGCTTGGTAACCCATTTAAAAAAAGGAAACACACCCAACTTGCTAATGTATTGTGGAAAGGAACTATGTCATGAGAAGTCTAAGGGGAGCAACTGTTCTATAAAAGAGATAAAACATCATTAACTCTGACAGTCTAACCAGAGAGTACTCAAATACATCTATTCTTTGGCTGCTTAATTTATAAAGTGGAATTGCAACCACATATTAATATTAGAGGAGAAAAGCAGAAACTAGTATAAAGAGTATAATACCCACAGGAGGTTTGAAGATGTCTAAGCAGATAATGTTCACTTTCATATGAGACAAACCAGTGAAATAAAAATCACAAAAACACAAAAATAAAGATAACCAGGTAGGGGAAGCAGCATGCTTTCTACTGGAAGTCAGGCTTGACTATTCTGGAGGAGTCTGTTGTTTTGAGGAACATATCCACTTGTGAGTACAATTTTAGGTTTCCAGATAACTTTTGAGAAGATTTCACACCTTCAGAAATTTCAACCACACAAATAAAAAACCCAAATATGAGTAATGATAAAGAAATTGCTAATTTAAAGATTGAAAATAGAGGATCTGTTATAAAAGGTATTAAGTTGGTAGTGATATCCCTGAGTTACATGTATCTAGACTAGATTGCTTTTTTTGTGATTATCAAATATATATGTTAACTGTGGATAACAAAGTATATCAGAGTATAATATACTGCTGTAATGTTAACATTCAGGAAAAACCATCATTAGCATTTTTATGTGCGGTAAATATATTTTTCCCTATGCATATATGTGTGCAAAGAAATATACACTTCCCATATAATTAGAACATACTATACACATTATTTTTCAGTGTCCTTTTGTTTCCTACTTAGTAATATATTGTGAGCATTTTCCATTTTATCCAATATTCTCCTAAAATATTATTTCAGGATCAGTCTTAAGTTTTCATTATTTCCTATAATTTGAAATGAGTGAAAAATTTCCATATTTTTTAATTCTTCCTAAGCAATTTCAGGAAGTAGAATGCTGAATTGAATGCTAAAATCCTCATGGTGGTCTTGCAAAATTCAGTGAGTGAATGAAACAAATGTCAAACTCCAATGTGGACAAGTGAATAGAAGAAAACCGTAATCATGATAATATAAAATGCTAATGTACATGTATAAGGGAACTATTATTTGTCATGTAGAACAAGAGTATGAAATTAGTTTAATAACTCTCAGAACATATCAACCCAGGGTGCTTCTACAACTAAAAAAAAATAGAAAAAGCTAACAAAAGCTTAGCATTATTGAGAAAGTTTCTGAAAATGAATAAGAACATTACCATGCTACTTTTATAAAACTACTATGCATCTATTATCAGTAGTCTGGGGTATTTCACTTTGATACAACTACAAAGAAGCAACAGTCTAAATAAAATAAACCAAAACAATAAAGCTGATAGAACAGCATTCATATGAGAACAAACTAAAAAAATTAGACTCTTTTAGTGGAAAAGATGAAGGCTAAGAATTCTAAAATACAATGGAAGTTGTGAAAAGTTAAACTTATACCTTTTCATCAAATCTCAGAATTCTAGAACTGAATTCTAGGATAAGAAAGCTGTAGTCTGGAGACCAAAATAAATGCCAAGTTAAATAGAGGATGGTAAACAGGCAGAACAAAAAAGTTTTTACTGGCCAAATATATAAATAAGTGCAAGATTTTAGATCAAATAGTGTATTGAAGGGCTGTTGGCACTGTTTGGAATTCAGCATGGGTCTTAAGAGCACCATAAAAAGTACCTACAATGCTCTTCACAAAGCCAGAGCTAGACATGGGTTGATTGGTGTGCTCTTCTGTGAAATGTCTTATGTTTTTAGGAATATATTTTCTTCATGTGAAGACATTACTCACCATACTGGAACAGCACTACATGTAATAAATATCAGATTGATTAGTAATCAGTGATGATAGTATACATCTTGTATACAGAGCATTCGATAATGCAGATTGGCTAATAGGCATTCTGTCACCATCCTTGGTGAGACACACAAATAGGTCATTTTAGGGATCTTAAGTTGCCATTTGTTATTAAGCATAGACCTCAAAGAAATGCTAGCAGGTCTCACAACTTTGAAGGTCTCACAACTTTGAAGAAATAATTATTGCCTTTAAAACAATATAACAATCTTTCAATAAAGCATCCCTATTTGGCTATTCAATTTTTAAAATCCTATCATTGATCTGGCATTAGCTTTCTGATTTTGAGAAAGATTCAAGTTCTATGAGAATAAGAGCATCAATGAACTATTAAAGCAGTCAAACTGTCTATTCACACACACAAACATTTAACAATCCTCAGCAGTCCCATTTTGTTTGTGTTTATGGAATATACAATATCTGTCTGATTTCCTTTGTGTTTATGGAATATACAATATCTGTCTGATTTTAAAAGAGAAAAAAAAATCTGTTTTAAGAAGAACCCTCAATGGAACAGACAAGATGGCGAGTTTGGTGGCCAAAATAAATACAATATGTACAAGTGAAAATGTTGACATCAGGTATAGGCAATCAAAACAAAGGCATTTAAAAATATAGAATAAATCTTATTTCTCTGAGTATACATAATTGAATACCAGTTCTATACTATTTTTGTATAATATCTTTTTTTTTTTTGAAACAGGATCTCTGTTGCCCAGGCTGGTGTACAGTGGCACGATCACAGCTCACTGCAACCTTGACCTTCCAGGCTCAAGCGACCCTCCCAGCTCAGCCTCCCAAGTAGATGGGACTACAGGTGTGTGCCCCCATGCCCAGGTAATAAAAAATTTTTTTGAAGAGTCAGGGTCTCACTATGTTGCCTAAGGCTTGTCTTGAAATCCTGGGCTCAAATTGTCCTCCCACCTCGGCCTTCCAAAGTGCTAGGAGCCACCAGGTCTGACTCAGTGTGACAGAAATATCCATAAATCAGGACATGATATAATTTTCTAGGTAAGTGAAGATGTTAATTTTGAAAATGAAATAACCATAAATTTTATTTTTAATATTTAATATTACCCACTAATTAACATGTTAATACAAAATAGACTTTATATTCTCATTTCAAATATAAAACTCTTAAAAACATTCAAACATCATGTTTTGAACAGTTCTCTCAGATTGTCAAATATAAAGATTATACCTTGTTTTATTTCCTTGAGCATTTTGGCACTCTCCTATTTTTAATAATTCTCTGTGTAATTGCAATCGTTCCATTTCTATAATTCTCAAGAGATCATCACGTGACTGTAACTCACTTTTTACCTCTGAGAGACCTGCTTCCATGGCCTGAATAAAAACATCAAAAAATTTCATGCTCATTGTTGGTTATCATAACGTACAATGCATTTAAAAATATTTAACATCTATAAACCAGCCTAATTTTAAACAAACTGATATTTAGTCCTTTGCTTGTTCTGTCTCATAGAATTCCATTCCTTCATTTTTGTTTTCTTTTCTTTTTTTCTGAGATGGAGTCTCACTCTGTTGCCCAGGCTGGAGTGCAGTGGCACGATCTTGGCTCATTGCGACTGCCTCCCGGGTTCAACCAATTCTCCTGCCTTAACCTCCTGAGTAGCTGGGTTTAAAGGCTCGTGCCACCATGCCCAGCTAATTTTTATATTTTTAGTAGAGATGGGGTTTCACCATGTTGATCAGGCTGGTCTCAAACTCCTAACCTTGTGATTCTCCCACCTTGGCCTCCCAAAGTGCTGGGATTACAGGCGTGAGCCACTGCGCCTGGCCTCCTTCATTCATTTTTTCTAACAAATATTTACTGAGTTTTTATTAGGTGCTCTGGGGATACAGACACAGAACCTGTTCTCAGTGAACTTACAATCTAGTGGCAAAGACAAAGAATAATCAAATCATCACACAAATATGACACTGAGTGTGAATATGAAAGAATGAAACATAAAAGTATGAAGAAAGTACAATGCATGAAATTTTAATTAATACAAATACTTTCAAATTGTAAAAAGATAATAATCAAGAATAAGCTAATGGCAAAGCTGGCCAACAAAATGAATTATAAACTGTGATTCAACCCTTGCCCAATGGCAGCTATTCTTTAGTCAGTAACTGGAAATACCAGCAATCCTCTGGGTTCAATGTTTTATTTTGTTAATAAAAGAAGCTGGAACTAGGTTAGCAGTTGTTGGCAAGGACCCATTAGAAGAGAGTAGAGGTAAAAGGAGTGGTGTCAAGTTCCTAAGAAGGTGGATAGGATGACCCTCAAAGCACATTGGGAGAATTGCCTAAAGCAAAAGTAAGGCCCTCCTCTCTGTAACAGGAAGGAAGGAAGATGGAATGCAGACAAGTTTATGCATTTAGCTAAGGGGATATTAAGAGACTGGCTATCTCTTGGCTTCTATTTTCTCTGTGAAGTAAAAAGTAACATCATGTTCTAACAGTAGAAGGAGAAGTGCAGGGTATAGGAGTGATTTTTGAGAGTGGTGAAGAGTTTAAATGGCTTACAATGGCAATGAAAGAATTAGCTACTTGGAGAAAAAAAGCCGGATTGCTGGGCAGTGTTGAGTGCTCATTTGAGGTTGGGGACCATGGCCTGTTGGGTGATTTTCTGCAGCAGTACTTGGCTGTTCTCTAGGAGACAGCAATGGAAGAGTCTTTTAATATCATCAGGTCCCTTCCACACAATTATACAAGGAAATTAATGTCTTTAAAAAATGCCTGACTTATGTCATCAAATCCATTGCCATTTTTACAGATGAGGAAATTGAATGCCAGACTTGATCCAAAGTTACACAACTCATAACTACCAGATTTTGGAAGAGGAAAATCCAGATCTTTTGACTCCTAGTCCAATTAGAACATTCAGGATGAAAAAATAATCCCTTCCACTCAAAGTTAAATAGACCTCTAGTGTATTGGTAAAGACAGGATGGGAGGTTCTAAGGGCAAGGGTCTTCTCTGCTAGTAAAGGCTATAGAAAACACTATATTTTAAAAAATTGTTTGTTCAATAATTCTTAATATATAGATATACTGAATATTCATTGAAATATAATCAATATTATTGAATTATTAATAATATTCATTGAAATATAATCCACATACCATAAATTCGCCCATTTAAAGTGTACAATCCAGCAGTTTTCAATTTAGTCACAAAGTTGAACATCACCACTACTTTATTCCAGAGCATTTTCATCATCCCCAAAGGAAACCTGATACTCATTAACAGTCACTCCCCATTTTCCCCTTCCTCCAGCTCCTAGCAACCACTAATCTATGTTCTATCTCTATGGAATTGCCTATTCTAGATGTTTCATACAAATGGTGTCATACACTATGTGGCCTTTTGTGACTGCCCTCTTTAATGTAGCATAATGCTTTCAAGGTTCATCCATGTTGTAGCATGTATCAGTGGTTGATTCCTGTTTATGGCTGAATAATGTTCCACTATGTGGATATACCACATTTTGTTTATCTATTCATCAGTTGATGGACATTTGGGTTGTTTCTACTTTTTGATTATTATGAATAATGCTGTTATGAAAATTAATGTATAAGCTCTTATGTGGACATATGCTTTCTTATTTATTAATTCTTATACAGAAGTTCACAAAGCCTAGAAGAATAATTGTATAGAATATATAGGATATAATGAGTTCCCAGATAATTTATTTTTACCAAGCCTTAAATATATGCTGTTTTCCAGGAGGCCTGTGTTCAGTGAGGGGCATAGTAGCATTACTTTAGCCCCAGAACTTCCCAGCCACCTTGGAAATAAATATAAAAAGATTCAAATTGGTGACTTAATAGACTTGTTTGGATAAAGACTTGTTTGGATAAAGCCTCCGTTTTGAACAGTGGAGATTTTTCAGGCAAGATTAAACATTTCAATAATAAAAGAAATGCAAAACAATAGATTACCAATCAGAAATACAAATTGACTTAATGTGAATGTCTCCCATAACTTTGCCCAGTTGAAGAAGGCACTATGTGGGCTCCCTGGTTTGCAAATTTGCCACTAGGGAGCAATCAAATATGAAGTTGCATGTAGAAAAGTGCATCTGCTTTCACTTGGGGAAGGGGAGTCCACAAAAAGCTCTAACCTTAGGCCTATAAAATATAGTGTTGCCACAGGCTAGGGTTAGCTGAAACTCTGTAAAATATGGTAATAATAGAATATATTTGTTTACTGTTATTAGAAAATAATATCTGTAAGAGTGAAATTTGGAGACACCATTGACAGGAAAAAAGCTTATTCATGACCTAACTACACAGGTACAAGCATATATGTTAAAATTCAAACTTTTCATAATACAAATGAGTAATAATGATTTGACATGTGAATGAATATGCAAAGTATTTTACTTACAAATGACAGCATGTAAATTGGCTGCAAAAGTACAAGAAAAATTTGAAGGCTTTCTTGATATTGATAAATCTAAAATTGTTTTTTGACCTTGAATTCAAGATTAATACTAAATTAACACAAGAATTAGTGAATTGATTTAACTGAGATGTAGTTTTAAAATTAGTATGCTTCTGCATGAAAGTCAAATCAATTATTTGTGAATGTGGGTGCAAATATTGAGGAAAATGATTCTTTGGTACTTGACTCAGTTACTGGAACATTTTCAAGTTTGTTTGGAACAACTTAAGTATGTAAATCAACTTTTTTAACTGTAAAATTGTATGGGATCTAAACACAGATCAGGTACTTCAGATGAATACTTAGCATGTAATATGAGATATGTTGGAAGCATAAAATACACACCAGATTTTGAAGACTTAGTATGAAAAAAAGTAAAAACCTCAGTAACTTTTTATATGTTGATTACATTTTAGAATGATAATATTTTGGATATATAGTGGGTTGAATAAAATATATTGTTATGATATGTTAGTTTCACTCATTTTTCTTGACTTCTTTTAATTCGGCTAGTAGGAAAATTTAAATTATATTTGTGGCTTACATTATATTACTACTGGACAATGTTGCTCTAGCACCTTAATGACACATTAACAAGCAAACAAAAAAAGGTTAGCTTTTCTGTCATAGATATTAGAAAAATGCAGAGCAATCTATTTTTGTCATTAACTTCCCAGGAAAAATATTGCACATTTAAAAAACATGTAGAGTGTAGCATAATGAATAAATATATGCAATGAAATTAATAAGCATACTGACACATTTCAAGGTTGTGGAAAGACAAATGAGATGTGATTCATGTGAAAATTGAGATGCATCTGCTATTAAAGTGTGCCATAAACAAAGAGAATTTTACATATAAGAAATGACAGTAATTCAGATGTAAATTGTTGTCTTTTTGCATTTATGTGTATGATGTGGAACACTGTCACGACAGTTTTGTGAAAAGGGAAGAGAAACTTCTTTCCAAATACATATATTGGTTATAGTATCAGTTACCTCTAATTATTCCCATTTGGTAAAATATAAATTTTGTAAAACATGTTTAAAGCCCATCTGTTTAGTTAGAGGTTTGCCTAATGGTTTGAGAGGAGCAGTGATTCTAAACCTTCAAATCAACTATCAAATATAAATAATTGATGTATTTTCATTTAGATTTATCCTAAAGAATGAAACGTGAGTAAAATTTGGAAGTGAAACAGAGGAAAAGCTAAATTAATGCAATATATTCAGGATTTTTACCTAAATGGATGAAAAATACTTAGTGTTTTCCTGAGAGTAGAAATCTTTCAGACATCTTAAAGTTTTTGAACCAAATTACTTTTCAAAATCTTTTCATTAGTTCTACAACAGATTTTGTTTTTCATAAAACATGGTCCAGAATAATTTGATTTGATTTTTAATACATGTGATTCTTTTGTAAAATATAAAATGCAGATTCTTAGTTCAAATTTAATAATGGTCCTAGATCCAAGGATAACTAATTTTTTTTAAATGAACAAATACTTGTAAAAAAATAATATTGGTAAACTTCCTCATAGAAATCAGTATAAATATCAGTCACATTAAAAGTTGTTATTAGCTGGCCGGGCGCGGTGGCTCACTCCTGTAATCCCAGCACTTTGGGAGGCCAAGGTGGGTGGATCACAAGGTCAGGAGATTGAGATCATCCTGCCTAACTTGGTGAAACCCCGTCTCTACTAAAAATACAAAAAAAAAATAGCCGAGCATGGTGGCCGGCACCTGTAGTCCCAGCTACTAGGGAGGCTGAGGCAGAAGAATGGCGTGAACCTGGGAGGTGGAGCTTGCAGTGAGCCGAGATTGCACCACTGCACTCCAGCCTGGGCAACAGAGCCAGTCTCCGTCTCAAAAACAAAACAAAACAAAACAAAACAAAACCCAAAAAAACAGAGCAGGATGAAATTTCTCAATCAAGTTCTATCCACTAAAAATATGTGAGTCACAAATGCAAGCCACACAGGTAGTTGTTATTAGCTACGGAAAACATCACAAAATGAAGTTAGAGAATTACTAGTGAAGAATATGAGAAAAATGACTCACTTCAAAATTACAAAAGGGTTGATCAATTTTAGCACTATTGACATTTGGGACTGGGCAATTCTCTGTTGTAGGGTTGTCTTGTGCACTGTAGGGTGTTTAACAGCATCTCTGGCCTCTACCCACTAGATGCTGGTCACACTCCTTTCCTTGTTGTGGTGACCAAACATGTATCCAGGCATTGCCAAATATCACGTGGAAGGAAAAATCACTGCAGTATAGAGCCACTAATTTAAATGAAAGTCATAAAAATTAGGCAATGAGTACTGCTGTTTTGCAACCTTTAGTATAAGTAAAAAGACTTCACAATTATATTGACTTCTATGAGTAGCTGGATTTTAATTTTGTTAGTTATATTCAGGAACATTAATAAATTATTAAGTACATTAATATATAAATACCATAAGAAAAAATCAAAATAGGTAACATGGACTTTCCTTAGCCCAGGCAACCCACAGAGCCTTCTCAGGTGTGCATGTAAGCCCCTAGAAGTCTGTAGAAATCTTTGCGGAGTAGGAAGAAGTGTGGTAAGTTACATCCTGTTGAACTTGGGTCAGAAGAGTAAGTTAATTAAATAATATCAGTAAATGACAGGGCAACCTTGGCCAGCAGCTGGTTTGATTCTTCTTACTTCCTGCTACACATTGACTCCCAAGTTGCATGCACTCTCCCTCTCCTTGCCACCAGGAGTGTGTCATTGTGATAAGTGTGAGAAGCATAGGCTTAAGGCATTTATTTGGAGGGAGAGTAGAGATGGTGATCCTAGCTAGGAATGTTATAATAATGTTCCTCAATGTACAGTCTTTCCCTGTTTGCAGCATTTTTTCTTTTAACAAGATTCTCCATTCTACTTCCTGGAAAAATATAAACAATAAAGTTCTGAGGAGGAGAAAGGTGGAGTTGATCAAGGAAAGCATTATAGAGAAAGTCAGTCATACTGCCAAGAAAGAGGTACAGAGGATCTTTTTTTCCCCAAAGAATACAGGTGTAAAAGTAGCCACTTCTATCCCACAAGTGAGCCAAAAACAAAAGCTGACTCTCAGCCTGAAAAAGGGCCGCTCTTGGATCCTGTAAATGGCCCCAATAGAATTATTTTTGGGGATATTAAAAGGAACTGATGTTAGTGAAGAAGGTGAACTTCACTGAAGGGTAGAACCAGACTTGATAACTGGGCCTACTAGTGAAATATGTTTCAGGCAAACTAAATAGAACAGAGCAAAATGAGCCTGAGCAGAACATTGATTTGTATGGATCAAATCCAAAAAGACTTAAAGAAGAGAAAAAGC
Source organism: Homo sapiens (assembly GCF_000001405.40). Taxonomy (NCBI): domain Eukaryota; kingdom Metazoa; phylum Chordata; class Mammalia; order Primates; family Hominidae; genus Homo; species Homo sapiens. The sequence continues at coordinate 93,378,942 of NC_000011.10, read as the reverse complement.
AGGGAAAAATGGCAGATGGGAGGCAGGACTAACTTGCAGCTCCCACTTGGACAGACATAGCAGTGTCTGGAGAGACACATCATGAACTTTTGCTCCAAGAACTACTGTAGGAACATGCCAGGAGGGCCAAGAGAATCCATCCCTAGGGAAAGTGGGAGAGCACCACATCAAGGGAGCACCCCATGGGACAAAAGAGTCTGAACAACAGCCCTTGAGCCCCAGATCTTCCATCTGACATAGTCTACCCAAATAAGAAGGAACCAGAAAAACAATTCTGGTAATATGACAAAACAAGGTTCTTCAGCAACCCTGAAAGATCACACTAGCTCGCCAGCAATGGATCAAAAACAAGGAGAAATCTCTGAATTGCCAGAAAAATAATTCAGAAGGTCAATTATTAACCTACTAAAGGAGGCACCAGAGAAAGGTGAATACCAACTTTAAGAAATCAAAAAAGAGAAATAGATAGCATAAATTAAAAAAATCACAACTTCTGGAAATGAAGGACACACTTAGAGAAATTCAAAAATACACTGGAAAGTCTCAGTAATAGAACTGGACAAGCAGAAGAAAGAACTTCAGAGCTTGAAAACAAGGCTTTCAAATTAACCCAATCTGACAAAGACAAAAAAGAATTTAAAAAAATGAACAAAGCCTCCAAGAAGTTTGGGATCATGTTAAGCAACCAAACCTGAGAATAATTGGTGTTCCTGAGGAAGAAGAGAAATCTAAATGTTTGGAAAACATATTTGAGGGAATAATTGAGGAAAACTTCCCTGGCCTTGCTAGAGATCTAGACATCCAAATACAAGAAGCTCAAAGAACACCTGGGAAATTCATCACAAAAAGATCATTGCCTAGGCACATAGTCGTCAGGTGATCTAAAGTCAAGATAAAGGAAAGAATCTTAAGAGCTGTGAGGCAAAAGCATCAGGTAACCTATTAAAAAAAAAACCTATCAGATTAACAGCAGATTTCTCAGCAGAAATCCTACAAGCTGAAAGGGATTGGGATCCTATCTTTAGGCTCCTTAAATGAAACAATTATCAGCTAAGAATTTTGTATCCAGTGAAACTAAGCTTCATAAATGAAGGAAAGATACAGTCTTTTCCAGACAAACAAATGCTGAGAGAATTCACCACTACCAAGCCAACATTAAAAGGCACTCTAAATCTTGAAAGAAATCCTCAACATACACCAATATAGAACCTCCTTGAAGCATACATCTCACAGGACCTATAAAACCATAATGCAATGAAAAAAATAAGTATTCAGGCAACAACTAGCATGATGAATATAATAGTACCTCACTTCCAAATACTAACGTTGAATGTAAATGGCCTAAATGCTCCACTTAAAAGATACAGAGTGGCAGAATGGATAAGAATTCACCAACCAAGTACCTGCTGTCTTCAAGAGACTCACCTGACACATAAGGACTCACACAAACTTAAGGTAAAGGGGCAGACAAAGATATTCCATGCAAATGGACACCAAAAGCAAGCAGGAGCAGCTACTCTTACATCAGATAAAACAGATTTTAAAGCAACAACAGTTAAAAAAGGCAAAAAGGGACATTATATAATGATAAAAGGACTAGTCCAACAGGAAAATATCACAATCCTAAACATATATGCACCTAACACTGGAGCTCCCAAATTTATAAAACAATTACCACTAGACCTAAGAAATGAGATAGACAGCAACACAGTAATAGTGGGGGACTTCAATACTCCACTGACAGCACTAGACAGGTCATCAAGACAGAAAGTCAACCAAGAAACAATGGACTTAAATGATACCCTAGAACAAATGGAGCTAACAGATATTTACAGTCTATGCAACAACTGCAAATATATATTCTATTCATCAGCACATGGAACATTCTACAAGAAAGAACATAAGATAGGCTACAAAACAAGTCTCAACATATTTAAGAAAACTGAAATTATAGCAAGTACTCTCTCAGACCACAGTGGGATAAAATTGGAAATCAACTCCAAAAGGAACTCTTAAAACCATGCAAATACATGGAAATTAAATAACCTGCTCCCAAATGATCATTGGGTCAACAATGAAATCAAGATGGAAATTAAAAAATTCTTTGAACTGAACGATAATAGTAACACAGCCTATCAAAACCTCTGGGATACAGCAAAAGCAGTACTAAGAGGAAAGTTCATAGCATTGAATGTCTACATCAAAAAGTCTGAAAGAACTCAAATAGCAAACCTAAGATCACACTTCAAGACACCAGAGAAACAATAACAAACCAAACTCAAACCCAATAAAAGAAAATAAATAACAAAGATCAGAGCAGAACTAAATGAAATTGAAACAAAAAAAATTCAACAGATAATGAAACAAAAAGATGGCTCTTTGAAAAGGTGAATGAAATCAATAGACCATTAGCAAGATTAACCAAGAAAAGAAGAGAGAAGATCCAAATAAGCTCAATTAGAAATGAAACAGGAGATATTCAAACCGATACTACTGAAATACAAAAGATCATTCAAGGCTACTATGAACACCTTTACAAGCACAAAGTAGAAAACTTAGAAAAGATGACAAATTCCCGGAAATATACAACCCTCCCAGAGTAAACCCTCCTAGATTAAACCCTCCTAGATTAAACTCCTAGAAGAAACAGAAACTCTGAAAAGAACGAGAGCAAGCAGGGAGATTGAAATGGTAATATAGGCCGGGTGCAGTGGCTCATGCCTGTAATGCCAGCGCTTTGGCAGGCCAAGGCGGGCAGATCATTTGAGCTCAGGAGTTCGAGACCAGCCTGGCCAACAACACAAAAATACACTAAAAAATACAAAAATTACCTGGGTGTGGTGGTAGGCACCTGTAAACCCAGCTCTCAGGAGGCTGAGGTAGAAGAATTGCTTGAACCAGGGAGGCAGAGGTTGCAGTGAGCCGAAACTGCACCACTGCACTCCAGCCTGGGGAACAGAGTGAGACACTGTTTAAAAAACAAAACAAAACAAAACAGTAATATGAAAATTGCCAACAAAAAAGTCCAGGACCAGACAGATTCACAGCTAAATTCTATCAAACATTCAAAGAAGAATTGGTACCAATTTTACTGACACTATTCTAAAAGATAGAGAAAGAGGGAATCCTACCTTCAATCATTCTGTGAAGCCAGTATCACCCTAATATCAAAACCAGGAAAGGATATAAGAGAAAAAGAAAACTACAGACCAATATCCCTGATGAACATAGATGCAAAAACCCTGGACAAAATACTAGCTAACTGAATCCAACAGCATATCACAAAGATAATCCACCATGATCAAGTGGGTTTCAAATGAGGGATGCAGGGATGGTTTAACATATGCAAGTCAATAAATGCAATACACCTCATAAACAGAATTAAAAACAAAAATCACATGATCATCTCAATAGACACAGAAAAATTATGTGACAAAATCCAGCATCCTTTTATGATTAAAACCCTCAGCAAAATTGGCATGGAAAGGACATACCTTAAGGTAATAAAAGCCATCTACGACAAACCCACAGCCAACATTATATTGAATGGGGAAAGCATTCTCCCTGAGAACTGGAAGAAGACAAGGATGCCCACTCTCAGCACTTCTATTCAACATAGTACTGAAAGTCCTAGCCAGAGCAATCAGACAAGAGAAAGAAATAAAGGGCATCCAAATCAGTAAAAAAGAAGTCAAACTATCTCTGTTGACTGATGACATGATCATATACCTAGAAAACTCTAAAGATTCATCCAAAAAGCTCCTAGAACTGACAAATGAATTCAGTAAAGTTTCAGGATACAAAATCAATGTACAAAAATCAGTGGCACTGCTATACACCAACAGTGACCAAGCTGAAAATCAAATAAAGACTCAACCTCTTTTACAATAGTGCAAAAAAAAAAAAAAGAAAAGAAAAAGAAATACTTAGGAATATACCTACCCAAGGATGTGAAAAACCTCTACAAGGAAAACTACAAAACGCAGCTGAAAAAAATCACAGATGACACAAACAAATGGAAACACATCCCATGCTCATGGATGGGTAGAATCAATATTGTGAAAATGACCATACTCCCAAAATCAATCTTCAAATTCAATGAAATTCCCATCAAAATACCACCATAATTCTTCACTGAATTAGAAAAAAATTCTTAGAATTCATATGGAACCAAAAAAAGAGCCTGCATAGCTAAAGCATGACTAAGCAAAAAGAACAAATCTGGAGGCATCAAATTACCAAATACCCTATACTATAATGCTATAGTCACCAAAACAGCATGGTACTGGTATAAAAATAGGCACAGAAACCAATGGAACACAATAGAGAACCCAGAAATAAACCCAAATACTTACAGCCAACTGATCTTTGACAAAGCAAACAAAAACATAAAGTCTGGAAAGAACACCCTGTTCAACAAATGGTGTTGGAATAATTGGCAAGAATAATTGGAGAAGAATGAAGCTGGATCCTTATCTCTCACTTTATACAAAAATCAACTAAAGATGGATCAAAGACTTAAATCTAAGACCTGAAACCATAAAGATTCTAGAAGATAACGTTGGAAAAACCCTTCTAGACATTGGCATAGGCAAAGACTTCATGACCAAGAACCCAAAAGCAAATGCAACAAAAACAAGGATACATAGATGGGACCTAATTAAACTAAAGAGCTTCTACACAGCAAAATAAATAATCAGTAAACACATAACCCACAGAGTGGGAGAAAATCTTCACAAACTATGCATCTGACAAAGGACTAATATCCAGGATTGATAAGGAGATCAAACAAATCAGGAAGAAAAAAACAAACAATCCCATCAAAAAGTGGGCTAAGGACATGAATGACAATTCTCAAAAGAAGATATACAAATGGCCAACAAACACATGAAAAAATGCTCAACGTCACTAATGATCAGGGAAATGCAAATCAAAACCACAATGCAATACCACCTTACTCCTGCAAGACTGGCCATAATCAAAAAAATAATAGATGTTGGTATGGTTGTGGTGAAAAGGTAACACTTTTACCCTGCTGGTGGGAATGTAAACTAGTATAACCACTAAGGAAAACAATGTGGAGATTCCTTAAAGAACTCAAGGTAGATCTACCATTTGATCCAGCAATCTAACTACTAGGTATTTACCCAGAGGAAAAGAAGTCATTATATGAAAAAGATACTTGCACATGCATGTTTATAGCAGCACAATTTGCAATTGCAAAAATATAGAACCAGCCCAAATGCCTATCAATCAATGAGTGGATAAAGAAAATGTGGCATATATATACGTATATATATATATATATATATATATACGTATATATATACATATATAAATATATATACGTATATATATATGTATATATATATGAATACTACACAGCCATAGAAAGAAACAAAATAATGGCATTTGCAGCAACCTGGATGGAATTAAAGACCATTATTCTAAGTGAAGTAACTCAGGAATGGAAAACGAAACATCATTTTGTTATTGCTCCTACTTACGTTCTCACTCATAAGTAGGAGCTAAGCTATTAGGCTTCAAAGGCATAAGAATGATGTTGGGGGACTCAGGGGAAAGGGTTGGGGGTGGTGAAGGATAAAATACTACAAATTGGGTACAGTGTAAACTGTTCAGGTGATGGGTGCATCAAAATCTCAGAAATCACCAGTAAAGAACTTATTTATGTAACCAACCACCACCACCTGTTCCCCTGCCAAAAGAAGAAGGGACAAAGCAGAGAATGCTTTGGTTGGCACTGGATGACCCCAAGCCTAGAGGAGAATACTTGGGAAGTACCAAGAACAACAATTTTCTTATTTACTGAATGTGATTCTGATGCAGATTCCAGCAGTACAAAGACAGCTGCAAAATGTAAGTATAGGTTGCCTTTAAATAGAAAGCATGACCAGTTGTCATATACTTAGCGAAGCAAAAGGCAGCAGCCTCTGAGAAGGAAAGACCCCATCACTGCATGACCCGCAGTCATGCAAACACAGCTCAGACAGTCGGAGGTGGGCTGATGCTAAGCACTTAGAAGCCCCTAGGCACCCTCTAGAGCAGATGAATGAGTGCTAACCTCATTTATATTAGAATGAAGCCAGAGAAAACACCATCAATACCTTTGCTATTTCCAGACTATTTCTGGCTTCCTCTGCATTTAGTGTTTGTAGATTAGCTTTCTTTATTGGTTTACATCTGTATTCTAACTTGTATTAGAATAAGACCTCCCTCCTTAAAGCTGGAGTTTGAAGTGGGGAATATGTATGTCTTACAATTGCCTCTGAATGGGAGAGACTGGGAGCCTTGAATTCTGTCCCTTACCAAGCATGGGGAAAGAGGAACATAGAACAGTAGATGCTGGCAGAGAAAGAAGTTAAAGGACTAACTCCCTATATAATCCCAAATATGATGTGGCACGGTGGGGGAATGAGGAGTTGGCTGAGGACTAAGAAATGACCCTGGGAGTTTAAGTGGCAAAAGATCTTGGGGTGGTATATCTCAAGGAAATGAAATGGAAGTTCTCAGGCAGTGACCTTACCTCAATCATGTATGCTAGGTAGACGAGGGAATAGAGTGGGGAAAAGATATCGGCCAACTGTCATGGAGGAAGTGATAGAAACAGGCTGAATATTTGGAGGTGGGAGAAAAAACCTAAAATGGGAGATAAAAGAACGTCTCAAGTACTGATGAATAAGAAATACATATTTTGGGCCGGGCGCGGTGGCTCACGCCTGTAATCCCAGCACTTTGGGAGGCCGAGGCGGGCGGATCACGAGGTCAGGAGATCGAGACCATCCCGGCTAAAACGGTGAAACCCCGTCTCTACTAAAAATACAAAAAATTAGCCGGGCGTAGTGGCGGGCGCCTGTAGTCCCAGCTACTTGGGAGGCTGAGGCAGGAGAATGGCGTGAACCCAGGAGGCGGAGCTTGCAGTGAGCCGAGATCCCGCCACTGCACTCCAGCCTGGGCGACAGAGCGAGACTCCGTCTCAAAAAAAAAAAAAAAGAAATACATATTTTGTAAAGAAATTGGTAATGACCAATTTTGATGAATGCTGTATAACCTTCCTAAAGGTTGCAAGAAATAGACAAAAAAGAAAAAAACATTATTCAGTTAAGAAAAAAAATTAATGCTTGTTAAACCATCAATCATATTTGTCAATGTGAAAGTTACCTAAAAATAAATTCTAGGTTACTGTTTGATAAATGATTATGATAAGATTACCAGTGATAAATCACTGGAGTCATCTCCATAGCTCTCACTGAGGTTACTAAATTGTTGAACCCTTCACGATTTCCTGTATCTTTAACCCAGGATTCTTCTGAGTCAAAGAAACACAGGGTAAGAGAAAATAGTGGGGGAAGAGGGTAGTACATGGCTAAAGGCATAGAGGTCCGTAAGTGACCACTATTATATTGCACTGGTAATACATTATTATTATGCCACCGCAGAACCAAAGTGCACTCTAAGTGTGGTAACATACTTATGGGATTATTGAATCTACGCATCAAGTGCGAATTACTAAGAGGAAATATGAATGGAATCTTCACATATATTAATAATAGAAAACTACCATTCTAATCATTCTAATCTCTATATGTGTTACCATTTATACAAGTCATGGACAATATTAGTTGAAAAAAAATTAATCTTCACCTGGCACTGTCTTTGGTACATTTTCAGTTCTTGCAAGAGCTTCTGATTTTCATCTTGTAATTTATTCCTGCTTAGTGCTATCTCATTTACAGCTGATTTCAGTTTTTCAATAATGAACTCATCTCTTTCATTGATTTCACAATTGGGATCTGGGTCACATATCAAACGAGGAATTTCAGAGCTGCTGTCTTCTAAGCACTGTTTTTTACCATTTAGTTGAGTTTGGTAACTTTGTGCCTGTTTCTGAAAAATATAAAAACTGTGTAACTCAAATGAAGAATGTCATATTTAAGCTTACATGAAGTTCAAGAATGATAGAAAAGAATTAGTAGGAATATCTTTAAATATGTTACTACATAATGAAAGTTGGGTCTTTGTAATTCAGTCTTATATTTGTTTTAAAATTTCAATTTCAGATGGCATATAGAGAAAATATATTTGTATAACCTCAGAGCAAAGATGTAGAGTAGAGAAGGAGGTTAGTGGTAGTAAAGCCATACTAAGCAAGAAAAAAAATCTAGAAGGTGTAAAAAATTCAATTATACAATGGTTGAAAAAAGTCTATAACCAAAAATAAATAAAAACAAACAATTTGATTGTAGGGGAAAAGTTGTCAATGCATGTAACAGAGTTAATAATTCCTAGTGTACAAACACTTCTACACATCAATAAGAAAAGGGCAAACAATGCAAAAGAAAAATGGGCAAAGTTTATGAATAGGCAATTCACAGAAAGACCTGAGATAGGCTAAAAAGTATATGAGGAGATGTTCAGTCTTACAAGTAGCCAGGGAAATACAAAGTAAAGCAAGCAATCGTAAATTCTTTGAGTGCCTTGCCTGTAGGCATGCAAAAACATATGCTATTTAATGACACAATAACAATGGAATTTTAAATAGCTCCATCCTTTGAGACATGTAGACTAAACTCACCATTAACAGATATTCTATGCACTTGTGACTGTACCCACCTTTGGACCTACTCTCGTTTTTTCTTAGTTGGCATGTCTGTTTGTAAATAGATTACTGGTGAATGGTAAAGATACCAATATTTAACTTCTGCTTTTGATTTAGAGAATAGTATTAGATAACTTACCTGAAACTGATTACACTTCTCAGATAATAATTTTTGTTGAGCATCTAAAGAAATCAGATGAGTCTGATATAATATCTCTTGCTTGTCCCATTCTCTTGACTTTGCTCTAAATTCCTTTTAAAAAGTGGGGAGACAAACATATTTAAAAATGTTATTCATTTTAAAGTACAGCAAATAAGGCTTCTTTCATTTGTACATCTTCATTCTGAGAAAAAAAAAGTAAATCCATTCTTTTTTTTTTTTTTTTTTTTTTTTTTGAGACGGAGTCTCGCCGTCGCCCAGGCTGGAGTGCAGTGGCGCAATCTCGGCTCACTGCAGGCTCCGCCCCCTGGGGTTCACGCCATTCTCCTGCCTCAGCCTCCCGAGAAGCTGGGACTACAGGCGCCCGCCACCTCGCCCGGCTAATTTTTTGTATTTTTAGTAGAGACGGGGTTTCACCGTGTTAGCCAGGATGGTCTCGATCTCCTGACCTCGTGATCCGCCCGCCTCGGCCTCCCAAAGTGCTGGGATTACAGGCGTGAGCCACCGCGCCCGGCCGTAAATCCATTCTTTACCTATTAGGGAAAACAAACAAAAGAAAAGGTGTCAAATCATTCATGTTGGATTTTTTACCATCTCTAATTTTTGCTAGGAAAATACAGAATTTGTCACTTATTGTTAAAAATGTAAAAAGTCTGTCTTATAACAAATACTTATTACTAATAAGGGAATTTCAAACAACTTTTTTTTTTTTTTGCATTTGCCACTACTTTCTTTCTATTTCTTGACACGAAATATTTTTTCCTTCATTCACTCAGTTGCCAAATTTCTCCTCTTGTTTTTTTAGAGGGTGGGGCTTGGACTTATTTAGTGACTATTAAGGACTGAATGTTTGTGTCCCCCACAACAAATACATATGTCAAGCCTAAACCCCAAAGTGACAGCATTATGAAATGGGGCCTTTGGGAGGTAATTAAGTCATGAGAGTGAAGCTCTCATGAATGGGATGAGTGCTCTTATAAGAAGAGCTATGAGAGATTTTGTTTCCTCTCTCTTTCTTTCTCCCTGCCATCTGAGGATACAAAGAGCAGACAGCTATCTGTGAACCAGGAGAAGGGCCCTCACCAGAATCTGACTATGCTGGGGGATATGGTTTGGCTCTGTGTCCCCATCCAAATCTCACATTGAATTGTGATCCCGAGTGTGTGTGTGTGTTGGGGGGTGGCTGGTGGGCACGGGGGTGGTTTCTTTTTTTTCTTTTTTCTTTTTTTTGAGATGGAGTCTCGCTCTGTTGCTCAGGCTGGAGTGCAGTGGCACGATCTTGGCTCACTGCAACCTCTACCTCCCAGGTTCAAGTGATCCTCCTGTCTCAGCCTCCTGAGTAGCTGGGATTACAGTCACGTGCCACTACACCCGGATAATTTTTTGTATTTTTAGTAGAGACAGCATTTCACCATGTTGGTCAGGCTGGTCTCAAACTCCTGACCTCGTGATCTGCCTGCCTCAGCCTCCCAAAGTGCTGGGATTACAGGCGTGAGCCACTGCGCCCAGCCTGGTGGTTTCTAGCAGTTTAGCACCATCTCCCTAGTGCTGTCTCTTGATAGAGTTCTCATGAGATCTGGTTGTTTGAAAGTGTGTAGCACTTCCCCCTTTTCTCTCTCTTTCTCTCCTGTTGGCCACGTGAAGACATGCCTTGCTTCCCCTTTGCCTTCTGCCATGATTCTAAGTTTCCCAAGGCCTCCCCAACCATGCCTCCTGTACAACCTGTGGAACTGTGAGTCAATTAAACCGCTTTTCTTCATAAATTACCCAGTCTCAGGTAGTTCATTATAGCAGTGTGAGAATGGATTAATACACAGGCACTCTGATTTTGGACTACCAGCCTCCAGAACTGTGAAAAATAAATGTCTGTTGTTTATGCCACCCAGTCTATGGTATTTAGTTATAGCAGCCTGAACTAACTAAGACAGTGACTTTGCCCCTTGTGGCCATGGCCAGGCCTCATTTAGGCAGTACCAATTGGTATAACTGGGAAAGAAATGGTAGAAGCAGGTTGATAAAGCAGGATCAGTTCTTCAAGTTTTTGCTCAAGTAGTGCAGTTATACAGCATGATTATCTGTTCATATCTTAATAACATGAGCAAAGGATATAGCTCTGGGGATGCCAAAGAAGACATCGCTGCTTCTCCATTTTGCCTAGGGCTGACCATTTATATCCTATCTTTCTGTCCAGGCTTTAAACAACTTGAGGGTAAGGGCTCTTTATTACTTTTGTACCATTCACAGTGCCTGACAAAGTGCCAGGTGCCACTTATATTACATGAATGTACGAACAAAAACATGGTACAGTATTGGCATTTCCTAGAATTTAAACATTCTCAAAAAATGTTGTAAAGAAAACAACATGGTTGGAAACAAACTTTATAGCTACTAAGTCCATGGCTGTATATTATTGCATATAGAAACATGGCATGAATGTAGTGATGTTTTCAACCCTCAATTCAGTAATATTTATTTAGCAGTTAATGTCCACCAGGTTCTGTGGAAAGAAGAAAATCTGGAACTATTTCATAATTTAAAAAAATTTTTGAAAGAAAAAATCAAGGAATATATAATAAAGTAGGGAACTATACACACAAACAAATAATTTTACAATATGTCAGTATGTTAAGTACAATAATGCTGACACATAAAAGCCATGCAGAGGATTTTATGATTATCTTAGCTATTTCCCACAATATATCAAATTGGAACAGTTCATTATAGTCAGAGTGGTTACTATTGTTTTGAAGATGGTTGAAATGACTGGATTGGCAATGCTGGAAAACAAATGCTAATTTAGAGAATGAAAGCTTTATTTTGTTAAAATGAGAAGAACATGGCATTTCATATTTTCTATACAGAAATAATTTTAAAGAACATTTAAGGAAATTTTAGTTTTTAAAATCCATAAGTGCCTAAACAATCAGTGAAGGAAGGCTATAAATTAGGAAGTTTTTACTTTAATGAAAGGTGGGTGACCTGATATTAAGTGATGGTATTAAGGCCGAAGAAGAAATATGGAAAGACCCTCCACATATAACAGTAGCTCATGATAAACAGACTATATTTACTATGATAAATGGAGATAGTCCATTTAAAGTTATTGACTTCGATTCTGACATTCGACATACAAAAATTAGGTACATAAAAACAGGGTCTTTAGCAATAATGGCAAATTTATAAAATGAGGTTCTAGTAGAAAATAGCTAACATTTCAAATTAATGCAATCTAGATTTAAAAAATTTCTGTTTACTTTTAATTTAAAAAGGAATCTTTGGAGTTAGAAGTCAAATTTTGGGCAAGATTGACTTAAGCTGTTCACAGGTTTTAGATAATAGAAATATTTAGCATTTCTTACTCATTAACCTCAAATAATCTTGAAAATAAATATTCCCCAGGATGTTTTAGAGGCAGAAGCATTAACCTCAACTTCTTATAAATACTACAACAGGTAGAAGCGTGGCCAAGAATAGCTAGAAATGTGTGTCACAAACATATCAGCAGGTGCTTATGACAATCCTGGCTTCCTTATTCTTCTCAGATGTACTGGTTTCACAACTAGCGAGTCAGCGCAATATATCCAATAGTATGGAACCATGCAGGGACCTAGAGAGCTTCATAAGGGTTTTTATAGAGACTGGAGTTGTCACGATAGGCTTCAGAGGGTCTGTAGATTTGCCTGGACCTCCAACAGTAAGTTCTTCATGGCTGGAAAAGTTTTTCTGGATCTTTAAGGTTTAGAGTGGATCAGGGTCATTAAAATTAGTTTCTCTTGATAGCTGTATTATTAGATGTTTTAAAAAGCCCTCTAATAAATATTGGAGATGGTCTTTAGTGATTACTATATGTTGGAGACCTTCACCTGTAAAACGGTTTTAACTTTTTATTATGAAGATTTTCATACACACAGAGTAAAACAAACCTCCATGTACCCTTCACCCAGTTTAACTACCATCAACTTAGTCCATCTTTACTTCTCCTATCTCTTCACCCTTTTTTGTTGGTATATTTTAAGGTGACTTCTAGACCTCGTGTGTTTTCATCCCTAAACGCTTCAGTGTGCATCTAAATTTTTTTCACCATAACAACAATGTTACATATAAGGTATTTTAAACCCCATTTACTGATGACAACATGGAATCTTGGTGAGGCAAACAACTTGCCTAAAGGTCACAGGGCAAACACATGAGTCAGGCAAGGCCTGTTTTCAGTTATCAGTGATCATGTTCTTTGACTACTACATGTGGTACACTGCTATTACTATACTTCTATTAAACACCTCAAAGGTAAAACAGGTTTACCTGCAGACTAAAACTGGAAGGGCCAATCTCTTACACATTAATTTATCAGATGGCTATAAGTAAAAACAGGTACATGAAGTGTTTTTATAATTATTTCAAGTTAAACTGTATATCTGCATAGAGTCTTTAAAAACTTTTGTGTAAGTGCAAACATATCAAAATATTTTGCTACTAATTTCCACTATAATTTCATTACATATATATAACGTAAATATTTAGTTTCCTAAATGTAAAATGTGCATACACAAAGTACTTGATACTAACTTAAGGCTTTTTTTGTCTGAAAAATTTTTATTAATGTAGTTCTCCCACAAAAGCCCATGAAAAGTCAGTCGAATGGAATATTAGTGACTCAATCTCTTCATTTTCAGTGAAAGCACATGTATATTACAGTGCACATCTATCGGCATCTTCCATGAGGTCAGGATATTTCTGAAGCCCGTCTGGTTGTACCACTGCAAGAGCCTGGGAGTACAACACAGTGCATTTTCCTAGAGGGCCAACTTACTTAGTGATGGTAAGTTTGTTTTTTTAAAAAACTATGTATTATTCAGAAGCATGTAAAATGTGCTGGACTTTTAAAGATTAAAATCTAGGACTTCCTACAAAGATCTTATAATAAGCCGATTTTAGGGCTGTGATCCCGGATTTAATTTTTTTCTGCTCTTTAAGATATTTTAAAGTAGAAGGACTTTTTAATTAAAGATGAAAAAGTGCTGGCAAGGGGAGGGATGCTGGGGTTTAGGGCTTGAGAAAAATGAAAGAAATTAAGTGGGATAACATAAGGGTCAACTTGAAGTCAATTAAAAAATAATAATTGGGCAGTACTGAGAATCCAGGTAAAAGTAGATGATAGGAATTTATAGTGTAATCTTTCTGCTGTTCCATGACTTGTAGGAGGAATGCTCAAGAACACAGGGAAGAAAAATAGCTGGTTTGTTTTTTCCAAGGTTGGAAAACGAAGAAGATAAGAATAAGTGCATCAACGACACAGTGTATTTTTAAAGTTTTTTGTTTTTAATTTTTGTGGGTACATAGTAGATATATATAGTTATGAGGACATAGTGAATTTTTTTTAGAGACCAAAATTTTAGAAATTCTGAATGCTTTGGGGCAATTGAATTGGAGTGACATTATGCCTTTAAAGAAAAAAAACCATGAAACTTCAAGCCCTGTTTTAAAAACTGTGATGAGGCTTCATTGGGATTTAACTACCTAATAGCTAAATGGCCATTAAAAGATTTATTAGATATTCACTTTAACTGACCCCAGGGGTGTCCTTCAATTTTACTCAACAGCTGCAGTTTCTTTTGACTTTTTTGGCTCTTTTTTTTTTAATCTCCCAAAATGCTGATATATGCAAAAGATGTATACATCAAAGTGATGTTTTAATTCACTAAGTGCCTGAGGGGAAGGTGCACTAAGAAAATATATTCAGTGAGAAGTTAGTTTGTAATAGTGTTTATTACCACAACTGAAGACACCATTGTGGACACTAGAGACAAATAGCCCACAACAATAGGAATCAATCTTTAATACACATGAAGAAACTAAGATAATATATCTCACCTCTAATTTCTGGTTCAAATTGCTCAGTTCAAAGGGTATTTCTTCTTTAAGGTGTGGTAATTCTTTTCGTGGAACTTTGTTTTGTTTCATCTGATGTAATCTCAGTTTTTCAAAGTTATTTGTTAGTTTGGAAAACTGTAAATCACAGAAAATGTTAACATTTTACTATTACCAATTATTTCTAACCTGATTTCACTATATCTCTTTTCCTGTGTACCTCTTTGAAAATTTGTCATGATTAGAAAGTGCAGTAAAGCTTAAATGTTTCAATTAGTGAAGACAGAACCAGTTATTAAAACTAAATTATTGAAGCTGAACACAATTCAGCTTTCATGTAAACTCGAGATTCATTAACTGCACAGTTAAACAATTATTCACTTGATAAATGGCTTGTTCAATTTTGTTTTAATCATATGCAGCAAAGCTCACAATTTTTTTAAAAAACAAGTTTTTTTCTTACTTTTAGTTAGTGCCGTCTTGTGTTTACAATTTTAAATCCAGTAAATCTACAAAATAACTAGCTTATACCTTACTTAAGAAAACAGAATATGTATTAATTTAAAAGACATAAGTAACATAAGCCACTTATTCATGTGGATACGTTTAAATAAATTTTAATATCAAAATTGATCTAATATTTTTCTTAATGATAATTCTTTTTATAACATTGTATTATTTTTTCCATTTCCTGTTCTACCTTCAAATAATAGATTCAAAGTAGCATAGTTTATGAACATTTGTGAGGAAATTTCTATACTCATGTATCTGTTTTCAAATGTGTCTTGTTTACACATTTTATTTTAAAATAATTATAGGTTTACAGGAAGTTCCAAAGTTATTACTGAGGTCCCAGGTTCTCTTCACCCAGTTTCCCCCAATATTTACATCTTATTGAACCACAGTACATCAAACCCAGGAAATTGAAATTGGACCAATATATGTATATAGTTCTATGCCATTTTATCACATATATAGATTTATCTGACCACAACCACAATCTAGATATAGACTATTCTGTCACCACAAAGATCTCCTTCATGCTATCCCTTTAGAATCACACTTAGTCCCCTCATCCCCCAACCCCTAATCCCTGAAAACCACTAATTTGTTTTCCATCTCTATAATTTTGAGAATGTTATAAAAAGAAATCATACAGCACATTACCTTTTGGGATTGTATTTTTTTCACTCAGCTTAATGTGAAAGCCATGCATGAATTCCTTTTTAGTGCTGAATAGTATTCCATGGTATAAATGTATCAGTTTGTTTAACCATTCATATATTGAGACATTTTGATTTTTTCCAGTTTTTGTCTACTGTAAATAATGCTATGAACAATGGTGTCTACTTTATCAGATTAATTAAAGTAGCCACTTCTGCTTTTTTCCTCATAATTTTAAATTGAGATATAATTCACCTACTATAAAATTCACCTGAATAATATTCCATTGCATAAATACACTACATTTTGTTTATCCATTCATCAACTGATAGAAATGTGGGTTGTTTCCACTTTGAGATATTATAAATAATGCTACTGTGAACAGTTACATAGAAGTTTTTGTGTAGATACATGTTTTACTTTCTCTTGGGTATATACCTAGGAGTGGAATTGTTGGATCTTATAGTAACTTTAATAACTTTTTGATGAACAGAAAAATTGTCTTCCAAAATGGCTGTACCATTTTCCATTCCCATTCACAATACATTGGGTTACAATGTCTCCATATCCTCTCCAACACTTGTTATTTTCTTTTTTATTATAACCATCCTAGTGGATGTGAATGGATATTGTGGTTTTGGTTTCCATATCCCTAATGACTAATGATGTTAAGCATTTTTTATGTGCTTATTGGCCATTCATATATCTGCTTTGGAGAAATATCTATTCAAATATTTATCCATTTTAAAATTTGGTCATCTGTCTTTTTATTATTAATTAGTAAGTTATTCATATATTCTAGATACTAGTCCCTTATCAAATATATGGTTTACAAATATTTTCTCCCCATTGCTGGGGGTCTTTTCACTTTCCTGATGGTGTCCTTTGAAGCACAAAAGTTTTAAAATTTTAATGACATCAAATTTGTCTAATTTTTTGTTGCTTGTCCTTTTGATGCCATATCTAAGAAACCATTGCCTAATCCAAGGTCATGAAGATTTACTCCTATGTTTTCTTCTAAGAGCTTTTTAGATTTAGGTTTTACATTTGGATCTTTGATCCATTTTGAGTTAATTTTTGTCTGTGGTTTAAGGTAGGGCTCCAACTTAGTTCCTTTGCATGTGGATATCCTCTTGTCATTGCACCATTTGTAGAAGAGACTAATCTTTCTTTATTGAATTATCTTGGCACCACTTCTGCTTTCTATTAATATTTGCATGGTATATTTCTCCATCTTTTTAGTTTCAACTTGCCTATATAGTTATATTTGAAGTGAGTTTGTCATTTTTTAATTTATTGTCAATCTCTGTCTTTCAGTTGGTGTATTTAGACCATTTCTATTTAATGTAATTATTGATATGTCAAGGCTTAAGCCCTTTTTTGTTTCCTGTTTGTTCTCTAGCTTTTGGTTTCTCTATTTTCACTTTCTTGTCTTCTTGTGAATTACATGAGCATTATTTTAGAATCCATTTTATCTGTAGTGTTTTTGAGTATATCTCTTTGTAGATCTTTTTTAGTGGTTGCTGTAGGTATTACACTATATTTACATAATTTATCACAGTCTATTGGTGTTTGACATCTTTCCAGTTCAAGTGTAGAAATCTTACTTTCCTTATGTTCTTTTACTCTGTTCCATTTATAACACAATTATCTTAGTGTTTCCTGTACATATACTGAAAACCATATTAGACAAGGTTATAATTTTTTGCTATCAAAAAATTTAGAAAATACAAGAGGATAAGGAAAGTCTATTGCATTTCCCCCCATGTTTTTTACTCTTTTTGGTGTTTTTACTTCTTCGCTGATGTCTTAAGATTCCTTCTTTATCATTTCTTTTCTGTTAAGAGAACTTTCTTTAGCCATTCTTTTAGGGTAGGTCTGCCAGCAACAAATCCTTTTAGTTTTCCTTCGTTTGAGAATGTTTTAATTTCCCCTTCATTCCTGAGGGGTATTTTTGCCAGACATAGAATTCTGGGTTGAAAGCTCTGTTCTTTCAGCACTTGAAAGCCTCCATCGTTTCCAGAGAGAAAGCCACCATTATCAGAATTGGTTTCCCCAATAGCTAAGGTGTCATTTCTCTCTTGCTGCTTCCAAGATTTTTTTCTTTGTCTTTTGGTTTTCAGAACTTTGACTATGATGTGTCTTAATATGGCTGTCTTTTGATTTATCCTGTTTGAAGTTCACTCAGCTTTTCAATCTGCAGGTTTACTTTTTTTTTTTTTTTTTTTGCTAAGTTTTGTAACTTTTCAGCTATTATTTCTTTGAATGCTTTTTCACCCTCCCCATCTTTCTCCTCTCCTTCTGGGTTCTCTGATGATATAAATTTTAAATTGCTTGTTATCATACTACATGTCCCCAAGGTTCATTTTCTTTTACTCTTTCTCTCTGTTGTTCAGATTGGATAATTTCTATTGTATTATCTTCGAGCTGATTCTTTTCCCTCTGTCCTCCTCATTCTGCTTTTAAGTCCATCCATTGAGTTTTTAAATTTGGTTATTATACTTTTCAGTTATAAAATTTCTAATTGGTTCTTTATATTATTTATTTGCTAAAGCTTTATAATTTTTCATTTATTTCAAGCCATATTTGTAATAGTTCATGGAAGTATTTTTATAACAGCTGCTTTAAAATCAGATAATTCTAACATGTGGCATCTTGGCCTTGGCATCTGTTGAGTGTCTTTTCTTATTCAAGTTGAGATCTTCTTGGTTCTTTCTATAATGAATGATTTTTATTGATACCTGGACATTTTTGTGTATTGTGTTTTGAGACTCTGGATTTTATTCAAATATTGTGTTTTAGCAGTCCTCCTCTGACAATTTCTAGAAGGGAAAATGGAGTGCCCCTTTATTACTGCCAGGGGATAGTGGATGTCCAAGTCTTCACTTGGCTTCAGTTGGTATCCAATGGGAGGTGCTCCTTATTATTGCTGATTGGAAGTGGGAGTTCAGGCTCCCCACTAGTCTTTCACTAATACACTTTGATTGAAGGGGCATGGGTGCCTTGTAACTCTTCTCACATGGCCTTCAGTGATACTATAGTGGGGGTGGGTGAACTTGTCACCACTAAGCAGTGGTGACTCCTCAACAGCCTTCCTATGATACCACCCGAGAGTAGACAGGGAGAGGTGCCTCCTTACCACCAGGTAGGTGTAGAAGTCCAGGCTCTCCAATGTCACGATGGGTTGATGAGGGCCTTGTTAATGTCTAGTGAGGATGAAAGTCCTGGCTCTCCACTCAGTCTTCTCAGACATTACCCAGGAAAGAGGGCCCGGGTTACCTTGTTACAGCTTAGTGAAGGCAGAAATCTAGGTTTTTCCACTAAGCCTTTGTAGGTGGCAGTGGGGCTATAGTTTTTGTTGTTGTTGTTGTTTGTTTGTTTTCTGTTTTATTAGGCTGGAGTAGAGAGGTTGTTATCTAAAAGTGTATTATCTTGGTAGGCTGTCTCTCTTCTGGTCTTTTGGCTGGAGAGAGCAGACTTTCCTTGGGGCTCTTTTTGTTTGTTTGCACCCATTGGCATAACTGGTTTGCCAGCTTCTGTTACTCAGTCTGAGATATATGAGGCAAAAACAAATCCTAGGGAACTCACTATTGTGACATTCTTGAGTCCCAAGGTCCTTAGCCAATCTGTCTCTTCTCTCCACTTCTCAGAGTCTTATGTTGTTTTATAAATGATGTCCAATTTAATCGGAGGATAGGGAAGAGTATATCTATTCCACAAGCAAAAGCCTCAAATTTATGTACTTGAAATTATAGTTTTATAATAGTTAGAAGGAAAAAAAATAACTCCTTTTTAAAAGGAAAGCAATTTCTAAAAGGAAGCTTTGACAGAGTTGAGTTATTCAAGGCAGGGTGTGGTAAAGTGTATCCTTAAGATGTTTCAGGAAAATGAAATTGTAAATAAACCAGAAATTTCAAAGGAAGAAGCTGTAGAGTGAGCTGGCAGCAACAAAAGCATGTTAGCCACAAGATACCATTTTCTGCTTAGAAAAACAGCATATTACTAGCTTTATGCAAACCGAATCAAGTACATAGTACTTTTCTTTTTCTCTCTTTTCCCCTACTTTCCTCCTTCCTTCTCTTTTGCTCTCCTTCCCTTTCTTCCTCTTTTTCTTTTAACTAGAGAAAAAGAGAAGCAGAAAACTGCAGTGAAAATAGGTGGCTCTCAACAATAATGTAGCATTCCCAGTGTATTCCACGAAACCCCTGTTTACAGTGGTATCAGAATGTTTTAGCTTAAAAAAAGAGAAGAGGCTGGGCATGGTGTCTCACGCCTGTAATTCCAGCACTTTGGGAGGCTGAGGTGGGCATATCATCTGAGGTCAGGAGTTCAAGACCAGACAGGCCAACAAGGCGAAACACCATCTCTATTAAAAATATACAAATTAGCTGGGTGTGGCGGTGCGCACCTGTAATCCCAGCTATTTGGAGGCTGAGGCACGACAATCACTTGAACCAGGGTGGCGGAGGTTGCAGTGAGGGGAGATCATGCCACTGCACTCCAGCCTGGGCGACAGAGCAAGACTCCATCTCAATTAAATAAATAAATAAATAAAAAGAAGAGCTCCATTGTCCAATATCTTTGGAACACGATGGATTGGAAAGGCTAAATCAGTTTGTTTAAGGCAGGACTTCTTATGGCCTGTAATATGCTAATGTGTACCCTTAATCTCCAGGAGGGGAGGAGTCTTAACTTGGCCAGCATTAGCTTAAACAGCATTTCCTAAACTCACAGTGTTTTCCACAGAACAAATTTTTATTAAGTTACCATAAAGATATTTTTTGGTTAGCACTGAAAACCAGCCATCAGCCAAATAATAAAATAGAGCGGCAAAGCATCAAATGGCAAGGATTCATATATTAAATGACTGCTTGGTGCCTGTAAACAAAGCCAAGAACTTTTTAACACGATGAAAACATACCCAAACAGAAATGAAAGATTTGGAAAGCAGTGACTGAACTGGTTAAATACAACTTAGAGATGGCACCTAACTTTCTAGATTTCTGTGTGGTTTTCAAACCTACTACAGATTGTGATCTCTTTATTTATATTGACCAATATGTAATGATTTAATGTTTATGTTGTTGTTTTACAGCCTTATCTTCATAGAAAAATAAAGGTTGAGGTGACTTACATGCTAAATGCTCAGAGTCTAAGCTAGTAAAAACCATATATAATTTTATAACTCAAGCTACCATACAGTGGCAGTTACTTGAACTATAGGCAAAATGTCTAGGTAGACTAAGAACTAGTCTTGTAAAATCATCTGTTAAATGGCATCAAATGTTTCATATTTCAATCTTAATGGCTTAATTACCTCCTAAAACGTATTTAAAAAGGTTCAGTAATTGCTTAGGCTCCTTTAATTAAATTATCATATGTGAAATATTTGTACTCCAAAAAAAGTTGGTCATAAAGTAAAATTTCATAATCAAACCATATTTCCCATTGATTCATTCACTAAGTTAAGCAAAGATATAGCATCTACTACATTTGACATACTCAAATGATTATTACCCTACGTGCTATCTGTGGTAAAGAAGGCATTTTGTGTGCCTTCTTTGTGTGAAGATACAGGGATAAGTGAAAAAGAAATCTGTATCCTTCTCAATACATATGCAGAAGCACTATCATGTAAGAAACAGTCCTACCAGTAACAAGGTAATAAAGACCAGTTTTATTATTTCAATTATCTATTTCATAACAGCAAACTTCCACATTTTAAATTATCACAGAATTGAGAACATCTTTATTAGATAGTAATAACCACAAAAAATAATTGTTTTTTGTTGTTGCTCACAGAATTATTTTTTGTGAGCTAATTATTATTTAATTCATCAACAAGTCTCTTGAGAAATAGAAAGCCATTTGTCTACTACTGTGCTAACAGAGGCACAGAAAATATAGCAAGACAACAATCTAGTAAGAGACAAAATCAATGCATATAAAACAGGGAAAGACATGACCAAGCTTATAATTAAAATACAAGACATTTGTTTATACTGAAAACAGTTTAAAGTTAACACAACTCTACAGGTAAAAAAAAATATATCAAAATGTGTGATATTAAATTATAATAAGTTTTCTTACTTGAGCCTTTAGGCTTTGTAGTTGTCCTTCATAATTCTGAGTCATTGCTAAATTACATTTTTCCAGACTGTCCAATTTCTGTCGAAGTAACCCTACCTGCATGAAGAATAAAATTTAATTTTGCTTTTTCTAAATTTTGCCTGACAAAATCAGAAAATGTGCAAAAGAGAAGAACAATTCAAATAAAATGGCTGTACCAAACCAAGAGTAAATATTTGTACTGCACTTCTTAAAATAGCTATCAATAATTAAATTCACAAAAACCAAACATTGCTAGCACTATTCCACAAGGTACACATTAGGACAGTACGGATGTTTAACAAAAGATCCTTATCATCATCACATTTAAAATTCAGGGTTAGAATTTACTTTGCATTATCCTTTTGGGAGGCTATGTCATCATTCCAAGCAAAACCTCTACCAATATAATTCAGCTTTTTTTTTCTCCATTACCTTCAAGAGGATCTCTGTTTTAGTGGTATTATGAAATAATTGATACATTTTTATAACAACTAATACATTAAAAAGAAAAAGAAAATTGTCTAAGAGCAGTTCCTAAGGATTTGGCTTATATAATTTGTCTCTTTAAAAGGCAGATGAGGCACTTGTTTACATATCTGTGTCAGTATACATATAAAAGCTAAAAGAAGAAGAATGCATATGCCATGTTTTGATGACCTACCTCTACTGTGAAGGAAAACTAGATGCCAATAACTAAGTTACCTATGCCAAACAATAATATAGTTAACTATGCCAAAAAACTAAGTTCCACTGAGAAGTCAATAAAGGTAGAAAAATGGTTGATGAACAAGTTAACTAATGATGTTTTGTTACGGTATATAACTAGCAAACATTTCCTTTAAACATTTCTTTTCCCAAAAGAAAAACTCACAGACACAAAGTCCACATCAAATAAAGCATATGGTTTTCCTGAATGCCTTCGCAGGCCTGAGAGCACTCATATATTCTTCTATGACCACCAGCTTGGCAGTGAGCAGCCTAGAGGGACTAAGGGAACTCCTCTTAAGTGGGTGTCCCAGGTATACACACACCCCTTTACCAAACTCTTTTCTCCTTTGTCCTATTATCAATTCTTGACATCTTACTTCTATTTTTTCCAGCATATTCAAAGAAGCAAATGTTACTGAACTCTGCCTTGTCCACAGTTTTGATGACTACTTCTTTGTTTCTGCAGCAGCAAGAGTACTTACATCTTTACTTGCAAACAATATTTTACATATATATTAAATATTTGCTTACTTTTACAGATGGCATTGACACTATGTATCTGTCTCTATCAGCAAACATCTATGGATTTAGGTTCTGATTTTCACTTATTTGATATAATACATTTAGCCTATAATTTGCTGACAGAATTTCAAGCAATAAATGCTGTTGCTGATGCCTGATAAAAAGTATGTATAATAAAAACATATTCTGATAGAATACTATATGTAACAGTCTGATGAATTAGCAATTTGTTAACATATGTATTCAGTACCTCTTGACCTTTCTGATCCAAACAAGTTTGTGCATTTGCCAATTCTTGATCCCGAAGATCTAATCGTGTCTCCAAAGCCCGCATCTTTCTTTCCCAATCCATTTTCTTGTTGCTTACCATGATGTCAATTTGTTCCATTAATTCCTGAAGCTCAGCCTCACAAGGAGAAGTTCTGGCAATTGTAGGAAAGTAAAATACATTTTAAAGTAGTGAAATGTGAGGGCAAAAAAAATTATTACATTGCTCTGCATAGCTTGAACATTATTTCCTGAAATTGTTCAATTATTTAAATAGGAATAAGTTCAAAAGCTGAAGGTTAATTTTTAAAATTAATAAAGCCAATTTCAGAACTAACAGTGTATATATACTTAATTTTTTAAAATAACATTGTTTAGAGTAGGCTAATTCTAAGGAATATGCTAATTAGGAAAAATTATAAGACTTAGCTTCAGGATCAATGCTCTTCCATATAGGCATACATATACCTATGTCTATCATAACTTCAGAAGGTTTGACAGAGGCAAACTGGGATATCATTCCTGTCTGTTAAGGACAGAAGAGCAAGCCTGGGCTAGGTAGGATGAGATTCAAGGGTACCAACTGGGCTATAGTATGGCTCCTCAAGGAGAGGAATTTGGCATGATATGGCTGGTGTCTGTTTCTAAGGAATTGGATCAGGCAGTGATATAGTTTGGCTGTGTCCCCACCAAAATCTCAACTTGAATTGTATCTCCCAGAATTCCCACATGTTATGGGAGGAAACTAGGGGGAGGTAACTGGATCATGGGGGTCAGTCTTTCCTGTGCTATTCTCATGATAGTGACTAAGTCTCATGAGATCTGATAAGTTTATCAGGGGTTTCCACTTTTGCTTCTTCCTCATTTTCTCTTGCCTCCATCATATAAGAAGTGCTTTTTGGCTCCCCCCATGATTCTGAGGCCTCCCCAGCCATGTGGAACTGTAAGTCCAATTAAACCTGTTTTTCTCCCCAATCTCGGGTATGTCCTTATTAGCAGTGTGAAAACAGACTAATACAGTAAATTGGTACCAGTAGAGTGGGGCGTTGCTGAAAAGATAACCGAAATGTGGAAGCAACTTTGGAACTGGGTAATGGGCAGAGGTTGGAACAGTTTAGAGGGTTCAGAAGAAGAGAGAAAAATGTGGCAAATTTTGGAACCTCCTAGAGACTTGTCAATGGCTTTGACAAAAATGCTGATAGTGATATGAACAATAAGGTCCAGGCTGAGGTGGTCCCAGATGGAGATGAGGAACTTGTTGGGAACTGGAGTAAAGGTGACTCTTGTTATGTTTTATCAAAGAGACTGGAGGCATTTTTCCTCTGACCTAGAGATTTGTGGAACTTTGAACTTGAGAGAGATGATTTAGGGTATCTGGCAGAAGAAATTTCTAAGCAGCAAAGCATTCAAGAGGTGACTTGGGTGCTGTTAAAGGCATTCAGTTTTAAAAGTGAAACAGAGCATAAAAGTTCAGAAAATTTGCTGCCTGATGATGCAGTAGAAAAGAAAAACCCATTTTTTGAGGGGAAATTCAAACCAGCTGCAGAAATTTGCATAAGTAGCAAGGAGCCTAATGTTAATCCCCAAGACCATGGGGAAAATGTCCCCAGGACTTGTCAGAGACCTTCACAGCAGCCCCTCCCATCACAGGCCCAGAGGCCCAGGAGGAAAAAGTGGTTTCATGGGCCAGGCCCAGGGTCCCCATGCCGTGTGCAGCCTAGGGACTTGGTGCCCTGTGTTCCAACTGCTCCAGCCATGGCTAAAAGGGGCCAATGTAGAGCTTGGGCTGTGGCTTCAGAGGATAGAAGCCCCAAGTATTGGCAGCTTTCACATGTTGTTGAACCTTCAGGTGCACAGAAGTCAAGAATTGGGGTTTGGGAACCTCTGCCTAGATTTCAGAAGATATACGGAAATGCCTGGATGCCCATGCAGAAGTTTGCTTCGGGGCGGGGCCCTCACAGAGAACCTCTGCTAGGGCAGGGCAGAAGGAAAATGTGGGGTAGGAACACCCACACAGAGTCCCTACTGGGGCACTGCCTATTGGAGCTGTGAGAAGAGGCCACTGTCCTCCAGACCCCAGAACGGTAGATCCAACAACTTGCACTGTGCACCTGAAAAAGCCACAGACACTCAATGCCAGCCTGTGAAAGCAGCCTGGAGGGAGGCTGTGCCCTGCAAAGCCACAGGGGCAGAGCTCCCCAAGACTATGGGAACCCACCTTTTGCATCAGCATGACCTGGATGTGAGACCTGAAGTCATAGGAGATAATTTTGGAGCTTTAAGATTTAGCTGCCCTGCTGGATTTCAAACATGCATGGGGCCTGTAACCCCTCTGTTTTGGCCAATTTCTCCTGTTTGGAATGGCTGCATTTACCCAATACCTGTACCCCTATTATATCTAGGAAGTAACTAGCTTGCTTTTGATCTTACAGGCTCATAGGTAGAAGGGACTTGCCTTGTCTCAGATGAGACTTGGGACTGTGGATTTTTGGGTTAATGCTGTAATGAGTTAAAACTTTGGGGGACTGTTGGGAAGGCATGATTGGTTTTGAAATGTGAGGATATGAGATTTGGAGGGGCCAGGGTTGGAATGATATGGTTTGCCTGTGTCCCCACCAAAATCTCAACTTGAATTGTATCTCCCAGAATTCCCATGTGTTGTGGAAGAGACCTGGGGTGGGGAGGTAATTGAATCATGGGGGCTAGTCTTTCCCATGCTATTCTCGTGATAGTGAATAAGTCTCACAAGATCTGATGGGTTTATCAGGGGTTTCCACTTTTGCTTCTTCCTCATTTTCTCTTGCCTCCCCCATGTAAGAAGTGCCTTTCACCTCCTGCCATGAATCTGAGGCCTTCCCAGCTATGTAGAACTGTAAGTTCAATTAAACCTCTTTTTCTTCCCAGTCTCAGGTACATCTTTATCAGCAGCATGAAAACAAACTAAGGCAGGCAGGTATGGGGAGATACTGTAAGTCTTTAGACAGTGAGGTTACTAATAGTCATACACATAGTAATATCTTGGGTCCAGGAGGGTTTATTGAGTTTCAAACAAAATGCTTAGTATAACAGCTAGGACTATAGCAACTGTTGTTAAGACAGATTGGTAAGTGCTCTCACTACAGAGTTCTTTTTCAAAGAAGCTGAAGCATTCTCCAGGGAGCTGGTGTAAGTCCAGTCACTCAGACTGGATAAGCAGGTAGTTATTGAGGTCTTACACTTCAGCCTAAGGAACATACAAACGTCCAGATTAGAAAAGCAAGTTATTTCAGCATCCATTTCAATGATGGTAGTGAGGCTTCTAATGTATTTGTGTGGCTGGGAGGAGGACAGGAGGGAGAGGCAGGTGCCACATGACAGCATTTCCTCCATTTAGTTTCACCAAATCAGAATTTTAAAGCTAATTAAGGATCATTTAGCATTTTGATAAAACTCAGGCTCAGAGAGGCCCAAGATCACACAGCTAATTAATGGAAGAGCCAGAACTAGATCCTAGGCAGCTGCTTCCCATTTAATGTGTCTTCCTGTATACCACACAGCAAAAGACACAGTGTTTTGAATAAGAACATGCTTGAAAAATACAGTACAAATTTGCTCCATTGCAATAAGGTTAGAAACAGATATTAAAATCCAAAGAATTTAGAATTTCCAGAATCATTTTCTAAGATATCCAGAGTCAGCCCAAAAAGATGATGTTCCTTTGGTTTATTCAATATGATATTCACCAGTTTTGACATCAGAGAGGTTTGTTTTAAGTACAAAGTGCCATTCTGAAGTCTTCTCCTAGCATTCCTGGAGGAATGTTAGGCCCAGAGGCTTTCAATTTTTACTTAAAACCTAAAATAAATCTGACAAAAGGATGTATACTAATTCCTCTATAAATAACTTGATTGAATTTTAAGATTGAAATTTAATTGGAATTGTAGGGGGAAAGAATAGAACTATGGCCTGGTGTTTCCACACCATTTTTCTTTTTCATGACAACATGTATCACCTTGTACTGTAAATAGATTTTGTCTATTTTTTCCACTCTGAAGAAAAAGAACTATGTCAATGTAAGCTCTAGGAAAAAATAACTATATCAGTCTGGTTCATTACCATCTCACCAGAGCCTAGTATAGTACCACAGCACATAGTAGACGCTCAATAAATCTCTAAAGAATGAATGAGTTCTTTTAATTGCTAACTTTTGGCATGTAAGAATGTACCATGCTAAGGAAGTTAAAATAAGGCCTACAGCAGAGTCTGGACATAATGTAATCTACTCAATCAATATTGTTCAGTGAATGAATGGTTTATTTCCTGGTTATGGTTATGCTATGCAGAAGTTAGAATGTTAGACTCTCAGGATGGAAGAACTCTTACAAGTCAACTAGTCCAACTACCCCAACTACCCATCCAGTGTTTGCATTCCCTCTATGAATACATATATATTTTTTACATATATAAGCATATATAATATATATAAAATGTATATATTATGTGAAAATATAATATATGTTTATTAAAATACATTTTTATATGAAAATAAATTTTCATATAAAAATATATAATTATATATATAATTTTTTTTGAGATGGAGTCTCGCTCTGTTGCCCAGGCTCGAGGGCAGTGGCACAATCTTGGCTCACTACCACCTCCGCCTCCTGGGTTCAAACGATTCTTCGGCCTCAGCCTCCCGAGTAGCTGGGACTACAGGCATGTGCTACCACATCTGGCTAATTTTTTTTTTTCTATTTTTAGTAGAGACGGGGTTTCATCATGTTGGCCAGGCTGGTCTCAAACTTCTGACCTCAGGTGATCCTCCCGCTTCGGCCTCCCAAAGTGCTGGGGTTACAGGTGTGAGCCACCGCACCTTGCCCCTCTACAAATATTTCTTAAGAGAATCATCTATCATACACTACTGATCAGATTCAGCAGGTCTAGGACAGACCCTAAGATGCTGCATCAGTAACAAAAGTATCAAGTGATTCTGAAGCATGCCAAAGTTTGTGACCTGTTTTTCAATATCACTGCAAATAAGTTATCCATCCTAGGTCTGAATTCTTCTCTTAACAGGTAACTACTGTCTGAGATTGTAGCTAGACAGTAATGTGTTTTAGACAGATTTTTTTATATTGAAGAACTTTTCCATCCATTGGTCCTAATCTGATCTCAATGATTCCACTGAGACCATTCAGGACAAATGCCTTTTCAACACAGTAGACTTTAAAGTACTGAATACAGTCATCAGTGTGTCAAATACAGTTTTGAGTGTACTTCCTCTTCTTTTGTCAGTGTTCAATATTAGAGACTGAATATATGGATGGACAATAATCAGACCATATGACAGTAGACTCTGACCCATAATTTCTGCAACAACACAACCAGTCCAGAAAGCCAAGCCACAAAATCTGCAGCAATTGTCCCAAAATGGTCAGGGCTTGATCACTGACTGCCATCTTCCCTAATTTCTGTCCCCACTTCCAACTCAGGACAAACTAGAGAAAGCCAAATATACTCCTCAAAACAATCCCCTAGGGTGCCCCACTTTTAGTTATTCTGTCTCCAGCCTCTACATGCCAACACCCTCCAATGAGGGCACACCTGAACCCTTTTCCCTTTTTTTACCTTAAAGCTTTCCCACTCCTCTGCCTCCCTTTGAGTCTCTGCTAAATGCAAGTGATAGTGGGTGACTCCCTTGGTATAGCAAGCTCTGAATAAATAAATACCTTCAGTTGTTTTCATTTGGGTGGTCTTTATTTATTTCCACAAATATTTTTATTTCCTTCTATTGCTCCTAGAGATTTTTTCTTCACCACTCTATACTCAGTATCCAGTATACTGCCTGAAAAATACTAGATGCTTAATACACATTTGCTGAATGAAAAAAAAAGGATGACTATGGTAAGATTTTCAGACCCTTCTAATTCTAGCTCTTCTTTGAACAAGTTTTTTTTTTTTGTCAATTTCATCCTTGAAACATACCATTTGGAACTTTAAGATAATACCACAGGTATGGTCTAATCAGCTCAGAGGGGGTCTCACAGATCCTTTGGTTTAGGTGCCATATACTTTTATTTAACCAGATGGAGATCACATTAGTTGGATTTGGGAGAGGAAAGGGTAAAGCAGATATCACATTGTTTCAAGGTGGGTTTATTCTTATCTAAAAATCTTATTTCTTTTTTATGCATGCTATGAGTAAGCCACCTTTCACTATCTTGTGCTTGTTTAATTTTTTGAGAGGAGGGGTCCAATGGTAGAGCTGTGTATTTATCCTTATTAAATTTCAGCTTGATAGTTTCAGTCTTTCATTGTAGGTCATCATCACTAGTTCTTTCAGCAAACATTCATTAAGCACTGTGTAAGGTACAGGGAAAACAGAGACAAAAGAGCAATTGCCTGTGAATAGAGAGATTTGCAAGGCAGGCAGGCAGAATAAAAGACTGATGAATATATGCGGGCTTTCAAAAAGGAGGCATACTGAATACAGACTTGCAGAGGGTAGGCTATCACAGAGGTCTTCCTAAATGAGGTAACATCTGAGCTTATGTTTGGGATCCTGTTTCTATCAGAGAATATATTATCTATATCTATATCTCCCAGCTTTGCGTGAGCTGCAGACTTGATAAGCATTACCTGCTGCGTGTGTATGTATATATATACATCATCAGATACATTGCTATAATGATCATATGACTTGTTAGCCAAACCAGGACAATTTTGAAAGTGAAAGGAGCACTAATAATAATTATGCCAGCACACTAGGTATAAACAGTTACTGTTCTGGACAAACTGGGATTCAGGATTAGCTTACCCACTAACAATGGGAAAACAGAGGTGCAGAAACAAGTTTGTGGGGGAAAAAGTCAAATTAGAAATCAACACTAATAAATTCGCTCAAAACCGTACAATTACATAGAAACTGAATAACCTGCTTCTGAATAACTTTTTGGTAAATAATGAAATTAAGGCAGAAGTCAAGAAGTTCTTTGAAACTAATGAGAACAAAGACACAACATGCCATATTCTGTGGGACACAGCTAAGGCAGTGTTAAGAGGAAAATTTTACAGCACTAAATGCCCACATCAAAAAGTTAGATCTCAATTTAACAACTTAACATCACAACTAAAATAACTAGGGAATCAAGAGAAAACCAACCCCAAAGCTAGCAGAAGACAAGAAATAAATAAAATCAGAGCTGAATTGAAGAAGACAGAGACATAAAAAACAATTCAAAAGATCAATGAATCCAGGAGTTGGTTTTTTGAAAAAAATGAATAAAAAAACAGCTAGCTAGACAAAGAAGAAAAGAGAGAAGATCCAAATAAACACAATTAGAAATGACAAAGGGGAAATTACCACTGACTCCACAGAAATACAAATAACCGTCAGAGAATATTATACATACCTCTATGCACATAAACTAGAAAATCTAGGAGAAAAGGATAATTTCTGGACACATACATCCTCCCAAAACTGAGCCAGGAAAAAACTGAATCTCTGGGCCGGGTGCGGTGGCTCATGCCTGTAATCCCGGCGCTTTGGGAGGCTGAGGTGGGCGGGTCACAAGGTCAGGAGATGGAGACCATCCTGGCTAACATGGTGAAACCCTGTCTCTACTAAAAATACAAAAAAATTAGCCAGGCGTGGTGGCACGCGCCTGTAGTCCCAGCTACTCAGGAGGCTGAGGCAGGAGAATGGCGTGAACCTGGGAGGCAGAGCTTGCAGTGAGCTGAGATCACGCCACTTCACTCCAGCCTGGGCATCAAAGCAAGACTCCGCCTAAAAAAACGAAAAAACAAAAAACAAAACCCCCCCAAAAAACTGAATCTCTGAACAGACCAACAATGGGCTCTGAAATTGAATCAATAATAAATAGCCTAACAACCAAAAACAGCCCAGGACCAGAAAGATTCACAGTTGAATTCTACCAGACATACAAAGAGCTGGTACCATTCCTACTGAAACTATTCCAAAAAATTGAGGAGGACAGACTCCTCCCAAACTCATTCTATGAGGCCGGCATCATCCTGACCAAAACCTGGCAGAGATAAAACAAAAAAAGAAAAACCTCAGGCTAATATCCTTGATGAACATAGATGCAAAAATCCTCAACAAAATACTGGCAAATGGAATCCAGCAGCGCATCAAAAACTTATCCACCACGCTCAAGTAGGCTTTGTCCCTGGGATGCAAGGGTGATTCAACAAATGCAAGTCAATAAATGTGATTCACCACATAAACAGAACTAAAGACAAAAACCACATGATTATCTCAGTAGATGCAGAAAAGGCTTTCAGTAAAATTCAGCATCATGTTAAAAACTCTCAATAAACTAGGTTCCAAGGAAACATACATCAAAATAATCAGAGCCAACATCACACTGAATGCGCAAAAGCTGGAAGCATTCCCCTTGAAAACAGACACAAGACAAGGATGCCCTCTCCCACCACTCCTATTCAACATAGTATTGGAAGTCCTGGCCAGGGCAATCAGGCAAGGGAAAGAAATAAAGGGCATCCAAATAGGAAGAGAGGAAGTCAAACTATCCTTGTTTGCAGATGACATGATCCTATATCTAGAAACCCCATAGTCTTGACCCAAAAACTCCTTAAGCTGGTAAACAACTTCAGCAAAGTCTCAGGATACAAAATCATTGTGCAAAAGTCACTAGCATTCCTACACACCAACAACAGTTAAGCTGAGAGCCAAATCAGGAACACAATCCCATTCACAACTGCCACAAAAAGAATAAAATACTTAGGAATACAGCTCACGAGGGAACTGGAAGATCTCTACAATGAGAATTACAAAACACTGCTCAAAGAAACCAGAGATGACACAAACAAATGGAAAAACATTCCATGCTCATGGATAGGAAGAAACAGTATCACTAAAATGGCCATACTGCTCACAACAATTTATAGATTCAATGTTATTCCTGTTAAGCTACCTATGACATTCCTCACGGAACTAGAAAAAAACAGAAAGAAGTTCTTTAAAAATTCGTATGAAAGTCTAGGTGCAGTGGCTCACACCTGTAATCCCAATACTTTGAGAGGCCAAGGTGGGCAGATCACTTGAGTTCAGGAGTTCGAAACCAGCCTGGGCAACATGGTGAAACTCTGTCTTTACCAAAAAAATACAAAAAATTAGCTGGGCATGGTGATGTGCACCTGTAGTCCCAGTTACTGGGGAGGCTGAGGTGGGAGGATCACTTGAGCCTGGAAGGCGGAGGTTGCAGTGAGCCAAGATTGTGCCCTGAATTCAAACTATACTACAGGGCTGCAAGAATTAAAACAGCATGGTATGGGTACAAGAACAGACACATAGACCAATGGAACACAATAGAGAATCCAGAAATAAGGCCACACATCTACAACCATCTGATCTTCAACAAACCTGACAAAAACAAGCAATGGGGAAAAACTCCTTATTCAATAAATGGTGCTGGGAGAACTGGCTAGCCATATGCAGAAGATTGAAACTGGATCCCTTCCTTACACCATATACAAAAATTAACTCAAGCTGTATTAAAGACTTAAATGTAAAACCCCAAACTGTAAAAACCCTGGAAGACAACCTAGGCATCACTATTCTAGACATAGGAATAGGCCAAAATTTCATAACAAAGACACCGAAAGCAATAGCAACAAAAGCAAAAATTAACAAATGGGATCTAATTAATTTAAAAGCTTCTTCACAGCAAAAGAAACTATCAACAGAGGTAAACAGACAACCTACAGAAGGGGAGAAAATATTTGCAAACCACGCATCTGACAAAGGTCTAATATATCCAGCATCTATAAGGAACTTAAATTTACAAGAAAAAAAAGCAAACAACCCCATTTAGAAAATGGTCAAAGAACAGACACTTCTCAAAAGAAGACATACATGCAGCTAACAAACATATGAAAAAAGGCTCAACATTACTGATTGTTAGAGAAATGTCAGTTAACACCATAATGAGATGCCATCTCACACCAGTCAGAATGGGTATTATTAAAAAGTCAAAAAATAACAGAAGCTGGCCAGGTTGTGGAGAAAAAGAAACATTTTATACACTGTTTGTGGGAGTGGAAATTAGTTTGATCATTGTTCAAGACAGTGTGGTGATTCCTCAAAGACCTAAAAACAGAAATACCATTCAACTCAGCAATCCCATTGCTGGGTATATACCAAAGGAATACAAACCGTTCTATCATAAAGACACATGCACATGTTATGTTCACTGCAGCACTATTCACAATAGCAAAGACAACGAATCAACCTAATTGCCCATCAGTGGTAGATGGAGTAAAGAAAATGTGGTTCATATATACCATGAAATACTATGCAGCCATAAAAGGAACAAGATCATGTCCTTTGCAGTAACATGGATGGAGCTGGAGGCCATTATCCTTAGTAGACCAGCAAAGGAACGGAAAACTAAATGTCACATGTTCTCACTTATAAGTGGGAGCTGAATGATGAGAACACATGGATACATAGAAGGGAACAATAGACACTCAGGCCTATCAGAAGATGGAGGATGGGAGGAGGGAAAGCCTCAGGAAAAATAACTAATGGGTCCCAGGCTTAGTATGTGGATGATGAAATAATCTGTAAAACAAACCCCCATGACACAAGTTTACCTAGATAACAAACCTCAACATGCACCTTTGAACTTAAAAAAAAAAAGTTAAAAAAAAAAAGGAAAATTACAGCCTTTGGGGATAATTTTATTACTTCCATTTTCACATTGGCAAGACATGCCATTATGACTTTCAGAAGTGTTTTATCAGCTCCCAAATCAATGGGCATATTTTCTAAAATATTTAAGCCATAAAAATATTTGGACAATTTGAAAAATAAACACAGCATGAGAAAAATTCTACTAAGAAAAATAAGTAATTAAATGCTACATTTAAACAAAGGAGTGAATTCAGTTTGGAATACATGAGATATCTAAAATAGAAATGGGTGTGGAGCGTGGGAGAGGGGTTTAAAAGACAGATATGGATGTCATCATGGAGAAAAAGAAGGGAAGGAGGGAGGAATTAGGAAGAAAGAAGCATAGAGAGGAGAGACAGGAGACTATGTCATGAAACATGGAATAGTCTATGAAAATGAGTTTTCAAAGGCTGATAAGCAGTTAAGTTAGGTCTTAACTTTTTCAAAATCTTTTACTGAAACTCACTCAAAAATATATTACATACTTATTTGCCTTAGTTAATAGGCTATACTAATATAATTTAACTTTTCTTGGTGGCTCACAGACCCTATTCTGCACACCAAATCCTGTATCAGACCCGAGACATACACAAGGTCAAATGGGGAGAACCCCCAGCAGAAGTCCTAGAGCCCACTTTCATAGATACGTCTGTGATGTCAGTCTGCTCTTTAGTCAACTGTCTGTTCTAAAACACTAAAGTGAAAGATGTATTATTTTATGGTTTTTAGGTCATAGTTTCATGAAAACTCTTGTTTAAAATTAATTATTGAGTCATAGACAAAAATAGCTTTTCCTCAAGCACTTTTTTGTCATCCAAAAAATGTTACTGTCATCATTAGTGTTTGCTAACTTAGCAGCATTGAAATGCCTATTTTTATTACATAATTGAGATGGTGGCTCACATTCAATCCATTCATTTCCCTCATTTGCAATAAGCTTAATGTTGGGACATGGATAAGGTATAAACCTCATTATTCTAAAAAAAAGTGCTTAAATGTACTTATAAAGGCCTTGTTCTAAAGGCTTCATCATAATAACAAGGACATATTTATAGAAATAAAGTACAACGCCATAGCCTCCAAGTCCCTACCAATTGTTTTATCAGAATTATAGGCTCATACAAATTTAAAGCTGCATTTTTTTATGTTCTAAAAAGAGCAGAAGATCTGTTAAAATATTTGTATTACAGATAAACTTTTTCTGTCATAACTTCTCACATTCTAAGTAACCCCTTGGTCCACAGATTAGAGGAGAGAAGACAACAGTGAAATATTAGCAGGCACTAATCTCTTTCTTCAGGGCGATCTTTATATTTTTCTAAAAATACAAATAGCTTCACTCTCCTCATAAACTTATGTACCTTAATTCCTATTGCATATTGACATACATAAATGTATGATGCAATTAATAATAAACAAATGTTGATCTACACATGTATTACTGGGTTCTGTAAGCCAGTCTCTAGGACAATTAAGTTCTTTCTTGCTAGAAGATCTATTTGATGAGTGACTGCAGTGTTAGTGTGTTTGAAGGTAGTTATTTTACCCTTTTTCTATTAAACCTGGAGCTGGCTGTTTCATTGGATCCCACAGGGAAGAATTAGGCACACATTGATAAAATCTGTTTTCTAATCTAGACAACGTTTTAATTAATATACTGCTTTTGGAATGTCAGAAATTTCAGTGAACCTCATTCTTATGCCAGCTAGCTCTGATAACTTCTAATTGTGTATCTGCAGCTTAAGCATCTGAGTTGAAGACTTCTATGTCCAACCATCTATTCAACACTGACATGTCCAGAGGATGGCCAGAGGCACCTCAAACTTCACATGTTCAAAACAGAGCACTAGACTCCCTGCACCACAAACCTGCCTCCACTCCAGTCCATTCCATCTCTTTAACTGCTGCCACTGCTACCAGTTGCTCGAGATAAAAACCCCTCATGATCCTAGATTTGTGTTTCCCTCAAATCCCACAACAACAGTAAGTCCTACTGGCACCACCTCCAATATATATCCTAAATTCTGACTGCTTCTCACCATAAACAGTGATAAACCTTGGTCCGAGTCAGCCTTATTGATTCTCTCCTAGTTTCCTACCCAATATCTATCCTTCCTTTGTTCCATACTAACAGAACTTTGATATTATTCAGAGAGGAAATGCAACCAGCTAAAGAAACAACCACATTTCCCAGTCTGCCTTGAAACTAGGCATGGACATGTAACAAAATCTGTCCTATGAAATATAAGTGGAAGGTGCCAAAAGGCTATTTAAAAGAGGGCTGCAGCAGATATTGTGGGTACCCTACACATCCCTGATGGTGACCACTTAAGGACACATGCCTGGTTTCCTGTGGACAAAACTTGCATTCCTTTGCCTCAGTGCCTTCTCTTGCAGCTAGAGTCCTCTTTGCTGCCTCTGTGACAAGTCAGAAGTGACAGAGAATTAACCCTCCCAGGAGCAACTTTGGTCAATGACTGTGCGCTATTGGTGTGTAAATATTCACTTTTTACTTGGCTGGGAGAACTCTTGTGGGGTGTGATTTGTGCTGGGTTCCAGAGCTTCCCCGTCAGGATTTGACTCAGTCACCCACAGTGGTAGCCGGTAACCTGCCTTCCCTGTTTCACTTCCTATTCCCATATGAAGTAGGCTGAAAAATTGTCCCCAAAGATAATCAGGTCCTAACCCTATAAACTGTAAATGTTACTTAATTTGGAAAAAAGATCTTCACATAAGTTAAGAATCTTGATATGGAGAGGTTCACGTAAGTTAAGAATCTTGAGATGGCAGTGGGAGATTTGACACACAGAGAAAAAGAGGAGATGAGGATGAAGCCGAGAAAAACCCGAAGATGCTGGCCTTTAAGATTGGAGTCCACAAGTCAAGGAATGCAGGCAGTCACCAGAAGCTTGGAGAGACAAGGAAAAGATTCTCCCCTAGAGCCTCTAGAGGGGGGCAATCCTGCCAACACTTTGACTTTGGCCCATTGATACTGATTTTGGGCTTCTGGCCTCTAGAACTGTGAGTGAATAAATTTTGGTTTTAAGCTACCAAATTTGTGGCAATTTATTATAATAACCATAGGAAACTAACATACCGCATCTTTAAGAGACAGGGTCTTACTCTGTCATCCGGGCTGGTGTGCAGTAGAGCAGTCATACGCAACTGCAGACTAGAACTCCTGGGCTCTTAACAGTTGCTATAATCCTAGCTGTTATACTAAGCATTTTGTTTGAAACTCAATAGACCCTCCAAGACCCAAGATATTACTATGTATATGACTAATAGTAACCTCACTGTCTAAAGACTTACAGTATCTCCCCATACCTGCCTGTATTAGTTTGTTTTCATGCTGCTTTCCCTGAGACTGGGAAGAAAAAGAAGTTTAATTGAACTTACAGTTCCACATGGCTGGGGAGGCCTCAGAATCATGGCAGGAGGTAAAAGGCACTTCTTACATGACGGAGGCGAGAGAAAATGAGGAAGAAGCTCAAGTGATCCTTCTGCCTCAGCCTCCTGAGTAACTGGGACTACAGGTGTGTGCCACCACACCCAGCTAATTTTTTTTTTTTTTTGTAGAGACAGGGTCTTGTTATGATGCTGAGGCTGTTCTCAAACTCCTGGTGCCAAGCAATCCTCCTGCCTTGGCCTTCCAAAGCATTGGGATTACAGGCGTGAGCCACCATGCCCAGCCTACACCATATCTTCATATCCCAAATAAACAATGTATATCCAAATTCTTATCTCAGAGCTGGCTTCTCTAGGAACCCAAAATAAGAATGCTGCATACACTGTTTTGTTTTTACCCACTGCCTTCTCTCTACTTCCTTCTTGGAAGGCAGATATGATGTTGTAGATGGTTCAGCTATCTTGAAACAATAAGGTGACCACAAACAGCTATATACAGGTGTACATACAGGCAGCTTCACTTGGACATACGACAAACGTCTTCACTTGGATATATAACAGGCATCTCAAACCAAGCTTGCATTTTCTCCAGTCTTCCTTATTTAATAAATGACAATTCTGTCCCTTCCAGCTGTTAGGCCAAAAGTCTTTGGACCATCCTTTGTTCATCATCTTCTCACACACTCCATATCCAATCCAGGATCTATAACATTGTCAGCTATTTCATGAAAACAAACCCATTTGTCACTATGTCTACATCTATCAATCTGATCTACTGTCATCTCCCACAGCTTAGCTTGTCTGCCTTTTCAACCCTTACCCTCCTATGGTCTATTCTTCCCATAGCAACTAGAGCGAGCCTTTTAAAATATTAAGTCAGAAAATGTCACTCCCTTGCTCAGAGTCCTCCAGTGACTTCCCATTTTACACAGTGAAATCTGAAGCCTTGACTAAGGTCTGTGAGGCCCTTCAGGACTTGGCCCTATTTGCCTTTCTGAGGTCATCTCCTACCACTTTCCCCCTTGCTTCCTCCTCTCTAACTGGCCTCTTTTCTGTTCCTTGAAAACGTCAATCATGTTCCTGTTGCAGAAGCTTTGCTTTTGCTGATTCCTCTGCCTGGAATGCCATTCCCCCAGATATCCAGATGTCTACATCTCTCACTTTTTTTAGGTCTTTCTTCAAATGTCACCTAACCAGATTTACTCTGTAACTCTCTATTCTCATAATCTGCTTACTTTTTCTACATAGTGATTATTACCACCCCCAACATAATATAGATTTATTTATTTGCTATAATCTGTTTCCCTCCACTAGACTGTAAGCTCCAATGAGGTCTCTGATACCATCGCAGAGCCATAGTATCAGCTCTAAATTTCCCACCTCCAGAAAAATAGGAACCCTAATTTGCTTGGGTATTATATTACGAGCTTCTGGTTTTTATTTGAATTTTGTGTTTTAGCAGACCCCTTCTGACAATACTCCAGCAGGGGAATAGAATGCCACCTCATTACTGCCAGACAGTGGTGGAAGTTCAGGTTCTCGACTCAGCCTCTGTTGCCACTTGGAGGGAGGAACTCCTCATTACTGCTGGGTGGGGGTGACAGTTCAGGCCCCTAGTAGCTCTGCACTGATACCACCTTGGCTGGGACGGGTAGGGATGCCTCATTACTCTTTCCTACGTGGCCTCCTCCGACACTGTGTAAGGTGGGTTCCCTCGTTATCATTACCACTCAAAGTGTCTTGCGTTCCTTTGCTATGGTAAGTCTCCCTTGGGGTTGTTGGTGATTTGAGGCAAGATTTGGATATTCCTGAGTCCCTGGGCCATTGCACCAATTATGCCTCATATGCCACCTGTTTCTAATATAAATGGATAGCCTCTATGGGTAATTTGACTAGCTGTCCTTTATAAGCCAGCTCTTTTGTTGATTCATCTTTTTATTTTCCTATTCTTGAACCATTTTAAGTAGTGTATAACTTGAAGATTTATAAGATTAGCATAAAGTATTTGCATTTTCCCCTTTCTCCTTTTTAGAGAAAATTTGGAAACCATTTCATTGCATGGATTGTATAGTGCACCTAGCTGTGTGCTGCTCATCTTGTACTCTAGCATTTGTACAGATTATAGGTATAGTTACTCCACGGCACTATGGGTTGGCCAGTGGATTTCCCCATAAATGGCTATGCCATATATGTTTGTGCTTTAATATGGCAACATGTGAAACATATTTCTGTCATTCTATAACACTTTCTATTATAAGAAGCAACAATAACTTAATAATTGCTTTTAGAGGAAACAGGGAATAATAGCCAAATGTATCTTCTGATTTCAAGACACAACCTAACTTAAATAACATTTAAGGGTGAAAACTGTGAGTCTTAGTATGTTACCCTTGGAGAGTCCATGAAAGCACATGGGTATGTTTTGTCCCTGGCTGAAGCCATTCCTATGTAACCATTCCCCATACATTCTCCAATTAAAAAGGCAAGTCCTCAATACCCCAAGTGTATCTATGAAAATAGTCCTGGATTCTCTTCATTTTTTCACACCCTGCTTTTATACAACCTCATTTCTATCTAATTCTGAACTCTTGATTCAACTCTTCTCTAGTCTTTTGAAATTGGTATTTATATTTTATTTCCCTGTTGTTTGACAGTTTATTGCCTTTAATAAGCTGTCATTCTTTCAGTTCACTCATTCATTCAACAAATGTTGACTGAGCTGGGAGCAGTGGTTCATGCCTGTAATTCTAGCACTTTGGGAGGCCAAAGTGGGAGGATTGCTTGAGTCCAGGAGTTCAAAACCAACCTAGGCAACATAGTGAGACCCTACCACTACAAAAAACAAAACAAAAAGATTGCCAGTCTTGGTGGTGTGTACCTCCCAGCTACTCAGGAGGCTGAGGTGGAGGATTGCTTGAGCCCAGGAGGCTGACATTGCAGGAAGCCAAGATCACACCACTGTACTCCAGCCTGGGTGACAGAGCAAGACCCTGCCTCAGGAAAAAAAAAAAAAAAAAGTTGACTGCATAATTACCCTATGTCAGGCACTGTGCTTGTCCCTGTGGTGTGACAGAAGAGAAGACAAAACATTGCTGAACAGAGCTAGGGCCCCTGGAATACGCTGGCCTATAGTGTTATAGGACCAACTTCTTAACGTTCTTATTACCACTGATACTTGTGTTGCTACTTCTCTTGCCAGCTTTTCTATTTTTGTCTCTATTTCTCCTTTTCCTTCTGCTTCTTGAGTTCAAGGAGGGTACAACTTTTATACTAACTGCTGTCCAATGAGACTGCTTCTTTCTTTTGGGGAGAGAACAAACGCACTCATCACATATCTGTAATATTCATGTTTTTAGCACTTCTCTG
Source organism: Homo sapiens (assembly GCF_000001405.40). Lineage (NCBI taxonomy): Eukaryota > Metazoa > Chordata > Mammalia > Primates > Hominidae > Homo > Homo sapiens. Next base: position 93,338,055 of record NC_000011.10, on the reverse strand, counting down.
TTTCACCAGTGCTCTGATTAGAGGCTCACAAAGTCCCAGGTGGTTCCAAGGTGCCATACAACTAAGCACCATAGACAACCAGGTCAGGTTAGGTGGGATGCACCTGATGTACATATCTACATTCACACATATCAGATTTTTAAGAAAATGTATGTTGTAACTAATCTTTTGTAAAGATTTTCCTGTGAAACGTATGTGCAAATTTATCCTACACAGTGGTACTTTTTCATCTTTCCTTAAACTTACTAGCAGTTTGATTAGGTCTCTTGTAGAAATCTTCCCTTTCTTTCCTTATTTCCTTCCTCCCTCTCTCTCCTTCCTAATAACTTTCCTTCCTTTCAAAAACATGCATTTAATTCCTACAGTCACTCAGCACTGCTAACATTTCAGAGTCTACCGTCAAGTTTGACATGTCAGGATTTTAACCCAGATGTACTTTACTTTGTTTCTTCTTCAGAGATACAAGAAACTGGAAGAACTTGTCCAGTTTGATTACTCTGGGGAGGAATATACGTGTATATGGGGGGAGGTGAATAAAGTATGAAGAGAGGGAGAGTAAGGGGGTACAGTCTGGGCTAACCAGAAAGCAAGGGAATTAACCAAATTTAAAAAGAATTTTCAATGTGCAAAAATAATATATAATTTATTCAGGTACCAATATGTTGACTTACATCAGAAAAATTAGATTTTATTTTATAAACTGTAATTAAAACTGTGTTTAACTCATCAAGAACCTGGTAAGTAAAGTTATGATTCATAAAGTCAAGAACCTGGTAAGTAAAGTAAAGATGATTAATATATCTCAGAGGGAAAGAATACTTTAAGGGTTAAGAAAGATGCACACAAAAAGAGTATAGTTTTAAAGGACCTTTTGAATCAGATGCAAGAAGTTATGATTTAATATTCATCTACCTTGGTTCTTTGAAAATAATGACTTTCACAGCAGATAAGAAGAATCTGGTGGATCACGTAGCAGTACCTAGATGTTTAGGAAGCATTTGACAAGATTCTATGAATGAGATCAATGGCTAAGATAAAAGTCACAGAATAAAAGGTACAGTAAAAGATTCAGTAGAGAAAAATGAGAATTTGGTTGAAGATGTATGCACACACATTTTGTTCCCTCCCCAAATCCTACTAACACAAAGTAAAGGGATATTTTTAACCTAGAAGGTCAAACCTAGAAGGATAAAAATAACAGGAACTAGCAGTGGACAAAGCCAAGTAGCAAACCAACTAGATACATCTGGAAGTAGCAAGTGAGTGTCAGCCTGAAAACAGGAGGAATGGCTAAGAAGGGGTTGACTCCTAGATCTCCTCACTGGCATTCGAATCCAGGCATATTCTCTGGAGAAGCTAAAACAGAAAGGCTCTGGACTGGGGTTGGGGAACACCAGGTACAGTAGATGGCAGGACCACTGTACTGGAAACTGGGGGGGTTAAGGTCAACAATGTAAGTCTGAATTCAGCCCCCTCATCCTTTTCAGCTCCCAGAATGCTGGTATACTCTCCAGGTAGGAAATTAGAATTCTCTGGAATCTGATTAGCCTGAGACAAAAGACTGAAAGAGAGTGACCTGGGGTCCTGCAAGGAAACTGCCTAGTCTGATGACTATGGAGTAAAGACCACTGTCAATAAGCCCGCTGATATGGTTGGCTCTGTGTCCCTAACCAAATCTCATGTCGAATTGTAATTCCCAGTGTTGGAGGAGGGGCCTGGTGAGAGGTGACTGAATCATGAGGGCGAACTTCCCCCTTGTTGTTCTTGTGATAGTGAGTTCTCAGGAGATGCAACTCCCCCCTTCTCTCTCTCTCCCTCCTGCTCTGGCCACATAAAACATGCCTCCTTCCTCTTCGCCTTCTGCCATGATTGTAAGTTTCCTGAGGTCTCCCCAGCTATGCTTCCTATTTGTTTTTTGGGTTTTGTTTTTTGTTTTTGTTTTGAGATGGAGTTTTGTTCTTGTTGCCCAGGCTGGAGTGGAATGGCACAATCTCGGCTCACTGCAACTTCCGCCTCCCGGGTTCAAATGATTCTCCTGCCTCAGCCTCCTGAGTAGCTGGTATTACAGGCATGCACCACCACACCAGGCTAATTTTTATTTTTAGTAGAGACGGGGTTTCTCCATGTTCGTCAGGCTGGTCTTGAACTCCCAACCTCAGGTGATCCACCTGCCTTGGCTTCCCAAAGTGCTGGGATTACAGGCGTCAGCCACTGCACCTGGCCTCTATTTGTTAATCTAACCATATGCTATTTATATGTGGAGAAAAACTTGATATGACCTAAAAAAGGTTGAAAACAAGGTGATGAACAAAGATATTATTGATTAAAGTAAACTAAAAAGAAAGCAGGGATGGTAATATTAATATCAGGCAAAGTAGAATTAAAACAGAAAACATTAGTTTATACTTGTGCTATATTTTATAATGTTAATCATATAATATGCTGAGAAGATATACGCATAAACCTTGACACATCAAGCAACAGAACACTGAAATATGTAAACCAAAAATTGTTAGTAATACAAGAAGGACTAGACAAACTACAATTATAGTGAAGATCTTCCTTAGAATTTGACAGATCAAATAAACAAAAATTAATGTAACTGTACTTGAAAAACACAAGTTAAACATAATAACAACAATTAAAATGTTTGATTATATAACTTTTTTAGCCTTTTTACTCAACCAAAAGAGAACATACATGTGTTTTCAAATACCCAAAGGACATTAATAAAAGTTGATCCTGCAATAGACTACAAGAATAATCTTAGTGAAATTGACAGAGTCAAAATCATATAGTCCATATCCTATGACTATGACAGTAGAAAGATTAAAAAGTAATAATAAAAAGATAACTAAATGCCCCTTGAAATTACATTTTGTAAATATCTCTTGAGTCAAAGAAGATATCAAATTTGAAATGATAGATTATTTAGAAAATGATGGTGAGAACACTAACCCTATGGCAGGCAGCAAAGCTGTGCTCAGGAGGAAACTTACATGCTTTTATTATTTAAAGAAATCATGAAATCCAGAAATCATGAAAATAACTGAAGCACATTTTTCAACCCATGGGAACAAGATAGAATAAACCATAAAAGGGAAAACTAGTAAGTAGAAATTCATGAATAAGAAAACAAAAACAAAGCAAAACCTAGAGAAGGTTTTCTTAAAAAGGCCAATAAAAGGGATCACTTATTCTATAATTATGTTCTGGAAACACACTTTAAAAACAAAAAGAACAAACATAAAATTGAGTTTCAATTACAAGGAGTTTAGATTATTATGGCACAAATACAAACACCTATAATTGGAAGAAATCATGGATAAATTAACATCAAACCCGGTTATAACCATGATATCAGAGAATATTGATTCACTCACACTGAAAATGTTCTGTGGGAAAGCTCCCACCATAGGCCTTGGCACTTTCTGCTCCTGCTCTGTGTAATCTTTTCCCCAGATATAATCTCTGCTCGAATGCTGCCTTACCAAAGTATCTTTATTTGACCACTCCATTCACACTCTCTATTTTTCCCACCCTTAGCCTGCTTTATTTTTCTTCATATCACCATATGATACAAATTTATACGTTTATTATCTGTCTCTTCCACTATGGTATAAGCCCCTTGAGAAGAAGTTGTCTATTTTGTTCACTGCTACCTTCCTGGTGCCTAGACCAGTAAGTAGCTCACAGTAGACTCTAAATAGGTATCTGTTAAATGTAGGCTGCTCCACAAAACATTACTGTATATGTAGATGACATGGTTTAATAAGCTACATAACAAGTCCCTGATGATGAAGTTTTATTGTATTCATGATCTAGATTTATACATAACTCTCAATAGCATGTGGGACTGAGGCAATGCCAACCTGGGGTCTCCATGCTTTGGAGACCGTGGTAGGCAGTGTGTGGACCCATGTCTACTGTGATGAGTGGAACAGTACCTCAGGAAAACCTCTAAAAACTCTCATTAACTTGGGGGGTTGTAATTACACCATACCCAAACAAGTTCTACTGTTCCTTACTAAATTCTAAGTTCTTTAAAGACAAGGTCTGTTTCTTAAATGACTCCATGGCCTTGGATTTGTAGGAGTGAAGTGATATCTGGGACCCAACCTTAGGTTCAACATCTTCAATCTGCATCTTAGCTCTTAGTGCTATCATCACACCAGGGACCCAACACATACTTAACCCAGAATCCTAACCTGGCTCTGCTATGGATACCAGGCAGGCTGCTCCCTGCATCTCATTGCCATCCATTTCCAATGTAGGAAGGAACACAGGGATTGGAGCCAGGCATACCTGAATTCAAATCCTACTTTCTCTACTAACCTGGTGTATATTCTAGGATGAGCTCCTGCTTTTTTTGTCTTTCTACCTTTCTGAGCCTCAATGTGGTAGAGGATGCTAGTTTTTCAGCAATATCCATTCTTCCTCCTTTGTTCTAGAACTTCTAAGCTTCATCTGGTCATATGGCTACCTAGTTACAGACCATATTCCCCAGCCTTTCTTGCTGCTAGTTGTAACTCTGGGATAAAGTTCTGGCCAATGGAAAGTGAACAGAAGCGAGACCTGCCATTTCCATGTTATACTCCTAAAAGAAAAGGTCTTACTCTCTCTTCTTGCCTTTCTCCTTCCCTATGGAAGGAGCACAGTCATGATGGCAGAGCACACTTATGATGGTGGGAGCTGAAACAACCACTTTGGTCCTAGAGATAGAAATCATTAATGAAGATGGCAGAGTTGCCAAACCAATCCTGGTCCGTGTATCTTGGGTGAGCGCAGCACCTGTGACGACTATATGAAACAGACATAATCTTCAATCTTATTTAAGCTGCTGTTTTTGGAGTCTCTTTGTTATAAGAGCTTAGACTGTACTCGAATATATTTACTTTTCTTAGTTGTAAAATGAGAATAATACCTAGCAGGGCTGTTGTAAGAAGGAGTATGCAGTGGGAGCTAAAAAGTGATAGCTATGATTATTATCCAAACTTGTGCAGCTTTCTTTCAGCCTGACATCAAAGTTATGGTCTGGGCAGAATTTCTGAAAGTGAGACACCTGAAGTGGTGTGACTAGCGCCAAAGTCAGTTGCAATCAAGATTAGGCACTATACAACCACCCCTTCACCCCTTCATTCCCCAAACTCTGTGTTCAGCCAGTGGTCAGTTGGCTAGTGAAACAATAGGAAGAGAAAACTCTGTGATGCAGGTAGCAGGTAAAGAGTTAGGACAGATATTTGTAAACAGGAATTTGATTTTCTACAATGACAAATGCTATACAAATTTTATTCTTATCTCTTCGTGAAACTTTTGGTAAGATATCTAGTTCTTGATGATGTTTTTACGGAGTTGCATCTATTCTCAGGCTATGTTTAAGTGTTGAGTTCAGCCTTAAGGGGCAAGAGTAGAGGGAAACTTGAGATACTCAATGCGGCAAAAAAGGAGCAAGCTGGCGAAGAAAGGTTGCATTGTGGTAACAGAAGAGCACACGAGGCCTGCCTCCGCATCCACCACCCTTAGATATTGGACAGTCACTAAAAGTTGGAAAACAGTGATTTTTGAGTGCAGATCTGTAGTGTCAAAATCAGAAAGTCTCGCATTATAATCCTTAATTACAGTCACTTCATATTTCCTCTCATCCGCCTCACCAAAAATAATTGGCATATCCTTCTATTAATAGTAAATTTCAAAATTCATGTGTTCTCAGGAAGTTTTTGGCACAGTTAAGCACATACTTATTAAACAGAAATTTCTCAGCACTTACCCCATCGTATTATGGGCTTGGTTCTCCATGTCAAGAAACTGCTACATCTGGTTTATATTTCTTGATTTTTAATCTGTTAGGAGGAAAATGATACAAGTTCCTAAAATGTTTATATTCTTTAACCTATAAAACATGAAAATTTTGCTACTGGCAAAAACCATTTAGTATGAGTTTTTCTGTGTAGTAGCTCTTGATCCTACAAAATATAGAAACCTGAGTTTTCTGTTTTGGTTTTTTGTTTGTTTTTTGAGACGGAGTCTAGCTCTGTGGCCCAGGCTGGAGTGCAGAGGCACGATCTCAGCTCACTGCAACCTCTGCCTCCCAGGTTCTAGCGATTCTCCCACCTCAGCCTCCTGAGTAGCTGGGACAGGCAATCGCCACCATGCCCGGCTAATTTTTGTATTTTTAGTAGGGACGGGGTTTCGCATGTTGATCAGGCTGGTCTCGAACTCCTGACCTCGTGATCCACCCACCTCGGCCTCCCAAACTTGAGTTTTTTGTTTAGCGACCCCTATGCATTTACGATATTGACTTAGTGATTTATTGAAATATGTGGTACGGACTAAAATGAGCATCCATTTACTACTTATTGAATAATAGCTTGTACTACGTTGTTCGCAAACGGCTCAGTACATGAGAATGAGTAAAACAGAATTCCCATTAAAAGAGAAATTCTAGCCAGATGTTCTCAAACTTTCTATTCTTGTGGTTCCCCTAAAGGTGTGCCTTTATTTGAGTACATTCTTTCTTTGGCCCTATCTGGGTTTTGTTAGGATGACTATAACTATGAGATTTAGGACAAAAAGGCTAAGAATGCCTTTAAAAAGAAATCTTGAAATTCTTCAATGGCTCTATGGGCACTGGCTCACCTCTTGACAAAATAGGGATGTTAGCATTTGCCTAAAGTAAAAAAAAAAAAAAAGTTTTTCTCAGTAACACAATTTTAGTTAAAAAATAATCTATGACGATAACTGGAGAAAGTATTGAAAAGGACTTCAACTCCTCCGAATCACTGAATAAAAGTCAATTAAAGAACATTCAAGGAGGTAGAAAGAGGAGGAAGATTCGAGCTCACATCACTTCCAAATCGAAGAGTTTTAAGAGAGACCCTGGAATTAAGAGAGACAGAGCGGAGAGGAGCAGGGATGGTGAAGGAAAACTTGACCAGAAGGAGCAGACCAATAAATGGTTTTGTAGATTCTCAAATATCTCACTTAAACGTCAGGGAAACTGAGGCACAGACAAGTTAAGTGGCTTGCCCAAGGCCACACAACTGAAGCCCAGTCCTTCTAACTTAGGGCGCAGCTCTGCTCTGGATTTGCAAGCGCGGGCCTCCCCTCCCAGCCTCTGTCCCCGCGCCACGCGCCCCTCCAGGACCCGCGCTCGGTTCAAGCCCAGCCTCCCGCAGAGCGGCCGCCCTTTTGGGGTTCCCCTGTCCCGCTCGAGGACCCGCGCAGCCTGGCCTTTGGGTGAGGGTCAGGGGCGAGGCGGGGCCGGGAAGGCCAGGAGCCATTACCTGCGCTGCGCCGCGCTCGCCCGAGAGGTCTGAGGCGAGGGCGCAGGACCGCGTATGTCACCTCCCGCCCCGCCAGGCCCGCCCCAAGGGGCCCCGCCACCCGCCGCCGCGCTCCCGCCGCCTGGGCCCTCCCGCCGCGCGACCAACGAGGCAGTTGGGCCTCTCCCTCCCCGCGCGCGGCGCCGCCGCGTGTTGCCATGGGGACGTCGCGGCCCGAACTCGTGGCCGTCGGAGTGGGGGATGGGCGCGGCGGCGGCGGCAGGCGCTGCCCTGTGCGGCTCCTCGGCTGCCTCCAACCTCACCCCGCGCGAGCGCGACCTCGCTGTCCCGCAGTTATACGTCCAGTGCCCCCTCTATTCTGGGTCCTTTCCTCTTTGTAGTCCCACTGCCTACCCCAAGGCTGGGCACCCAAGCTGCAGCCCGGAAATACTTGTTGAATGAATGAACCAAATAGATCACGAAGGAACTGTAAACCGCTGGGGAGTTCATCATCCAGGTTCCTTAAATCCCCTTGGCCCTCTTTCCTCTTACCCAAATTTGAAGTGGCATGAAAAAGAAATAAACTTCGGGTAAAGAGAACTGCTTTTATCTCCGTTCACCCTAGCGTCTTCCAGCTGGGAGGAGCTGGATTTCACCGCTCAGCCCCTGGTTCCTGTGGTGATAACAGCATCAGCTTGTACCTGACTTTCCCGTCAAGCGCGATGGGTCCTTAAAACACTGCCAGTCAGGCGAACGGACAGTGTTGCCTCCCTTCAGGGAGAAGAGAATAGCTTCTAAGAGGAGAAGCTGGAACGAAACTCAACGGGACTGATTCCAGATTCTTTCCTTTTTCCACCAAATTCCAAGAGTCATTGATGACAGATTTTCTGTCTCCATTTCATAGAGGAAATAATAGGAAAGAATATATGTTTTCCAACTGACATCTTGAGTGATTTGTTTTAAGCACTTGAATTTTGTATTTGATTTATTTTAACCAAATAATTCCTTCCTAACACATGGAGTCGACTACTTAATTCTTAAAGTCTTTTATTTGCACTTTACTTTCATCACTTTAACGCTAATTTGCTACTTTAATATTCTATGAATTTAATGCGCACCCACATCCCTCCGTCCAGGTCCCATCTGAATTTTATAAAACCATTATGCTGTTTCTTGACAAATTGAGCTTCATAGATGAATTGTATACGGTCACCTGGGATATCAGTTCTAACAGGTGTTTCATAGCTCTCATGTTTGCATGAAGAGAGTGACTGTGTTATCTTAACTTGAAACTTTTCATTATTCTGAAAACGCGTATATTCTTTATTCTTATCTGAATTGAATGGGTCAATGTATTTTTTCTAACCCAAGGAAGGGAAAATGGAACTAGGAACGAAATTTAATGAAATCTCAGGATGCCCAAGATCACTAAGGCTATGTAACATTGCTAAGTGCTTCCATGTTCATTATTTCTTTAGAGGCTCAGAAATACACTCAGCAAGTGTATCAGGTGTTATTAATAGCTTCTTTCAGAAGATTAGGAAACCCAGGCTTAGAGAGAATGAAGGATATGTCCATGGATTTGTCCATGGATTTGCACTTGAAATGGATGATACATCAAGATGTAAACCTAGATCATCTTACTCCAAATCCAGTGTTCTCCAAACATTAAGGTTGAGTCGGTTTCTTTAGCAGTCAGGATCTTCCTTAGCAAACTGTAGGTTTAATGTTTTCCTTTTTTTTTTTTTTTTTGAGACGGAGTCTCGCTCTGTTGCCCAGGCTGGAGTGCAGTGGTGCCATCTCGGCTCACTGCAAGCTCCGCCTCCTGGGTTCACGCCATTCTTCTGCCTCAGCCTCCCGAGTAGCTGGGACTACAGGCACCCGCCACCACGCCCGGCTAATTTTTTGTATTTTTAGAAGAGACGGGGTTTCACCGTGTTAGCCAGGATGGTCTCGAACTCCTGACCTCGTGATCCACCCGGCTCGGCCTCCCAAAGTGCTGGGATTACAGGAGTCAGCCACCGCGCCCGGCCAGGTTTCATGTTTTCACATAGAAGAATAGGTGCAGGGGAATGCTTGCAAAAACATTTAAGAAGACACATACTATAATGGATTTTAGGAAAATTTAAATATAGAATAGGAACATCCCATTCAATTTAATACGAATAAAGGTTTTCATTTCAGGATGAGAGTTAAGATTTAAAATGCAAATACCTGTTCCCTACCCTGCTAGTAAGAAGTAACAGTAAAGACTTGAATTCACCTTGAAATGTCCTTATTATTAGATATTTTCAGGTAAGTTTGTTTTGAAAGGGATGAGACCAGGAAAGCTCCAGTCTAAAGGAGAGGAAGAGTGTGGCCAGGGTGGAAATCTTCCTAAACAGGGTTAGTGAGAGTTGACAAGAGAGCTTAGTCATGAAAGAAAATTGGAGGACATGGCAAAATGAGGATAAGATAAAATGTAACCGGAAATGGTCAAAGGAGAATATAGGGGGCATAAATGGATGAAGAATAAGGATGACCTTTGGAAGAAAAGCTAAGGGACCAATTATAGGGAATAAATAATAAAGCAATAGGCTAAACCTTTAAAATTTAAAAACCTTCATAACAAAATCATTTCATGGGAAAATTTATAATAGCAATATAGTAAATGAATGTGCAACTTTAGCATATGCGTGGCTATATAAAATAACTTCATGTCTGTCTTTGTATCAACAAGGAAATATTTATTTTTATATTTTTTAAAAAGCAAGTTTAAAAATTATATATATTCATTATAATTTTAAAAACTAAGTATACCATTATGCATAGAACATACCTTAAAAATTTTTTTAAAACAATTATGATGAAATAATCATAGAATTGTAAGAAACTGTAGAGGAGATACAGTCTAACCCAGGGGTCCCCAACCCCTGGGCTGCATACTGGTACTGGCCAGTGGCCTGTTAGGAACCTGGCCACACAGCAGGAGGTGAGCAGCGGGCAAGCATTACGGCCTGAGCTTTGCCTCCTGTCAGATCAGTGGTGGCATTAGATTCTCATAGAAGCGCGAATCCTATTGTGAACTGCACATGCCAGGGATCTAGTTTGTGCACTCCTTATGAGAATTTAATGCCTGATGATCTGACATGGAACAGTTTCATCCTGAAACCATACCCCCTGGTGCCAAAAAGGTTGGGGACTGCTGGTCTAACCTCTTCATTTTGGATGTGAAGAAACTCAGATCCAAAGAGTTATAATTATTTGATTAGTCTCATTGTTAGTTAATGGCAAACATTTTCAAAGGAATTTTCTGGAGATGCTTAATACACATTCTAGTTGAGAAAATAACCATTCAGCAGGAAGAGATTCAGTATTTAGAACTAAGATCACCTAGAGCAGCACTGTCCAATGGAAATATAATGCAAGCCACTTGTATAATTTTAAATATTCTAGTAGTCAAATTTTAAAAAGTAAAAAACAGATAAAGTTTATTTTAATAACACATTTATTTCATCTAATATATCTAAAATATCATTTTAACACCTAGTCAATATAAAAATTATTGAGATATTTTATATATTTTTTGCATAGTTTTTACTTAAAGCTGAATCAGTTCATTCTGGCCACATGTAGGTGCTTCATAGTCACACATGACTGGTGGCTATCATATTGGACAGGGAAGCTGGAGAACATGGGTGCCTGGTCAATGTCCTAAAGCTCTTCATTAAAGTGTGAAGGGCAATGCAAAGAGAGAGATTCTTAATTATTTGGGGGTGATTTGAGAGAGATTTTGAAAATGTCCTACCTCAGTATCCTTACCAACCTGCTCTGGGCTGCGATAGGCATTAGACGTCTGAAGAGAAATACATAAATTTGAGCCCTTAACCAGGCAGCATGAGGCCTTTCATTGTGTCATGCCTGCTAGGCCTGTCAATCATCACTATCAGGGCTGCTTCTCCTCCTGATGGGACTTTAGAAGCGCCAGGTTTCACTTGAGGATCAGAAAACAAAGCCAAATTCTTTGAAAAAATGGCTATTATGATTTCTAAAATTCTCTACTTTTACTTTTTATGGACTTTTAGAGTTTCGACACTGTGGTTTTGAAAATGTCATCCTTTTTCAGATATTAAGGGGAGCTAAAGGAGAAAGATTTTTGTATAGTCGTGAGCTAAAGTTTTAAAGATGTAATACTTATTTCCTGGAGCCATTCATGACTAGGACAATGTTGAAGTGAAAGGGCCCTAATGGGAAAAACAAATTTGTAACCAGAGAGGAAAGTTGGGCCTGCCTGCTTAATGGCCTCTTTTCACTTGGGTCAACTTCTTCTCTGAGCTCAACTCTGCAGAAACCTTTCGGGTCACTAGCTAATATGATGGAAATTACTGGGTCAAAATATAGGAAAAGACATGAACCTAGAGAAGTGAGCCCAGCACTTAAGGCTGCTTTCAAAGGCATTTGATGCTCTGGAAGAAACAGCTGCAAAACTGAGCAGCCGTTTGATAGTCTTGTGAAAAAAAGGGGCAGAAGACAAAGCCTGGGCTCAATAAATAAATAAACATCCCCTGTCTTTAAGCTGGGGCTCCAGATGACTTTACCCTCAGGAAAATGGTGAGGTGGAAATAAATCGGTACTCCTACTGACTCACAGCCAGCTTGCAATCATCTGTAATTTGGGACAACCTCCATCTTTGAACTCAGAATAGGGTCATACTAGACTGGTAGGTTAAGATACCTGGAAGAAGCAAGCAGGAATTTTCCTAGAAATAACTTCTCAAATACAAAGGCCAGAACAAAAAGAAAAATAGAAATTCTAAAACTAGAAAAAAATTACTAATAACCAAAAATAAGAACACAACAGATATGAATAATGATAGATTTGGTACAGGTGAAGGGATAACCTGTGAATTGGAAAACAGAACAGAAAAAAGTATCCAGATTGAAAAATAATAAAATATTTTATTATGAAGTTTTTTATAACTTTGGTACTTATTAATAGAATTATTTGTTGTTATGAAAGTAAAAATAGATAATATATGTGCAAGTATTTAATACATGCCCTAGCACATAGGAAGAACTCAAAAAGTATTTGTTGAATTTGAAATTTAAAAAAATTAATTTGTTGATTTTGCAGGTAATCTCTGTCATCTTATATAACTTCCATTTCTTTGCCAAAATTTTCAAGCTTCTCTTTTACTTTTTTATTTCAACTTTTAAAGCATATTAATAAGAATTTTCTATTTTATTTTGCGTGTTATGATTCCAGTCTCTAAAATATTTTGGATATATTACTGCTAGCTCTTACTCATGTTGTCTTTTTTCTTGTGTGGGTTTATAATTTTTAACTATGAGATACTTTTGAGGGGAAGCTTTATTTCTGGGACATCTTTGAGGCCAGGATGGAGGCTGAATTTTTTGATTTTGCATTTTCTTATGAGAATTGTCTGGGGGTATCACCAACTCTAAACTACTTTACATTAATTTTTTTTACAGGAGCTTTTCCAGACAACACAGGTAATATGATGAATGAAAAATAAGTGTTAGAGTCAGCTTATGATACAAATTTCCAAAACTTTTTTTTTCCTTTTCTTAGTTTTTCTTCACCCAGTGCCAAAGTCAAAATAGGCATGTTTTCTACTGTTGAATTTTTCTGCCTTTTTAAAAAAAATCAGCTTTTTATTTTAGAACAGTTTTAGATTTACATAAAATTATTAGCATAGTACAGAGGGCTCCCATCTACCCCACATCCAGTAGCCTCTATTATTAACATCTTACATTAGTCTGGTCTATTTGTTACAATTAATAAACTGATACTGATAATATTAACCAAAATTAATACTTTATTCAGATTTTCTTGGTTTTTACCTAATGTCCTTTCAGTTGCAGGACACCACACTAAATAGTGGTCATGTCTCCTTAGGCACTTTTTGGCTGTGACAGTTTCCAAGAGTTTTGTAATGATCTTGGCAGTTTTGAAGAGAGCTGTTAGGTACTTTATGGAATGTCCCTTAATTGAAATTTGTCTGCAGTTTTTCTCATGATTAGATTGGAAGGAAACTCACAGAAATTAACTGCCATTTTCATCACATTGTATCAAGGGTACATACTATCAACTTGATTTATGACTGTTGATGTTGACCTTGATCATCGGGTTGAGATGGTGTTTGTCAGCTCTCTCCGGTGTAAAGTTACTCTTTCCCCCACTTCCATACTGTACTTTTTGAATGGAAGTCATTGTGTGCAGCACACGCTTCAGGGGTAGGGAGTTATGCTCTGCCTTCCAAAGGGTAAAGTGTATATATCAATTATTTGGAATTCTGCATGGAAGATTTGTCTCATCTCCCACATTTATTTATATCAGTATGGACACATGGATATTTATTGTATACTTTGAATTATAATCCAAGGCTACTTTGTTTGAGAAAATAAACAAATTTAGTTTCTCATATTATTCCAGCTGTGGTCATTGGGAGCTCTTCCAGTTGGCTCCCATGTTCCTTTGACATACCTCATCATTGTGGGATTTTTGGTTTTGAGAACTTCATTACTTTCTATCATTATAGGATGTCCCAGTCTCATCTTGTATATGTATATTTCCTGCTCCTGCAATCAGCTCTGTCTTCAGGGAGCACTTATTAACAATGAATTATAAACCAGTACCTGGGCACTAGGAACACTCCTTGCGACTTGATTATTCTTGTTCCTAAACCCTCTCAGCTGACAGAACAAGGAAATATATTTGTGTAATACTGACCTTTGTATATACAAATAACTGTAAGTATTTCTATATGTAACCATTTGTATCTAAACAGACATGAGTTTATCTAAGCTAAAAGGACATGAGTTCACACTGTTATCTCCAACTCTGTTACACAGATTGTTCTAGCTTCTTCCCCTTACTTATCTGTAAATTCCTACTCCAATGGTAAAAAAGTGGCTTCCCATGATCTTCCATCCATTTACTTAACTGCACAACTGCTGTATAGGTGTATAACACTAACAGAATTGTTAACCTGTACCATATGGAACAGGACATTATCAATTAGAGTACAGTGCATATATATAGTAAATTTTGCCTTTAGCCTCAATAGATTTCACTCATTTCCAAAGTTACTTAAATCAGTACCTTTTCCGTCTTCCTCTTTTAGTGAAGTTGTTTTACAAATCTGTAATACAGTTAGGATGTTTTGTCACATTCTCCATTCTCTTTTGGGATCTTCTGGCCTCCTAAATATTTTTTAAATTTGCATACACTAAGGTTCACGATTTGAGACTCATTTACTTTTTTTTTTTTTTTTTTTTGAGACAGGGTCTTGGTCTATTGCCCAGGCTGGAGTACAGTGGCATGATCTCAGCTCACTGCAGTCTTGACCTCCTGGGCTCAGGCAATCCTCCCACCTCGGCCTCCTGAGTAACTGAGACCACAGGCATATGCCACCATGCTCAGCTGATTTGTTTATTTTCTGTTGAGACAGGTCTCTCTGTGATGACCAGGCTGGTCTTGAACTTCTGAGTTCAAGTGAATCTCCTGCCTCAGCCTCCCAAAGTTTTGGGATTATAGGTGTGAGCCACTGTGCCTGATCTTATTTACTTTTACAGTGAAGGTAGGCTTTTGGAATCCCAGTTTTATGCAGAAGTCTGTTGAAATCTTCACCTGGGCTGGTCTTGGGCCCTATGTCTTATTATCCTTCTGCACGTAGCCACCACAGTGTAAGCAGAAACACTCAGAGCAAAAGTTTCTTTTAGCATTCACTCCCTTGTTGGGGTTCCTCTTCTCACTTCTCACATAACTTAGGTTATGAAATCTATTGATTCTATTATTTCATTCAAACTCAGTAAGATATTTACATTTTTATAATGTTTTATTTGTTTCAATTAGATTGTTCAGCGTATCTAATCAAACATGCTACCAGAATTGGAAGTCCTTTTTACATTATTTAATTTTTAAAAAATATTTCATTATCTATAAACATCTTTTAAGTTTCCTCAGCTCTTTATTTTTGGAAACAAAATGGGGAAATTATGAATGAGTTAAATAAATAATGATTCAAGATCAGATTCCATCTGTTATAAATAGTGATGTTCGAGAAAAATTAAAGAATACAATATAGCCACTTATAAAATAAGAGAACATGTCTTTAAAATACATTTAGAACAAGAGTTTTGTATTAGGAAATTCAACTGTTATTTTTGTTGTTATTATTTAATTTTACTGAAATGACTTCCATGAATTGAGAATTAATTTCTGTATATCTCTGAGTGTCATGTTTTCTGGTTACCCTATAAACAATGTTAATATGCAGTTGGCTGAATAAAATTGAGCTAGGAATATATGAGCAAATACTTCAAACAAATATTAATAAATAAACATTCTGTCATTACCTTGAGACTGCGGCACCTGTTTTAGAGAGATACCAATGTTTTACCCATTTTAGTGTCAGCCTTCAATGATCAGGTGGAACAACATGCAGGCTGAAGAAAAATGACTCTCAGTGTCCTCATTACTTAGGTTTGTGCTGTAAGACCACTCGTCATGTTGCCACCATTATGCCTTTTTTTTTGTTTTTGGTATAAAGCATGTTAGCATTGTTGCTGCTGCTGTTGAATATATGTGGTAATACCTATTATAAAACATTATTCTAGGACACATCTGAGGAACATGAGCTTGCCACATACAGTAGAAAATAACAACAACAATTTTTTCTTTTCCTTTTCCCAGACTAAGATTATAAAACTCTTAGACATGTTTCAGTTGCTTACACATGAAACCTAGTTCATAATGTCCTCACATACAGTAGCATTTATTCCCCATATGGTTGCACTTCAAAATGCAATGATTTTGTAAAAACCTTGTTAGAAAACAACTTTTGATAATTTTGGGGAGTTATCTTCTCTAAAGAGTAAATTTACATCATTCTGTTGGAACATTTCAGAATGTCACCTGAAAAGGATACCTATCTTCAGTCTGAGGTGACCTCAACACCCAGAAACCCAGATTATCTCTGAAAGTGTGTAAATTGCTTTGTAAAGAAGGCATCAGTCTAATTATCACAGTGTTGTGTTAAAATCCACCATGCAGTCCTATTTCTGAACTGACTGGGAGAAATTCCTCAGCTTGACGTAAATCCTCAGATGATAGAGAGCAATCATTGTGAGAAGAAACCACATTCCCTTTTCTTTCTCTTTTCATGATTAAATGTTTCAATTGCATTTTCTTATTTTAACTAGGTATCAGTCACTTGCCCGTTGATAGCTGAATTAAGTTTGTAAACCATGAAGGAAAGGAAAATGTTTTTTCATCTTACTTAATCTTTTTTTTCATTCCAGTACTGATTGAAAAAAGAATCAATAGCAGTAAGCCCTCCCAGGCAGGAAAAAATATTTAATTTCATTTTACATCTTTTAAAATTGTGAATATTTTTCTTTTCTTGAATCTTCCTCTTTTTTTTGAACATACAATATGAGAAAACAACTCTACAAATGATTTATTTCTAAGAAAGCCAGCTGAGCATTGTAGAAAGAATGTGGACTTTGCATTCAGACAACAAGAATTTGAATCCCAAATCTGCCTTTTAATAGCTAAATGAGTATGGCTAATTTATTTGCCCTCATCAAAAATTAGTTCCCTTGTTTCTACAGTGGGAATAGCAATACTTACAGGACTGTAGTAAAGATTAAATTAGGTCAGTTATGTATATAACACACCTATCAGGTAGCGTCATTATTGTTATTGCTATTATTACTATTATTTATTATATAACTATTCTGTTGTTTTAAAAAATATTCAGAGAGAATAAGTATATGGCTTCCTTTAGAAACAAATTAGCCAGAACAAGTTGTAACGATAAAGAGCTTACCCAGAAGACACTTGAATGGTATATATTGAATAGTGATAAAGGGGAAGTGAAAAGATAATTAAATTAATTGATTGCTAAAGTATTTTTGCCCAGTTAAAAGTCAAAACTAGGGGGTTAAGTGAAGACTTTCTGCATGTCTGAATTTTATATATTCACTCATTCATTTATTCAAAACTGCATATTTATGTAACATTAACTATATGCTAGGCATTGTGAAAGAAGAAAGATCAAGGGTTAGGAGCATGCAAAGAGAATTTCATCTAAATAATTATAGTACTTTTTTCAAACCACAAACATACAAAAAGATGTTCACTGCCACCAATAGTTAAATAATATAAATTAATAAAATTATAAGATACTTTCTCTTATAGGATTGCAAAAAATTAGAAAGACTAGTAACATTTAAAATTGGCAAAGATACAGGCATACTCTCATCCACTGTTTGGAGGTGTGTAAATTATTACAATTATTTTTGGCAATATTTGAGTAATTTGAAAATATTTATCTAAATTTAAAATGTGCATAGCTAGCAATTCTAAGAATTTATCTTACAGAAATAATATCATGGGAACATAAAGATATCTTTAGATCTAAAGATATCTTTAGAACATAATGATATATTTTCTCTTTAGGGACAGAGAGGGAGCCAGAGAGGTTTACTGCAGTATTGTTTATAATCACATAAAAGGGAAGGAGGAGTGCAACAGAATAGTATATTCCTATATTTACACTCACATGTCTGTTGGCAGAGGACCTTAGTCCCTTACAACATGGACCTCTCTATAGGGCTAATTGAGCATACTTATGCCATGGCAACTGACTTCTTGCAGAGAAAGTCATGTAAAAGAGAGAAAGATATATGCTGCCCCCACAAAAAAATAATAAGTAATAAGTATGTGAGGTAATGCATATGTTAATTAGCTTAATTTAGCCATTCTACAATATATACATATTTAAAAACATGTTGTACATGGTAAATACATACAATTTTTATTTGTAGTTTAAAAACTAATTAAAAACAAGAAAGCTGCAATACCTTTTATGACCTAGTCTCAGAAGTCACACAATATCATTTCTACAATATTCTGTCAATTAGCACTGAATCCCCAAATCCAGTCTAAGCTCAAGAGGTGGCAAATTAGGCTTCAGTTTTTGGAGGGAGAAGTGTTGAATAATCTGTGGACATATTTTAAAACTATTCCTCTTTGTCCTCTGGCTACAAATTATTTACATTCTTCATACATGGAAAATATATTCACCCTCTTCCATACCAACTCCCAGTGCCAGGTCTTAATCTTTTACAACATCAGCTAAAAGTCTAGAAATTTGCCATCTTAATCAGACCTAAATGTGAATGCGGCTTCTCTAGTGTTTTTTAAGTGCAGCTCCTTGAGTACAGTGCCTTTTAACTCAAGGCCTGTGGGTTTAAGAGACAAGTTACCCACATACTCATCCAACATGCATAAGATAACTGTAGACAATCCTGTTCAAATAGTGGAAAAATGGGAAGCCTAAAGCAATCACTGGTCCATAGCAATTCTGAAATCCACCCAGGCACATGTTCAATGTTTCTTGATTCTAACTCAAGGAACTTCCTAGGAATGGTTCTCCATGGCTCTTGGCTGTATCCTTTGGTTTATTGGTTCTCTCCTCTGATTAATCTTTCCTTCCTCTTGAAAGATAGACTGTTTTGGAGCTGTGCCGTTTTCTCAGGAAAACTTTGGAATTTCAAATACCTCTTTTCATTGTGTACTATCTCTGTTCCCTTCAGTCTAAGCTGATGGCATTTCTGTCAATATCATTATTCTTAGAAACTTTCTGAATCCCCTATGAACCTTATTTGAGCTCACTTCATTAGACAAAAGTCATACCCCAAAATATTTTCAAGGAAAGTTATTCTCTACTTTGGGCTTCTGCTGAACTGTGGAAGGACAATACCCTTAAGCTTGTTCAAAGCTCTGTTGTTTCACTGAGTGGTTCTCAGAGGCACCATCTTACATCTTTCTGAGGTTGTAAACAAAGTATTTTGCAGCCACACTCTCATCTTCATCTCTGGAACATATCTTTCCATCAGTGCCCTGAATTTGATTTTTGCTGGGAAGCCATGACTTTATTTTAGGTTTGTTTGCCATCTAGAGATGGTGGAGATTTTCAAAACTATCAAGTAATGGCTTCTCACATTTAGCAATTCTTCTTTTAGTTTATCTCCTTCCTCTCACATTCAGTATCAAGAAGAAACCAGGTGAAATATTCAGCACTTTGCCTGGCTATCTCCTTGGGAAGATCACTCAGTTCATTGGATATATTTTCTACTTTCCACATTACCACAGGTAATAGTATTGCAAAATTTCTGCCACTATATCCTAAGGATCCCTTTTCTTCAGGTTCCAATAAACTTTTTCTAACTTTTCTTTTAGCTTTTACCTTTAGCCTTCCTATAGCCATCAGGCTTCTATTAACAGTTTCATTAGGCTTTTTCTAATACTCTCCCTTAAAGCCTTTACAGCTTTTGCCCACATCCAGTTCCAAAGACACATCCACAGTTTTATGTATTTATTATGACAGCACCTATTTTGGGGTGTCAAATCTGTATCAGTTATTTTCTGCTGTGTAACAAATTACTCCAAAACACAGTAGCTTGTAACACCTTTTATTATGTCACAGTTTCTATGGGTTAGGTGTCAGGGGGCAGCTTATGTGGGTGGTTATGGCTCAGGGTCTCTCATGAGATTACAGTCAATGTGTCAGTAAGGGCTACGGTCATCTGTAGGCTTGAAGGAGGCCCAAGGACCCACTTCCAAGATGGCTCACTCACATATACATTGGCAAAGGGCCACAGTTCTTCACTGGCTATTAACGGGAAGCCTCCATTCCTTGCTATGTTGGCCTTTCCTTACGGCTGCTTGAATGGTCTCACGACATGGAAGTTGGCTCCCCCAAGAGTGAGTGATCTGGGAGAGAAAGCAAGGATTGAGCCGCAATGTCTTTTATGATCTAGTCTCAGAAGTCACACACTATAACTTCTGCCACATTCTGTCTATTAGAAGTGAGTCACAATGTTCAGCCCACACTCAGGAGATGGGGGTTAGGTTCTAACCTTTCACCTAGAAAACGTTGATATATTATTATGTAAAAAAACAAAGCAAGTTTTATATCTATATGTATAACATGATTCTGTTTTGGGAGAAAGCAATCTAACCTTGCATACATGGGTAAAAACATAAAGATTTCTTGAAACCTACAGACCGAAATGTTGATAGTTCTTACAGAGATATGTTAGGCAGTTGGAATGAGCCTAGTGAGACATAAGAGAAGAAGAATGAGTTTTAAATATTACTTTTGATAGAATATTAATTTATGCATTTTAAAATTTCTACTTGTGTTTTTCCATGTTTTAAAAACTTTCTAAAATAAGCATGTGTAGCTTACACAATTAACAACTGTGCTTACCAAGAGGAGAATGTTTACTCAGCTATAAATGTTGAATTGAGATTGGAGGACAATGGACATGAGGGCATGATCCACCAGAAGTCTCAAGATAATAATCAAGTGTGCAAGAGAAAAATAATTTAGTTACTACTGAAGATCTGATTTGTTCAAAGTAGATAAAATCAGCCATGTAAATTATGAAAAACATAACTTCAGTTCTATTTGCTTTACTACAGAGTAAATGTTGACAAGATTTTAAGATAGAATAGAAAACAAAGGACTTCTGGTTAAAATGGAAACATGGCAGACTGAAACATGCTTTACCTACTCTTCCCTTCTGAAACTCCACTACAGTGTCAGTAAAGGCTGTGTGTACACACACACATTTAAGAGACAGAAAGAGACAGAGAGATAGAGAGAGAGAGAAAACATAAGAGAGGACAACAACAATATAATTTTGACTGCTGGAAAGCTGATGCATGTTAATTGCCTTTGCAGATCAGAAGAAGCTGAAATAGAAGCCCACGAGGGTGAAAGTCAGGGATTTCCAAAAACAATCTTGGAAGTCGAAAGCACCGGGTACTTCAGAATGTAAGGTACACAAGTAGAGAAGAAAACAAGAGGATTGATTTAAAATCTATTTAGGACACGGTTTATTTCCCAGATCCTTTCTGTAGCACCACCCCCAGTCAGGCAACTTTCTCTTTCTGACCTTGGCAGAAAATTAGAGGTTTACTCTCTGGAGATGTCAAGCCAGAGAACTCTGGACTTAGGGCATTAGGTAGAGAGGAGAATAAGAATACCATACCAAAAACAGGGAAAGTAGCTGAAAGTCTCTATTCTAAACAATCTCTTCCATAGCTCAGCTTTAGAATTCTCGCAGCCATATTTAAAGGCAGGAGATTGGTGGATTTCTCTAAAAAGAAAATGATCAGCCCAAGAGCAAAGCAAAGCAAAACAAAACAAAACAAAACAAAATGTAGACAGTTGGGGAGTCCTTCAATGAAACGGGAGTCAATTATTCTTCAGTGAAGCCCAGTCTTTAATAAGCCCTATTTTCTCACACAGACACAACTGTAAGGCTTCTCTCTCCTTATTGTTGTTATTTTTTAAAATTGTTATTTCAGAAATGAGGATCTCACTGGTACTATCTCTGTTTCCTTCAGTCTCAAGTGATCCTGGGCTCAAGTGGTCCTCCCACCTCAACCAGGCAAGTGGCTAGGATTATAGGTGCATGCCACTGCACCTGGCTTGGCTTCTTTCTTAATATGAGCCAAAATAAGAATGACAAGAGATTTCAGAAAAACTTTTAACATCAGAAAGGCCAAAACAAAGAAAAAGGTAACATGAACAAAACAAATCACGTAGGAAGTAGAAGAAAAAAAACTATCATCAGGGAAATAAGAAAAGGTGTTACATCCATGACATACACACAAAAAGTTAGAAAAAGTCAATATTTGAAAAACAAAATAAAGGTCTTAGACATTTTAAAATGTGATGCAAGAAACAAAAATTTAAATGTTCTATGGAAAGGATTAAGAAAATGTCTTAAAAATGTAGACAAGAAACAAAAGAAACAAAAACAAGAAGAAGATGTAAAATAACAGAGAAAACATAAAGTCTACATGTCTATCATTTGAATAATATCAATACCAGAAAAAGACCAGAGCAAATGGAGGGGGAAATTGTCAAATAAATAATCTAATATTTTTCAGAATGAAAGGACATATTTCCAGACTGAATGAACCCCACGAACTACTCAGCATCCCACGTTAAAGTAGACTCATGCAGAAGTACATCATCATGAAATTTTGGAACACTGCGAACATGCAGACCCTAGAAGCATCCTGATTTTTTAAAAAACTCACATACAAAGGATTGAAAATCAGAATATTGTCAGACTTCTTAAAGCAAGTTAAACTGCAGAACAATGGAGCAATGTCTTCAAAGTTCTCAGAGAAGATTGTTTCCAACCTCTAATCTGTACCCTAACAACTAATAAAGTGTGAAGTTAGAATAAGGACAGTTTCAGGCAAACAAGATCCCAGCAAATTTACATTCTATGCATCATTTCTCAGAAAGCTAAAGGAGGATGTGTTCATTAAGTAAAGAGTAAACTAAGAAAGGGCAAGATATGGAATCCAAGGAACAGGGACCTCACTCAAGAGAGTCAAAGGGAATTCCCTGGATGACAGCAAAAGAAGATTCCCAAGGCAACAGCTGTGTTGCATCCTTGAATGTAACTGGCCCAGACTGAAGAGGAGGACAGAACCTCCAGGAGGAAAGGAGGAAGTAATATGTGTAAAATTGACATAATCTTCAATATGTTTGATGTTTTGAGTGGAGATTATAATTCTTTAATAAAATTTAGAATGCATTAATTAAAACTATCAAATGGGAAAAAATAAGATGGTTATTAATTCCAGGGAACATATAACATTATACAAGAAAGGAATATAATTAACAGAGTACTTGGCTCAGATAAATAAGTTTTGCATAGACAAAATAATGTAAGCCGCAATAGTAATCTCTCTGAAAATATGGTGATGTGGTTTGGCTGTGTCCCTACTCAAATCTCATCTTGAATTGTAACTCCCATAATTTTCATGTGTCATGGGAGGGACCAAGTAGGATGTAATTGAATCATGGGGGCAGGTCTTTCCCATGCTGTTCTTGTGATAGTGAATAAGTCTCATGAGTTCTGACAGTTTTATAAAGAGGAGTTCCCCTACACAAGCTCTTTGCCTGCTGCCATGTAAGATGTGACTTTGCTCCTCCTTTGCCTTCTTCTATGATTATGAGGCCTCCCCAGCCATGTGGAATTGTGAGTCGATTAAACCTCTTTCCTTTATAAATTACCTAGTCTCAGGTATGACTTTATTAGCAGCATGATAATGGACTAATACAGTAAATTGGTACCAGGAGTGGGGTGCTGCTGTAAAGATACCCAGAAATGTAGAGGTGACTTTGGAACTGGGTAATAAGCAGAGGTTGGAACAGTCTGGAGGGCACAGAAGAAGACAGGAAGATGTGGGAAAGTTTGGAACTTCCTAGAGACTTGTTGAATGGCTTTGACTAAAATGCTGATAGTGATATGGGCAATAAAGTCCAGGCTGAGGTGGTCTCATATGGAGATGAGGAACTCATTGGAAACTGGAACAAAGGTGACTTTTGCTATGTTTAGCAAAGAGACTGGCAGCAGTTTTCTCCTGCCCTAGAGATTTGTGGAACTTGTTTTTTTCTTTTTGTTTTGTTTTTGTTTTTGAGACTGAGTCTCACTCTGTGCCAGGCAGGAGTGCAGTACCACGATCTCAGCTCATTGCAACCTCCACCTCCTGGATTCAAGCGATTCTCCTGCCTCAGCCTCCCAAGTAGCTGGGACTACAGGTATGCACCACCATGCCCAGCTAATTTTTGTATGCTTAGTAGAGACGGGGTTTCACCATGTTGGCCAGGATGATCTTGATCTCTTGACCTCATGATCTGCCCATCTCGGCCTCCTAAAGAGCTGGGGTTACAGGCATGAGCTAGAGATTTATGGAACTTTTAACTTGAGAGAGATGATTTAGGGTACCTGGCCAAAGAAATTTCTATGCAGTGAAGTGTTCAAGAATTGACTTGGGTACTGTTAAAAGCATTCAGTTTTACATATTCACAAAGATATGGCTTGGAATTGGAACTTATATTTAAAAGGGAAGCAGAGCATAAAAGTTCAGAACATTTGCAGCCTGACTATGCCATAGAAAAGCAAAACCCATTTTCTGAGGAGAAATTCAAGCTGGCTGCAGAAATTTGCATAAGTAATGAGGAGCCAAATGTTAATCACTAAGACAATGGGGAAAATGTCTGCAGGGCATATCAGAGGTCTTCACTGCAGTCTTTTCCATCACAAGCTGGGAGGCCTAGGAGGAAAAAATGGTTTTGTGGGCTGGGTCCAGCTCCCCCTGCATCCCATCCACTCCAGCTGTGGCTAGCTATGATGGTACACCTTGGGCCAATGGATTCGGAGGATGCAAGTCCAGCCTTGACAGCTTTCATATGGTGTTGAGCCTGTGGGCACACAGAAGTTTGCTGCAGGGATGGGGCCTCCTGGAGAACCTCTGCTAAGGCAGTGGAGAAGGGAAATGTGGGGTTGGAGTCCCCACACAGAGTCCCCACTGGGGCACTGCCTACTAGAGCTGTGAGAAGGGGCTCTCTGTCCTCCAGGTACCAGAATGGTAGATCCATCAACAGTTTGCACCATGTGCCTGGAAAAGCCACAGACACTCAATGCCAACCTGTGAAGACAGCCAGAAGCGGGGGAGTGTACCCTGCAAAGCCACAGAAGTGGAGCTGCCCAAGGCCATGAGAGTCCACCTCTTGCATCAGCATGACCTGGATTTGAGATATGGAGTCAAAGGAAATCATTTTGAAGCTTTAAGATCTGACTGCCCTGCTAGATTTCAGACTCCCATGTGACCTTTAGCCCCTTCATTTTGGCCAATTTCTCCTATTTGGAATGAGCGTATTTACCCAATGCAACCATGTGGAACTGTGAGTCAATTAAACTTATTTCCTGTATAAATTACCCAGTCTCGGGTATGTCTTTATTGGCAGCATGAGAATAGACTAATACATATGGTGTAGCTATGTATAAGTGGATGAGTGAAAATCCTGTGGGGGTATTCAGGGAAGTTATGATGTAACTTCAACAGTGAAGAGTGCCTAGACAATATCTGAAATGCAAAATAAAAAAGTATAGAATAAGCTTGTTTATTAAAAACATGGAGGCTGTGGTAGGCATTCATCATTTCTTTTAAGGGTGTCCAGCATCTTTCAAACAACATCCTTTTTAAACAATGATTTTTTATTTTTATGGGTACATAGTAGGTGTATATATTTATGGGGTATATGAGATATTTTAATGCAGGTATACAATGTGTAATAATCACATTAGTGTAAATGGGGTTTTCATCACCTTAAGCATTTATTATTTCTTTGTGTTATGAACAATTATACTCTTTTCATTATTTTTAAATGTACAATAAATTATTGTCAACTGTAGTTGCTTTGTTGTGCTATCAAATCCTGGATCTTATTCATTCTATCCAACTATATTTTTGTGCCCATTAACCATCCTACTTTCTCTCCCCACTCCACTATCCTTCCTAGCCTCTGGTAACCATCATTCTATTTTTTATCTCCACGAGTGCAATTCTTTCAATTTTTAGTTCCTACAAATGAGTGAGAACATGTGAAGTTTGTCTTTCTGTGCCTGGCTTATTTTACTTAACATAATGACCTCCAGTTCCACCTATGTTGTTGCAAATGACAGGATCTCATTCTTTTTTATGGCTGAACAGTACTCCACTGTGTATATGTGCTGCATTTTCTTTATCCATTTGTCTGTTGATGGACACTTAGGTTGCTTCCAAATCTTGGCTATTGTGAATACTGCTGCAATAATCATGAGATTACAGGCATCTCTTTGATATCCTGATTTCCTTTCTTTAGGGTACGTAGCTGGCAGTGGGATTGCTGGATCTCATGGTAGCTCCATTTTTAGTTTTTTTGAGGAACCTCCAAACTGTTCTAGACAGTGGTTGTACTAATTTACATTACCATCAACAGTGTACAAGGGTTCCCTTTTCTCCACATTTTCACCAGGATTTGTTATTCTCTGTCCTTTGGATAAAAGCCATTTTAACTGGAGAGAGATGCTATCTCATTGTAGTTTTGGTGTGCATTTCTCTGATGATTAATGATGTTGAGCACTTTTTCATATACCTGTTTGCCATTTGTATGTCTTCTTTTGAGAAATGTCTATTCAGATCTTTTGCCCATTCTTAATTGGATCATTACATTTTTTCCCTATTAAGTTGTTCAAAACTGGAGGAATCACATTAACTGACTTCAAATTATGCTACAGAGCTATAGTAACCTATATTCTGGCTATTAGTTTCTTGTCAAATTGGTAGTTTGCAAATATTCTCCCATTCTGTGGTTGTCTCTTCTTTGTTAATTGTTTCCTTTGCTGTGCAAAATATTATTTTTTTTCTTTTTGAAATGGAGTCTCACTCTGTCACCCAGGCTGGAGTGCAGTGGTGCATATTGGCTCATTGCAACCTCTGCCTCCCGGGTTCAAGCGATTCTCCTGCCTCAGCCTCCTGAGTAGCTGGGACTACAGGCATGTGCCACCACACCCAGCTAATTTTTTTTTTTTGTATTTTTAGTAGAGATGGGGTTTCACCATGTTAGCCAGGATGGTCTCAATCTCCTGACCTCGTCATTTGCCTGCCTCAGACTCCCAAAGTGCTGGGATTACAGGCGTGAGCCACCATGCCCGGCCAAGACTTTTAACTTGATGTGATCTCATTTGTCCATTTCTGCTTTGGTTGCCTATGCTTATGGGGTATTACTCAAGAAATCTTTGCCCAGTTCAATGCCCTGAAGAGTTTCCCCAAGGTTTTCTTTTAGTAGTTTCATAGTTTGAGGTCTTAGATTTGTCTTTAATCCAGTTTGATTTCATTTTTGTATATGGTGAGAAATAGGGGTCTAGATTCATTCTTCTACATATGGATATCCAGTTTTCCCAGCACCATTTATTGAAGGGACTATCCTTTCCTCAACATATGTTCTTGGCACCTTTGTCAAAAATGAGTTTACTGTGGATGTGTGGGTTTATTTCTGGATTCTCTATTCTGTTCCTTTGGCCTATGTACCTGTTTTTATGCCACTACATGCTGTTTTGGTTACTATAGCTCTGGAACATAATTTGAAGTCAGGCAGTAGGATTTCTCCAGTTTTGTTCTTTTTGCTCAGGGTAGTTTTGGCTACTCTGGGTCTTTTGTTCTATATAAATTTTAAGATCATTTTGTTCTATTGCTGTGATGAATGTCTTTGGTATTTTGATAGGGATTGCATTGAATCTGTAGATTGTTATGTGTAGTATGGACATTTTAACAATATTGATTCTTCCAATCCACGAAGATGGAATACCTTTCCATTTTTTGGTGTCCTCTTCAACTTCTTGCATCAGTGTTTTATAGTTTTCTTTTTTTCACTTTTGAATTTTTATTTAAAAACAGAATATTCTGAAATGCTTTTATGTGTTTCTTCTAATCAAGGTAAATGATCTTTTAAAAACTTACACAATTTTCAGCTGGGCACGGTGGCTCATGCCTGTAATCCCAGCACTTTGGGAGGCTGAGGCAAGTGGATCACCTGAGGTTGGGAGTTTGAGACCAGCCTGACCAACATGGAGAAACCCCATCTCTACTAAAAATACAAAATTAGCCAGGCGCGATGGCACATGCCTGTAATCCCAGGTACTCAGGAGGCTGAGGCAGGAGAATCACTTGAACCTGGGAGGCGGAGGTTGCAGTGAGCTGAGATTGCACCATTGCACTCCAGCCTGGGCAACAAGAGCGAAACTCCATCTCAAAAAAAAAACAAAAAACAAAAACAAACAAACAAAAAAAACCAGAAAACAAAAAACAAAAAAACTTACACAATTTTCACAAATTTCTTTCAAGTTGTCTCTAAGCAAATAATGTTCAAAGGGTTTATTTATTCGGGGGCACGTGTGCAGGATATTCAGGTTTGTTACATAGGTAAACGTGTGTCATGGGTGTTTGTTGTACAGATTATTTCATCACCCAGGTATTAACCCTAGTAGTCATTAGTTATTTTTCCTGATTCTCTCCCTCCTCCTACCCTCCCCCCTTTGATAGGACCCTGTGTGTGTTGTTCCCCTCTATGTATTCATGTGTTCTCATCATTTAGCTCCCACTTATAAGTGAGAATATGCAGTATTTGGTTTTCTGTTCCTGTGGGTAGTTTGCTAAGGATAATGGCCTCCAGTTCCATCCATGTCCCTGAAAAGGACATGATCTCATTTCTTTTTATGACTGCATAGTACTTCATCATGTATATGTACCACATTTTTTAAGTCTAATCTATCATCGATGGGCATTTAGGTTGATTACATGTCTTTGCTACTGTGAATAGTTCTGCAATGAACATAGGCATGCATGTGTCTTTACAATAGAATGATTTATATTTCTTTGGGTATATACCCAGTAATGGAATTGCTGGGTCAAATGGTATTTCTGTTTTCAGGTCTTTAAGGAATCCCCACATTGTCTTCCACAATGGTTGAACTAATTTATACTCCCACCAACAGTGTAAAAGTGTTCCCTTTTCTCCACAACATCACCACCATCTTTAATTTTTTGACTTTTTAATAATACCCATTGTGACTGGTGTGAAATGGTATCTAATTGTGGTTTTGATTTGCATTTCTCTAATAATCAGTGATGTTAAGCTTTTTTCAATATGATTTTTGGCCCCGTGAAAGTGTCTGTTCACGTCCTTTGCCCACTTTTAAATGGAGTTGTTTTTTTTCTTGTAAATTTGTTTAAGTTGCTTATAGATGATGAATATATTAGACCTTTGTCAGATGCATTGATTGCAAAAACTTTCTCCCATTTTGTAGGCTGTCTGTTTACTCTGTTGATAGTTTCTTTTGCTGTGCAGAAGCTCTTCGGTTTAATTAGATCTCATTTTTCAATTTTTGCTTTTATTGCAATTGCTTTTTGTGTCTTTGTCATGAAACATTTCCCCATTCTTATGTATAGAATGGTATTGCCTAGGTTTTCTTATAGGGTTTTTATAGTTTTGGGTTTTACATTTAAGTCTTTAATCCATCTTGAGTTAACTTTTGTATACAGTATAAGGAAGGGGTCCGGTTTTAATTTTCTGCGTATGGCTAGCCAGTTTTCCCAGCACCATTTATTAAATAGAGAATCCTTTTCCCATTGCCTGTTTTTGTCAGGTTTGTCAAAGATCAGATAATTGTAGGTGTGTGGTTTTATTTCTGGGTTCTGTATTCTGTTCCATTGGTCTGTGTGTCTGTTCTTGTATCAGTACCATGCTGTTTTGTTTACTGTAGCCCTGTAGCATAGTTTGAAGTCAAGTAATGTGATGCCTCCAGCTTTGTTCTTTTTGCTTAGTATTGCCTTGGTTATTTGGGCTCTTTTTTGATTCCATATGAATTTTAAAATAGTTGTTTTTCTGGTTTTGTGAAGAATGTCAATGGCGATTTAATGAGGATAGCATTGAATCTATAAATTGCTTTGGGCAGTATGGCCATTTTCATGATATTGATTCTCCATATCCATGATCATGGAATGTTTTTCCATTTGTTTGTGTCATCTCTGAGTTCTTTGAGCAGTGGTTTGTAGTTCTCCTTGAAGAGGTCTTTCACTTCTCTTGTTAGCTGTATTCCTAGGTATCTTATTATTTTTGTGGCAATTGTGAATGGCAGTTTATTCAGGATTTGGCTCTCAGTTTGCCTATTGTTGGTGTATAGGAATGCTAGCAATTTTTGCACATGGATTTTGCATCCTGAGACTTTGCTGATGTTGCTTGTTAGCTTAAGAAGTTTTAGGGCTGAGACAATGGGATTTGCTGGATATAGGATCATGTCATTGGCAAACAAAAATAGTTTGACTTCCTGTATTCTTATTTCAATAGGCTTTATTTCTCTTGTCTAATTGCCCTGGCCAGAACTTCCAATACTATGTTGAATACGAGTGGTAAGAGAGGGAATCCTTGTCTTATTCCAGTTTTCAAGGGGAATGCTTCCAGCTTTTGCCCACTCAGTATAATATTGGCTGTGGACTGTCATATAAGGCTCTTATTATTTTGAGGTATATTCTTTCAATATCTAGTTTATTGAGAGTTTATAACATGAAGGGATGTTGAATTTTATCAAAAGCCTTTTCTGCATCTATTGAGATAATCATGTGGCTTTTGTCTTTAGTTCTGTTTATGTGGTGAATCACATTTATTGATTTGCATATGTTGAACCAACCTTGCATCCTGGGGATGAAGCCTGCTTGATCATGGTGGATAAGCTGCTGGCTTTGGTTTGCCAGTATTTTGTTGAGAATTTTTGCACTGATGTTCATCAAAAATACTGGCCTAAAGTTTTCTTTTTTGGTTGTATCTCTGCCAGATTTTGGCATCAGAATGATGCTGGCCTCATAGAATGAATTAGGGAGGAGTCCCTCCTTTTCAAACTTTTGGAATAATTTCAGTAGGAATGAAAAAAGAAATCCAGGACCAGACAAATTCACAGCTGAATTTTCCCAGAGGTACCAGCTCTTCTTTGGACATCTGGCAGAATTTGGCTGTGAATCCTGGTCCAGGGATTTTTTTGGTTGGTAGACTATTTATTACTGCTGCAATTTCAGAACTTGTTATTCATCCGTTCAGGCATTCAATTTCTTCCTGGTTTAGTCTTGGGAGAGTATGAGTGTCCAGGATTTCATTCAGTTCATCTAGATTTTCTAGTTTATATGCATAGAGGTGTTTATAATATTCTCTGATGGTTATTTTTATTTCTGTGGGGTCAGTAGCAATATCCACCTTATCATTTATCATTGTGTTTATTTGAATCTTCTCTTTTTTCTTCTTTATTAGTCTAGCTAATGATCTATTTTGCTAATTTTTTTTTTCAGAAAAAACCCTCTATATTCAATGATCTTTTGAAAGGTTTTTAGTATCTCTATATCCTTTAGTTGAGCTCTAATCTTGGTTATTTCTTGTCTTCTGCTAGCTTTGGGGTTTGTTTTGCTCTTGGTTCTCTAGTTCTTTTAGATGAGATGTCAGGTTGTTAACTTGAGATCTTTCTAGCTTTTTGATGTGGGCATTTAGTGCTATAAGTTTCCCTCTTAACACTGCCTTAGCTCTGTCCCAGAGATTCTGGTACACTGTGTCTTTGCTTCATTAGTTTCAAATAACATCTTGATTTCTGCCTTAATTTCATTATTTACTCAGGAGTCATTCCGGAGCAGGTTGTTCAATTTCCATGTAGTTGTATGGCGTTGAGTGAATTTCTTAGTCTAGAGTTCTAATTTGATTGCACTATGGTCTGAGAGATTGTTATGATTTCAGTTGTATTGTATTTGCTGAGGAGTGTTTTATTTCTGATTATGTGATCAATTTTTGAGTAAGTGCCCTGAAGATGACAAGAATGTACATTCTGTTGTTTTTGGTGGAAAGTCCTGTAGATATCTTTCAGGTCTGCTTCATCCAGAACTGAGTTCAAGTCCTGAATATCTTTGTTAATTTTCTGTCTCAACGGTCTGTCTAATATTGTCAGTGAAGTGTTAGTCTCCCACTATTATTGTGTGGGAATCTAAGACACTTTAAAGGTCTCTAAGAACTTGCTTTATGAATCTGGGGTTCTCCTGTGTTGGATGCATGTATATTTAGGATAGTTATCTCTTCTTGTTGACCTGAACCTTTTACCATTATGTAATGCCCCTGTTTGTCTTTTTTGATCTCTGTTGGTTTCAAGTCTGTTTGGTCAGAACTGAGGATTACAACCCCTGGTTTTTTCTATTTTCCATTTTCTCAGGAAAATTTTCTCTCTCCCTTTATTTTGAGCCTATGTGTGTCTTTGCATGTGAGATGGGTCTCTTAAAGACAGCATAGTAATGGGTCTTGATTCTTTATCCAGTTTACCACTCTGTATCTTTTAATTGGGGCATTCAGCCCATGTACATTTAAGGTTAGTATTATTATGTGTGGATTTTTTCCTGTCATGATGATGCTAGCTGGCTACTTTGCAGACTTGTTTATGTGGTTGTTGCATAGTGCCACTGGTTTGTGTTCTTTGGTGTGTTTTTGTAGTGGCTGGTAATGGTTTTTTCTTTCCATATTTCATGCTTCCTTCAGGAGCTCTCATAAGGCAGGTCTGGTGTTAATGAATTCCCTCAGCATTTGCTTGTCTGAAAAGGATTTTATTTTTCCTTTGCTTATAAAGCTTAGTTTGGCTATATATCAAATTCTGGGTTGGAATTTCTTTTCCTTAAGAATGTTGAATATTGGCCCCCTCTCTCTTCTGGCTTGTAGGGTTTCTGGTGAGAGGTTTGCTGTTAGTCTGATGGGATTCTCTTTGTAGGTGACCTGGCCTTTCTCTCTGGCTGCCCTTAACATTTTTTCTTTCATTCCAACCTTGGGGAATCTGATGATTATGTGGTTTGGGGATAATCTTCCCATAGAGTATCTTACTGGGGTTCTCTGCATTTCCTGAATTTGAATGTTGGCCTGTCTTGCTAGGTTAGGGAAGTTCTTCTGGATGATATCCTGAAATATGTTTTCCATATTGGTTCCATTATTTCTGCCTCTTTCAGGTACAACAATCAGTCATAAATTTGGTCTCTTTACATAATCCCATATATCTCGGAGGTTTTGTTCATTTCTCTTCATTCTTTTTTGTCTATTCTTGTCTGTCTTATTTCAGAAAGACAATCTTCAAGCTATTTTGGCTGTCAGCGCCTGCATTGTTTTGTCATGATTTTTGGCTTCCTTGCATTGGGTTATGACATGCTGCTTTACCTCAGCAAAATTCATTTCATTTTTTTAATCTACACTCTGAAGCCTACTTCTGTCACTTCAGCCATTTCATTCTCAGGCCAGTTCTGAACCTTTGCTGGAGAGGTATTGTGGTCATTTGGAGGAAAGAGAGCACTCTGGCTTTTTGAATTTTCAGAATTTTTGTGCTGATTCTTTATCATCTTTATGGGCTTATCTACCTTTGATCATTGAGGTTGCTAACCTTTGGATGGGGTTTTTTTGTGGGTTTTTGTTTGTTTTTCTTTTAACATTCTGACCACTTTTCCACAGGGCCACTGAGGTTTGCTGGGGGTCTGCTCCAGACCCTAGTCATGTTGGATTTTCCAGTGCCTAAAGGTATCACCAGTGAAGACTATAAAATAGCAAAGATGGCAGCCTGGCCCTTGCTCTGGGAATTCCCTCCCAGGGGAGTACAGACCTGTTGCTGGCCCAAATACACTCATAGAAGATGGCTGGAGACCCCAGTTGGGAAGACATCTCACCCAGTCATGAATAATGGGATCAGGGACTTGCTTAAAGAAGCAGTCTGGCTGGGCACAGTAGCTCATGCCTGTAATCCCAGCACTTTGAAAGGCCAAGGTGGGCAGATCACCTGAGCTCAGGGGTTTGAGATAGCCCGACCAACATGGTGAAACCTCATCTCTACTAAAAATACAAAAAAAAAAAAAAATTAGCTGGGCATGGTGGTGTGCACCTGTATTCCTAACTGCCTGGGAGGCTGAGGCATAAGAATCGCTTGAGCTGGGGAGGTAGAGGCTGCAGTGAGCTGAGATCATGCCACTGCACCCCAGCCTGGGCAGCAGAGTGAGACTCCGTCTCAAAATAAAAAAATTAAAAAATTTAAAAAGAATAAAGAAGAAGAAAAAGAAAAGAAAGAAGCAGTCTGGCTGCTTTTTGGTAGAGCAACTGTGCTGTGTTGGGGGATCCCTTCAAGCTTTGCACTCTGTCCCAGGGAGAAATTAGAACTCCATCAGCTGTAGGGGCAGGGGTCGCTGGAGACATGGGCAGCGGTGGCTGGAGACCCCAGGTAGGAGATCCTGCCCAGTGAGGAGGAATAGACTGGGGTCCTATTTAAAGAAGCAGTTTGGCCATACCTCGGCAAAGCAGCCATGCTGTGCTGGGGTACCGCCTCTGCCCCATTTGGTCTGGACTCTCCAAAGCCTGCAGGCTGGAACAGCTAAGTAGCCTAAACAGCAAAGGTGGTGGCCCACCCCTCCCACTGGGCACTCTGTCCCATGAGAAATCAGAACTCTGTCAGCCACAGGATATGGGCGGGGGTGGCTGGAGGCCCCAGTTGGGAGGTCCCACTCAGTGGGGAGGAATGGATTGGGATACCACTTAAAGAAGCAGTCTGCCCATGTTTTGGTAAAGCAGCTGTGCTGTGCTGGGGGATCCCCTTCTTGTCCAGTCCATTTGGACTCTCCAAAGCCTGCAGGCTGGAACAGCAAAGATGGTGGCCCACCCCTTCCCCTGGGAGCTCTATCCTGTCACAGGTAGGCAGTACCCTGTTGCCGGTGGCTGGCTGGAATTCCAAGTCAGTTGGTCTCATCTTGTGAGGTGCCATAGAAGAAGGACCTGTAAGCTGATGCTGCTTGGCCCCTTGGATTCAGCCCCCTTCCTAGATGTATGTACAGATCTCCCACCTTGCCTGAGTTGCAGTCACCTTTGCAGGGGATCCTGGGGTGGAGTATGTAAAGCTCCTGGGTCTCCGTGTGTACCTGAGCAGCTGCTCTGCTGAGACTCCACACAGTTCTGTGTATCAGACCCAAGGCCCTGGTGGAGTGGGTACACGAGGGGAGTCCTAATCCAAGGGTTGCAAAGATCCACGGGAGAAGCGGGGTTTCTGGTGTTGCACATTCACTCATCACTTCCCTTGGCTGGGGGTGGGGGTTCCCTTGGGTCTGTGTTGCTCCCAGGTGGGCTGCTGCCCTGTCCTGCTTTTCTCCATTCTCCATGGGTTAAGCTGTTTCCCTGATCAGTCCCAATGTGAATACCTGGATGTTTCAGTTGAAGGTGCTGTATTTACCCACCCCTTTCGTTCTGCTCTGTTGAGTGCCACACACTTTAGCTGCTTCTAATCAGCCATCATGGCCCCAACATTTAGTTTTCATTGTAGAGAGATTTTACTTCGGTTAAGTTTATTCCTAGGTATTTTATTTTATTTGTAGCTATTGTAAATGGGATTACTTTTTTTATTTCTTTTTCAGGTTGTTCACCATTGGCATATACAAATGCTACTGATTTTTGTATCTTGATTTAGTATCCTACAACTTTACTGAATTTATCAGTTCTAATAGTTTTTTTGTGAGTGTGCATGTGGAGTCTTTAGGTTTTTCCAAATACAAGATCATATCATCTACAAACAGGATAATTTGACTTCTTTTTTTCCAATTTGAATGCCATTTATTTCTTTCTCTTGTCCAATTGCTCTAGCCGAGACTTCCAGTACTGTGTTGAATAACAGTGGTAAAAGTGGACATCCTTGTCATGTTCCAAATGTTAGAGGAAAGGTTTTTCAGTTTTTCCCCACTCAGTATGATACTAGCTATAGATTTTCATATGTGGCTTTCATTGTGTTGAGGTATGTTCCTTCCATACCCAGTTTTTTAAGGGTTTTTTTAAAATCATGAATGAATGTTAAATTTTATCAAATGCCTTTCCAGCATCAATTGAAATGATCAAATCGTTTTTGTTCTTCATTCTGTCGATGGAATGTATCACATTAATTGATTTGCAAATGTTAAACCATTATTGCGTCTCTGGGATAAATTCCATTTGGCCATTCATGATGAATGATCTTTTTAATCTGTTGTTGAATTCAGTTTGCTAGTATTGAGGATTTTTGCAACAATGCTCATCAGACATATTGGCCTGTAGTTTTCCTTTTTTGATGTGTTTCTGTCTGGTTTTGGTATCAGGGTAACACTGGCCTTGTAGAGTGAGTTTGGAAGTACTCCCTCCTCCTCCTCCGTTTTTTGGAATAGTTTGAGTAGCATTGGCATTCGTTCTTTAAATGTTTGGTAGAATTCAGCAGTGAAGCCATTGGAGCCCAGGCTTGTCTTTGCTGGGAGACTTTTTATTATAGCTTCAATCTCATTCCTTGTTATTGATCTATTCAAGTTTGGTATTTTGTATTTCTTCACGGTTCAATCTTGGTAGGTTGTATATGTTTTGGAGTTTATCAATTTCTTCTAAGTTTTCCAGTTTATTGGCATATATTGCTTATAGTAGTCTCTAATAACCCTTTGAATTTCTGTGGTATCAGCTGTAATGTTTCCTTTTTCTTATCTGATATTATTTAGTTAGGTCTCTTTTTCTTAGTCTGGCTAAAAGGTTCATTGATTTTGTGTATCTTTTCAAAAAAAACCAACTTTTGGTTTCATTGATTTTTTTGTATTTTTTCCATTTCAATTTCATTTATTTCTGCTCTGATATTTATTATTTCTTTTCTTGTACTAATGTTGGGTTTGTTTTGCTCTTGCTTTTCTATTTCTTTAAGATGCATTTTTAGATTGTTTATTTAAAGCTTTTCTACTTTTTTGGGGTAGGCATTTACTGCTATAAACTTTCCTCTTAGTATTGCTTAGTACCACAAGCCTTGCAAATAACATCTTATAACCCATTATTTTAAACTGATGACAACTTAACTCTGATTGGAAAAACAAACACACAAACAAGCAAAGGAAAAATTAATAATAAAAACTCTACACTTTAACTTCAACCCTCTACTTCTTAACTTTTTGTTATTTCTATACTATGTCTTGACAAGTTGCTGGTGATTATTATTTTTGATAGGTTCATTTTTAGTCTTTCTACTCAAGATATGAGTAGTTTACACACCATAATTACAATGTTTTAATAGTCTGTGTTTTTCTGAGTACATACTATTGCCAGTGAGTGTTTTTTCTTTTCTTTTCTTTCTTTCTTTTTTTTTTTTTACTGTCAGATGTTTTCTTAACACTTGTTAATGTCTTTTTCTTTCAGATTGAAGAACTCTCTTCAGCTGACAAAATCCTTCCAATTTTGTATGTCTGGAAAAGTCTTTATTTCCCCTTCATGTTTAAGGAATATTTTCACTGGATATAATATTCTAGGATAAAGGATTTTTTTCCCTCGGCATTTTAAGTAGGTCATGCCACTCTCTCCTGGCCTGTAAGGTTTCCACCGAGAAGTCTACTGCCAAACAGTTTGGAGTTCCTTTATATGTTATTCGTTTATTTCCTCTTGCTGCTTTTAAGATTCTTTCTTTATTTTTGATCTTTGAGAGTTTGATTATTAAATGTCTGAGGTAGTCTTCTTTTGGGTTAAATCTGCTTGACGTTCTATAACCTTCTTGTGTTGGAATATTGATATATTTTTCTAGGTTTGGAAAGTTTTCTGTTATTATCTCTTTGTATAAATTTTCTACCATAATCTCTCCCTCTCTCTCTCTCTTGCCTGGATGGACAACTCCTCTGGAGGGCAATTAGACTAGCCCTCGCTAGTCTAAATGCTCCCTCCATGTGCATCAGTCAAATTCTTACCTGCATTGCTTTCCACTGTGACAGAGCAGCACTGAATTCCAATGCAAAGTTCCATAATCGTTTTGCTCTTTCTCCCCAAAGCACACACATTCTCTGCCTCTTTCCTTGATGTTAAAACCAGATACTGTGATCACTCACCTGATTTTTGATTCTAATGAAAGAATCAAAATTTTCTATGAATAGTTGTTCCTGCGGGGATGGGGAGGGGATGATTGCTGGAGGGTTCTATTTGGCCATCTTGCTCTGGCCCTGTCTAAACAACATCTTATTATATTTGGGGAACTTTCTGATGTATGAGTCTTGTCTTCCCAAAATTAACCCAGAAAATTCTGTTCTGCAGTGTCATTTGCAGCTAGCACAGACACCTGTGACCTAGGCCTTACTACCAGACTCACGCACATGAGATTTTTACACAGAAGTGAACAACTTGAGAAAGGTGGCCCTGCATGGAAAACGTTTTGCTGATGTGGGCTGGACAGAATCATTCTGCTTTGGAGGGCAACCATGGGTTGGTGCAAAAATAATTGCAGTTTTTACTTTTAATGAAAAAGACCGCAATTACTTTTGCACCAACCTAACAGCATTAGCAGGGAAAGTAGTGGTAGAATTTGTTTCTTTTTTTAGGACAGTTCTGCCCCACATT
This sequence comes from Homo sapiens, assembly GCF_000001405.40. Classification (NCBI taxonomy): domain Eukaryota; kingdom Metazoa; phylum Chordata; class Mammalia; order Primates; family Hominidae; genus Homo; species Homo sapiens. The sequence goes on along the minus strand of NC_000011.10, from coordinate 93,299,955 downwards.
TTTAACCATTGTTCTTGGAAGTTTAGCATCAACATGAACTACATAATATTCATTGTCAGTTTTGTAGTTTGCAACTGACAACCCTGAGTAGTACAGTGACAAATACCAAAAGCATAGCCAAAGAACTTCTGTGCCATGGCACGCCTGTAATCCCAGCATTTTGGGAGGCTGAGGTGGGTGGAATGCTTGAGCTCAGGAGTTTGAGACCAAGCTGGGCAACATGGCAAAATCCCATCTCTACAAAAAAAAAATACAAAAATTAGCCAGGTGTGGTGGCACATGCCTGTGGTCCCAGCTACTCTGGAGGCTGAGGTGGGAGGATCACTTGAACCTGAGAGGTGGAGGTTGCAGTGAGGTGACATTACACCGCTACACTCTAGCCTGGGTGACAGAGTGAGACTCTGTCTCAAAAAAAAAAAAAAACTTCAAAATGGTTACCTTTGGGAGTGAAAATGTGGGGCAGGGAAGGTAGATCAGGTAACTACTGGTTTTCATTATAAGCCTTTTAAAACTATTTGACTAACTACATATGTATACACACACACACACACACACACACATATGTTCAGAAATGCAAGGCCAGGTCTATAAGAAATTGAGTATTTTTGCCTGCACATACACACACACACAGACACACACACACACATGACTATATATATATAAAAAATATATATATAGTCAAAAAGAGATATATATATATATATTTATATATGTCTTATAAAATTTAAAATTGAAACAAAAAGAAAGAAAACAAAGGGACAATGAGGACTATATATATATATAGTCAAAAAGATATATATGTATTTATATATGTCTTATAAAATTTAAAATTGAAACAAAAAGAAAGAAAACAAAGGGACAATGAGGACAATCTTTTGGTGAGAGTAAATGCGCCACATGGGTGCTACCTCACTGTTTTTTTTTCTCTGTGGGAGACATTACTAATTGATAAGAACTCTCTCTCTCTGGAGCCTGGAGACAGACTCAATACTTCCCAGAATCCAGTTTTAGGCATATAAGATTTGGGTCCTCAGAAGAAAACCATTTGCCATTCTTGGCCTAAGAGGAAATAATCCTTTACAGGCCTGCCCTTGCGTTTCTGAACTTAAGTGAAAAAAGCCCAAAATATGTTTTATGGTACACCAAACTAGAACATATATCCCTGTATACCTAACTCTGAAAACCAACTTAATTAAAGGATGATAGTCACTACTGTAGAACTCTAGCATTCCAGTGAAATTGCTACAGTTGAAAAAAGCCATTTAGAATTTAAAAAATATTCTCAACATTAACATAAAGATATACTTCAAAGCTTTACAGCACCACGATTAACAGAATTTTATTGCTGAGAGTTTTCAAAATAGTGTATATCTCTTCTCTAGCAGTATTGGCATATAACTTCATAAGAAAATCATTTTCCTTCAGGTCAGTATATAGTTAATTCACATTTCGAGATGAGGCTACCATGACAACATGACAACTTAATGAGGTTTGAACAGCTTCAGAAAAGGGATTACTAAAAGGAAGAGAAAAGAAAAACCTTGTGATAGAAAAATAGAATACCAGAATTATCTGGATGATGTTTAACAGCCATCTACAAGGACTTATTGTCACTCTTTTATCATGGCTTCCTCTCTCTGTTTTCATTTCAACTACTGCAGTGGTAGGATTATTTGTTCTTTGATGAAAATGAGTTGTTGTACAAGATTCAAGAAGAACACTTGTTCCCATCAAGCACAGGATCTGTTAAAATCTCCTGACATTTTTCAATGGCACTTTCATATTTCCTGGAATTTGATTATAACTGCCTCATCATTATATGGATCACATGGCTAATGTGCAAGGGCAAAAGGTTATAGCATGAATTTTCTGGCCCCTCAAAGTCTCAAAGGAGATGATAGTTCAGGCCATGAGAGGAAGACCTAGGCAGTGTGTGGTAAATGAGATATGGAACAATGTGGAGTAATGGTACAATGTTCGAAAAAGCACCAGAAGGCCTAGGACCCCAAATTCTGCCAAACCAATGGTGTGACACTGGTTAAATCACTTATCCTCTGAGTCCCATTTCTTTCATCTGTAAAATGATATGGGCAGGTTCAGTGATCTGTAAGATAACTTCATTGCACCAAATTTCCTCAATACTGATGTGGCATATTTTACAACTTTTAGAATTCCTATAAATAGTGTTTAAACATAGAAAGAATACGGATAGACTACCCTGTATTCTCTTAGAAAAATCAAAAAGCATGACCGGTGTTAAGAGCAGTGCCAAGGTAGGTTCAGAATACATAGGAATCCATTTGGGTAATTTGAGGCTGGAACAATTACATCTAGTCAGAGAAAGGCATTAAGAAGCTGCGTATCATTTAGAAAATATTGCTCTAGAGACTATCTGTGTACAGAATAAAGCTTCAAGAAAAATGAAACAACAAAAGATAGGCAGACTCGTGAGGTCCCCTAGTTGTCAGAGAACCAGGCTCCTTCTTGTTTACTGTGTGGACCTCACTCAACATTTGCACAAGATGGCTGCTGGAGCCCAAGGTGTTGAGCTGGTGTGTTCCAGGCAGCAGGTTATGGAAAGGGTCCAAGAGGGACAGTGCATGCACTCCATGAAATTCCATTTATGTCTTATTCTCTAAATGAGGTAATTTGACCACATGTAGCTGCAAGAAGACTGGAAAATGGAATTTTTGCATGAACAACGGTGTATCTAGCTAAAAGCTACTGTTTTATTACCATACATGGGGAGGGAGAAATTAGCACTTCCTGACACGGTACTGGAGCGATGAAGCAGCGTGGCAGGATGAGGCTGAGAGCAAAGTTGTCTGTCAATGCTTGAAGGAGGAAGCAAAACCAAGTTGAATTGTGCAGACAATAATGATCACAAAGACAAGGCCATGCTTGGGCTTTCACTAATGTGTTTGCCTTGTCCCATAAAGATCTGTACACATGTGCACACACACACAGACATATACTTGAGTGTACACACTACACAATGGGTCAAAAATATAGTACAGCTCTAGATCAGTCACAGAGATTAATAATAAACATGAAGCAACTCCGTCAATTCTAAAATTCAGACAGTTCAGCTTTCTCTTTATTAATAAAACCAGAAACATCCTTATAAATATTTTTAAACATAAACTCTGTGCTATGCTCCCTACAAAAGTATTCAAGCTCAGAGGAACTCTGAATGCTCTATGATGTCAAAGGATGTCTGACGATTTGGGAATTTTTTAATAACTAAGACTTAAATAGTTGAAGGGATAGTCAAACTAAATTTAGCCATTAAATTACTACATTTCAGACACTGTGTGTGTCTGTCAGTCAGAGATTACTTTTCAGATTCCCAGAAGAACAGGTCATTAAAATAAATATTCCAGAGGGTTTTAACATCAGCAAAAAACAAACTTATGAAATCTATGACACTGTTAGATTTCCATCTGTTCCAGGAGCTGTTAACGATGCATGTGGGGTTATCCAGGCATTATTTCAAAATAATGTGAATTTTAAGGACCGTTAATCATCTGCAGACTCACTATGGGAGAAGGACACGTGCCAGGTGCAGTACAGCAGATGCTGTCCGCAATTTACCAGGATCATGTCACAATTCATTCACATTATGGCAGTCTGGTGTTCAAAATCTGCTCTAAACTAGACAAACATATGCTGGATGGCTGCTAGGTAAGCATGTTTCTCAAGGTAATGAATTATACCTAGCAAGTTTCCAGATAAATTAACTTATTCCTGATCTGCAAGAATCATTTGGAATTGTCTCTGGACATCCATGTCAAAATCTTAAAGTTCTAGACAACAGACTAAGATGAAACTCACAGGCTTGCCAGGACCATGACAGAGTATTTCACATTTGATGCTAATATATTGTAAAATACAAGCTAATGAATTACAAATGGTGTCACACAGTCTTTGCACATTGTCATATTAATTCAAGATTTCAGAATTTTAAAAGCATTTTCAATATGATTCAAGTGTATAAATATTAAGGAGGCATTAACCTTTATCAAAATGATTTTTTCTTGTGTTAAAAAGTTCAAAATTTAACATAAAAGGGCACACAATTTGACTTTGCTGTAATGTGGTTGATGAAAGTAACAGTATCTGCCCCCACATTATTCATGTAAAAACTGTGAAACCTTTCATTTACACTTCTTTGGCACTGGTGGGAGTGGTAATAGGAGTTGTGGGAGAAAGAGGAATGTGGTAAAAAGTGAGAAAAGAGTAAATTGAAGGATGTCAGTTCTTTGATTAACATTCTACTTGTCATCCTTTAGCAGAGAATAACAAAACCCTGCAGGCACTAAATAAAATGAGCCTTAGAGAGCTTTCTCATCCCTGACAACCTAGAGTTTGTGTCAATTTGGAGTCACTGATGCAAACATTTTGTTCAAATATTTTATTTGTTTTCTACCCACATGGCATCAACAAGAATGTTTTCAAGGTCAAGTGAATATCTTGAGAAGTCAAAATGTGGGATTTCATGAACTGGCTTCCCTGCAACTGATCAGTGACCTTGGTGAAACCAATTGAGGCTTAAGCTCAAGTCCTCAGATCAGTGATTCACTTACACAGCTATCAATTCTCTTAAAAGAGAAAGAAAAATAAAAGCCCTTTCTCTCTCCAGTCAGATTTACAACAAATTTCCAGCCCCAGGGCAGCCCAGACCACACACACACACACACACACACACACACACACACACACACACAGACAAAACAAAAACAGGCCGGGTGTGGTGGCTCATGCCTGTGATCCCAGCACTTTGGGAGGCCAAGGCAGGCAAGATCACTTGAGGTCAGTTCGAGACCAGCCTGGCCAACATGGTGAAACCCCATCTCTACTAAAAATACAAAAATTATCCTGGCGTAGTGTTGGGCGCTTGTAATCCCAAGCCACTTGGGAGGCTGAGGCAGGAGAATCACTTGAACTTGTGAGGCGGAGGTTGCAGTGAGCCGAGATCACACCACTGCACTCCAGCCTGGGTGACAGAATGAGACTCCATCTCAAAACAAACAAATAACAAACAAAAACCCCAAATGACTCCTTTTTATCTAACTTTGTCAGAATCTTCCATTTTGGGGGCAACCATTGTGGGTGGCATTATGATCACCACGTCAGCCCCCACACCAGTAAGGCAGCATTACCCTGGACTTGCTCACTGCCATGAATCTGCTAGTTCAGTGCATGGCTCATAGCAAGTGCTCAATAAATATTTATTGAACAAAAAAATAGATATCAGGATCAAGATGATGGGAACCCCCTCTTTGAATTAACTTAGGAAACATCTCAAAGAGTAGTAAGTCATAATTAAAATCTTATAATCCATGTCTTAGAAACTTAAGCAACTTGTGAACTTCTAATGTGCTAAGCTCTCATTTTGTTAAGAATTTCTGTACTTATGTAGTTATGTGCAATAAATAATTGGGGTATTTATGAATTCTGTACTGTAGAAAGTGAGCCCAAATTACAGAAACTTCCTATATTAAAGCAAAGAAGATACACTCTGTACGACAATAGTATAACTTGTGGAACATTTTAAATAGTTACATAAACAATTCTAATGGTACACTGCCTCCTGGCAGAATAGTGCATTTTCTCCAACTACTTTCAACTTTTCCATTTTGTGGAGAAGTCCTACACAACAGCCATTGGGTGGCACCATTAGTGTGGTCACAGCGTTGGGGGCCTCTGTTTCCTATCATACTGATTAACACCTCGGTTTGGGCATCGTGGGTTGAACTCTGACTAGAGTGACATGCTAGATTGCTACTGTTCACAGATTTATTTAGAAAAGAAGGGGGAGAGAAAGAGATGACTTCAAAAAAGCTAATCATCACTGGTCATTAGAGAAATGCAAACCAAAACCACAGTGAGATACCATCTCACGCCAGTTAGAATGGTGATCATTAAAGTCTGGAAACAACAGATGCTGGTGAGGCTGTGGAGAAATGGGAAAACTTTTACACTGTTGGTGGGAGTGTAAATTAGTTCAACTCTGTTTCCTTGAGGATTTTTCTGAGCAGATTTGCCAAACCTGAACTGGACTGCTTAGAACATATAAACCTCTATTTTGTTTAAGCCACTCTTATTTTCTATCTCTATTACCTCTAGCTAAGATGAAAACAAACTGATATTATTGGATTAAGTGGTAGATAGTGTTAGATAATGGAAAAGTTGAGAGGGAAAGTGAAGAGGTCTTGTATGAGTGAGGCAAAGATGAAGAATGACAAAGGAAAATTTAGCAATACTAATATAAACTGCCTATAAATGTGGTCACACAGCTGCTAAGTGATGAAGGTAAGACTTACACACAAGTCTATCTGACTTCGAATCCTATGCTCTTCATTACTACCTTCAATTTCCACACCTGTAAAATGTAGATAATAATATTTGGGACTCCTTTCATAGAGTTATTGTAAGAATTAAGTGAAATGACATATGGAGAATTCTTAGTGCAGAGGATAGTATATAAACTGTTTGATATATGCTGAAACTTTAAAAAAAATTTTTCTTTGTGGCTGGGCGTGGTGGCTCCCACCTGTAATCCCAGCATTTTGGGAGGCCAAGGTGTGTGGATCACCTGAGGTCAGGAGTTGAAGACCAGCCTGACCAACATGGTGAAACCCCATCTCTACTAAAAATACAAAAATTTGCTAGACGTGGTGGTATATGCCTGTAATCCCAGCTACTTGGGAGGCTGAGGCAGCAGAATCCCTTGAACTTGGGAGGTGGAGGTTGCAGTGAGCCGAGATCATGCCATTGCACTCCAGCCTGGACAATAGAGTGAGACTCTGTCTCAAAAAAAAAAATTATCTTTGTGTACACATTCTTCCCTCTATGTGGGATGCCCTTTCTTCCTTCTTTGCCAGGGAAGCAACTTAATCATTTCTCCCATGAACTTTTTGATGACTACTACCTTCTCTTTACTGTGTATTTATCTTTTATAGCACTTACCAATGATACCAATATCTTATCATTATAGCATACAAGGAACTTATCTATTCATAGGAAGTACATGAGGTGCTTATTAAAAATGCTGATTCCTTAGCTTTCTCTAAAGATTCAGATTTGGTGGGTCTGAGATGATGCCTAGGCATCTGTGTGTTTTAGCAAGCCCCTTATGTGATTTTAATATACATAATAAATATATATTTATTATATATATTATATACACATACATCTATATTAATATTTTTTTCTTAACAGTCACAGTACTCATTTCTGAAACTGGTCACATGGTTGTATCTGGTATTTATAACTCTATTTTCTGCTACCCATTCCTTATTCCTTTAGCTGTTAGCAAGCACCTCAGCTGGCTGTGGTTCTTTACCTGGTGGAATGACCTGAACTTTCATTCCTGAAGATTCTGGCTGTTAATATTCGCATCTGAATTGGAATGTTGTAGTTTTCCATTGACTTTAATTACAGGGTATGGGAATATACACTAAGGGATTTTCTGTATTCCATACAGACTCTTCCTCACTTCTTTTGTGTCCAATTTCCCCTTGGATCAATCACTGAAACCGTTTCAGTAGCTCCCTTCTTTGCCAGTTGATTCAGAGGCATAAGGAGCACAAAGTGGCCAGATGGAAGTGTTAACTTTCCAGTCGTTGGAATTATTGTTCTGTCTCCTGGTAAAAGCATTTCTTCCCTTGGAACTAAGACCTCGAGACAAGGGAAGCATAAGATCTCAGAGGAGCAGGAAGCAGAAGTTTTGCTAGTGTTGACAAAGACCCTCTCTTTTGACCAAACTTGAGTCAGGGTCTTTTGTATTCCTCTTTTTGACTAGGCCCTGACCTTTGGCTCTGTTCTTGGCCTGCTTAGTCCAGTTTTAGCAAGAATACTGCTGAGTCAGTTTAGTGAAAATCCCCTTGGTATCTGATCACCCTCAATATCTGGCCAACTTCCTCAGCCCCATCCCCAATATCTTAGCATCCTGGTCAGTAAGAATCCTGTTGAATCAGTCTAGCCAAAATCCCTCTATCCTTGATGCTTCTTAGTAATTTTCCACCCACTGACCACTGCCCTGCTCCTTGGCTATAAATCTTAACTTGTTATATTCATTGTTGAGCCTGATTTCTCTCCCCTATAGTAAAACCCTCATTGTGATAGTCCCTCTTGAAAAAAGTATTTCTTACTATCTTTAACAAGTGATATGGGATTTTTTTCTTTATTATTCAATCACTAGGTGTAATAGTGACTGCTGCCACTCCCATTTGGTGATCCTTCTGATTAGTTAAGTTCAGAAAACTGCCCTATTAGGTGATGTGCCCTTTGAAGGCAGAGACAGGCCTTTCTGATCTTTTTATCTCCTGTACCTAGCCTATAGTGAGTGCTTGATAAATGTGTGTGGAAGGAATTATTTACCTGGAGATGAGCTCTGAAGAATGAGTACACAGGCAGGAGGCACAGACCAGAAGACAGTCATTAGAGGAGATGACATCAGAGAAAGATTACAGCCAAAGCTTAGAGGAGTGGGAGTATGAGGGGTATTTGGGAAAAAGTAAACAATCAAGTTTATTGAATCATGGGATACATGCAGGAAAAGAGTAGGGGAAAAGTGTAAAAATGTATTCGGGTTGCATGGCAAGGCCCTGGATCACCAGGGCCCCACATGCCATTGATTTTGGCCAGCACTGGAATGCCCCTGAAGGCTCTTGAGTGAGACAGTGATACAATGGAAGCTGTCCATTTCTAAGATTTATCTGGAAATAGTGTGATGCCTGGAGTGAAGAGAGGAAAGACAGGAGATTTAAGATACCACTTCAGCAGCTTTGCAGTAATCCAGCAAGATAATGAAAGTCTGAACTAAAGTGGTAGAAGGTGTGGGGGAAGATTCAAGATTCAAAAGTTATTGATTATTTCTCTAATGAGACGGAGGATGGCATCATCTGTGAATAACACAGATGATGCCATCCTCCATCTCATTCCTGTCTATTTTTATCATTGACACTAGAAGCACAGGTAGCTAGAAGCAAAGTGTCATTTCTTATAGTGTGATCATATTTTTTCACAGTGAACACCTAAAATATCCACAAAAAGATCCTGAGCTTCCCAGGAACACATAGAGTGCATAGGTAATTTACCAAATGGATAGAATTAAATACTCTAATGGAATAAAAACAAAATGGTTAACTAAAGAGCCTTGTTGGCGGGAAGCAGCAACTTCCCATAAAGACATTTATTCAATTAAAAATGAAGCTCAGAAGGTCATGTGTTGATTTCATATTTTCCTATAAAATACATTTTCAGGGTTTTAAAATAAATCCACTAGCCTCATAAATTAATAAAATTTAGGTTAAAAATTTCTCTGGGAAGGAAATAATCAAGCATAGTGGACCTCTGCAATGTAAGTGAAGCAATTATTTCAAAGAACATTAATTGTCCGGGTGCTGTTAATCAGGTCCCAGGCAACTGGGACATTAAAACTGCAGCCCAACTCCTTCCCACAAGAAAGAATGGTTTCAAAAGTTATTTTAAAATCTTTTGCCTATAGTCTCAGTGGGGGTGTTTGCCTTACTGGCATTCCTTAACCTCTTTTTCTTTCCCCAAAATACAGTGAGTACTATGGTTCCTGGAAAGTCCTTCTACCTCCGGTTCCAGGGAAGAAACAACTGACCTGTGCTATGACAATGTTTTCCATCACCATGTGTTTTCAATTACCAGATGTTTCCATTTCCACAGTGATGGTTCAGGGCTCGTGACCTGACAAGGAAATCTACGGACAATCACTAGCATCTGGTTGCTGATTACAGAAACTCTCAGTCAAATTGGCTAAAATAATAAGGACGTTTGTTTTCTCTTACAATATGAAGTCTAAAGGTAGAGCAATCCCAGCCATACCATGGTAAGGGCTCCAGGACTCAGCTTTGCCTTCTCCACAGGTTGATGTTGTCCTCAGGATGATTTTCCTTGTGATCACAAGAAGGCTGCTGGCAGCAGCTAGGGTGACATACTTCCTTTCTCATCCCACGTGAAAGAGAGAGGGAGCCTCCTGCCCTTTGATATAACTGTGCTAATTTAGGACATATGCTCAACCTGAGCCAACCACAGACCAAGGGAAAATCTTTCCTGAGTAGCTTATGCCTTAATTCCTGACTTAATCATTATAGTAAGAGGAATAAAACAGTAAGATTGGAGTACACCAGTCAGGATCCTGGAGATGGAACGAGTATCCAAAATGGGCAGTGTTCTCTCAGAAAGGCAGAAGTTAGAGGTGGAGAAATGAATGTTAATGCAAAAAGATGTTAAAATCTATGTGTTAACTAAGACAGCAATACTATCAGTGAGTTGTAAGAGATTACTTGGCAGAAATTTCAAAGTAGGTGGCAGAGATGGCAGAGAACTGATTAGATGAATCAATTATATTAAGTACATAAAATGGTAGACAGAGTAGTAATTGAGAGAGGATTTGGTATGAAAGGATTTTAAAGAAAGAGATGCTGGTGTGCTGTGAGTCTCAAGCTCCTACCCTAAGCGGGTTGAGTGTCAAATCTTAGCAGAAGCTGAGTAAGTAAGGCTGCGTTGGAATCACTTGGATAGTGTGCTGTTTCCTTTGCAGTTAGAGAATCAGTGTGGATGTGACTTGACTTTCACCCTGGAAAATCTAGAGGCTGGAGGTGGGCTGGCATGCTGTTTTGGAGGCAGAGTGAAGGAGGATTGCTGCTATAATGGGTTGGATATGTATTCACACAGTTTTGGGAACAAGGAATGTGTGAATGTTTCCTGTGGCCTGGATGTGGGTGGTAGATATGCAATAGAGAGGCGCTATGGAAATCATCTTAGATCCTTTCCATTACATACATCAGAGGAACAATGACCCTCACAAAAATGAAACTGAAGTGGGTCCCCCATTCCCTAGAGCTTGAAGAGGCATGAAGTGCAGGAATGGTGTGCATTTGCCCAGATCAGAGAAACTGCAGGTGAAAAACCACCGTGATATTCAGTTCTCTAAAGAAACCCCAAAGTGAGTCAACTTTAAACATCTGCCAGACCCAGCAAGTGTGAAGCCATCTTACAATATTACCAGTCAAATGAGGACTCTCCTATCCTCTTTCCTTTCTAAGCTCCTTGATCACCAGTCCCAGAGGGGTCAATAGCTGGAACGCAAGCTAGAGAAAGAAGAACAGAGAAGAGAAGAAGAACCAGCTTCTTTAATCTCTGCAAGTGGCCAGCCTATAGCAGGCTCTAATTTAGTTGTGGGAGGGGAGAAGATTTTAAATTTAATCAAGTTTAGAATTGTAATTATTATCTGGGACCAAAGATTTAAATGATTGAATTGACGCTGTGTTTACATCCTAAAGTGACTTTTAAACTTTTTTATTAGTTACAAGAGACCTAAAATCATGAACGATCTGGGATTTTTCATCCTGGAGCCACTTTACCTTGGCCATGATCTGCGTAAGAAAAAGGGATACTTTGCACCATGTCTGTCAATAACCAGGGAACTAATGACTAGACCCTGAGACCTCTGCTACAGATGCTCAGAAAAACAAGTGTCCTGACTACTGTGCTTGCACAAAGCAGCAGCAGCAGCAGGAGCAGCAGCAGTGTGACCTCTTATGCATGATGTTCACTTCCTCCCAAATCTGGCATGGGGCTATCTGCCTGACAGAATTGAGATCAGGTGCAGAACCAGAGCTGAAGGGAGATTGAGGATGTAGTCTTGCCTTTCTATTCTCAGGTATGCAGCATGCACAGCCATGCAAGGAGTTGGCACGGAATCAAGGCAACCAGCCTGCAGTGTCTGACAGAGTGCTCACACCGCACACCTGGCAATCTATGTCCGGGGTAGTTTCACCACATAAATGTGTTTACTCAAGAGAAAATTTATAAGAAATTGTCCACTTCATGGCCTCACTAGACCTGGAAGCTGACTACTCACTGCCATCCGGGTGTGACCCCCTCACTGTCTCCTGCTAAGTGCCAGCTGTTCCCTAGACCCACTGTTTCCTTAAACAACGAAGCTTCTCTTCACAGGTCTAATCAGAGAGCATTCATACCTTATCCAATTGATATGGTTTGGCTGTGTCCCCACCCAAATCTCATCTTGAATTGTAATCCCCATAATCCCCATTTGTTGAGGGAGGGAGGTGATTGGATCATGGGGTTGGTTCCTTTATGCTGTTTTTGTGATAGTGAGTGAGTGAGTTCTCATGAGATCTGATGGTTTTAAAAGTGTCTAGCATTTCCCCTGCTCGCAGTTCTCTCTCCTGCCACCTTGTGAAGAAGGTGCCTGCTTCCCCTTCACCTTCTGCCATGATTATGTTTCCTGAAGCCTCCTCAGCCATGCGGAACTGTGAGTCAATTAAACTTATTTCTTTTATGAATCACCTAGTCTTGGATAGTATCTTTATAGCAGTGGGAGAATGGACTAATACACCCATTCTCTGGGGCCCAGCTGAAGAGCTGCACCCTCCAGGAGCCTTTCCTTAGGCTTTCCACCTGGCTCCTTTGAGCACCTGCTTTTCTGTGATTTCACAGCATGTCCTGCCCAGAACATCATTTTTTTTTACACTGAATTGTGTAAACTTTGCTTTGTTTGCTCATTACTTCATTCATTCATTTAACAAACATGTAAGGACCCATTCAAGGTGCTTTGCCGGGTGCTAGGTGGTGAACAAAATAGGCATGGTCCCTGTCCTATTAAAGTTTACAGACTTGTATGGAGGAGACAGACATTGAACAAGTAAGCAAATATGTAAATATAAAATCCAGATTGCAATAAGAGTTATGAAGGAAAATTACAAAGTGCTTTGAGAGAGTAAATCAAGGGTCTGTCTTAAGTTGGGTGGTCGGAGGAGTTGGCCCCTAGGAGGTAATATTTAAAACAGGAAGTGTAAGTAGGGGTTAGATACATGAGCAGTAGGAGGAAAAACATTCCAGGCAGAAGGAATTATATGTTTAAAGACCTTGAGTCAGGGGAGAGAGCAAAGCATTTTGGGAATTAAAAGGACAGTATGTTTGGGCATGGTGGCAGAGGGTCAGTAGCAGGAGTGAGAAGAGCTTAGAAATATAAGCAGATCAGCCAGGCGCGGTGGCTCATGCCTGTAATCCCAGCACTTTGGGAGGCCTAAGTGGGCGGATCACAAGGTCAGGAGATCGAGATCATCCTGGTTAACACGGTGAAACCCTGTCTCTACTAAAAATATAAAAAATTAGCCAGGCGTGGTGGCGAGCGCCTGTAGTTCCCGCTACTCGGGAGGCTGAGGCAGGAGAATGGCGTGAACCCGGGAGGCGGAGCTTGCAGTGAGCCGAGATCGCGCCACTGCACTCCATCCCGCCTGGGCGACAGAACAAGAGTCGTCTCAAAAAAAAAAAAAAAAAAAAAAAAAAAATATATATATATATATATATATATATATATATATATATGCAGATCACATGGAGCCTTCTAGGCTGTGTTAAGAACTTTAGATTTAAATCCACGGATATTGGGAAAATTGTGAAGGGTTTATAGCAGGGCAGTAATATCACCCAATTAATGATTTAAAAGAACTCCCTAGTTCCTCAGTGGAAAATGGATTGCAGAAGAGCAGGAGCGAAAGAAAAGAAACTAGCTAGGGAGTAATCACAAAAGTCCAGGCAAGAGGTCTGGACAGTGGCTGGCCATGAGGGTGGTTGCAGGGGAGATGGAAAGACTGGTTTATAATTGTTGTTGTCTCCCAAATAGATCATGAGCTTTGTGTCTTTTGTGTATGCTGGGCATTTTCCTTGGTGAAAACCTATAGCTATACTCAGTAAGTAAATATAATGAATCAATACATTAATTAGTTAATTAAATACATGCTGTTTTAATCTCTTAAAAAGAGGAACTGATCTATATTAACTGGATCAAGCATTACACAACTGCTGAGAAAGCAATTATATAGACATATAGTCAATCCGTTTACTTTGCTAAGAAGACAGACTTGTTGCCAGAGTCAGTCTGGTTATTTTGGCCATATTAACAACCAAATAATGCAGACTACATGGTTATTCAGAATTATGTTTAGTCACTATACCAGTTCAAGAGAAAATCAATTCTATTTAGGTCAATTTAACTCTGTTCATTACATAGAGCATTGAATGCACAACTTAGCATTATAGTATACAACAGCAGTTCCTAAAAAAATTTTAATCTCATAAACCAATATTTTTTTCTAAAAATTGGGGGACTGCTTAAGGTTGATACTTTCAAGATTGTCAAGAAAGAGTATTAAATCAAACAACCAAACAGTTCCATACCTTAGCCACAAGCAACAAAAACTAATTCTGGCTGACAAGTAGAAAAAGATTTATGATGAGAGTTTTGTGGTCTGGAGACTAGCCAAACTACCATGAACACTGCCCCAAATCTTTGATATGATGGAGACACCACTGCCACTGTGGGTGCCATTAAGCAGTAGACGCCATAGGTTACACTGCTAATATCACTAATGCTGCCACTGATGGCACCACTAACTGACTTGTGGCCCTTGGAACGTGGATATGGCCATTATTGCTGCCACCATTCATCCCCAGAATGGACTCTGTACAGTCCTTGCTTCCCACACAGGGACTGGATAACGCCTATCTACAGTAGTGAAGGGGGATCTTCTTCATTCAATCTACTGATTCGAATGCTAATCTCTTCCAGAAATACTCTCACAGACATACCCCAAAATAATGTTTCACCAACTACCTGGGTATCCCTTTGCCCAGTCAATTTGACATACAAAATGAACAGTCACATGACCTAATCAAAGCATATAGAACACTGCAGAATACTGAGGATTTAAAATGTTAATATAAGGATTTTTATGAAGAACTTCATACCAATAATTTGAAATCTTTAGAAAAGATAGAACATTTCCTAGTAAAAATTTTACCAAATGTATTCAAAAAGGAATCGATGTTAAAAACCTAAATTCAGATACATGATTAAAAGTTTTCCACAAAGGAAATTACTGGCCCAGATAACTTCACTGGTGAGTTCTACCAAATGTTTAAGGAAAAAATAAGCTCAACCTTTTACAAGGTTGAAATATTAAAAGAAAGTAAACTCCTCTAACTTTTATGGGACTAACAAAATCTTGAGATTAAAACCTGACAAGGAGAATATGAGAAAAGAAAATTACCTGTCACTTTAACTTATGAAGTTGAATGTGAACAAAAAAAAAACCCAAAATGAATATTAGATGAGATATTATTACCAAGTCAGGTTATACCAGGAATGGGAGATTGGCTTAAAAATAGGGTACTTATTAAGGTAGTTTGCCTCAACAGCTTAAAGGAGAAATTCATCTGATCATCCCAATATATGCAGAAAAAGTGAATGAAAAAATTCATTTTCCAATCATGTTAGCACACTAATTCATGATTTTTCCCCTAAAACTTCTTACATGAAAAGATAATTCTTATGAAGAATAAAGAATAACCATAAAAACCTTCAGTGAACACCATACCTAATAATGACATATTAGAAAGCTTTTCCTTTGAGGCCAGGTACAATACAAGGATGCCACAATCAGTAGTTCTATCTAACTTTATACTGGAGGGCCTCATGAGAACAGTTACACAAACAAGAAAAAGAAATAAAAGATATAGGGATTGTAAGGATTGAAAACTGTTGCTATTCATAGATAATATGAACATATGTACTGAAAATCCAAAAGAATCTACAGATGAGTGATTAAGAATAAAAATTAGTAAGCTAGCTGGATATAAAATCAATGTACAGAATCAATACATGACAGTTGTGGAACTATAGAACAACCCAAGTGTCTATTAATAACAGATAGATAACACACACCGGGGGACTGTTGTGGGGTGGGGGGAGGGGGGAGGGGGGAGGGATAGCATTAGGAGATACACCTAATGCTAAATGAGGAGTTAATGGGTGCAGCACACCAACATGGCACATGTATACATATGTAACAAACCTGCACGTTGTTCACATGTACCCTAAAACTTAAAGTATAATAATAATAAAATTAAAATTAAAAAAAATAACAGATGGATAAATAAATTCTACTATAGTTATGTAATGGTTTATATATAGTAATAAAAGTGAATGAATTATAGGTACATGCAAGTATATGGATGAATTTTACAAACGTAATGTTGAACAAAAAAAACAAGGCAAAAAAGAGTTATAACATACATTACAATTCCGTTTACATGCAGTTCAAAATCACACATAAATTATGCTAAGTGAAGGAGCCAGACAAGAAGTGTATATATGGTATGATGGCATTTATATAAAAGTCTACAGCAGGCCAAACTAACCTATAGTGATAGAAAGCAGATTAGTGGTAGCCTGGGGCTGGAACTTGGGGGATTTACCACAATGAGACACGAGAAAATTTTTTGGAGTGATGGAAATTCTGTATCTTGATTGGGCATGTACATTTGCAAAACTCAGCAAACAAAGGCATGTACATTTGCGAAACTCAGCAAACTAACTTTAAATTGGTGCATTCTATTGTAGATAAAGTATGCCATACTAAATATAACACATTTTAAATGTAGGCACAATAGTAAAATTATGAGGAAAATGAAAAAAATGATTATCCCCCAAGCCTGACCAATGGTTACTTACAGGGAAAGAAATACACGGGGGTAAGGGAAGTTCTAAAGTCTTAGCAATGTTCTATTTCTTGACCTGAGTATGACTATATCAGTTTCATTTTACAATTATTTTGTTAAATTGTAAATATATGTTTTATGTATATGTATGTGTGTTTCTGTGTGTATGTGTATATTTCACAATAAAACAAAGAAGTGAAAACATAGCTAAATTTAGAAAAGAATGTTTCCTTCTCTGGCCATCGATGTAGTGTACAATCATGAGGCTCTTCTCATTCCTGTTTTCAGTTGGGGAAGGTGGTGCAAGGAACAGAGCATATTAGCAGTGATCATGTTAGTGGAAGATCCTAAGCACATTTCTTTGAATAAGTTATGCCAAATGCCTTGTTTCAAAAAATATTTTTGCTTCAAAAATCTCCTTTACATGTAGGTAGGGGATTTGATCCCTACTTCAGCATTGACTGCAAGAGAGATTTCTCTGGATTTTGGGAAGAAGACCCAAGAGAGGCTTAATACTCCTATAAAGTGAACCAGATTCTTTGTATTGTGGGTTAACTCTCACATGTACACTTCTCAGTAAGGTTTTTCTTCATACATTTGTCTTTGATCATTACCATGTTTATATTCCCAGAAAAGTGCCATATAATTTTCTGGAAGTGGGTTGGTGACCTTATCAGTCAAGATAAATTAGATTATGCTGTGGTAATAAAAAATGGCAAATGGCAAAATCTCAGAGAACTGATAGAACGTATGTTTATTTCTCATTCATGCCAAATCCCTTGTGGGTCTAAGTGCCTCTGAAGGCAGTCACTGTCCGTGTGGTACAAGGCTGCCATTCTGGGCTGCTTCAGTCTCATGGCTATTCTGTATCTGCATGCGCTCCCACAATCGCCAAGGTGGCCAAGACAGAGCTGGAGAGTCAAACACTGGTAATGAAATGCTTCCATGCGGAAGTTACGTATGCCACATGTTTCACTGGCTAAGGCAAGGCCTATATGTTTACTCCTGTCTTCAAGCAGGCAGGGAACTGCCAATCTCTTACATGTCAGAAGAAGAGGAGAACTGATACACCAGTGAGCAACATAATGTCCAGCACAGTTACCTATCAGAATTTGGCCAAAATAAATTTTATATTTTGTAAAGATGAATTGAATCCTGCTTGAATGAGAAGTGCAATGGACGGAAGTTTGTGTCCCCTTGCCCAACTCATATGCCAAAACCTTAATTCCAATGTGATGGGGTTTGAAGGTGGGGCCATTGGTAAATAATTAGGTCATGAGGGTGGAACCCTCATGAATGGGATTAATACCCATGTAATAAAAGGTGAGATAGAATTTAAAATTTCTAGTGTGTGTGTGTGTGTGTGTGTGTGCATGTGCGTGTGTGTGTGTTGAGACATGCTTTTGCTCTGTCACCCAGGCTGGAGTGCAGTGGCGTGATCTCAGCTCACTGCAGTCTCCACTTCTGAGGCTCAAAAAAAATCCTCCTGCCTCAGCCTCCTGAGTAGCTGGGACTACAGTCATGTGCCGCCATGCCTGGCTAATTTTTGTATTTTTTGTAGAGACAGGGTTTCGCCATGTTGACCATGCTGGTCTCAAACTCCTGGGCTCGAGATCCAACCACCTTGGCCTCCCAAAGTGCTAGGATTACAAAGTGCTAGGATTAAAAAGTTCTAATGTTTAATAGCAGACTATGGTGACTATACTTAGCCACAGTATTTTGTGTATTTTAAAGTGTCTAGAAGAGAGGACTTGAAATGATACCAACACATAGAAATGATAAATACTCAAGGTGATGGATGCTTCAAACACCTTGACTTGGTAATCACACATTCTATGCATATAAAAACACTCACATGTGTGCATAAATATATGAAATATTTGTATCAATAAGACAAAAGAACCAGAGAGCAAGCTCACTGTTTTTCTGCCACATGAAGATACAACAGAAGTTGGCAGTCTGCAACCAGGAAGGAAACTTCACCAGAACTCCACCATGCTGGTACCAGGATCCTGGACTTCCAGCTTCAAGAACTATAATAAACAGAGTTCTGTTATTGATAAGCCACCTGGTTTATGTTATTTGGTTATAGTAGCCCCAGTTAAGATGCATAATGATGTTAGTGATACATTGCTTTTGTTTAATACTTTGGAGTTTATGAAGCATTTTCCTAACATATTTTCATTTATTTATTCAGCAAAAATTTTTAAGCATGATTATGGGCTAGCCACTCTGCTACGGACCAAATATGTGAGTAAGACATAGGCTGTACCCTTCCCCATGAGGATATCATGTGGTAATCACAATATAAAAGCCCGTCAGGGCACAGTGATGGCCCAGAGGAGAGAGTGCTCCTCACCATCAGGGATAGAAAGAGAAGACTTCTTGGATGATGTGATCTTTATTTAAGCTGGTGTGTCAAAGATAAGTAGGAGTTTATCAGGCAAAAGGGATAGGGAAATGGCAAAGACAATTCAGGGAGTTAAAAAAAAAAAAACGGATGCACAAAGGCACAGGGAGTTGTCTCATGTGCTGCCTGCAAAACCCCAGGAAGTAGGCATTTCCGACTCTCGCAGTTTTATAGATGAGGAAACAGAGACACAAAAAGTAAGTGATTTTCTCAGGCTACATACCTAATACAAGGCAGAGTAGAACTCAAGTCTTTTAACTTCAAATCCCATATCCTAAACAGTTAGTAGTATTGTTTAAATAAAATGCACATCTTAAAATAATGAACATATCTAATTCATTCAACTTATTTTGACTATACTAATGCCTGGCATAAAATGAGTATTCAATAAATAATGGTAAAATGTAACGCTGTAGATCACTCTGCCTTCTATGTGCAATGTGCTCCATACAGGCAGAAACCATGTCTCTTTTGTTCATCATTATATCTCTGGCTTCTAGTACAGCGTATGACACATTATGGGGTTCTCTAAAACATTTATTGAATAAATAAATGAATGAATGAATCTCTAAGTCTTTACTTAAACCAATGGAAAAAGTTTCCTGGATCTATTCGAATCTTCAAATAATTCTTTAAGTTGCATTCATAACACTTCCATTCTATATATTGTTCACTTTTCATTATGACACAGAGCAGCTGGGACATGGAAGTGTGGGTCTCAGGGAAAGAACCTCATTCAGTGCTTTGAACAGGTAGGCATTCCCTCAGTGTGGGTTGGATGACTGAACAGCAAACTCATGGCTGTCATTATTCATCTGAAACAACACATCTGTGTGGCTTAAACCTTCAGAGACTGGAGATTTATTATACATTAGTGATTACTTCAAACATTGGAGATTAATGAGGCATGAGAGATTACTTCAGACTTTAGTGATCTCAGGAGTTTAGTAAACACTGCAAGCTCTTCAGTCAGCATCGAAAGGTCTGATGGGGCCTCAGCAAGACTTATTTATAGAAACTCTGGTTCTGCACCAGTGGTGGGTCTGCCCTTTTTATTTTGAGAGAGGATTCAAAAGACAGTTTAGGGTGGTTGCACACCAGTCCTTATGCCAGTGGTATATCAAAATGCTCCGATTAGTCACCTTTAGGACTAACTATATTTTTGTGTGGCTATTCAGACACTCTTGTATCTGAAAACATAGAGGCTAAAGGGTCACCTGTCTATCAGTAATGAGTTTTCAGTGTTTTACTATGCACCAGAGTGTGCATTAATCAGTCACCTAAGTGGACAGTAAAGAAAAAAAAAACATTAGGCAGAGTCTGCTCTTAAGAAGGATGCAAACCAAATGGGGAATAGAATCCTAAAAGAAGTCTTGACTCCAATACCAAATCATTGAGTGATAGTACTACAAGAAGGGAGAGGCCCCAGGGTACCAAGAGCACCCAGGAAGGCTTATGGGAGGAGGGAGGACTTGAAATGTTTGGATTTGGACTGTCATGCCTGCTTGTGAACTCCTGTGATGCGGGTACACAGTATTATACTCCATGCCATTTCCAGAATAGGCCTCCCTTATAAAATTATTCATGGCCTGCTCACTCTGCCTGGAATATTTTTCTTCCACTTTTCTGCCTGGCCAAATCCCCCTTCAAGGTCCAGTTCAAATATGATTTCCTCTCTAGATCCTTCCCTTACCTCCTTTGGCCCCTGGGCAAAGTCAGTCAGTCCCTTCTTTGGGCTCCCACAGCCTTTTGTATGTATATCTAACACAACACTTAACGACATTGTAGTAATAAATTGTTCATGTCTCTATTTTCCTCACTCAATGGTGCCTGGAAAGTCATGAGCTCTCAATAAATATTGTTTATATCTATGGATAGATAAATTAACTGGAGAAGAACTTCCTAATTTGAGACCAGCGGGAGATGTAATAAAATGGGTCCAGACTCTTAAAGACCTTTTAAAAGACAAGCCAAAGGGAGAGAGGAAGGAAGAAAGGAAGGGAGGGAGGGAGGGAAGGGAGGAAGAAGGAAAGGAAAAAGGGAGAAAAAAATTCATATGTTTAAGTAGGTTAAGGGAAAACATCAAAGCTTTTTTTAATGACCCAGAAAATAAAAGTCCTCCATAATCCCACTTCTCAGAGCTATTTACTGTTAACATATTTGTGTTTCTCCAGCAGTTTTTCTATGCATATAAATATGTCAGTGAAATTTTCTACAATTTATATTCCCACTATTCATGCAGAAAAGTGCTCCAAAATCTAGTCAACCAACAAACATTTATTGTATACTTAAGAACTGCCATACAGTGGTAAACAAAACACATTATCCTTGCCTTCCATGAATTTTACAGTATAGTGGATAAAACATCATTTAAAAATTATAAATTAAGTAAATGATTAAAATGTGCAAAGACTCATTCACACCATTGCTGTGGATTTTTTCAACGGAAGCATGATATGATGAATGCAGTGTTTAGGATGATCAAGCTGGCACAGAATAGATTGAACAGGATAGATATGTGTTGAAGAAAGATGTTACCAGAGACACGGGCATGGGCGATGGCAATGGGAATAGGGAAAGAATGTGAAACCAGGCAAGATTTTAAGTAAAATTTTAAAATCTGTGGTCCATGAATCCCTTTAGGGGGTACAAGGATAAACTTTAGGATTTTTAAGACCTCAAGTTTAGATTTTATGTACAGTTTATCTGTGTAGTTTTCTATGGGCAGTAAGTTTTACAGGTTTTACCAACCTCTCTATGGCGGCACCATAGCATACTGTTTTGGGATAATTGAGATGGTTAATTTATGTGTCAATTTGACTGGGATAATGGATGCCTAGATAGCACCATTCTCCTGCTCAACTTTCTTCTTCTACTGACTACTATAATCACTATATATCTGTATCTTTCCTATTGCTTCTGCTTCTCTGAAGAGCCCTGACTACTATAATCCCTAATTTTGGAGTTGAAAAGGAAAGCTAGGCTCACACACCGTCACTTACTAGCTTTGAAATCTTAGAAAGTTACTTAACCTGGAGATAATAAAACAACAACAATAATGTAAAGTGGCTATCATCCAGTAATTTTTACTCTATAGAGGTCTATTATCCAAAAGATAAAAATCAATATTTTAAAGAAAGAAGAGACAGTGTTTGCCGTCTGATTGATACATGGGAGGAGTAGAAGAAAAAGGACTCCTTCTGGCACAGAAGATAAAATGGATGAAGCTTTATGATAGGAGCATTAAGGACAAACTGTAATCCCTCTGTATTGTGCCATTTTTAGAATGCTAGGAGGGGTCCAGTTATAGACTTACATTAGTTAAGTTTCGGAAGTTTAGATCACCTTGCTGATTATCAAAAGTGTCAACTCTTATTTTTATTGAGGACTAAACTCAGATGTTGGCAGGGTGTGGAAGAGCAGAGGAAGAAGAAGAAAGTTGAGCAGGAGAATGGTGCTGGAAAAGAAAAAAATCTAAGGGATCTTCAAATTCAGATAATTTATAAGTAGACATTATTCATAAAGCAGCTGATAAAATTATTATACTTGGCTGGTGGGGGGGCTGGACGAGGGCCATTTGGACTTGACCCCAAGATATTATTTACAAATTATCACATATATGTAGTTTTAGAGACTTCCTGACAGGTTCAAAGAAGTTGTCAATGATCATACAACTTAAATATGCATATCTCATTGCCAGACCATCTGTACTATGGTGTCAATTAATATATTTATCTTATATTTTTACTTTTCCTTTTATAATTTTGAGAAAAAGTTAACTACAGAAATGCTATAAATTGACGATTATAATTATTTTTGTTATGGTTCATTAATATTTGTATAAATCATTAAATTATCTTATAAATAGGAATGTTATATTGCATTGTGTTGTGCTTTTTATTTTCTTTTGACTTTTAGAAAATTTTTAAATGCAGAAGCCACAAAAAAAATGGAGGTGACCTCTCCCTCTCTCGTTCTCTAAGAAGTCATAGAGGCCTGCTAAGGCACTGTGATAAATGTGGTGGAGAGGGGCACACGGGGCTATGAAAGCACAGCTTTTTCAAAGGGTTCCATGAGAATTTCTGTTCCAGTCACATCCTGAAAATTGCAAAAAATAAAAAATGCAGGTATTTTTATTTACCACATGAATAAATATTTATCTGTCTTCAACAAGACAGGTTACAACTGCTATTTGAGAATCTATCATTTGCCTAAGAATCTGGGGGAAATAAAAAGAAATAAAAATTCATGGTTTTCTATTCTTAAGCTCTTGTAGATGTGGTATCAAGATATATGTCTAAGAAATGATTAGGAAACAATGGTAGATAAATCCTGGACAGTTCCTCAGGATACTATTTTACTGGCTCTTTCCTTTTACTGTCAAATAAGACAGTTTATAATAATGTATTTAATGATTTAAAGCCCAAATCTTATCACTCAGGCCTTACAATGCTATATGCTTCTCTCTTGTTGAATGCTTGTTCTAGTATCTAAGCAGACTCATACCTCCCTTTGCAGAATTGTTGCTATCTGTAAGCCTGTCTACAGCCCATCTTCATACAAAAATGGGATCTTCCTGAACAGGTAAAACACGAAGCACAAGTCATGTTCATCATCACTTTAGGAGAAAAGACGATTCCTGGTACCCCAAGTTACTAGGATTTGTGTCATGTGACCCTATTACCTGGCTGAAATAGATTGAACCAGAAATTGAGGCCAAAGGTAACTATCAACAGCTGAACATAGTAATAGTAGCTAAATATTTAATGAGCACTTACTGTGAGTCAAACACTGCTGAGATCTTCACTTGATGATTGCTTTGATTTAATCTTCACAACAGTCCTAGGAGATTGGTTACAATATTACTAAATCCATCTTAGTAATAACACACATGTAGCCACAGAGATACCCTAACAGGATTCAAACATGTGCAATAATCATTCAGTTTTAAATGCACGTGTCTCACCCAGACCATAGCATTCCAGAGGCTTAGTCATGGGTCCAGTTCATAGACTGGCAAATGGAGTTGCAGGGGCTTGAACCCTGGGTCTTTCTGTCTGCCTGATTCTCCCACCCTCCTTCTTCACCCATAGTCCATGTGGTGCCCTCCTCCTACTCTATGGCTGACTCTGCTCCACATTAAATGATTTCTCAATCAAATCTTCTCCTTGTAGAGGGTATCTTGAATGTGCCTCTTATGGAGGATGGAAGAGGCAGAAATAGAAAAGAAGTAAAGAGAGAAAAAGCTTAGGAAAGTGAGTGTTAGCAGGAACCAGGAAGGGTGAGAGGACAACCATGTTACTAGGGCTAAGGCGAGGTCACAGAGATGCTGGGGCACACTGAGTGTCCCTGATAGTCAACATTCCAGCTCTCATTAGCTTGATGGTATGACATTTCCCCACAGAAGTCACCTGAGCACATCTCTGGCCCTCACTCTTTGAGCAAAACTAACACAGAAGGGATCTTTTGTTTGGGGAAGGATCATGTTAGTAAATTAATTGCCATAGCAGAAAGTTAACTCTGACAACATTTCTAGAACCAACAACACATGGAGTGCTCTTAAGGACAAATATTATCAGCACTTCAAGAGAATTTAGGAGCTAATCTGATTGTGAGTGAGTACCTGCTAAAAGCTTACTTGAAGCAGTATCTGAGAGTGACTCTGAGAAACTTGTTAGTTTTCATCTTCTTGAAATCCTCTCCCAGCATTAAATTAGGTCATCGTTGAGTAAAGATTTAGTATTACAGTTTTTGCTCTAATGGAGAGTCATTTAAAGAACATCATTTAAAATAATAAATCCCTTTCATTTCACAGGGAGGAAAAAATCTATTTTTCCAAGTAAACAACATATGATTCCTTTCAATATAAAGATGATTTTAATAACAGAATAGCTTTTCTGTATTTTCCTAGCTGCCAGGAATCTCATAGCTACAGTATAAAGAGCAAAGGCAGCAACTAATGGATCTCAGATGCCTGGGACCATTTATATGACTGCTGTTGTCAAGATGTTTGTTTTTATTTTTTAAAAAAATGACCTGTTTTATATATTTTACTATTATAAGTTATCCCCAGACATTTTCAGAAGTGTTAGGTTGAACCATCTGAAGTTGTCATTAGTCATGTTTAACCTGCAAAATGAGCAATTCCAGTTGCTTCAATTGATAAATCAGAAATAAATACAAGATAGAGATATGTACATGGGAAAAAGTCTCAAAGGGCATATGGCAAAATTTTAACTGGGAAAGTCTGTGATGGGACTATATATGCTTTTTATTTTCTTCTCTCTGCTCTTTGTATTTTCTGAATTTTCAATTCATTCTACTCATCAATGTGGTTGCTTCTTTCTCTTTGTCTCTGTAACAGATTTTGTCTCATTATCCTGTATTGCGCCATTTAAAAAAGCATAAAGTGTGTGTGTGTGTGTGTGTGTGTGTGTGTGTGTTTCTTCTGTGAATTTCTTGAGAACAAATATTATGTCTTATTTATTTTTATACCCACTGTACCTGGCACACAGGAGGATTCAATAAATGTTTGCCTTATTGAATAATAAATGTATCCAAGTCTGGCTTAACCAAATCAAAACACAATTCATATACAACTTTTTCTGCTTTGGCTTTAGTAACCGATTTTTCTAAAAATAATTGAATAAAGTACCATAATGACTTCTTGTACTTTACATCTTCAATTCCATTAATATACTAACCTCTGGATGACATACATTCTTATATTCTATTCAGGTGACATTTATGCTTCTTTTCAGTTTATTCTGACCCAGCAGTGGCTTTTAGCATTTCATGACTATAGCCCTAAGATCATACTTGGATGTTTTCCAGGTTTCTTAAATTGAATGGAAGTTATATTCAAAGGATGGCCTTGACTCTTGTCCTCTCTGGCTTGGAATTGTTTCTTTTCATGAACTAGTATCTACCCCAATTCTGTATAGCAAATAACCTTGAGGTCATTTTGTCTCAGAGCTTTGCTCTATGTTTTACCTCAGTCAGGTTGTTCAGAGTTTACAGGATCCCTTTGAGAATGGTTCCGTGGGCCTGGATGTAAAAGCAGCTCCACTGTCCCATGTACATGGAGGCAGTAGGCTGTGATAAGGCCGAGATGTTGCAAGATTTAATGTGTATGCAAATCACCTGGGGATCTTGTTAAAATGGGGATTCTGATTCAGCTGGTCTGGGGCAGGGCCTGAGGTCCTGCATTCTAACAAGGTGCTGCTGGTGCTACTGTTCTGGGCCCACAGTTTGAGTAGCAAGAATATAAGCCCTCTTGTGTAGCCCTGGGTATCCATAAATGCTCCAACTGGGAGTTTGAATAGGGCTTATCTCCAGTAATTGCAAAAGTTCTACAGGCTGGCAGCATTGCATTTGAGTCCTGCCTCAGATTAGCCAAAGGTTTCAGTAGTTCTCCGTTCTCTTCATCCTTCCAGATGTGCTCTGCAAGGTGCCCTGTGAAAGCCAAGGGTTCTCACTGTAGTATTCCACCTAGGTATAGCCTTTCTTTATGCTCTGAATTATCCTGTCGTGCATCCAATCAATTCAAGTTCCTGATTGAATTAGTTGACAGAAGGCAATTTGAGAAACCAGTCACTGCTCAATAATGTCAATGAACAATAGGATTTAACATGTTAATTTCAATTTGAAAACAAAAGTTCTTAGTTCATATTCTTGCTCTGCCATTCACCAACTATGGATCTCATCAAGTCACTTAGTGCCTATGGTAGGCTGAATAGATGATTTCCAAAGATACTCACATTCTTATTCCCAGAACCTGTAAATATTATCTTATATGGCAAAAGGGACTTTGCCGATGTGATAACAGCAGGATCTTGAGATGGGGGAATCATCATGGATTATGTATGTGTGCCCAATGTAATCACAGGAATGCTTATAAGAGGGAGGCCATGTGAAGAAGGAAGCAGATTGGAGTGATGTAGCCACAAGCCAGGTCAGTCTCTAGAAGTTGAAAGAAGCAAAGAGTAGATTCTCCTCTGAGGTCTCCAGAAGGAACCAGTCCTACTAATACCTTGATTTTAGCCCTGAATGACTGATTTTAGATGTCTGGCCTCCAGACTTGTAAGAGAATATGATTATTGTTTTAACCCACTACGTTTGTTATAATTAGGAAATTAATACAATGTCTCTATTTTCTTAATCTGTAAAATGAAGCTAATAATAGCAAGGCTAATATAAGCATTGACGTGAGGATTAAAAGGGATAATATATATAATAATATGAAGGCATTTTAAAAATTCTAAAGCTCTGAATCTCAGACCTTAGAGGACGTAAGAATCACTTGGGAGCTTGTAAAATGAAGATTTCCTTCCTCAGACATTTTGATATGACATTTTTGGGTTTGAGCCTATGTATCCGTATTTTTAATAATCCCTCAGATTTTCAGACTTAGGTGGTTCATGGATTACACCTCCAGTCATTAATGTGTGATTGTTGATTAGAATTCAAGCCCTATTGTGGGTCATGGAGGAGGGTTTTAGAGAGAGGAAAGCAAAGGTCCAAATTACCATATACAGTCTCCCATGAATGAAGACATCTTTGCAGGTACCAAGAAGGTTGGGGTGTATCATTTTAGAAGTCACATCTATGAAATAAGGACAATGATTTTCCATTCCAGTGGCAGGATCTGGCAGCCACTTGCACAGACTGAGGTTTCCAGACCATGATTCTCCTCTGCCACTCAGAGAACTGGCATGTCTTCGGGGCATTCTGTCTGTTCTTTATGTTCAGGAGAACACATTTGTAAATTCTAACAGGATAGCTGAACCAAATGCATCCTATCTACAAAAGCAATGCTCAGAAAAGAGGATAAACAAAAAAATTTTTTAAAATAATTCTTAGTTGAGGCTTTATTTCATGCCAGGCACTACATTTCTGTTTTGGAGGTGCTTACAGTAAGGTGTGGCATAGACTTGTAGCCATCATAGGAGCATGCAGAAGGGTCAAAAAGACTGGAAGAGCCTTAAAGTAGAAGAATAATGATAGCCAAACTGAAATTGCTGCTAATAACTTTAAAGTGCTTAGACCAGTGCCTCATATCTATCCTTAAATATAAGCCCTTTTACGTGAGCCCACATGGAATGACTAATTCTGTTTGAGGATGGTGTGATGGTTAATTTTATGCGTCAACCTGACTGGGCCATAGGGTGCTCAGATATTTGGTTAAACATTATTTTGTGTGTGTCTGGGAGGATGTTTTCGAATGAGAATAGCATTTGACTGAATAAAGCAGATTGGCCTCCCTATTGTGGGTGGACTCCACGCAATCCATTGAAGCCTTAATAAAACAAAAAGGCTGACCCTCCACGAACAAGAGGGGATTTCTCTTGTTGGACTGCTTTTGAGCTGGTACATTGTTTTTTTCTTGCCTTCAGACTCCAAATGAAGTATTGGCTGTTTCTGGGTCTCAAGCCTGCTGACCTTTTGGCTGGAACTACACCACTGGCTCTCCTGGATCTTGAACCTTCAGACTTGGACTAAAACTATCAGTGGCTTTTCTGAGTCTCCAGCTTGCTTACTGCAGATCTTGGAACTTGTCAATCTCCAAAATCACGTCAGCCAATTTCCTTTTCTTCTTCTTTTTTTGAGACAGTGTCTCGCTCTGTTGCCCAGGCTTGGAGTGGTGCAATCAGGGCTCCCTGTAGCCTCAACCTCCCAGGCTCAAGCAGTCCTCCCACCTCAGCCTCCCAAGTAGTTGGGACCACAAACATGCATCACCATGCCCAGCTAAATTTTTACTTTTTTATAGTCAACGTCTCACTATGTTTCTCAGGCTGGTCTCAAACTCCTGAGCTTAAGCAATCCTCCCACCTCAGCCTCCAAAAGTGCTGGGATTACAGGCATGAGCCACTGAGCCTGGCCATGTCAGCCAATTTCTTATAATAGATACCCCCCCGCCCCACCCATCGTCCATCGTGTGTGTGTGTGTGTGTGTGTGTGTGTGTGTGTGTGTGTGTGTTCATATATCTCTCCATCCTATTGGTCTGTTTCTCTGAAGAACTCTAATACAGATATGGGAAGTTTTCCTAGAGGACATCATCTTTCCGAGAGATGTTGAAATAATACATTATCTATCTATACATAATCCACTCTATAATTGTACATTGTACATTTCTCTGTCATTCATTCATTTTGACATATATTTAGGGTTGAAATGAATTTAGTGAATGCATATTGTGTGTCAGGCCCTTTGCTAGGCACAGAGGTGAAGTTAAGGAGTAAGACATCACCCCTGCCCTTTGAATGAGGAAATCAGGCTTGAAAGCTAAATATCACAGGGCACTGTCATGGAGACAAATGACCTGAAAGTGGAAGTCCCATTTTTACAAAATAAAAACAGTGTCCACTTAGGATTGCCAGATAAAATGTTGCATGGGATGTACTTATACTAAAAAAAAAATCATTGTTTATCTGAAATTCAAATTTAGCTGGGCCTCCTGTTTTTTTAATTGCTAGATCTGGCAACCCTTTGCTAAGTTCTCCCCATACATTCAGAATGACAGAGACTGGAAAAACATGGCTCTCCTTAAGGATCAGAAGGGTAGATGCCTCTTCTCTTCTCTTCTCTTTTCTCTTCTTTTCTCTTCTATTCTCCTCTTGATTATTTGATTCAGCCCTGTTCTTGCTATCCACCAGGGATTTTCACTGCAAACGTTACCGTTCTCCATACCTGCTGACACAGAAAATTCCCTGTACATAGTTGCAGAAAAGTACAGGAAAGCCCTGCTGGGACACAGGGGAATGTCCATAACTCTGCCTCTGGAGAGTGGAAGTGACCTGCAAGGACTGGTTGTAATTCTGTTTTGCCCAAAGCCCTACCTGTCTAAATTTTCTGCTTAAGGTATTTTTAGTCAGTTACCACTAGGCCAAGATTGGGAAAGATGGGAACACTCTTCAGTGCTCTTACAGACAAGACAAGTGAAGGTTGAAAACAGAGTGTTTAGAATTAGCCTGAATTCAATTCTTGCTCTGTCACTTACTTGCTCTATGAACCTCGGCAGGTGACTTAACCTTCCTGAGCCTTCATTTCTTCATTGATAATGTGTGGAAGATCATCTGCTGTGAGGATGAGATAAACAGGTATACATAAGGAACAGTGCCCAGTATGAAAGGATATGTGCTCAGTGAATAGGGGTGGTTATTATTAATACTTCATAGTTCCTTTTATATCTAGTTTATAACTAGTTTTTTGCTTGTTTGTTTCAGATATGCTGGTGTGAACCATTGGCTTTTTTTGTTTTAGGTTTGGATTTATTTCTTGAAATAAATCTCTAAGGGTAGCATTATTAGGTCAAAGACCATCAAAAGCACAGAGTATAGATGCTGAGCATGGGCTCTGGAAACAGACCACCTGGGATCAATCCCAGCTGGCTGTGTGGTTTGGGGCAGCTTTCTTGACTTCTCTGTGCTGTGATCGTATAGAATTTAAATCATTGTTACTTGTTATTATGAATGTATGATGGATCTTAGTAGATATGGGCAGGTTACCTTCTAAAACTATAGTAATTTGATTACTATATTAACTATCCCATCAGACTAAGTGCAGACCTTAATTTTTTGTGTCTGTTTTATTTAAC
This sequence comes from Homo sapiens, assembly GCF_000001405.40. Taxonomy (NCBI): domain Eukaryota; kingdom Metazoa; phylum Chordata; class Mammalia; order Primates; family Hominidae; genus Homo; species Homo sapiens. The sequence goes on along the minus strand of NC_000011.10, from coordinate 93,269,382 downwards.
TGTTTTCACATTCTTTCTGTTTTATTCTCATTTTGTTGTCTCTGTTATGCAATTATTTATTTCTGTATTTCATCATATCCATCTCCTCCCCATTATACAATTTTCTGATGTTTCAAGAGTCAAAATTAGATCCCAACTGCCTCATCTAAATGACTCTAGCTGTGGCATTTTAGGAAGAGAATGGAGGAGATGTTTTGGGAACAGGAAGCCTTTCTAGTATCCTTTTTTAAAAACATTTTCTCAGCAAGGCAATATTACTTCTATAGAAGGGTGCATCTCACCGGTGGAACAATGGTGAGAGCACACCTGAACAAGGGAGGGGAAGGGGTTCTTAGCCCTGACACAGGTAGTCCCTACTGCTGTGTCATTCCCCTATTGGCTAGGGTTGGACTGCACAGTCTAAGCTAATTCTGATTGGCTGTTTTAAAGAGAGCAGGGGTACGAGCCAGAGTGTCAGGGTGAGTAGTTTGGTGGGAAGGACGGTTACAGAACAGGTGACTCAGGATGACTAAGAACAGAGCAGGTGACCAAGGATGACTAAGGTCAGAGCAGGTGGTAGGGGCTAGGAGGTAGTTGTTTACTGAAACTAGGGGCAAGGAGATGTAAAGAACAAGGAAGTTAAACTTTAAAATGAAGAACAAAGAATAGGGGAGCTGAATATACTGATACATTGGTTCTTTGGAGAGGATCTCAAAACTCATTGTACTTAACAGGCTAAAACCTTTGAAGACGAATTTATTGTATCCTACGATTTCCCCCCTTTCAATTTTCAGAGTACTTCCTCTTCAAACTTTTTAAACATGTCTTGGCTCTGCTGCTTGACTTAATCCTCTACAAGAAAAAGCTGATCTGAATAGGGTGGAGGAGAGCTAAAGGAAGTTTTAGTAAGTGTTGCTTCTATATGTCTTTGTACTAGCCCACGGATGCATGGTATGACACAACACCCAACAAGAATGAGTACACCTATTACGGCTACAAGAGAAGTAAGACTTGAGGCTATGATTTCTTTCCACTTACCAAACCACCTTTCTAGCCACTCTGAGAAAGGGTTTCCAACTCCAGAATTTTAGCTAGTTCATTGGATAAAGCAGTAAGTCTTTGTAAGGCCCTTGTTATACTCCTAGTCAGGGCAGTGTTGTTTGGGATAAAGGTACAACACTGAGTTTTAATCATAACACAAACACCACCTTTTGCAGCTAATATCATATCTAGGGCCATTCTGTTTTCCCAGGCCATCTAGCGAGTGGGCCCCAATTATTCTGCTATCCCTTTGACAGCATCCCTGGTGTAATTAATAAACTGCTGCTGATTATAATTGATGTAATTTATCCAATCTACGTTTTTATTAATTGTCACCCACTAAAATATTGACTTAAATCCTGCAGCTATTTGATCTCGGGCGTTAAATTCATCTGGTACTCCTTGTGGAACTCCAATAGTGTTTATATAAACATGGGGGTCAAACGACCCACGTGACGCACTACTTCTTTTATGATTTTATTTTTTATCTTGTTGACGGAATGCTAGGGTGAAAGGGATGGCCAATTGGATTAGAGCACGAGTGCTGCTCTAATTACTTAGCAGAGTACCCAGAAGTAGTCCCCCGCAATACCACCACACATCTGCTCAGGAATGAACAAGGGCAGATTGATTGGCAAGCTCTTGAAAAGGCTTGGTTTCACTGCACCTTGTTAAGTCTCCAAGGAATGCTAACATTTCCCCCTGCCATGAAAGGCAAGAGGTGAAGTTAACATCGGAGGCTAGAGGCTGGATGGCCCTCAGGGGCTGATCTGCAGGGCTCTTGACCTCAGGGAACAGCAGTGAAAGAATCTTGCATGACTCATCGCCACAGGCTGTGGGGTTCTGGAAGAGAGCTACCATACAGCTCATGCCCGGTCCATGAGAGGACTACCCAAGTGGAAAGGGGACAGTTTGGGTCTCTGGCCTGCCTGTCACACAAGCGTAACTGTTGCTTTTGTTAAGTGTGCAAACAGAATATTTAATCCATTCCAGCCAAGCATTTGTGTCCTTATACCCTGTTCCAATTGCTATAGTTTGTTTTAGATCTTTAACCTCTACAACAGCTACTTTGGTTTTATCATTGGGTATATAATGAGAGAAGATCTGGTTAGCAGAGAACTTAGGAGAGGGAGAAGGGGATGCAGGAAGTGAGGAGTCAATGAAGTGCATTTCAAAGGATCCTATGGGGTCCTTCCCTGAGACTTCTGCTGCTAGACCATAGAAATGGCTTAATGAAGGGGAAGAACTCTGGAGAGCAGAGATGGTCATCTGTACTGGATTACATTGGTTCAGCTGACCATGGGGATGGGTAACTCCTTTAGTGAAATGAATATATGGTTTTAAGAAACTGCAGGTACTTGTTGGGGTGGTCCATCCTTGCTCTTTAGTATTTTGTAGATCATTGGACCAACTTCAGCAGAGAAGCTCTGCTCTAGGAGGACAAGATTTGCAGTTTATACTGGAATCTTCGTCAAACTCTTCCCAAACTAACTTATCCCAGTTAACAGATTTCCAGTCTGAGGAGAGCTAGGAAGGATAAAGATACTTTTCTGAAGTGGAGAGTTGCCTCTGATTTGGCAAATCTCCACAGGGCATCACAAGGCAGACATCAAAAGTAATAGTTTGGGGTGAACTTGACCTAGTTACATTAATAATGAGAGGACTAGCAATGGAAGGGGAAAAGAAAAAGATGCAATATAAGGGGATCAAACCCCATTTTAGCTTTAGCGTGGTTGGAGTTGGCCCTAGAATAGCTGTCCATGATTCTGGAGGGGGTGGTGCTCTTTTGAGCCAGGTGTGATGAGTCCATCCTCTTTCTGCTGTTCTAACTGCAGTCTCGGTGGTTAGAATCACTAGGTAGGGTCCTTCCCAAGCAGGTTTGAGTTTTCCTTGCCTCCAACTTTTGACGAGGATGTGGTCCTCAGGCTGATGTTTGTGTACTGGAAACGCTAGGGGTGGCGCCTGTGCTAAAAGACCTTTAGTTCTGAGGGAAGAGAAGGTGGAAGATAAACCAAGTATATAATTTCTGAGAAACTGATCTTTTGTGTTGAACATGGGAATGTCAGCAGTGGAGAGCAAACAGGGAACCTATACAACATTTCATAAGGGGATAAACCAACATCTCTCCGAGGAGTAGTTCGGACTCTCAACAGGGCAATGGGGAGGCATCTAGTCCATGGCAACTGAGTCTCTAAGACTAATTCGGTTAGGTGGCTTTTTTATAGTTTGGTTCGTTCTTTCCACTCTTCCTGATGAAGGTGGGTGCCAGGGAGTATGATATTCCCATGTTATTTCCAGTACCTGGGCTAATTTCTTAATGACATGTGCACTGAAATGAGTCCTATTATCTGAATCAATGTTTTCTATCAATCTAAACCTGGGTATAATATTTTCAACTAATGCCTTGACTACATTATTAGCGGTTGTACTTGAAAAGGGAATAGCTTCTACCCAGTGAGTAAGATGATCTACTATTACTAATAAATACTTTGGATGACCAATTGGAGTCATCTCTGTGTAATCAATCTGGATACTTTGGAATGGCCTTAAGTCTGGACTCCTTCTCCCAAGGGATAATCTTTTTAAGTTTGTTTATTGGTTTTCTTACATACTGAGCAAACTGTCTGTAACCCCTTTGGCCAGGGTATAAATTTCTATGCACGCATAAACTCTGAGGACTCCGTCACACATGGCTTGGGGCCCCCAAAGGGTCTCTTGATGCAGCTGGAACAAGATTTCCCTTATAAGGGATTTGGATAACATTTCTCTCTGGTCTGGCAATATCCATTTTCCTTCTGAATTCTCTTTAGCACCTGTTTTTACTAGTTGTTAGACCAAAGAAAGCCAAACACCATTTTATATTTGACAGTGCTTCCTGTATGATTTTATACCAGATAAGCTAAATTTCACCTTTATATAAGTGTGCTATTAATGTTAAACTCAATTTTAATAAAACCTTGTAGACACATTTATCCAATTTTAATGTCTGACCATAAGGTAAGATTTTTATAGACTCTTTTTAACCCTTTATCATTTTTGTTAAAGATCAGGTTAGTGCTTTAAGAAAAACCAGTTGTGCTTTTATTTTAATGTCCGGTTTACAGAAAAACTGGATGATATCCTTTTAACTTTAGCCAATATGTTTACACACAGAATTTTCTTTACAATTAACGTTTCAAAACTTGCTTAAACCTTCAAAACAATTTTTTAACCTTTTAATGTAGGTAAAAATCCACATTCTTATGCCTCCTTATAATGCTGTTACCAAAAGTATATTTTACTTTCCTTACACACCTTGCACATAAACTATTTCTTCAATAGTTTTACATTCAGGAGACCTAATTACTTTTAAATTATAGAACATTTCTTGCATAAATTCCCTTTTATAACATTTTTCACGACTTTCACAGACAATCTTTGACATGTCTTAACTTTCTGACTTGTTGTAAACATTCCTTTCTTTAAACAACAGTTAATTTACTTTAGGACAAGAATTTACCATATAAAATTCTTTTTACATAAATTCTCCTTTTTTAATGTCAAAGATGATAAACATTCTTTCCCAAAGCAAACTTCCTTCATGTCTGTGGACTAGACTGCCTAAGGCCCCAAGATTAGAAGTTAAGATAATACATGTTACACTGTAACAAACTTTAGCAAACTTTACTTTTGTTGAAAACCTTGTAAGTTTGGGATTTTAATTATGTGCTAGGTGTAGAGCCTAGGACCTAACAGAAGTTCGGATAAGGTCTGGCTTATTGTAGCATTTAACTCCATGTGTCCTAGCTGCAAAGCAGGCCAGTTGTACAGCTAAGAAACAGTAGCCTGTTTGGCTATCTGATCTACTAGGTTATTTCCTCGACTTTCAAAAGGAAGGCTTTTCTAGTGTCTGGGAACATGGACAATAGCTATTTCTTTTGGCAATTGAAAGTTATGTAATACTTGGGTGATTAATTCCTTGCGGACCAGGTCTTGGCCTTTGCTATTAATAAGACCTCATTCAGTCCAAATTTTTCCAAATGTATGAGCCACTCCAAAGGTGTACTTAGAATCGGTATAGATGGTTCCTTCCTGGTTCTGTAAGTACTTTAGGGCTTGGCTGAATGCAAACAGCTCACACGTTTGAGCAGACCAATTGTTAGGCAATTTTCCTAACTCTATTTCTGTAAGAGTTTCTCTATCAATTACTTAATACCCATTGTGTCTTTTTCCCTCAACCACCTGGGAGGAACCATTTATAAATAAGTGTCATTCCATCCTGAAGCGAGTTTCTCCTAGGTCTAGTTGGACCATTGTATGATAATCAGTTAAATCTAAACATGTGTGCTCTCTCTTTAGATTTGGATCCCCTGTTTGGAAACTTGCTGGGTTAAGCAAATTATCAGTGGTTAATGTTAAAGCATCTTTTTTCTAACAGAATAGCCTCATACTTTAAGATTCTTGAGTCAGTAAGCTACCTTTTTGCTTTCCGACTTAGGATAGTTCTGACCTGGTGAGGTGTGCTCACAACGAGGTTTCCTCCAAAAGTTATTTTTCTACTTTATTCTGTTAGCAAAGCAGTTGCCGCTACAGATTGAATGCATTTGGGCCATCCGTGGGTTACTGGGTTAAAGATTTTTGATAGGAAGGCTACGGGTTGTCAGTGGCCTCCGTGCTTTTGGGTAAGTACTTCTAAGGCTACACTCTTGTTTACAGTGACAATAAGATGGAATGGCTGCTTAAGGAGGGTAAAGCTAGGACAGGGGCAGTTACTAACAGATGTTTTAACCTTTCTACCTGTTGGATTTCTGGTAATTGCCAAATGAGGGGTTTTGGCCCATCTTGCGTGAGCTTTTTGTATCAGGGTTTTGTTTTTAGGGCATAAGAGTCTATCCATAAGATGACAGTACCCGACTAATCCTAAACTTTTCTAAGTTCTTGTTTAGTCTCTGGCAGAGGCAAGGATATGATGCCTTCAATCCGTTCAAGCTCAATTTTCCATTTACCTTTGCTAATTAAATGACTTGTTCTAATATTTGACTAAATAAATTTGGAGACTGTAAACCCTTGGGGGTAAGGCTATCGGCATTGCTATTTTCGACCGGACTGAGGGTCTTCTCACTCAAAGGCAAATACATCCTGGCTGTCCTCTGCTAACGGACAAGCCCAGAAGGCATCTTTTAAATCTATTACTGTAAACCACTGGTGACAGCTTGGGATCTTACTGATAATACTATAAGAATTGGGAACAACAGGGTGTGTAGTTTGGACTATTTGATTAATAGCTCTAAGGTCTTGCACTAACCAGTATGACCAATCTGGCTTCTTTACAGGCAGTATTGGAATGTTATAGGGAGACATACAGGGTTTAAGGAGCCCATCACGGAGAAGACCTTCAATTATCAATTATAGGTTTTAAATTTACCCTAGCTTTTAAAGGAATAAGGTACATTGCTTTCTCTTTACTATTTCCCCAGGGGTTTTTAATTTAACATGAATCAGAGGAATCTGTAACTTTCCTTGATTCCCGTCTTTTGGCCGTATCTCGGGATGAATGTGTTCTTCGTCTGCAGTGGTGAGCAAGTTTAGGGAGGGGAGGAATTTTCCATGATTGATTTGGAGGCCTAAGCTTAATTTTAGCATTAAATCTCTTCCCCCTGCTACCGGAATTAACAGAAATTTAATATTAGCTGATTTGCTTTTATGTATGACTTTTGTTCTTTTTCCCATTTGGGACATTCTCTTTTGAAGTGGCCTATTTTTAATTTGAAACATTTGTTTTGTCCTCTTTCTTTCCCTTTGCCTCTCCCTCTCTCTTTGCCTCTCTGTCTCTTTCTCTCTCTCTCTCTGCCTCTCTCTCTCTCTCTGTCTCTCTCTTTCTCTCTCTCTCTGACTCCCTCTTTGCCTCTCTGTCTCTTTCTCTCTCTCTCTTTCCTTCTCTCTCTTTGACTCTCTGTCTCTGTGACTCTCTCTGTTCCCTCTGTCAGTCTTTCTCTCTCCTCTTAGAATTTTTTTCTCTACCTTTGAGTCTCCTGGCTTTACTCTTTTGTACCCTTTATATTGCCTGGAGAGTGGGGGTCTAGGCTTTTTTTTATAGGTTCTGGCCCCCTGGGTACTTTATTGTATGGTGGACAGCAGAATTTTTGCCTTCTGCTTTTGTTTTTCTTCATCTCTTCTTACAAATACTTGTTGGGCTTCTCTTATAAGCTCTTCTATAGGTTTATCTTTCTAGTTCTCTGTCTTTTGTAATTTCTTGTTAATATCTGGCCAACTTAGTGACAAAGTGAAGTTTTAACATTCCCTGCCCAAGAGGATCCTCGAGACCTAGACCAGCCTATTTTCTCATTTGTTCCTTTAATCTGTCTAAAAATTCTATAGATCCTTCATCTTTCCCTTGCTGTATATCAAATGTTTGGGTAAGATTCTGGGTTCGGGGTACTGATTATTTAAGCCCCTTTATTAATTCCCTAAGGTCCTGCATATTTTCTTGGTAGGCTGCATTGTTATTATCCCACCGGGGGTCTTGGGTGGGATATTTTTGATCTGCTGTAGGAACATTTTGGCCAGGAGGGTGTTCACGTTCCTAGGCTCCCATAGCAGCTCTACAGATCATGCCTCTTTCTTCCCCCTGAGAAGAGGGGAAAGGGAAGTTCTGGATATCCTTTTTACACTGCTCTATCTCATGTTGAAGTCCTTTTAGGGAAGGGTACTTAGGCTGGTAGTGAGTGGGCTCTTGGGATGATTCCCAAGAAGCAGGATTATAAGGAGGGGGACAACAGGGACAAGAGAAGGGTCTGGGACTGCAGCTGCTTTTTCTTGTTTTTGGTTTTTTCCTTCTAATATTTTAACATTAGGCCTAGGGGATTATTAGGGGGAATATTATTGTTGCTAGCTTTATTCTTTTTATCTCTTACCTTACTTGGGGTATTTCCCATCTTGATGGTTTTGAGGTGAGGCTCAATTTCCCTTACTGGAAATTTCTCACCTTCCCTACTACTGGAGGTTTGTGTGAGGCTCAATCCCCCCCAGTGGAGATTCCTCACCTCTTTTTAACCTCCAAGACACCCCGACCAAGGAATGCTTCACCACCACCGTGGCTTTTCTTGCCTCGGTATTTCCTGACCAAGGAATACTTCACTGCCCCTGTGATTTTTCTTACCTTGGTCCTGACCAAGAAATACTTCACCTCCTCTGTGGCTTTTCTTACCTTGGTCCCAACCACCAAGGAAATACTTTGCCGCTTTTGCTACGTTTGTTACATTGGTCTGTGCACAGAGTTACCTGGTCACCACGGTACATGAAAATCCTTTCCCAAGCTGCTGGCCTGTTTCTTCCTGCGTTGCTGAGTCCGGGTTTATCCATCACACTGGGTGGGTCTCAATTCCTTACCCCTGAGGCCACTGCAATGAGGCAACTGGGTGCGCCTCCTCACGGGAGAGGTCTAGACCCTCCCCAGAGGAGAATGGGAATTCTGGATGGGCCCCCAAATTTGTCAGAAATAAATTTTCAGTGCCACGAAAGAAATAGCATTCGAACATTAATTTTCTCAGCAAGGCAATTTTACTTCTATAGAAGGGTGTGTCTCACGGGTGAAGCAATGGCAAGAGCATCTCTAATATCCTTTATGTAGCACCGGTGATGAGAAATTTGAGAGGGATAGCAGGAAGCTGGGACTCAGAGTACAGTAAGATCAGCATTGAATCTGGGCTAAAGTTATTCAAGTAGTGGGATAGGAGAAGAGTGAAAGGAACGTCTGATTCAGAATCAGGACACCTTTTTGTTAACAGTATGATCACTGGTAAGTGGACAGAATATCTTCTGGTCTCGTGCAAATCATTTTCAGATATACTTTTAAATTTTCATTTAGCCCACCCCCATGCTGTCACTACAGTAAGCCCTCTGTAGAGAAGACACTTTAAAAAAGGAAAGAGAGTATGTTTTCTTATTTGGGTGATATGAACAAAAGGAATAAACAGAGAGGGGACTAATTGCCAAGTGATGTATATTTCCACTCCTGTCTCTAGGGTACACTTTTTTTTTGAGATGGATGGAAATGGATGTAATAATTCCTCCAGAACTAGGTTGAAACCCAACTTTCCCATTCCACAAGAGCTGCAGAAATAGGCCAGCCTGTGTCTCAGGATATCTTCAGAACAAGATGGATGTGAAAAGAACAACTGCTGAGCTTCTGCGGCGCTCTCCTCCCACCATGCCTGGCCAGGTATTAACCACCAGATTCAGCGTAACCTCTCACTGGTCCCCGTCTTGCACAACTGCAATATCATAAGTAGAGGCACAGTTATCATTGGTGTATTTCTCCTTATGCCCAACCAAAAAAGCAAAGGTCTAATTTTTACAGGCTCACAGTTTTTTTTTTAACTTTTCAGGAAGTCAAAGCCAATAAAGCATATCATTCCCCTGGTTGACTTGAGTGACCTGGTTCTTAACAGGTTTTAAACTCAAACATACTTACTGTCTGAATTCTAAATATGATAGCATGCATTTTATTCTCCTTTCCAGGGGTAATGTATAAAATAATGTTAGGCATAGTGAAATTCCCAAACATTGACTCACACCTGTTTTTACCTTTCCTCATTTTCTAAGGTTAGATAATCACAAATGAAACGTAAAGAAATACTCTATACAGAAAGTCTGTTAGCTTTTCTCAATCTCGATTTTCTCACCTTTACAGTGGGAATAACTAATAATGCTGACATTTACCCCCAGAGTTGTTATAAATGTTCAATGAGAAAATGCATATAAAATTGCTTTGTAAGTCAGGACTGATGGTGTATACCTGTAGTCCCAGTGACTTGAGAGGCTGAGGCAAGAGGATCTTCTCAGCCCAGAAGTTTGAGGCAGCAATGAACTATGATCACACCACTATACTCCAGCCGCTTTGACACAAGAAGACTCCATCTCTTTAAAAAAAAGTGCTTTGTGAATCACTGAAGTGCTTAAAAATACTACGTAATATTTTTATTGGCTTCAAAATGTAAACCATAATTTCATTCAGTACTAACAGAAACAAGAAAAAGATAAATATTCAGAAACATAGTAAAGATGATAGCAGTCAAAGCAATTCCCTAATGTTCACTGAATATGCACGAATTATGCAAATTAAATATTAATTCTGCTAATTGTTTCATAATTCTTAATTTATTTTAAAATATTTATTAATTCCATTCTTATGTTTCCCTGAAGTTTATTTTGCTCTTTTTTATAATTTCTTAGGTTGAGTGTTTTATTCATCTATTTCCATTCATTATTATTTAACAATGAAATAACTTAAAAATACACATTTGCCTTTGAGTGTGACTTTGGCCATATGTCAAATGTTTGATGTATATTGTTATTATCACTATTTTCTAAGTAGTCTGTAATTACTGTTTGATTTTCCCTTTGATCTAAATTACTTAGGAGAAAGTTTTGACATTTTCAGGAAGTTGGATTCTTTTGTTTATACTTCTGTTAGTAATTTCTACCTCTATATTATGGTAATCAGAAAATATCGATGGCAAGTTTTCTGTTTATTTTTCTTTTTGGAATTTATTAAGATTTTCTTTGTGGCTCACTATATGATCAATTTCTTTAAATATTTCTGTGAGTACACAAAAAGGAAAAATGCAATATTTACATTTTCATAGGGCAGAATTCTACATACTGTATATACTTATTACATTACCACATTAATTAAATTATTTATCTTCTTTGTTTTAAGGCTTTCAAATGGATAATCCATGGGCAAACTTCAGGAGATCTGTGTGTGCCTTTTTATAGGAAGAGAGTTCATGGTTATCTCAGATTCTGAAAGGGATCTGTGACTCTCAAAATATTAAGAAACTCTGCCTGACAGAGCAAGGAGGTCTGTCAAGGAGCAGGAAAGGAAAGTTAAACTACTGAATATAGCTTAAAATTAACATTAAAAAGTATTATCAAACAAATAAAAATTATAATTATTTTATTAATATACAGGATTCCAAGATATAGTCACATTGATATTTACTATCTATCCATTCTGTAAATAGTGCTAAGTGGCCTTTGCTTATTTGACTCCAGGCCTTGGAATGGAACTCACAAGGAAGTTGGCTTTCTAAAGGATAGCAGGAAAAGGGGTCAAGCCACTTCATCCAAATCTGTCAGCTCTGGAATAAATTGGTCACATATATTCCATTTTCCCTGTAAGTTTTGCACTGAGTCCTTTGCAGTCTCCTCTCTTGTACTCTCCATGTTTTCTCTGATACTCCTCTGTTGATGCTCTGAGAAGGCAGCCCATTTTGGAAAGCTAATCATGTCCCTAAGGTGAATCAGTTCAAAGTCATGTACTTCCCTAAGAGAGACAGGACAGTAAAATGCATCAATTTTTAGGATGGGAATGATGACCACTTAAAACTGACAGGCAAATTGCAGATGTACTTGGAATGGGAAATACCAGCTGACAACGAAGTCAAGCATTTTTAAAACAATGTACATGAAGAATATAAAGCCCACATTAAGAAAATTGAAAAGCTCGTAAAAGAAATGGTGAGGGTTAAAAGGTGAACCCTCACCATTTGCTTGACAAAAGTTCCTTATGCCTAATCCTCTGAGGTATTAGAAATTCACAGAATTGACTTACCCGTTTAGGTACATAACACAGTGTTCCTATGTACATATGGCTCACAATACTTTCCGGGCCCATGAAGATGTCTTAATTTTAGTTTCTTTTAAAAGCAGAAGAAAAATGAATAATAGTGAATGTATAATAATGAATCCAGCTTGGACTATACCTGCTTTATGTCATTGCAGTTTTAAAATATAATTAATAAATTTTTTAATGAAAGAAGGGACCCATGAAGGCAAAGTGCCATGAAAGTCATAATGGGGCCCTGGGAATAATTATTGATTCAACATGGTGATTTGTCAGTACCTAAGCAGGTGCTTTGTGAAGGTTGTTTGTTGTGTGTTTATGCATGTTTTTGAGGTATTGTTTATAATAGATTATATTCTTTTAGCAGAATGGAAATCGAGACTGACAGCCTTTTCCTGTGTATGCTTCTTTCTTTCTGTTTGTTTCACTCTGGCTCTTTTTCTCCATAACTTCTTTTACTTGCTTATCTCTTGCACACGGCCCAATAGTCCCCAGCCTTCACTCAGCATCAGATCTACCACTGATGTTCAATCTTTGTGGCTTTGAGTTTAAATTCTCTCGTAAGCATTTGCTACAGCATCCTCTAGTCAGGTGTTCAACATACATCCAATTAGCTGTAGCAAAATCTTTCCCTCTCCCTAATACCCTTGCAGGCCCTGACCCTTCTGCAAGATGTGGTGGGGCAGCTGATGAAACGTCTTCTACTATGTAGCTTTAATAGGAGTCTATTACACACAGGGCAGAATACAATAATAGGAAGAATAAACTTAGCAGCAAGTAGTAGCCTTACTATAATTACATCATTATAATTTCTCATTCTCTTGATTGTCATCTTGCTGCATATGCAACATGTGGGAAACAGAAGCCTCTTCCCTGGGAAATGCCATTTGCAGAAACTATATGCAATTTAGGCATCTCTCAGTGAAGAGCCACATTACATAATCAGGCAGGACTCCTGCCTAGAGACTAAGCTATTCTCTAAAGATGAACAGATACCCTGCTGAGTCCTTTTTGCAGGATGTGTGACCTATCTGTGTAAGTATCCACATCACATACATTTCATGTCACTTCAGAATTGTAATAAGCCTTCTTCATTAATGATTATGTATTAGGAACATTTGAGTAGATGTGACTTTAATAGTAAGTTGAACTTTATTTAATTATCACATTGTCACAAGCCTTTCTACATTTGTAGAATTTTAATACTCAATAAGCACAATATTGTTTCACTATAAAGAAATATGATGGGTGTATAGCAATTTGGTATTACTAAAACATATATTCTCTATCTCAAATAAGATGAACTCTGAGAAATAAAACCCTTTATCTGTCATACTTTCAAGTTACATGTGTATCACTCCTGTTTAAATAGAAGAACAGCAAAGCTTCAGCCCTTTCTTGATCAGAAGAAAGCTTTTGAGCAAAAAATAAAAATTAATCAATGACAGTTGTTTCTTAAGATTATCTAACTAATTGAGAAATAGGAAATATTCTATTATGGATATTGTATCAGCTGGAGTTAAGTTGTAATGAACAGCATCTATTCAGCAAGTTCAAGAGAAATGAATTTATTAAAAGGTATTGTATGGTTTATTGTACCATTGGAAGGCAAAGAATTGCCCTCTAGGCTGACCTTCTAAAAACAACTTCTAAAACCAGTGTGTGGAACTGAGTCAAAGGAGCGGTTGCTTCTGCAATGGTCAAGAGACTGAAGATTCAGGAAGCTGATATGCCAACCATCTGCTCCTGAGCCACACTGTCTCTTTGCCAATGCTACTGTCCACACCAGCAAAATGGTGTGACATCCTGTCCCTCTTCCCATGCTGCTTAGTTCTAAATCAAAGTGTCATTTGATTACACCTGGGGCAACATTAGCTGCAAGGAGTCTGAGAAGTATAGTTTTTAGCTTTCTGGCCTCTGCCTGCTAAAAGGGAGCCAGGATAGGGCCGAATGAGTTAATTTAGAGTATTTACCATGGATATGTAACTGGATAATACTGAAAGCTTGAGTAACGTTAAAATCAGATATGGTTATTTTGCTGCGTTTAATTTTTTTTGCCCTTTCAGGACAGGAATTACATTAAGTATAGTCTTTGGTTAATAAAATTCTTGTACCATTGATTGACATATGGCCACCAAATTAATTAATTAATAATATAATAAACATCATGGACCACCCATCACTAAAATAAAAGTTAGGTCCTTGACAATAACCTATAGCTAATACAACTTCCCCATATATCCACTGCCCTAGGAAACATCACCCTGAATTTTTTTTTAGGAAAGAAGAGATAACAAAATTTATTATTTTTTTTCCAAAGGAAATTGCTTTATTTTTTATTTCAATTGGTTTTTGGGGAGCAGGTGAATATGTTCTTTAGTGGTAATTTCTGAGATTTTGGTGCACCCATCACCTAAGCAGTATACACTGTACCCAATGTGTAGTCTCTTATCCCTCACCTTCTCCCACCCTTTCCCCAGAGTTCCCAAGGTCCATTGTATCATTTTTATGTCTTTGCATCCTCATAGCTTAGCTCCCACTTAAGTGAGAACATACAATGTTTGGTTTTCCATTACTGAGTAACTTCACTTAGAATAATGGTCTCCAATTCCATTCAGGTTGCTGTGAATGTCATTATTTCATTCCTTTTTATGTCTGCGTAGTATTCCATGGTGTGTATATGTATACCACAATTTCTTTATCCACTCGTCAATTAATGATGGGCATTTGGGCTGGTTCCACATTTTTGCAATTGCGAATTGTGCTGCTATGAACATGTGTGTGCAAGTATCTTTTTCGTATAATGACTTCTTTTCCTCTGGGTAGATACCTAGTAATGGGATTGCTGGATCAAATGGTAGATTTTAGTTCTTTAAGGAATTTCCGCACTATATTCCATAGTGGTTGTATTAGTTTACATTCCCATCAGCAGTGTAAAAGTGTTCCCTTTTCACCACATCCATACCAACATGTAAAATTTTTTTATTTTTTTGATTATGGCCATTCTTGCAGGAGTAACGTGATATTGCATTGTGGTTTTGATTTGCATTTCCCTGATCATTAGTGATGTTGAGCATTCTTTCCTATGTTTGTTGGCCATTTGTATATCTTCTTTTGAGAATTGCCTGTTCATGTCCTTAGCTCACTTTTTGATGGGATTGTTTATTTGTTTTTTTTTCTTGCTGATTTGTTTGAGTTCCGTGTAGATTCTGTTTATTAGTCCATTGTCAGATGTATAGACAGCAAAGATTTTCTCCCACTCTGTGGGTTGTCTGTTTACTCTGCTAATTTTTTATTTTGCCATGCATAAGCTTTTTAGTTTAATCAAGTCCCATCTATTTATCTTTGTTTTTGTTGCATTTGCTTTCGAGTTCTTGGTCATAAAAATCTTTGCCTATGCCAATGTCTAGAAGGGTTTTTCCAATGTTATCTTCTAGAAATTTTATGGTTTCAGGTCTTAGATTTAAGTCCTTTATCCATCTTGAGTTGATTTTCATATAAGGTGAGAGATGAGGATCCAGTTTCATTCTTCTCCACGTGGCTTACCAATTATTCCAGCACCATTTGTTGAACAGGGTGTCCTTTCCCACTTTATATTTTCGTTTGCTTTGTTGAAGATCAGTTGGCTGTAAGTATTTGGCTTTATTTCTGCGTTCTCTATTGTGTTCCATTGGTCTAGGTGCCTATTTTTATACTAGTACCATGCTGTTTTGGTGACTATAGTCTTATGATATAGTTTGAAGTTTGGTAATGTGATGTCTCCAGATTTGTTCTTTTTGCTTAGTCTTGCTTTGGCTATGCAGGCTCTGTTTTGGTTCCAGATGAATTTTAGGATTGTTTCTTCTAGTTCTGTGAAGAATGATGGCATCACCCTGAATTTCATGTTTTATTGCATCTCTAAGTATTCTTACAGACTATTTATTTTAGTTAATCTCTACCATCATAAAGATGAAAGAATAAAGTGTATAATCGTTTGGTGCTTACTTTTCAGTGAATATTATAATGCTAGATTCATCCATATTTTTTGCATTTCATTGTAGTTTCATTCAGTCCAACTGCTATATTCTGTTGCTGAATATAACAATGTTCTATTATATGAATATTCATCTATTTTTCTCTTAATGGACACCTGTACTGCTTCAAAGTTTCAATATGTGAACAATGCTGCTATATGAATATTCTTTCATATTGTCAGCCTAAATAACAAACAAGAAGAGGCTCTCTAAAAGAAAATATGTTTGTTTGGGAATATAGTATTGCAATGGGAATACGTATGTCATAGTGAACAATGTGTATATTCAGGGAGGTAAAGGAAGACAAAGGTTTTTAAAGGGAAAAAATGAGGAAGATTACATAACTGTTTTGAAATAATTATTCTTAGCTACAAAGATTAATAGCAAGACTGACATCAGTCCAAGGTTGAATAAGCCATTGCCAGGCAGATGTCCTTGCAGAAGTATTTTTGATCTAAGATTGCAATGGCTTTTGTGCAATGCTGTAGTTTTTGTGGAGTCTTTTTCATTGTTAGGCATACAATCATGAGAATCTTCTCTTCATGGCCTTCTCTGGCTATATGTGTCAGAGTTTTCTTAACATTAGTGACTACACTTTGATTCTGATAACTTTCACAATATATACTAGAGTTTGTAAAGGAGTGTTTACCAAAGATGAAATTGCTGGCTAATGGGATTTTTTTAGTTAGGATCAGAGTTCTGCACATTTAAGATACTCAAAAATACATAATCTTTAGCCAAGTCAGGTTTAAAAGTAGTAAACTAACATAATAATTAAAAAATATAAAGTAGAACAGCCATACTAATTTACATTCCCACAAACAGTGTGTGAGCATTCTCCTTTCTCCACATCCTTGCCAGCATTTTCTGTCTTTTTGGTAATAGCTATTTTAACTGTATCTCACTATGGTTTTGATTTGCATTTCCCTGATGATTAGGCTGAATGGATAAAAAATGCTATATATACACAATAAAATATTATTAAGTCATAAAATGAATGAAATCCTATCATTTGCAGCAACATGGATGAAACTGGAAGACATTATGTTAAGTTAAATAAGTGAAGCACAGAAAGACAAATATTCCATGTTCTCACTCATATGTGGGAGTGGTCTTGGGGAGGTGGAGAGTAGAGTGGTGGTTACTAGAGTCTGGGAAGGGTAGGAAAAATAGGGAATTAAGAGATGTTGGTTAATGGATACAAAAATACAGTTAGATAGGAGGAAGAAGTACCCGTGTTCAATGGCACACACAGTAGGGAGACTATAGTTAAAAACAATTAATTGTATAATTCAAAATAGCTAGAAGAGAATCTTTGGAACATTCTAAACACAAAGAAATGATCATTATTTGAGGTGATGAATAACCCAGTTACCCTGATTTGGTCATTACACATTGTTCACATGTATCAAAATATCACACATACCCTATAAATATGTGCAACCATTATATATCAATAAAAAGTGAAATTTAAGACTTACAGTTTTTTCTCCAAGAGCCTGTAATTCCTTTTAGAGAAAGAAGTCAAAGTTTATCTTTGAAATCTTATCACTCCCTTAGCCACTGAAGCACAAAGGTCCTCTGGCATGCTGTGATGATCATTTGCTGTGTAAGAGCAGTCCTCCTGCCTCCTGTTGGTGAGGGTGAATTACCTCCAGGCTGGCAACTCCTTATCTTGCCTACTGGCCTTAGCAAAGGAGCCTGAAGAGAGTAGGTGACATCCATAGCTTGAACTTCATTGGCACTCTTGTTCGTTCCATGGTGGAAACATTTTACATCTGGGAATCAGAACTTGTAGTCATGTAGAGCCTAGAGTTGTGGAAATGGAAGAATAAATTATCCATGTGGGTCACGAGGAGTGATGATAAGTGGACTACTTTTGTCGCCCTTCCTTGTTTTTTGGACCCATGCGGTCTGCATATTGGAGATATAACACTGTATAATAGTCACTGGTTTAGGGTATATACTGGGCCCTAAGGATGGAGCCCTATACGCATACAGCATCATCTCTAATCTAGTGCCTAATTGTGCCTTCAAAGAGCAATTCTGTTGCTGTATCAGGCCAACATCTTCTGGGTGCGGCAATATGAAATAGGACCAATAGGTCCCATGATATATATCCCTTTATTATACAATGGGTCCCTTGGTCAATTGCAACATTATTTAGGAGCCCATGTCAACAGGTCAGTTCACTCCATGCCCTCAGATAGTGGTGCTTGCTGAAGCCAAGCAGGCAGGAAGGGTAACCCCATTCCAAGAATATATGTCAACCAGTGCTACTTGGTTGAGTTTGTAGTAATCTGCTTTCATTCTCCAGGATCTGTTTGTTTTTTATAGGGACCAGACTAGTGAATTAAATGAATGAGGATATGATGGAGAGCTCTGTATCCTGTAGGTCTTTAAGGGTAGCACTAATCTCTGCCATTCCCCTCATCAACTGATATTGTTTTGATTTTACAATCTTAGGTGGGGAGAAAGGAAGTTTCAAAGGCTCCTATTTGGCTTTCCCCACCACAATAGCTGTTACCTCACAGAGAAAAGAACAAATGTGAAGGTTCAAGCAATTACCAAGGATACTAATTTCAATTCTATATTCAGGGACTGGGGAAATGACCACTGGGTGGGTCCATGGAGCCAGTGAACACACAATGAACGAGGACCTGGAGCATGACTCCATTTATACTTTATCCCCTTATGACCCCATCTAATGAAGGAGCCATGGTGTTATAGTTGCAACAGAGGCTTCAGTGGATCATATGGGTATCAGTGTCAACATAGATTCAGTGTTCAACAATCTTTGAAACATCTGGATATTGTCCTTTCAGTATATGACTAAATGGCTATAGGTCACTTTGAGGAAGGGCTGAGAGACTGATTACCTTCATATACTTGCCATAGTGTTGCAAGTTTTTTCCTTATGGGGACTTGGTCTCTCTTTCATTCAGTAGGTTCCTTGACTGAAAATTGGCTGTGAACTAGAATGGCCTTTCAGAGATGATATGAATAAAAGCAAGACACCAGGCCTTTGTACCCCCATAGTGACTAGATACAGGCTACTTCTGAGTGCGGTGGGGGCATACATTTGAGCAAGGCAGCTACCTTCAACTGAGTGCAATTTCTGGAGAAGGCTGGCAAGCTGTCAGCTGGCGACACTACCCAAAGCTGGGGGGTTCCTTGATCTTGAAGGAGCATCTGGGTGTTGTCTCATGGCATCTAATACAGTATCAACAGCTCATTCTCTGGAGGCACTTAAGTATCGTCTGAAAATTCTCTTCTCAGTGTCCAGGCTAGCACCTCATTAGCAAGTCCTCAGCATCTTGACTGTCTTCCTTTTTCTCAAAATGCGTTTCACTCCATTTAGTATTAGAACAGTAATGCTAAGAGTTGTTCCCCCTAAAAGAATTCCATAGTCAAACAAACTTGGGAAATGTGGCATAATTTATCTCACTCTTGCAGACTCACAAAACACAGGAACATATTGAAATCTCAGAAAAGACTTACAGTACAACAATCTGTTTCCTAAATTCAGTATTTCCAAAATGTTTCGTATTTTAAGAAACTATGATTCTAGAGAACAAACTTTGGCTGAGGCTCTTTCAATGCTTGAAGGAATTCCTCTTGGCTTCCAGCTTTCAAACATTTTTCTAATTGATTGCCCTTCAATTACGTAATAGATGTTTGCCTTTCTTTTCACTCCCACTGCTCTAAGCCTGGCCTATCTTTATGACTCTGCGAACCTCGACTATTACAATAGTCTCCTGCCAGTGACCCCTCAGGTTTCTCTCACTTCGGTCTTTCACAGAGTCCTGAGAAAAACCAATGGTCTGTAACTGTGCTTTCTACTATGCAGCTGCTAGTCACAGGAGGAAAATAAAACATGCAATGATGAAGCAACTTGAATGCAAAAGAAAATAATAGATTATGTACTTAGACTATAATAATATGATTCAAATTGAATATACAAATGCAGAGGAAAAACAGCTCTGTATTTTCTGGCGTCCTATACACAACTTCAAAGCCAGAGGTCAGGGGACTGTTTTATGGTGATTGTGTTGCCTTGCCCAACAATATGCCCAGATGGAAGGAAGCTTAAGAAATATTTTCCCGGTTCTAAAATAGTAACATGTACAAAGCTGAATCCCACTCTTGTGATTCATCAGTGGTCAAGGAACAAGCAGGGTGTCAGAGTCAGATTTCTTTTAACAGAATTACCTGGAGTGTATAATGGCCTAAATAAAGATCACATGAAGTAAATATCAAAGTTAAAAAAAAATTACTCTCTTAGTTTTCTTTATTTTGGGAAGATGCCTACCAGACCCATGTAACACTGTTGGCATGTGCAAGGGATAATATAAATCCCCAAGAAGTCATCAAAAAAAATGACAGGGCTGTCTCTTAAAGGTTCAGGTCTCTCAGAGTAAACCACAGTATGTGGGCCTCTCCACAGCCCACATTTTCATGCCATTGAAATCTAGATGAAAGGAACTGTGAATTTTAGCTTTCAAAGAGAGAAAAAAGAAGAAGCAACCCTCAAAGAGAAAGATGCAGCCTGAGGAATGAGGGATTGGGGTACCAAACAGCTGGCTATGGTTCTATTTACTAATTAAACAAACATTTAGACCAAGAGATTCCAGGTAAGATGAATATAGAATCCAATAGGCAAAAATAGGTGCAGGAAGCAATTGAGTGAAATATCACACAGCCTCAGAGACTGAGCTTCCAAGTAAGGAAGACAATAGAGAGTAGATGGGGCTTGGGCCAACTGTAGAGTGCATGTAGAGACTCAGACTGATAGGCCAAAACATCAACGTGGTTACTTCTGGGTAGTAGGACTTTAGATATGCTTAACATTTTCTTGTGATGTATTCAATTTTTCTATGGTAGTAATGTGGTTCTTATTGAACACTTTAAAAAATTATGAGTAGGAACTTCCCTTTCAGACACTAGAGGGCATATCAGTTAGCTTTTGCTCCATAACAACTCATCTTAAAACTAAGCAACTTACATTACTTATTTGCTCCCAATTCTATGGGTTGGCAGTCAGGGCTCAGGTGGGATGGCTTGTCTGTTCTCCACATGGTATTGGCTGGGTTGCCTCTTCACTAAAATATCTGATGATGGTTGTCTGTTGGCAGGGGTGTTGGAAGTAACTCAAAATCCAGCAGGTTAGCTTAGGCTTATTTACATGGTAGTGATCAAAGAGTCCCCAAGAGAACCAAGAGGGGGAAAGTCCCAATGCAGAAGTCCTTCTCAAGTCTCTGCTTCCATTTCTTTTGCTTATATTCCATTGGCCAAAGCAAACCACATAGCCAAGCCTAGATTCAAGGTGTAGAATAATAGACTTCATTTCCTGATGGGAAAATTGACAAATACATATTAAAAAGGGGCTTCCATAGATTGCAAAAAATTTGTCGTGATGTTTGAAACCTCTTACAGTGAATAAATTACTCATACTAATCTTACTATTGAAAATAAAAATGCTAGATATGGCTTGCTAAATGTTATTTAAATTAATTAAAGAGTTGACCAGATTATAAAAAATTACCAGACAAAAACCTATGAGAAAACAGGAACCCAGAGAGTTTGGCAGAACATGGAAGCCACTTCTATCTTAAGTATTTTTGGCAATCCAGAAAAATGTGACCTTTGCTTTTAATGTATCACGGAGTGAAGAAAACAGAAATAAAAGCCCAGAGCCTACCTAAAATGTGGGATTTAAAGGGAACCTGCTCCAACATTAAGTTGGAATGCCAAAGGTTTATACTTTCAAAATAAGAGTGAACCACAGCAAATTCATCCTCATCACTTTCCCTGTGGACTACAAAGAAGGCTGCCTTGGTGCTGATCAGAATGTGAATATGTGGTAGAAGGGAGGAGAAATTAGTCCCAGAGTAATTGGCCTTCAAACAGTTTTGCAGCCCAAATTTATTTCAACTAGGAGGTACAAAATACCCGCAACACATGAATTTAATTTAAAGTAGTCCCAGACTCCCAAAACCACAGGCAACAAAACAAAAATAGACCAATGGGATGGTATGAAACTAAGCAAAGGAAACAACTAACAAAGTAAAGAGACAACCCACAGAATGGGAAGAAATATTTGCAAACCATACATTTGATAAGGCTTAATATTCAAAATAGGTAAGGAACTCAAATGACTCAATAGCAAGAAAACAACCTGATTTAAAAAAAACAGGCAAAAGACTAAATAGACATTACTCAAAAGAGAACATACAAATGGCTAATAGGTACATGAAAATGCTCAGTTATCATTAATAATTAGGGAAATGCAAATTAAAACCACAATTAGATATCATCTCACACCTATTAAAATGGCTGTTATCAAAAAAAAAGAAAAAAGAAAGGAAAGAAAAGGAAAGACAAGTGTTAGAAAGGATGTGAAGAAAAGGGGACTCTTTTTTAAATACACTTTAAGTTCTGGGGTACATGTGCAGAACGTGCAGTTTTGCTATATAGGTATACACGTGCCCTGGTGGTTTGCTGCACCCATCAACCTGTCATCTACATTAGGTATTTCTCCTAATGCTATCCCTCCCCTAGCTCCCCACCCCGAACAGGCCCCAGTGTGTGATGTTCCCCTCCCTGTGTCCATGTGTTCACGTTGTTCAACTCCAACTTATGAGTGAGAACATGCAGTGTTTGGTTTTCTGTTCTTGTGTTAGTTTGCTGAGAATGATGGTTTCCAGCTTCATCCATGTCCCTGGGAAGTACATGAACTCATCCTTTTTTATGGCTGCATAGTATTCCATGGTGTATACGTGCCACATTTTCTTCATCCAGTCTCTCATTGATGGACATTTGGGTTGGTTCCAAGTCTTTGCTGTTGTGAATAGTGCTGCAATAAACCTAAGTGTGTGTGTGTCTTTATGGTAGAATGATTTAAATTCCTTTCAGTATATACCTAGTAATGGGATTGCTGGGACAAATGGTATTTCCAGTTCTAGATCCTTGAGGAATTGCCACACTGTCTTCCATAATGGTTGAACAAATTTACACTCCCACCAACAATGTAAAAGCATGCCTATTTATCCACATCCATGCCAGCATCTGTTGTTTCCTGACTTTTTAATGATTGCCATTCTAACTGGTGTGAGATAGTATCTCATTGTGGTTTTGATTTGCATTTCTCTAATGACCAGTGGTGATGAGCATTTTTTTCATATGTTTGTTGGCTGCATAAATGTCTTCTTTTGAGAAGTGTCTGTTCATATCCTTTGCCCGCTTTTTGATGGGGTTGTTTTTTTTCTTGTAAATTTGCTTAAGTTCTTTGTAGATTCTAGATATTAGCCCTTTGTCAGATGGGTAGATTGCAAAAATTTTCTCCCATTCTGTAGGTTGACTGCTCACTCTGATGCTAGTTTCTTTTGCTGTGCGGAGGCTCTTTAGTTAAATTAGATCCCATTTGTCAATTTTGGCTTTTGTTGCGATTGCTTTTGGTGTTTTAGACCTGAAGTCTTTACACATGCCTATGTCCTGAATGGTAATGCCTAGGTTTTCTTCTAGGATTTTTATGGTTTTAGGTCTTATGCTTAAGTCTTTAATCCATCTTGAGTTAATTTTTGTATAGGGTGTAAGGAAGGGGTCCAGTTTCAGTTTTCTGTATATGGCTAGTCAGTTTTTCAAACACCATTTATTAAATAGGGAATCCTTTCCCCATTGCTTGTTTTTGTCAGGTTTGTCAAAGATCAGATGGTTATAGATGTGCAGTGTTATTTCTTAGTCCTCTGTTCTGTTCCATTGGTCAATATGTCTGTTTTGGTACCAATACCATGTTGTTTTGGTTACTGTAGCCTTGTGGTATAGTTTGAAGGCAGGTATAGTATAGCATGATGCCTCCAGCTTTGTTCTTTTTGCTTAGAATTGTTTTGGCTATGTGGGCTTTTTTTTTTTTTCTTTTGGTTCCATATGAAGTTTAAAGTAGCTTTTTCCAATTCTGTGAAGAAAGTCAATGGTAACTTGATCAGGATAGCATTGAATCTATAAATTACTTTGAGCAGTATGGCCATTTTCACGATATTGATTCTTCCTATCCATGAGCATGGAATGTTTTTCCATTTATTTGTGTCATCTCTTATTTCCTTGAGCAGTGATTTGTAGTTCTCCTTGAAGAGGTCCTTCACATCCCTTATAAGTTGTATTCCTAGGTATTTTATTCTCTTTGTAGCAATTGTAAATGGGAGTTCACTCCTGATTTGGCTCTCTGTTTGTCTGTTATTGGTGTATAGGAATGCTTGTGATTTTTGCACATTGATTTTGTATCCTGAGACTTTGCCGAAATTGCTTATCAGGTTAAAGAGATTCTGGGCTGAGATGGTTTGAGATGAAATGTTTTCTAAATATACAATCATGTCATCTGCAAACAGAGACAACTTGACTTCCTCCTTTCCTGTCTGAATACTTGAGAAGGGAACTCTTATATATTGCTGGTGGGGATGTAAAATAATATAAGCCATTGTGGAAAATGGTATAGAGGTTCTTTAAAAAGCTAAAACTGCAACTACCATATGACCCAGTAATCCACTTCTGGCTATATATCCAGAGGAATTGAAATACTTATATCAAAGAGATATCTGCATTCCCATGTTCATTGTAGCATTATTCACAATAGCCAAGATGTGGAAACAATATGTGTCCATCAGTGAATAAATGGATAAAGAAAATGTGGTATATGTACACAGTGGAATAGTATTCAGCCTTAAAAGGAAGGAAATCCTGTCATTTGCAACAACATAAATGAATCTGAAGGCCATTATGCCAAGTGAAATGAGGTGTGCGCAGAAAGACAAATACCACATGATCACTTACATGTGGGATCTAGTAAAGTTAAACTCATGGAAGTAGAGAGTAGAATGATAGTTACCAAAGGCTGGGGGGGTGGGTGGAGAGGGAGGCTGAGGAGGGAGGAAATCAGGAGTTGCTGATCAAAGGGTACAAAGTTTCAGATAGACAGAGGAATGAGAAGTTGTTAATCAAAGGGTACAAAGTTTCAGATACAGGAGGAATAGATTTTGAGATTTATTTCACTCCAGGGTGACTATAGTCAATAATAATGTAATGTATTTTAAAATAACAAAGAGAATAAATTTGAAATATCGCACTATAAAACAGTGATAGGTAAGCAAGGTAATAGATATGTTAATTAGCTTGATTTAATAATGCAACTTTGTATACATATATCAAAATATCATATTATACCCCATAAATATTTATAACTATGATTTAGCCATAAAAAATAAAAGTGGTCCCGTGCTAGTAAATCCCTAGCCACCAGGAAAGAGCAATTTCACATATTCTCTGGAGGAAGACGTCTTTATCCTAGTCTCAAAGAATCCCCACAAATAATTTTTCAAGAAGAATGATCAGCATAGAGTAAAAAAAAATTGGTATCTAAGGAAACAAGGCCCTGTGAGTTAGATGCAGCAGAGGGAAACATACCCACACAGATTTCAGATATTGAACTTATCAGACAGAGATCACAAAACCATGCTAACCATTTTTGAAGAAATACAAGGGCAAGTTTGAAAACATCTTAGGGAGCAGAAACTATGAAGAGTGATGTAACATATTTGAACAAGAACTAAATAGAACTTCTAGAAAAAATAGTCTAATAACTGATATTAGAAACTCAATGTGTGGATTTCACAACAGATTGAAAACAGTTGAAGATGACATTTGTAAACTGGAAGATAATTTGAAGAAATTAATGAGGATAAAGCATACAGAGACAAAAAGATAGAAAACATAAAAAAGAGGTTGAGAGACATGAAGAGTAGAGTAAGAAAGTCTAAGACACATTTAGTTAAAGTCCTAGAAAAAGGAGCCAGAAAGCGGGGCCATGAGCAATATTTAAAGAGTTAATAGCTAGAGTTATTTTTTAAAACTAAAGAAAATAATACACACTTGCAAGAAGCATAAACAATCTCGAGAAAGATAAAAAAAATTTCATCATAGACAAATCACACTGAAACAATGGAGTACCAGAGATAGGAAAAAAAATCTTAAAAGCAGACAGAGATAAAGTATTACCTTTAAAAGAGAAACAATTGGACCAAAAGGTGACTTCTAGCCACAAAAATGGGAGACAGAATTTCTTCAATGTGTTGAAAATAACTTCCAATCTAGATATTATACCCAGTTAATATTTGGTTTTTAAAATGAAGAGAAAACAGATATTTTTAACTAAGAAAATCTGTTAGTGTTTTTTTTTTTTTTTTTTTTTTTTTTTTTTTTTTTTTTTTTTTTTTTTTTTTTTGAGACGGAGTCTCGCTCTGTCGCCCAGGCTGGAGTGCAGTGGCGGGATCTCGGCTCACTGCAAGCTCCGCCTCCCGGGTTCACGCCATTCTCCTGCCTCAGCCTCCCAAGTAGCTGGGACTACAGGCGCCCGCCACTACGCCCGGCTAATTTTTTTGTATTTTTAGTAGAGACGGGGTTTCACCGTTTTAGCCGGGATGGTCTCGATCTCCTGACCTCGTGATCCGCCCGCCTCGGCCTCCCAAAGTGCTGGGATTACAGGCGTGAGCCACCGCGCCCGGCCGAAAATCTGTTAGTGTTTAACACAACCAGACTCTCATGAAAGGAAATTCTAAACAATATACTTCAGGCAGAAGAGAAGCAATATCAAATGGAAGGTCTGAGAAGCAAGAAGAAATTAAGAACAAATAAAGTGATAAACGAGTATATTCAAATAGTACTCATACATTAAAATACATGACAATAATAACATGTAAATTGATTGGGTGAGAAAATTGAGTTAAATGTTCTAAGGTTCTAACATTGTCCATGGTGCAGCAAAGTATTGATTAATTTGGGGATTTGATAACTTAAGCATAATGTTATAATTTAAGGAACCACTAAAGGAAAGGAATAGCAGGTATATATTCTAAACTAGTAGAAGGAAAAATAGAATGATAAAAAATAATCCAAAAAAAGACAAAGGGGAATAATAAAGAGGATAGGTAGGACACATGGAAGCACAAAATCAGCTGATAAATTTAAAATGAAACATACTGCTGGTTACATGAAATGTAACTTAATGCTTCTGGTAAAACTGTTAGTCCAAAGTGAAAACTACCGAAATGTCTATCTACAGTAGAATGGATACATCGTAGCATAGAAATACAATGGAATATTACTGCAAATATAATAAAACACAACAAACTGTAGCCATATACAACAGCATGAATGAATCAAACAAAAAATACTAAGCAAAAACAGGACACAAAAGAATGCATATAATACATTCCATTTAAATAGAGTTCAAAAGTGGGCAAAACTAAACTACCTCATTTAGGGTTGCATATATAAATGGTTAAACGATTTTAAAAGCAATGATACCATTATCGTTAAAGATAGGATAACAGTTACCTTTGGGAAAAAGGAAGGTTTGTGATCAGGGCAAGACACGTTTGGTCAGAGGCTTTGGAACTGGCAATGTTCTATTTTTTATCCTGCAAATGACACTATGATGTCCACTTTATAAATATATGTAAAAATGTACATGAATATAGATTATATTTAATAATAAAATGATGTTTTCAATCATAAATTTAAAATGGTAGGGGAAGTGAGTATTCTCCTGTAATATGATTTATTGTCAGCCTTGTATTCTGTGTATTATATAATTTTGAGTACACGCAAAACACTATAGTAGGAGTGCTGGGGGATGTGTTTCTGACTTCAAGAAACTTATAATCGGTATGGTGGTTTCCAAACTTTTCAAGTTTGATGTTGCATTTTTAACATGAAAAGTGTCAAACACCAGCAATTATTTTGGTAGCTATTACTTGAGTGTCTATTAATTGAGACGGGAGAAGCTTTTATTAAATCAGTAAGGTTCTTTAATGAATTTTTATTTTATTATTTTATTAATTACAACACATCTTTCTACTTGTAAAACAAAAGAATGTATCCGTATGTGTCAAGTATTTCATTTGTAATGTCATTGGTAATGCCTTATGTGTATATTCATTCATTGAATCACAAAGCTTTATTGAGATCTACTTCTAGCCTGACACGATGCCTATTGGTTCATAGACTCCAGACAATTTTTTTTTTTTTTTTTTGAAACGGAGTCTCTCTCTGTCGCCTGGGCTGGAGTGCAGTGGCGCGATCTTGGCTTACTGCAAGCTCCATCTCCCGGGTTCACGCCATTCTCCTGCCTCAGCCTCCTGAGTGGCTAGGACTACAGGTGCCTGCCACCATGCCCGGCTAATTTTTTGTATTTTTAGTAGAGACGGGGTTTCACCATGTTAGCCAGGATGGTCTCGATCTCCTGACCTCGTGATCCGCCCGTCTCGGCCTCACAAAGTGCTGGGATTACCGGCATGAGCCACCTCACCCGGTCAACTCCAGGCAACATTTTTAAGCCCTCTCTGCATAGTATACAGTACCCAAGTTAAGAATCATTGATTTATATCACCTGGCCATAGTAATGTCTCTATGCTGAGAACTTCACACAAATACATTAGAGAGACACAGATTTTGCCACATTAGATGAAAAAGGCTGTGATGCAAAGCGATGTCGGTGTACACATAGAAGGAATAAAATGACATTTTTCTTTCAGAATATTGTCCTTTTTATTTGTCTAGCAGCCATTATTTATCTAAGATTCATCACAAGCATTGGACATTGCTCTGGTTCTCAAATCTATTTTATTTTTGTATAATAATTTTAATCTTGTGTATTTTATCAAGTTCATTTTCAGCTCTGCTCCTTCCTTCAGTGCAGCACAGGAGGTAAGAGAATAGGATGTAGAACAAATCTTCACTCTTTACTTCAACAAGTAACATCTCTCTCGATATCAGTGAATAATCTTTTGCAGACAAGCATCAGGAAACCTAGTTCAAACTGTTTTGCACATGAAACTGGTAAGTTGAGGAGGAACAGACACAGCTGAATCCAGGTGTAGCTTCATCTAGGATGTCAATCAATACTACTTTTTTTATTTTAACTTTTTTTAAGTTTTTAAAATTTTTGTGGGTACATAGTTGGTATATGTATTTATAGGGTACATGAGATGTTTTGATACAGGCATGCAATGTGAAGTAAGCACATTACGGAAATTGGGGTATCCATTGCCTCAACCATTTATCCTTTGAGTTACAAATAATCCAATTACACTCTTTAAGTTATTTTAAAATGTACAACTAAGTTATTGACTATAGTCATCCATTTGTGCTATCAAATAGTAGGTCATATTCATTCATTTTTTTGTGTGTGTGTGTTCATTAACTATCCCACCTCCCTGCCAGCCTGCCACTATCCTCCCCAGCATCTGGTAACTGTCCTTCTACTTTCCATGTCCATGAGTTCAATTGTTTTGATTTTTAGATCCCACAAGTAAGTGAGAACCTGAGATGTTTGTCTTTCTGTGTCTGGCTTATTTCACTAAACGCAATGATCTCCAGTTCAATTTCTATTATTTCAAATGACTGAATGTCATCTTTTTTTTTTTATGGCTGAATAGCACTACATACACAATACCTCTTGTGCGCTTGCTCTCCCCTCTCTTATCTTTGCTTTCTTCTACGTTAGTTTCATTCTCAGTGAGATCATATCCATGTGATGGCAGCAATATCCCTGACTAGTACAGATTTATATTCAAACAGTGTGAGAATCCCAGAAGAAAGATAGCAGCCCCTCATTGGAGAATGAAGTATCTATGTCATAAGAACACATTCCTCTGACCTATAACACCTAGAACACTGAGATAATTTAAAAATATATAGAGAGAGTCTGGCAGAGATCATCTTGCCAGAGGAATACTGAAAAATTTTACAGGATACAAAATTATACTATTTCCAATCTCTTCCAAACAGCCATATATTCTCCCTAATATATACCCCTTCACCAAAAGAATGAAAGTAAAAAAGCAAAAAGAAGAAAAACAACATTATAAAAATTATATTATCCAGGGCCTTTTATTTTCTTTAATCACTCAAGATTCTATGACTAAAAATTAAGTTTTCAGAAGAAAGTTCTTCTGGTTTTCCCTTATCAGTGGAAGTGGTTCCAATCAGGAAATGTTGAAACTAACAGTGCTATTCAGGAGCAATCAGTTATTTATAAACCACAAAAGGAAAAGACAACAACCCAGCTATTCAAAGTCGTCTACCTTTAGAAGATTACACAGAGTCTGATAGAAAGAAGCAGATTCAGAAGTTTTCTGCTAGTTGAGTTAGTAACCTACCTAATATAACAAGTATCAATCATTGGCATATTCATTTTATCCTTCAAAATGAATTATAGAGTACTTACTAATACTTAAGCATAAAGACATGCACTGCAAGTGATTAGCTATGGTTTTGGTATAATCATCCCTTCTGAACCAACATACTATTCATGTTTCACTCAATAAATATTAAGCTCCCATTCTACACCAAGCCCTGACTAAATGCTGGGGATACCATGTTGATTGGAGAGAGAAAGTCCCTGCCTTCATGGACATTGCATTCTGATGAGCGAAACCTGGTGAATGCCTTAGCCAGAATGTCTAGCATTCTGCCTGTGCTGGTACTTGTCTGGAATTTTTCATTTCTCCTATCCTGCTGTTAGATGTTACACTTCTTTGTTTCACTCAAAGTGCTGCTCTAGCTTAGTCCTCAGCATTCCACTGCAGATGAATTGCTTCCCTGTGATTAGGCTGGTTTGCAGAGTTCTCAGACTTAAGATGGCTGAAATTTCACACCTTTGCATGGTAACCACACGCATTCCATCACATGCACTTCTATTCCTTTATTTCTGTTCCTATTCACTATGAGAGAAACCCACATAATGGCAGGTATAGTGTCCCTCAAGTATGAGTGTACTCTGAAAGAAAATGCTCTCTGCTCATGAACACCTTCTGCAAAGATCATTTTTTTCCAAAGGGGCTTTTATAAGCTTCCCTGAATTAAATGGAAGAAAAAAACATCTCTCTTTGGAGCAATAGCCTGAAGATATCCTCCTTTGTCAGAAATTGTTTTCACTATGATCCCACTATCAAGTATATCCCATTCACCATCCCTGCATAAATCCCTGTTCTGTAGGTTAAAAGTTCTCCTTTTATACTCCCAGGTATATACCCAACACGAATTACGCGCTTGTTCACCAAAAGACATGGAGGATAACATTCATGGTAGCGCCATTCGTAATAGCTTCAAATTGGAAACAACCTAAATGTCCATCAACAGGAGAATGGATCAATATATTGTGGTATATTCCTACAACAGGATGCTGTACATTATGAAAGCTGACAAAACACAGCTACACGGAACCACTTGGATGAATCTCACAAGCTAACAATGAGCACAAGAATCCAGATAAGCAAGAATGCATAATGGGTTCCATTTACATAAAGTTCAAAACTAGACAAAGTTAATGCAGAGTTTTGAAGTGGTTCACTTTAGGATGGGAGAGAGGGAGAGTGTTTGGCAGAGGGCATGAGGGGGTCTTTTGAGGGGCTGGTAGCATTCTATATCTTGACTTGGTTTCACAGCTATGTTCATTTTGTGATATATATTGAACTATACACTTAGGATTTATGCACCATTTTCATGAAAAAGAGTTTTTCTTAATAAAAGTTATCCATTTGCTGCATTTACCAAGGTTTTATTTAGGTCCCACTTTCACAAGGGAGTTGCTCCTCACCATTCCTGGGGGTCATGTGGAACCAGGAAGGTTTTTCTCCCTGGGTAGCTGGAGATTGTGTTAATGTATATGTGGGGAGGGACAAAATCACACTCCAAATGGGAAAAGCCAAAGTTTGAAGAAGAAAGACAGTTCCAAGCAAAGTGAGGCCATAATCAGATGATGAAAAATTGGCCAGAGACTGGTGGGATCAAGCCCCAGAAAGCTGGTATCTGGGGACCAGAGGTTATGGGGCACAGTGGTTATATGCAGAGATGCTGGAGCCAGAATCCCTGGGTTGATTTCTCAAATCCATTAACTTCTGTTTTACTTTGGGCAGCTTCCTGAACCTCTCTGTGCCTCAGGCCCTCTTCTGTGAAATG
Organism: Homo sapiens; assembly: GCF_000001405.40. NCBI lineage: Eukaryota > Metazoa > Chordata > Mammalia > Primates > Hominidae > Homo > Homo sapiens. Next base: position 93,237,729 of record NC_000011.10, on the reverse strand, counting down.
CACCTGAGAAGTCAAAATGTAATACTTGTCAAGCACTCCCAGCTGTGCTTGTCCCATGCTGGGGGCTCAACATGTGTCAACGACTACATCTGCATCATTTTCTGCTCTCACAATCTATATACCAGAGCATGGCTGTCCACTGCTCACATGTTTTATAGGAAAGCAGGGGAAACCATTCTCTTCCTTCCTAGTCCTAGTTCCAAAGTTCCCAGGCCAGATACCTTTCCTGTCCATAAAAGCTATGACTAGAGAACAGGATCACATTCTATAAAATGACCACTCCCACCAAACCATGTGAATTGGGAGTCAGACGTTCAACAAAAGGGGCAGGTCAGTTTCCAGACAAACAAGCGAGGAGTGATTTGAATGATATCAAGAGGAGTACAGTACAAATAGCATATTGGTGGGTCCGCCTTTCTTCAAAATGAATGAAACTGTGCCTTTATACACACAATGTAGAAGTGTACGTTAAGCCTGAGTATTTGCCCCAGATTTAACTCTCTGCTTCGATAAGTCATGACTGGTATTTCTTTGGCTAGAAATAAAACAAAGCAGGTCCCACTTTCTGAGATAAACATTTAATTTAATTTTGTATCTCACTGGGTTTTTAATCCCATCACTTATCTCAATGCTCTGTTTCTCACTATTTTATCTCAGGGTTTCTGAATGTTCTCCTTGAACAAACAATGTAAACACAATAAACACCGTAACAGACAAGAACCTTGACATAGAAGTGGAGACACACTAGCGGTAAGGCATCCAAGGACACCAAGATAAAGCAGAGAAAAACATGAAGTAGCCAGTAGGTGGGGCTCGGAGGGAAGAATTGACAGTGGTGGTTGTGGGAGAGCACTGCAAGCTCAAACACTGTGCTAAATTTCAGGCGTTAGTAGAAATGTCAAATAGGTGTGTGTGTAGGCAATTATAAACATGAGAAATGCATAGAATGGTGCCTTACACAGAATAGGTGCTAAATAAATATTATCCAAATGAGTGAATGAATGAAAAGAGGAGAGACAACGGATTTGCTTTCATTCACATATAGGAGCTTTGAGAAGTCAAGGAATTTTAGAATTAAAAGGGACCAGTAAAGTCTATTCCCCTTACAAGTGGTTTGGGCTTGAGTACCTCAGTCTCAGGTTTGAATTAGGAATCAGTAAGAAAGAGAGAAAGAGAAAGCAACAGTGACACATGGATTTTTTAGGGAGTTAAAAGCATTCTAGAATAATGGATGGCTGAAGGACCGTTTGGGGGGAGGGGGGGAAAGCTGTCATGGGATAATTGGAACAGACCCCAAGGAGGTCATTTATCATGTCGTCTCTCTGCTGGCTGCAGAATATAGAAATCACTAGCTGATGACAACAATACTCTACGTTTGTGTAGTACTTCTAGTTCTGAAAGTGCAGTCAGACATTATCTCCATTAATTCTCACAAGCACATAGGTATTCTTTTCTGGGACTCAAAGGAAGTTACTAGCTCAGAAATAATGGATGCTCGTTGATGTATGAAGTTCCATTACCTCTAACAGGGAGATGGAATGTCCTTTAAAAGATTCCTCCACAAAATAACATATTCATTTATGTAGTAACAGGGAGAGTTGTTGAGAATTAAATGATATATTGTCTTTTCAAAGCTGTGAATTTATCAGTATTAACTTGGAAAGTGTCTTTACCTCCTCCTTCCAAGATAATAGCAAGGAGAGCCACCAAGGTGCTTTGGACAGTTTTCCAAGGGGAAGGAGGATGATGCTTGGTGGGAAAGTGGGGAGTGGCCCCATCCTGGAGGTGACTTCCCAGGGACTGGGAAGGCTGGGATGTTCAGTGTGTTCTGGGTCTCACTTTGCACCTGTGCACCGCTTGCAAGCATCACAAGAGGACACAACTTAGATGAGGGTGGTGGTGCTCGTAGGGGTAGAGCGATTGCTGTGAGAGGTATAACTATAACCCGCCTGGCGCAAGAAGCCTGACTGGTAGCAATAGACTAGATCTCAGCCTGTGCTTCCCAAGAGGCAGATGTAAGGGACAGAGACCTTTCACTTCCATTTTCCTCAACTGCTTACCTACTGGGATTTTAGTATGATCCATAGGAGATGGAAGCAAATTTAAAAAGCGAATATTGGAATTGTCACTAATCTTGGCAAATTAAGATTTGATTTGATATAGAAAAATAAAGACATACAATGTTTCTTATACTTGAGATGTCATGGAATGATTGTACATCTGTTAATCTTCATTCAACAAGCATTTATTGAGCACTTACTATGAGCCAGACTTTCTAGTAGGTGTTGGGGATATAGGGGAGAATAATAAAGAAATGGATCTTGTTTTTGAGTAGCTTGTTACATCTATAATGGACAGATAGACAATTAAACAAGGAATAACCAGACAGAGTGCTGAGTGTTAGAACAGGAGAAAGACAGGGATCTGAGACACCAGAAAAAAAGAGGTTACATAACCTAGTCTAGGAGACAAAGACAGCATCCCTGCAGAAGTCACAGTTAAGCTGAGACCTGAAGGATTCTGTCCTGCATCGCACAACACTTCCTTCCCACCACTGCTATGCTAAGCACTTACCCCAGTTACATAGTATTTGCTATTTTCAAATCTCTCTCTCACTAAGCATTGAGCTCCCAGAGGTCTTACAGCATCATGTAAATTATTAAAAAAAAAAAAATCTTTGTATCCTCAGCACCTCTGGTAGAGCTCCTACACTTAGTAGGCTTTCAATGCATAGCTGCTAAGTGACACAAAAATTGAAAGAATGAATAAATGATGAATGATGGGAGACCTAATTGCATTATATAGTAGAAATGCCAGTGTTCATCTGTAAAGGGTGCAGGCTGGATGCTGCATTCTAGTTAAGCAGTGTCACTACTGTGTCCTCCAGGCAGCCAGTTGCTGAGCATCCGCTAATTAAGGCTACACTGCCACTCTGAGGGCAGTCTGGGTAGTGCCAGGATTGGACAGGACACTGATGTCCGCTTTGGTTCTCAGCTTCAGGCTGGTGAAAGCACTAGCAATGCAGCCTCCTCTTTGAAGGAAAGGTCTCTCAACGCTGTCACAGTCCTTGCTCAGGCAGCCCTCAGTCCCTACTGCAAAGTAAGGGCATGAAGTCTTCTCTTAAAAGTGCAGGCTGGCTAAGGAAACCGAACCTCACTTTCATGGCACAATTTTGGGGACACAGAGGAATTGAGTCACATTCTTTTCCTTGTGTGTGGGTTGGAGAGGAGGAATCCAGTTCCTACCCCACCCCTCCCATTGCCCTGGAAGAGCCACCTGGGGTAAGCATGACCCCCTGGGGTAAGCATGAAGCCTGCACACTCACCTCAGCACAGGAGGGAAATGCTTTAGCTGAAATATTCCCCTCTTTAGTGACCCTACTTCTCTCCAGGGAGCTTTAAATGCTGGTGAATTCTGATCAGCATCCTGGAAGGGAATAATGAACTAGCACCCAGGGCACCTTCCTCACTTGTCTCCTAGCCAGTCCCCCAAACTTCTGTCTGGCTGTTACTGTGTGGCTCAATGAACTGGGGGCAAGAAAATCTAGATTATAACCCTGGGTTTGCTGATTCCTATGCGTTACACCTTTGGTTAGTTGATTAATCTCTTTGAACCTCAGTTAGCTGATCTACAAAATAAATATTAATATACCTGACCTATCTTACAGGGCTGTTGAAGAATCAAATGGTACAATATGCGGAATGCCCTTTGTGAACCTGCAAGCACTACACACGTGTAAAGTATTATTATGTCCAATATGTCTGGAAATGTATAAAATAATGATTCCATAGAAATGTACTTTTATGTTGTGAAATCCTCACTGTCTCTCGTTGTTAATCCAGGGAAACCACTGACTAGTATTCCTTTCACTTGATTGTCTCATTTCTTTCACTGATTAATTCATTCAAAAAGCAGTTATGAGCAAAATTCAACATCAAAAATATTGATTGAGTGCCTACAATATGCCAGGAACTGTTCTCAGTGCTGGAGATACCACGGATATTAAGGCAGATATATCCCTGCTTTCCTGCACTGGGGCTAGAGCAGGGAGTAAAATGGCAGTCCCTGCACTTAGGAGTTTACAGTCTAATGAGGAAGGTAGGAATTTTAAAACTAATCATATGAATAACTATGTGTGTGTGATATGGTTTGGCTCTGTCCCCACCCAAATCTCATGTCCAGTTGTAATTCCCAATATTGGGTGAGGGACCTGGTGGGAGGTGATTGAATCATGGGGGCAGATGTTCCCTTGCTGTTCTCATGATAGTGAGTGAATTCTCAAGATATCTGGTTGTTTGAAAGTGTGTAGCACTTCCCCCTTCACTCTTTTTCTCTTCTGCCACCATGTGAAGAAGGTGCTTTCTGCCATAATTGTAAGTATCCTGAGGCCTCCCCAGCCATGCCTCCTGTACAGCCTGTGGAACTGTGAGTCAATTAAATATCTTTTCTTCATAAATTCCCCAGTCTCAGATAGTTCTTTATAGCAGTGCGAGAGTGGACTAATACAGTGTGTATGTGGCAACATTAAACTCTCGTTAAGAACACAGGAAAAAAGAAAATGTTTAATATTGTTGTTATACTCTTGTCCTCATGAACCCTCAACTGCTAGTGGGAAAATTAACTAATGTCCAATGTCATTAAACTCCATTCAATCCAATATTTTATACAATTCTCAATCAGGCAATGCTCAGAATCCCCAGCAAAATGTTCAGCTTTTCAGGTTGCCCTCCCCTCCTTCTGTTTTGGTTCCGAAACTAGCATCTCGGTTTATGGGGGGATAGTAGGGGGTTGCAGGGAGGAGGTGTCATTTCCAGGACATGAGGCACAGGGGAAGAGTTGGGGTCCTCTAATGTGTCCTCTCTGTCTTCTGGTCTCCAGAGAAGTGCCTCTTGTCCTCCTATGTGCTGGTAAAGTCTGTGCTAGTGTCACTCAGACCCTGTCTTGGCTCTGTCAGATCCTGGGATTGACCCTTGGCTGGCTTGGTCCCCTGCCTGCATCTGCCAGCTGCAAAACCTAGGTCTCTACCACATTTGCTCTCCAGTCTGTTGGCTTGACAATCTACTCCTAACCTCTACTGTGAGAGTCACCTCACTCTGCAATGGCTGAGCCAGTAGCAGAGCTACTGACTTTCTACTCCACACCTATTCAACTTGTGAACTGAAGGGACTCAGAAAAGCTAAACCTCAGGGCCTCTCTCTGCTGGACCACACCACACCATTAGATCTGTGAGAGCTGCCCCAGAGACCAAAATGAGCAAGGGCTGTAAATCTTTTACCAACCTAGTGAGTTGTTCCCAGTACAGTCCAGATGAGAAATATGGGGACCCCCACACCCTGTTTTCCTCTTGCTCTCTGCCTTTGCCTCTGTCTGCCAGTGCTCAGGCCTGGGAAATGATATCTGCATGATACCTGTCTCATCATACCTTTGGCGAGTCTCGTGGCTTCACTAAATACCCTCCAGGAAGACTTGGATCTAAGTTCCTTTGCCCAGTGAATTCTTTATCCCTGCTCACTGCCCGGCTTCTTGCAGCTACTGAGATTTATCCACACTGCTGTCCATACACCAGGACCCCATCCCTCTACCTGCAAGTCTCAAAGCACCATAACACATTGCTGTTATGTGTAACAAACTCTTACTGAAGGTTAGGGGATGATGATGAGGGGCTGCATCAATAAATAAATAAATAAATAAATAAATAAAAAAGATGGGAAACAACTAAATCAAATAACAGAAGGCACTGGCCAAAGGCCCTCAGCTGTCTCTACCACAGTGACGGTCTTGCTGGTGACATTCCCAACTTTCTCACAAAGCCATCATTTCCTGGGACTTGTTTTATTTCCTTCTAGCCAAACACTTCTGTCAACTTTCTCAGTTCAGAGACACTCATTTACTGTCCCTACCGCCCCCCTGCAGGTAGCTAACCTGTAATTCTATTATGAAGGGAAATTTAGCTCCTTTTTATCAGATGCTAAGGTAGAATTAGCATACAGCAATGGTTAAGCTCATGGATTTTAAAACCAGCCTACCTTGGTTCAAATCTAGCCTTCATTGCTTACTAGCTGTGTGGTTTTAAGAAGTTGCTCATCCTCTCCGTACCAGTTTCCCCATCTGTAAACTTGGAATGGTTGTAGCCCCTACTGGCTGGGGCCCTTGTGAGGATTATATGATAAATACAAATAAATAAGATGCTTACATCTGTCCTATACAAAGTAAACACTCAATGAAATGTAGGTATTATTCTCTCTACTTCCTCCTTCCTACACTACCCTAGACCAGTGATTCTCAAACTTTAGCACATATCAGAATTATCTAAAAGTCTTATTAAATGTCAGGTTGCTGGGACCCAGAGTTTCTGATTCAATAGGTCTGGGATGGAGACAGAAAATTTGCATTTCTAACGAGTTCCCAAGTACTGTGATGAAGCTGGTTCAATGATCACACTTTGAGAACCACTGGCCTAGACCATGTTTTCCATTCTCAAAAAGTTCCATTAAGTTGTTTTTCTTGGCTTCCCACCCTTAGAAACAGGTAGAAGCTTCAAATTATACTTTTTTTTTTTTTGGTAGAGATGAGATCTCACCATATTGCCCAGGCTGGTCTTGAACTCCTAGCCTCAAGCAATCCTTCAGCCTTGGCCTCCCGAAGGGCTGAGATTACAGGCGTCAGCCACTGTGCCACGCCCTCAAATTATACTTGTTACAGAGCTTTTCTGGATCAAATTACATAGGCAAAAAAGAATTTATTATGCTGACTATTTGGTAACAAAGAAAAGGAAATAAAGAATATAAACATGTATATCCATGTTTTGTTGTTGCAAAAAAAAAAAAAAAAACCCAAAACAAACGAACAAACAAAAAACTTAGGAAAGATAAACCAGAAACTGATAGAATTGTTTACATAGGATAGGGTAGAAAGAACAGGAAAAAGAGTGACAAACTTCTCTGATTATGCCATTTTTTTTCTATAAATATATATATAGTTTTGACTGTTGGAAGCATGCTAGTGTTTTCATATTTAAAACATTAAATCAAGTCTGAGGAAAGAAGCCTAGAATTGAATTAAAAATACAAAATTAAGAGTATATCAAATAGATGACAGAACTGCATGAAAGGGAAAAAAATTGAATGAATCTAAGTCACTTTGGTTTTTGTTTCTTTTTTTTTTTTTTTGAGACGGAGCCTCGCTCTGTCACCCAGGCTGGAGTGCAGTGGCGCCATCTGGGCTCACTGCGAGCTCCGCCTCCCGAGTTCACACCATTCTCCTGCCTCAGCCTCCGGAGTAGCTGGGACTACAGGCGCCCGCCACCACGCCCAGCTAATTTTTTGTATTTTTAGTAGAGACAGGGTTTCACCGTGTTAGCCAGGATGGTCTTGATCTCCGCCCGCCTCGGCCTCCCAAAGTGCTGGCATTACAGATGTGAGCCAATGCGCCTGGCCGAATCCAAGTCACTTTGAACACAATACTTAGATATACACCCTCAGTCTAAAAACAAAAAGAAGTTCAAACAAATATTGTTTTGTTAGTGATATGGGTGTAGCAATTTTGAAATTATTTGGTGAGCATTTTAGGACTGAGTAAATTAGTAAATATACTAATGTTTCTGGTAGCCAGGTTTCCCACTATGAGAGAGAGGTGATATAATTTATGGAATGCGGAAAATTTAGAGGTGTCAGCATAAAATCATGTTTTTTCTAAGAAATAAAAAATAATAAAAATGTATATATCTTTCCTAGCTCTTTCTGCTGAAAGGGCCTAGAAGTAATGCTACTCTAGTTACAATGAGCACTCCTAGCACCTAGATCTTGGTGTCTAAAGATAATTCCCCTTTAAAAATAGCTGATTCTAAAATACAACATAAATACAAGATAAGACTAGAATATTTTGTTGTAGTAGAAAATAAAGAAATTATTTGAAAAATAAAAAGGCCCAAGGATGTTACAAAGAGGAAGAATCTCAAAGAGACCTCTAGCCAAATCAATGATCAAAAACAAAACAAATAAAAGAACAAAGACGGCTGGGCGCAGGGGCTCACGCCTGTAATCCCAACACTTTGAGAGGCCGAGGCAGGCAGATCACCTGAGATCAGGAGTTTGAGACCAGCCTGGCCAACACAGTGAAACCTGGTCTGTACTAAAAACACAAAAATTAGCTGGGCATGGTGGCGGGTGCCTCTAGTCCCAGCAACTCAGGAGTCTGAAGCAGGAGAATGGCGTGAACCCAGGAGGCGGAGCTGGTAGTGAGCCGAGATCGTGCCACTACACTCCAGCCTGGGCAACAGAGCGAGACTCCGTCTCAAAAAAAAAAAAAAAAAAAAAAAAAAAAAGATCCCAAAGAATCCTGACACTACTGGATTATAACACTGTGGAAAAAAACCTAAGAATCCACCAGTGCCCTTAATGATACTAAACAAAGAGAAAAACAAATAATAAGAATAACAGGAGAGCTTTTCTTTATAATAGAACATCAACTAGTAAATGTGGAAGGAATAACACAGAAAATCACGATTTTGCACCCATCATAGTAATATTTTGTTTAGATAAGAATCATCCAGGAATATTAAAACCATTGCGTGAAAGTTTGTTGGGAATGAGTATATTTACACAGCATGAAAATTTCTCCTCACAGATTATTCATTAACTACAAGAGGAAAAAAGTATTTCTACATAACAGATAACACTGTAGCTAAGTGACCACCAACAATGGGACAAACTGATATCTTATGATTCCTGATAAGAAAGGCTAAGAATACAACATCACTTATGTAACATTCCTGCCAAAAATGTATAACCTGAACTTAATTATGAGGAAACCACCAGTCAATCTCAAATTGAAGGATAAGCCACAAGGCAACTGGTCTGAATGTTTCAAAAATATCAATGTCAGAAGAGAAAAAGAAAGGCCAGGCATGGTGGCTCAAGCCTGTAATCCCAGCACTTTGGGAGGCCAAGGTGGACAGATTACAAGGTCAGGAGTTCGAGACCAGCCTAGCCAACATGGAGAAACCCCGTCTCTACTAAAAATAGAAAATTAGCAGGGCATGGTGGCGCATGCCTGTAATCCCAGCTACTTGGGAGGCTGAGGCAGGAGAATCTTTTGAACCTGGGAGGCTGAGGTTGTGGTGAGCCGAGATCATGCCATTGTACTCCAGCCTGGGCAACAAGAATGAAACTCCTCTCAAAAAAAAAGAAATAAAGAAAGAAAGAAAGGCTGTGGAGCCATTCTAGATTAAAAGTCATTAAAAAATGATTACAACTAAATGAAAAGCATGGTTCGTTACTGAATGTCTGATGAGAAAAAAAAATAAACACATTGCTATTAGGGATATTGCTAGGACAACTGATAGAATTTGGACAGAGATTGCATATTCCATAGTAGTATTATTGTATCATCATTAAATTTTTTGAACAGTCATTGCTCCATGTAAAACAATGTCCCTGTTCTTAAAATACAAATACTAAAGTATTAGGAGTGAATGTGCTTCAGTTGTATTTTTGAATCAGCTATTTTTAAAGGGGAATTATATGTAGGCATCAAGATCTAGGTGCTAGGTGTCTTCATTGTAGCTCAGGTTGCATTACTTCTAGGCCCTTTCACTAGGCCCTAAATACTTTAGTATTTATCTTTTAAGAGCAACAACAATAACATAGTTATAGGTGGAAAGATATAAAGCCAGCGTGGTAAAGTATTAACAATTGGCAAATCTCGGTGAAGGATATATGACAGTTTATTGTCCTAATTTAGCAACATTTCTATAAATGTGAAACTTTTACAAAATAAAAAGATAAAACAAATTTGAAAATCTTTAGGTGAATCTCTCTCCCCAACTAAATGGCATAAAAAAATTATCCTCCCTTTAAGCCCAGGGATTTTCCACTAATTTTGTCACTATTACATTTTCCTGTTGATAAGTTTTAGTTACTTCTTACAGGCAGCTGATGGAGAAGCAGGTTTGGGTGAAGGTGATGGGTGCAATTTGACACAGTGTCTTTGAGATCCAATGTGTCTCGAGAGATCCAATGTGATAGGAGCTCAGGGAAGAGGTCCCAGCCAAAGACATGGAATCAGGTGATATTAGTCCCTTGAGAGTTCTCCTGGAGGGAGCTTGGAGAATAAGAGTGGCAACTGTAAAGGAGACTAAGAGTGAATGGTGGGAGAACCAAGGGGAGCCATGGTTCAGCAGCTGTGGAAGGATACATTTCATATGGAGACCATGGTCCATAGCCTGAAATGTCCCAAGGAGTAAAGCAGACAACTGTAAAGTCCCCTGGATTTGGCAAGTAGGTGGTCCTTGGTAACCTGAATGACTTCCATAGGGGAGGGAGTTGAGGAGTGGGATTGGGTGAAACCACACCAGGGTGCATTAAAGAGTAATCGTGTGGCCAAGTGTGGTAGCTCATGCCTGTAATCCCACCACTTTGGGAGGCCGAGGTAGGCAGATCACTTGAGGTTAGCAGTTTGAGACAAGCCTCGCCAACATGGTAAAACCCCGTCTCTACTAAAAATACAAAAATTAGCCAGGCGTCGTGGCAGGCACGTGTAGTCCCAGCTACAGCTCAGGAGGCTGAGGCAGGAGAATCTCTTGAACCCAGGAGGTGGAAGTTGCACTGAGCTGAGATCGTGCCACTGCAGTCCAACCTGGGCAACACAGCAAGACTCTGTCTTTAAAAAAAAAAAAAAAAGTAATTGTGTAGGCCGGGCACAGTGGTTGAGGCCTGTAATCCCAGCACTTTGGGAGGCTGAGGCAGGCGGATATCTTTGAGCTCAGGAGTTCAAGACCAGCATGGGCAACATGGCAAAACCCCATCTCTACTAAAAATACAAAAAAATTAGCCATGTCTGGTGGTGGTGTGTGTCTGCAGTCCCAGCTACTTGAGAGGCTGAGGTGGGAAAATCTCTTGAGCCTGGGAGGCGGAGGTTGCAGTGAGCTGTGGTTGTGCCACTGCATTCCAGCCTGGGCAACAGAGCTAGACACTGTCTCAAAAACAAAAACAAAAACAAAAAGTAATTGTGGAGGTGAAATGTGATAAGAGTATTTGGATAAGCCTATTTGGAAGGGCAGGAGAGAAATATAGATGAAGGCAGATTTTTGGATTTGGTCTTTAGAGCTGGAAGGGATTTGCCCATGGAGAGGGGGAGGTTAGAGAATTGGAAAGGGGGATAGTTACATTAGCAAGAGCCCAGAGGAACCAGAGGGCAGGAGATCAGGGGTAGAGTGGTGGAACTAACCTGAGTAGGGAAAGAATGTATCTTCCCACCCAGTGGCCTATGAACCCTAGGGCCTTGTCTTCTGTCTTGATCTGTCTCAAAAGAAACCAAACTGTTAGCCTCTTTCCTAATATTTCTGATGAGCCAACCACAGGATCCTGGTAGGCAGGGTATTGACTTAGGTAGAGTTCTGAATTTGGAGTGGGAAGACAGCTTTAATTTCTTGTTTTTTGCTTGACTTCCTGACTGTGTTATCCTTTCTGAGCAGCAATGTCCTCATCTTTAAAATGAAAAAAATGTACTCCATGTAATAAAGTAGGACAATATATGAAAACACTTTAGAAAGGGACTTGCGATTAGGTAGCTTTTTTGAGGTGTTTGTTTGTTTGTTTGTTTGTCCCTCTGCTCTTAGGATCTGGCAATATTCCAGTGACCAGGAGATCTGGAAGTTGCCAAGAATGTTCTCTGCAACTGCTGGCTTCTAATGAGGCAGCTCACACAGGATTTGCTGTCTTGGATTTAAAAATAAGTGCATCCACAGAGAGATGGACTGTCACCAGAGGTTTGGTAATATAATTAACTGTAGAATGCAAGCCAATGGAAGCCAGCTGGCAATCACTGAAACTTGGGGGTTCGGTAGCTCAGAATGAGTTTGTTATTGAGAATTGTTTATAATAATCAAATTTCCACTAGGTGACAGCAAAGCCCATAATATGATCTAAATCATTGTTCTTCTTGAATAAATAGTGTTTGAGAATCTTCCAAAAGCAGCAGATCCTGCCATTCTGGAGAGAGTAATTATTGCTAAAATTATGACATATGGCCTCGAGATATTGTCATTACTCTTCTGAGATAAATAACTCCAGTTTTAAAAAAACCAATTTTAGTGTTTGACATTCTAAGTCACTTGAATTTATAGAAACAACTATAACAATAATTTAAAAAGCTAATATGTGTTAACCATTTGCTGTGTGCCAGGCACTCTTATAAATGCGCATGGCTCTTGATACTACCCAACCTCTCAGAGGTTTCACAGGGACCACAAGTCCCCTCTTTTAATAAAGAACTAAGTCTTCCCTGGGCCACTTCTGTAACCATAACACTAATTACATAAATACATGCTTGTGGCTGAACTACCCTGCCCAGGAGAGGAGGAGTTTGGTTATGCATATTAATGATTTAGTCAAGAGCCCTTTACAGGGTTTTATGAACAATTTTCAGTTATAATTGGTATTTCTCAGAGCATTTATCTTTTTTAAAAATAACTTTCCCCCTCTTAGACCTATGCTAACCCTTCATTGGGTTCCATGTTGGTGGCTCATTCATCTTGGGACTGTGTTGAGTTTGCGGTAACCTATTGGAGTCTTTTTTTTTAGGGTCTAAGGCGGAGACCCCAGGCAGAGTGAGCTTGACTCATCATGGTACAAAGCCTTTAACCATCAGAAGGAAGTGGGAATTATGGGGGCATTGCTGGTATTTGACTCTGTCCCCTGGCCCCTGGCTCCTGAATGCTTGCCTTGGTTCTAAGCAGAGAAAGGACTGAGAAGTAAAATGGCAGGGCTGTTTCTGGAACACACTAATTCACAGGCAGCCCTGCTTAGTTTGTTTTCTTCAATCAGAATATAACATAAAAACCAGGGAGCTACATAGCTGGCTCCTCTACGGCTACCCATACTGCTTTTCTTTTCTTTTTAATTATTACTATCTCTGAAAGTATGCTATAAATGCATGAGATGAAATTTCCAAAGGTGCAACAGAGCACACAGTTAAAAAGTAAGTTTTACTTCCCACACCTGTTCCCCATAGGAAACCACTGGTTCTCATAGTTACCAGTTTCCAGTAATGTTCAGCCTCAGCAGCCTGGGGATTCCATGCTTGCAGGACAGTGGTAGGGATGCTGGCTGCTGATGGGGGGAGCAGTTAGGAGTAGCTCAGATTGCGGAGTGAGTTAAGCACATGTGACACCTCCTGATGAGGCTCAGGGACTAGGGGCACATGGCGTGTGGGAAAATAAGCCAGGAAACCTTAGGAATTCATAACAAGATGGCCTTATTTGCACCCACAGGCTGGTGTTGCCTGGGGAAGTTGTGTACTATTATTATTGAAATATGTTCTCAGATGAAAGTTAAAAAATAAAGATAAGTATATCTCATTATTTAAGTATATATATATACGTATATATATGTATATACATATTTATATAGGTATATATAAGTATATATATACGTACTTATATACGTATATATGTATACATGTATACGTATATATATGTACTTATATACGTATATATATTTCTTATATACATATATGCACATATATAAGTATATATACGTGGGTATATATACACGATACGTATATATACACATATATATGTATATGTGTATATATATAACTATATATACGTATATATATAATTATATATACGTATATATATAATTATATATACGTGTATATACACGTATATATATGTATATATAAACAGTTTTTCCTGCAATATGGAGCCCAAGCCCCAGTCTCCAAGTCTCGTAGCAACCCAAGAACCAGAAAACAATGCCTCCAGAAGATAGAAATTGACACTCCTAAGGTCACCAGCAATCTTATCCAACAATGTCAGCTGAGCCACGAGAGGCAGCAACCATTGCAGAGTGGCAGCCAGCCTAGGCAAGCCATGACCCAGCCCCTGACACTGGCCCCAGGTGCATTCACAAGGGTGAGCATGTGTGCTGGTTGACCCAGGACCACCTCAGTTTATACCTGGGATAATTGTTAAAAGGGTCCTTTTCCAATCTCAAGAACTGTCCCAAGTTTGTCAATAAAGTACATGATCTCTCTAAATACAGTTCCCCTGTGCATCATCTTCCCCCGTGCCACTCCTCCAGGGTGCTGGACCAATTATGGAGTTAGGGTGGGTCAGGTGTCTACCATCTTTCAGACCCAAAGCTGCAACCATTTTCTTTCCCTAGGACCTCTTCTGGGTCTAACAGTCTCCTGTTTCTGGGGCACAAAAGGGCCAATTCTACCTCCAGTTCAGGCAACAGAACTCCCCAGCCACCCTTCGGAGGATTGGATACCCTAAATGCTTATGCCTCTTTTCCCCAATGAGCCCGATGCTCAATAGCTCAAATGTAGTTTACCACTGAGATACGTAATAAACATCTCAGGATATTTATTTTGGCCCCTCTCTAATCCCTAGCATGTCATTTTCATGAGGAAAAAAAGGAAAACAAAATCCTCCTACAATAACTGGAAATTTCCAGAGGTTAATAATTTTGGAAGCATATTCTTCTGGATATGTATGTAGTCTTTTATTAGTTCTAGCTGTTTTTCAGCAGACTTTAAAAGTTTTTTCTGGGTAAACAATCATGATTTGCAAGTAATAATTATACTGACACCTAATATTTATTTATTTAACATTTTGAAACTTTTTATTTTAGAGCCTAAAACTTCTAGGATATAATTGAATAACAATGATAGCAAGCATGTCTTCTTGCCGACTTTAATAGAATGCTTCTAGTATTTCACCCTTAAAATGATGTGATTTAAGGTTGGACTTTGTGTGAAGGGAGTATCCTCTTAAGCTTACCAAAATAATTACTTTGGTTGTAACTTATAGAATAAATTGTCAGTATCTTGATCTTTGTTTTGTCCAGATAAATGGCAATGGAACTATACCTTTGCTTTACTCAGATATCCAACTGTTGCAGCTCTTTCTCTTTTTACCTACAATAAAATATTAAATCCATAAATCATTAAGTGCATGGGTTTAAGTCTAGTTGTGGGACCTTGCTAACTATTCTGAATTTCACTTTCTTTATCTGAAAATTAGAATTAAAAATACTGACTTCACAGAGTTGCTGCATTAACTTATTGCCTAGAATGTAGCAAGCACTCAATAAGTGTATTATTATAGCTGTTATAATATATATATTTCACTCTCTGATCCTATTGGAGATATAGATATAAAATATATCACATGTAATAATAAGAGAGTGAAAAATCTCCTTAGAAAAGACTTTTCAGTTAATGACAGTGGTGATTCTAGGATTATCTTAAGTTCACTGTGGTCTTTTCTTTAGAGGTGGTAGAATGCCCAACTGTTCCAGTTTGTTCTGGATAGGGGAGTGTCCCAGGATGAAGGACTTTCGGTGCTAAAACCAGAGAAGTCCTGGGTAAATTGGGACAAGTTGGTCACCTAGATCATGGTGATATTTGACTCCTTTCCTGTTTTCATCTGATCAGGTAGGCTCCTCCAGAAGACAAAAATAGCATTCAAAGAAAATTATTAAAGGCCTGCTGATGAACTGACATCACCATCATCATTTTAGTAATAATAATAATACTGTAATAATAAGCCATATTTAGAAGGAAACTAAATATCTTTCTAAGGAAATTTCTAGCAAACCAAGACAAACACTACTGGGATGATTTTCACAAAAGATTTACTCTTTGGATGGTAAGCAAGCACTAAGAAAGTAGCTATTCCAATGGGGCAGGAGGAAGAAAAGAGAAGCTGGGGTGCTTGACATAGTTCAGATACTACAAATCTGGTGCTCCTGATCTACAGAAGGAAGTGTGGACATAGACCCACACTGGGTGTGAGAGTAACAGGAAGAGGTGCAAGAGAGAGGTGATTCCCCTCTAGAAAGTTTGGGGCAAGCCTGGAGGGGATGCTGGCTTTGTGGGCTGTTGCCAGGATAGTTGCTACCCACCTGTGCTCTGGCCTGAACCTGGCTGAGTCATCACCCAGAATGCTGTGACAAGTGGGAGTAATTATAGCCCAGGAGGACATGGAAGCATCAAGTAATTACAGCCGAGGGGGACACGCCCTGGGCTATGGCGCTGCTGTGCACAGAGCACGAGGCAAGGTACAGGCAGGTGTGGGCAAAAGGTATAGATGCTTCAAAGTATTATTAAAAATGTGTGGATCCCCATGAAGCTCTACTATACTCAAGTTTACCAGGATATTTGGGTAGGAATGGGGCTGATGAGCCTCATCATTTATAAAATCCAGAGTGCTAATAAAAGAAGTAAAGCTTTGAAATCTCCGGTGCCTGCTCACAGTCATCACTAACCAGCTTTACCTGGAGTACACATGAAATGAAACATCAGTCAGCTTGTAAATTTAAGTAAGCTGTGTTAGACTGTACACTTGTTTAAGTATCGCTTACTTCATGGCATGAATAAATGGATCTGTGAAATTCACTGAAAAAAAAAAGAGAGATCAAGATCGGGAGTACGGTGGAAACAGAGGTCATTGCTGGGTAAACTCAAAAGATTTAGTACACAGGACAGAGACATGGCTGAGGCACTGGGATTTTATTCTTACTAGATGCTGGACAGTTATTGTGGCTTCAATGAGATAATGCACATAGATACAGAGTTCTTACATGGCACATAGTTAAAGCTTACTATCACTTATTTTTAGTTTTTGCACCTTTGAAAGCTAATCAACTAATTTCCTCTAGTATAGAAGCCGGTGAACAAAAGTCAAAAAATGAATTTCTTTACTGGGAATAAAAGTTGTGCAAGTTGTGTTTGTTCCACCAACAATTTCCTTTGATCCAAATGGCCAGTATAGAAAGATCAGCATTCTTCTACAGTGGCTAGAGAACAAACAATGATGCCAAGGGCACATATACCAGGAAGAGACCACTAATGACCTCTCACAGGCCTCCCAAGGTAGCATCATGACCTGAAATTACCCATGCAGGCCAGGAACTGTAATTTTATTCATCCATAGGAAGAAACACTTATCTCAGGTGTTAGTTCTGCACAATAATCAAACTTACAAGAGTGAATACAAACCAGTGTATCTGTTATTTGTAGTTTTAAATTTTTATTGTTTTTATTTTTCAATAATTTAATACAATCAATCAATAAAAGAGGGCCATGTATGGGCCACTGGTGATAGTGTGTTACTAAACACAGATATTGGATAGGCAATTAGCAGTGTCTGCTCCAACCATGGCATCAGTTTATTAATTTTCAATAATAAATTACTATAAGAATTCTGGAGTCCTTATGATCAGTGCCAAGTGCCATGAAAAGTCCAATCAAAATCAGAAACCATTAATTTATTCCTTCAGAAGAAATTACTGCATAGGTTTATCTGACAAACACAGTCTTCCTTAAGAGATTAGCTTAACCATAATCAAGAGGAAGGTTGTCCTGAATGCAGAATACAAGCTAAGAAAGTTGACTGTTTAATGGCTTCAGGGTAAGAAAGTTTCTGGCCCACAGAACTGGAAATACTGGCCAGGTCACAGCCTCTCTAGGACAGTGCTAAGATGGAAATTACTAACATTGGCTTCAGTGACTTTTCCTGCTTTTTCTGTGCCCAAGTCACAAAAATCACTTTTTAATGTATGTATTATTTGCTTAGTCAAGTTAATATATCTACCTTGGTTATAGCAAACTTTTGCAAGCCCACAGGCCAGTTTTTCATCTCTAAAGAGTTTTTGTGTATCTCTGCTTTGATTTTGTAGCCTGTTGATTTCACTGTTTCTCCTTGTGCAAGCATCTCAAGTTCTTCTGACCACTTCACTGACACCCCTATATACAGAGAGCAACTATCCAATCTCCCTGCTTTTTGACATTCCTCTTATCTTGTATATAATACATAGGTAATTCCATGAAGTTCCTCAGGATCCCTTCTATTCAGTATATTGTTGACTGAAGTCTTTGGTCATCACCTAGGTCTCTGTGCCATTAATTACCTCCTTTATTTCTTGTATGTTAATTTATTACTCCACTGGATCCAGCTTCAGTCTACAAATATAGTCAAGTCTCCACTGCCCCCAAAACCCTGCCCTCAAGTCTGCAACTCTCAGGCTACTTTCCTTTCATGGTCGAGGGACTGGAAACAGCACTGTCATGCATCATTGCCCTCTTGCATGTATGAACACACCTTGCAAACTGGTTCCTACAAGTTCCACACTCCAGTGGAACTTGCTTCTTGGAGTAGAGCTAACCTTCAGTGACCTCTTCTCCCTGGGGTCTAGTGCTAGCCCCCGAAAGGAGTGAATGCCTTGCTTTGCTGACATTTTCCCTGGCCATAGTTAAAATAGGGACACACACTCAAGCTAGGTTACTTCCCTCTCGTAGGATATGGAGCATGGACTGGAGAGGTGCAGAATTTTCTGGAGCAGAGTTGTATTAATGGCTGCACCACCTGGGAGAGGGGTCATAGATTCCTAGGAGGCCCCCAGAGCTGCCCTGGTTCCTACCCTTCCCGAACCTTGGTTGTTCATCTCCTCCGCTGACTCTCTGTGAGCTCTCCTAGAATCCTCCTTTAGGCACTGCCGTTAAATTCCTTTTTTTCTTTCTGTCTAAGCTAGTGACAGTCAGCTTCTACCCTTTACAACCTAATTAACCGGTTAATTCTTAACCAGTTAATTCTCTTACCCTTTTTAACAATTCAGAAGCATTGAACACTGAAGAATCCCCTTCCCTGCTGAAATTGTTTTTCTGTGTCTTTGCTGCCTGTGCATTCTTGTGGCTCCTTGTCCTGCAGCATTTTCTCAGGCCCCACTGTCACTCCTCTTCTTTCCCTCACCCTTGAATGAAAGACTTCCTAAAATGTTTTAAAATTTTTTTTGTTTTGCTTCCTAAAATGTTTTAAAAATTTTTTTGTTTTGCTTTGAGACAGTCTCACTCTGTCACCCAGGCTGGAGTGCAGTGGCATGATCTTGGCTCACTGCAGGCTCCACCTCCCGGGTTCAAGTGGTTCTCCTGTCTCAACCTCCTGAGTAGCTGGGATTACAGGTGTATGCCACCATGCCCAGCTAATTTTTATATTTTTTAGTAGAGACAGGGTTTCACCATGTTGGCCAGGCTGGCCTTGAACTCCTGATCTCAGGTGATCCGCCTGCCTCGGCTTCCCAAAGTGCTAGAATCACAGGCATGAGCCATCGCCCGGCCCTTCCTAAAATATTATTTGTGAGAATCTTTTTTACATTCTCACTTATTCAAATCAACAAAACAAAATTTGAATGAGCCAGACACTCCACCTCAATTCAGAATATTTTGAAGACATAGTCTAGAGAACATGACTATATATATGGTCATATTCTATTGGCATAGTCAAGCAACAAGACATCCAAGTTCTAGATGTACATTTCTGGTTATCTAAATGTATATTTCTGATTCAACTCACCTAAGATCACCTATTACCATCTCAAATTTAATATGCTTAAAACTAGACTCATTATTTTTGCCCTCAAATATGATCCTTTTTCTATCTTTCTAATCTCAATCAATAACAGTACCATCCTCCCAGCATAAGCTTAAATAGCAGAGTCATCTCTTATTCCCTCTTCACATCTGGTCAATGCACAGGCCCTGCTGATTCTGACCCTGACACACATTCACCTCAGCAGAACACGCCCACAGGCACCCCCCGTCAAGTCTCCTTACATTTCCCTTCCTGCTGCAGGGGTTTACTAACTCAGTGCCCAACTATCTGGCTGTGCCCTACCCAGTCATCCTCTACATGGCTGCTTAAGTCTTTTAAAACTCAGATTTAATCATGACAGTTCCCAGAAGAGAAGCCTTTCAATGGTTCTCCAAGGGATGTTCATAAAAATTGCTGAGGAGTTCTGAAAAAGTGAAGATTCTTGGGCTGCAAATAAGACTTCCTCAGTCAGTTTCCAGAAATAAGGCATGGGCATTTTGAGAAACTCACCCCCCCACCCCCACCCAGGGATTTTGATATAGACCTACAATTAAGTGTCATTGCTTTAATGGAACCTCAATGCCTACTGAACAGATCTCAAATTTCTCACTGTGATATTTAGGGCACCAACTTCTGCTTCAAGCCTTGTCTCCTTTAATTCCTTACATATTCCAAAGTCTGACAAACAGTGATCACAGTAGTTACTATTTCCTGAATGCCTCCTGACATCATGCCTTTCATTAGTCTGCTCTTGCCACTTGGAATATCCTTTCTTCTCCATTTCTATTTCTCTCAATTACACCCTCCTTCAAGGTCAAGTTTGACTAATTTAGAGTAAAATACACTTAAAGTATTTAGAGTAGTTATGGGGTCATAATAAACCCTCTGTAATAGCAGTTAATGTTGTTATGATGATGATAATGATAAATAATACCTTATACTTCCATGAAGTCCTTACCACCCCCTAAATCAGAACTAGTCTTTCCTTCTTTTGTGTTTCCATTGCACTTTGTTTCTATTCCTTTTAGGGTATCTGCTAGATTCTGTTTTGCTTTTTGTACCTGTCTTCCCTTTCCTGGTGAAGTGAAACCTTGTTGGTGAACTCTATCTTGGTCAGGTACTAAATCATATTCAAAACATGGCAGTTGCTCAATACATTTTTACTATTTTAAATTGAGTTCTAAATGATCTATTTGAACTGTCACCCCAGCCAGAAACAGATGTTCAGCGGGACTTCCTGCCTGTTTGTCCAGCATGTTTTGTCTCTGAGCTGAGCAGGGGAGAAACCTGACTCAGAGCCCTTTAAATTAAACATGTATTTAAGTGGCAAAAGAATTTTCAATTAGAGCCTGGGCAAAGGAGACGTTAACATTTGTTGAGTGCATACTCTGCCAGAACACTGCAGTGTGTTTGCCCTTGGAACAGCTGTGTAGCAGGAGGCTGCTTCTGACCTATTCTGTATTCTTCCCTCCCATTGTTTGCTTAAGGTAACATTTATGTCTGATATTTGCTTAATGTGCCTTTCAAGTCGTTTCTGAGCATTGTAAAGAGGAAACGGTTCACTGGGTGGCAATGCCAGGCACTCAATCCTGAGTAACTGACGTGTTAGTGGTGCTCTTTGAAAAGTATGATGTACGGTTAAGTGTCAGACTGTCTGGATAATTTGCTGTTACCATCAGCCAGGTGGCTGTTTAAATGGTTTTAGATTGAGCATGAGTTTCCCATAATTTTAGGCCTTCCTCAAATCCATACTCCTAGGAGAAGTGGGGATTTTTGGCCCATGGCATGATGTCCCTGTGAACAGCAGCAGAAATGTAGATCTGTTTTGTGAGATAAGGGACTAAAGTGGTTCTTTGAGCCCATGCTTCATGTTGAATGGTAGTTAGGACTATAACACGGGTGGCTATATAACTTATTGTTAAAACAGTGGATGCTCAGCACAACAGAATCCTTTGGGACTATTCCAGGCAAACTGGGACCTCAGCTATTAAAGCACAGATCACCTCCACGCTGGGCATGGAGTCAGTGACAGCTGCTTCTTTCAACTCCAGATAAAGTGCTAAAAGAGAGAGTGTGAACCCTGAGAGTAAGTATAAAGATCCTCTGGATGTGCAGGATTCATCCTGAAGTGACTGAACAAAGCTAAGGGGTGAATTTGATAAATCTCTGCACTGCAGCCTAATGTTAGAGCAGGCTTCTTAGTTGAAAGAGCGAATCACACATTGGGGGCTTCTGAGGAAAGTTAGGCCTCTCCTCTAAATACCACAGTGTGATGAGGGGCAGGTATGGACTTTGCCTGAATACAGAGGCTGATGTCTGAACTTAAGAGTCTTATTGATTGCATCCATTGTTTTCTGGACTGTCCAGCGAAGCCCTCTCCAAGTCCTACCTTACCTTCGAGGCTCACTGAGCGAGGAATGTCTCTGTTGGTATTCTCACCGTCCTCCAATCCCATTGCTTTCTCCTTCCTTAGAACTGATACACCCTCTCTACTACCGAAGTTGTGACTTACATTTATACAGCCCCGCTGAAAATCATTACCAACCTACCTCAAAGGAATCTTTACTTATTGTGAATCCCTCTAGCATTGAGTTGTTGAGTCCCCTTTGCCCTTGTGATACATAGCCTTGCACTGTTACTTGTTCTTTTTACCTGGACTGTTTTGTCTTCCCAAATTGATTGAGAATATAAGTCATATATTATTGTTCTTCCTTCATCCGCATTACTCAATTATCGATGAATATTTATTGATTGATTTTGAAAATCTTATTTTGTATGTTGAACCATCTTGGTTTTGTTCTGAATAGACGAGCTATTTATGTTACCAAAATGTACCTGCACTTTCCCTTCATTTCTGACCATATCACCAAAAAAAAAAAAAAAAAAAAATTCCTCCTAATCTGGAATTTACATCAGACTTCTTGGAGGAATTGGGAGATGAATTAATATTTTAACTCACAAGGGTGATGCTAGAAGCCTAAAGTACACAGCAGAAGTGGTAAGATGAATAGAAGTGTTAAAATCCACAGAAGGGCCAGGCACAGTGGCTTGTGCCTGTAATCCCAGCACTTTGGGAGGCCGAGGCGGGCGGATCACGAGGTCAGGAGATCGAGACCATCCCGGCTAAAACGGTGAAACCCCGTCTCTACTAAAAATATACAAAAAATTAGCCGGGCGTAGTGGCGGGCGCCTGTAGTCCCAGCTACTTGGGAGGCTGAGGCAGGAGAATGGCGTGAACCCGGGAGGCGGAGCTTGCAGTGAGCCGAGATCCCGCCACTGCACTCCAGCCTGGGCGACAGAGCGAGACTCCGTCTCAAAAAAAAAAAAAAAAAAAAAAAAATTAGCAGGGCATGGTGGCGTGTGCCTGTAATCCCAGCTACTCAGGAGGCTGAGGCAGGAGAATCGCTTGAACCTGGGAAGTGAAGGTTGCAGTGAGCTGAGATCACACCACTACACTCCAGCCTGGGCAACTCTGTCTCAGGGGGAAAAAAAAAAATTCATCAGATTGGAATTGGGATCCTGGGTTTGGTTCTTGTGACTACTAAGCCTTAGAATTTACTTCTTCTCTGAACCTCAGTTTGTTCATTTGTAAAATATTGATCATAATATTTATTTCTGTAGGGTTATTGTGAAGATTAAATGAGATAACGTATAAGAAAACACTAAGCATGATGCCTAGAACAGTGAATGTTAAATAATTCTCAATCTGAATGGGTCACTGATGTTGTTTTGGAGTATGCCAAATCCTGTAATTCTAGGTATTTTGGTTTCCTTATAGAGCCACATTTGAAAGATCACCAATGGAGATAAGGTCAAACTTGTTAGATTGTAAATAGCCTCTTGACATAAGTAATGGAACCCAAAGACCTAAATAGAGGATGGATGGATTAGTATCCATTTATAATACACAAAATGAACTGTTCTTGGTCAATTTCTCACTTCTTTGACTTAATACAATGGCCTATTATTAAGTAATCAATCATTGATCTAATTTATTATACAATGAATGCAGTCTATTGAGAAAGTCAGATCAAAATGCTTAGCTGTTTTATGAGGGAAAAATCAGATGAGGAACAATTGTGTGTTATCACTAAAAAACAAAATTAACAGGAACAGTATCCTATAAATGAAGCATAATGTGATTGGCTACCAGCCTGGTCTTAAAGAAAATGGGTTGGTGACATTTTCTTAAATGGTACCTTTTTCCAAGGACCTCTTATCTCAAAATCTTCTGAGGGCATGGGCTAGAATGCAGTCCTCCAACTGGAACTTCTCCTTTTTCCTGAATGGAAGCTTTCTAACTTCCATGCCACTTATTTTTATTACCAAAAAGCACATATATGTTGGTGTTTATTTTCTCTGATCAGTTCTATGGGGAATCTATATCTCTTAAGCAGATTTCCCAAATGAGTATGGAACTATTCTTTCCCAATGTGGTTGGTATTGTCAACAAGGTTATTAAATTGTGAGCAAGCTCCTTGAATAATCATGAAAAGTGTCCCAGGTAGCAGGAATTCCAGGATTCCTCATGCATAACATGTGTCTCAGGTGACCTACTTACCACAAGTAAGTCTTTCACACACTCCTTTTGAACTGTGATGAAAGTAAACTATACAAAAACTGACAGGTACAGCCTGTCAAATTAAATCCCAAACTAGACCTTGATGTTAAAATCCTGAAATAGAGAGGACTTATCAAGTTAAATTTACATGTGAGGATCATGAGTCCTTAGCATCAAGAGAAAACCCAGACTTTTGTACTCGGCATGATAATAGTTTTATTTGAAGACAACACAAGTGAAATAATTTCCTTGCAAGTTAATGTCTAACCAATACATAATGCTTAGAATGGAAAGAAGCAAATTTCGTAAAGCACCCTTTTTCTTTTGAGCCTTCGGGAGTACACTTGAGATTTATTATAAGCTTTAAAGCCTTTTACCAGTCATGTTAAATACCAAAGGGAATAACTTACATGTGGGAAAATAAAAGTGTCCTTTCCAGCACTCACCATAAGTCACTTTTTTTTTTTTTTTTTTTGTGAGACGGAGTCTCGCTCTGTCCCTCAGGCTGGAGTGCAGTGGCATGATTTCAGCTCACTGCAACCTCTGCCTCCCAGGTTCAAGCGATTCTCCTGCCTCAGCCTCCTGAGTAGCTGGGACTACAGGCGCATGCCACTATGGCTAATTTTTTGTGTTTTTGGTAGAGACAGGGTTTCACCGTGTTAGCCAGGATGGTCTCAATCTCCTGACTTCGTGATCCACCCACCTCGGCCTCCCAAAGTGCTGAGATTATAGGCGTAAGCCATTGTGCCCGGCCAAGTCACTTTTTTATTGTCCTTCAAAGAGTAGTATTTTCAGAAGACAATGCTTAATATGTTGGTTGTGGCATTTATGTTGGAATTAACCGCCATCAGTGAAGCTCAGTTACCTGATTTCAGGCTGATCTTCTGAATCTTTCATTAGCTATATGAAAATGGATAGACAGAAATGTACAATGTTGTAATGACTAAATCACACCACTGACCAATGGTCAGAACTGTGAGTGGCTCTCACAACCTGTCAGCTTAGCTGCTTAGGATCTCAAGAAGCTATGAGGCAGAGTGGATAATAGTATATGTCCTAAAGTTGAAATTAGATTTGGTTTTGATCTGTGAAATTTTGGGTAAGTCTCTGAGTCTGTCTAAGCTTGTCTTTTCTTTCTTTCCATTTCTAATTTTACTGAGGCATAATTGATGAAAACTATATATATTTACAGTGTCCAATATGATCTTTTGTTATATGCATACATTGTGAAAATGATGACCAATATTAAGCTAATGAACATATCCCTCACCTTGCATAGTTATCTTTATTGCTGAATGTGTGGAGAGAACATTTAAGATCTACTCTCAGCAAATTTCAAGTATAAACTCGAGAATTATTACCTGCAGTCATCATGCTGCATAACTGAGACTTTGTACTCTTTCACCAATATCTCCCTATTTCCTCCACCCCCAGCTCTTAGCAACTACCGTTCTACTCTCTGCATCTATGAGTTCAACTTCTTAAGATCCCAATGTAAGTAAGATGATGCAGCATTTTTCTTCTATGCCTGGCTTATTTCACTTAGCAAAGTGGCCTCTAGGTTCATTCATATTGTTAGAAATGACGGGATTTCATTCTTTTTTAAGGCTGAATAAAATACCATTGTGTGTACATATACATATTATATACCACGTTTTCTTTATCCATTTACCCATCAATGGACACATCTTATTATTGTGAATAATGCTGGAAGGAACATGACAGTACAGCTATTTCTTCTATATACTGATTTAATTTCTTTTGGATATATGCCCAACAGTGGGGCTGCGGCATCATGTGCTAGTTCTGTTTTTAAGTTTAATTTTTAATATCTTAGTTTCACTGATCTTTTCTGTTGTTCTTTTCAGCTTCTATTTCATTTATTTTTGCTCTGATCTTTGCTGTTTCCTTCTTTCTACTGAATTTAGGCTTTGTTCTTTTTCTATTTCCTTGAGGTATAAAGTTAGGTTGTTTATTTGAGATCTTTTTCTTAATCTAGGCATTTATTGTTATAAACCTCACTCTTAGAAATGCTTCTGGTGTGTCCAATAAATTTTGGTATGCTGTGTTTCCATTTTTGTTTGTCTCAAGATATCTTAACATTTCCATTTAGATTTTTTTGACCCTTTGGTTGTTCAGGAGCATGCTGTTTAATTTCTACAAATTTATGAATTTTCCAATTTTCCTCCTGTTACTGATTTCTAGTTTCATACCACTGTGGTCAGAAGAGATGCTTGATATGATTTCAAATTCTTGTATGTGTTAAGACTTGGTTTGTAGCCTGACATACGATCTATCCTGGAGAGTATCTCACCTGCACTTGAGAAAAATGTGTATTCTGCTGCTGTTGGGAGAAATGTTTTGTATATCTGTTAGGCCCATTTGGTCTAAGTTATAGTTCAAGTCCAGTATTTCCTTATATTTCTATTTGGTTACCTGTCCATTGTAAAATGTGGGGTATTGAAGTCCCATACTATTATTGCATTGCTCTTTCTCCCTTTGGATCTATTAATATGTACTTTACATATTTAGGTGCTCTGATATCAGATGCATATGTGTTTAAAATTGTTATATTATTTTGAAGAAATGACCCCTTTATCATTATGTAGTGACCTTTTTGTCTCTGTTTTACAGTTTTTGACTTAAAGTCTATTTTGTCTGCTATAAGTATAGTTATCCCTGCTTTCTTTTGGTTTCCATTTGCATGAAATATCTTTTTCCCTCACTTCACTTTCAGTATATGTGTGTCCTTAAAGGTGAGTGAGTCTTTTGTGGGCAGCATACAGTTTGGTCTTGTTTTTCATCCATTCAGCTGCCCTTTGTCTTTTGATTGAAGCATTTAATCAATTTATACTCAAGCTAATTATTGATAGGTAAAGACTTACTATTGCCATTTTGTTACCTGTTTTCTGGCTGTTTCGTAGATCTTTTGTCCCTTTCTTCTCTTACTGTCTTTCTTTGTAATTTGGTTATTTTCTATAATGGTATGCTTTGATTCCATTCTCTTTATCTTTTGTGTATCAACTATAGGTTTCTGTCTTACAGTTACTATGAGGTTTGCATAAAATACCTTATAGTTATAACAATCTATTTTAAGCTGATAATAACTTCAATTACATGCAAAAACTCTACACGTCTACTCCCTATCTACCTTTTTTGCTTTTGATGTCACAAATTGGCATCTTTTTACATTGTATATCAGTTAACTAATTATTGTAGTTATTTTACTATTTTTGTCTTTTAGCCTTTATACTAGAGTTATAAATGATTTATATACCACTGTTACAGTATCAGAGTATTCTGGATTTGACAATATACTCACTTTTACCAATGAGTTTTATACTTTTACATGTTTTCATGTTACTAATTAGCATCTATAAAAAAACTTGTATTTTTTTCTTTCTAGGTTGGTCTTGAGGTCTTTTGTGAGAGTGGCTATAAACTCTAGCCCTGCCGTGAGGGTCCAGGGGATTTGGTTATGGATGCTAACAGTGTGTCTTTCATGTGATACTTCTTTATTCTGGTGGATGACCTAATGCTTAAGTGTCCTACCTGTGATCATGTGTCTCTCTCCTAGGAAACTTTTTTATACAGGCAGACACCCTTATGGCTCTTGTGACCTGTGTCCTGTTTATTTCTACTAAGATAGCCGCTCTCTAGGAAAGCCCTGAACAGAAAAAAATTTATGCTTCAGGTGCACCAATCAAGTAAGACACAGAGGAGGCAATTCCACAAAACCCATGAAATGATGGAAGCAGTGTATTACTTACAAATCCAGGCCAATGGGAAGGAGAGGGCTGTTGAGGAAATTCTCACTCAAGCAGTGAGTGGGGAGCAAAAGAAAGAGAGGGAACTGTGGGCCAAAGCCTTTACCAGGGTGTGGGGCACTACCTAACCAGGTTTTCCATGAGGAGTTCTAATTGCTGAGTTTGGAGCAAGTAGATAAGTGTTCCATGGAGTGATGCTGTGACTGAGAGGTGGTCACTGCAGCATATGTGAGCAGTTCCTATGGGGTGGGAGGGTCAGTAGGATAAGTCAGATAAGTTGCATCTATTAATAGCTGTTCCATATGGAAGTGGTCACTAAGAAGCAATTGCATAAGACAGATAACTGGATGAACCACACTGAGGAACTAAGAGACGGCAGAGAACTGCAAACTACGTGTTAAGGGTGACTAAGCCCTGCTTCTGGTATAAGAAACTTCAACTTATATTTAAAATGGATGCTGAGGAAATATAAAATTATGATTCACTAAAGTGTCTTTTTATTTCAGCATAAAGAACTCCCTTTAGCCTTTCTTGTAAGGTAAGTCTAGTGGTGATAAACTCTCACAGTTTTCGTTTGTCTGGGCAAATCCTTCTCTCTCCATTATTGAAGGACAGCCTTGCCAGGTACAATGTTCTTGGATGTTTTTTTCTTTCAGCACTCTGAATATATCACCACTCTCTTTCCCAGCTTACAAGGTTTCCGCTAAGAAATCCACTGATAAGTCGTGTGGGGGTTCCTTTTTACGTGACAAGTTGTTTTCCTGTTGTTGCTTACAAAATTCTCTGTTTGATTTTTGACAAATTGATTATAATGTGACTTGCTGAAGACCTCTTTCTGGTCAAACTATTTGGAGTTCTTTGGGCTTCATGGATTTGGACGTCTGCTTCCCTTTCCAGAATTGTTAAGTTTTCTGTCATTTATTTAAATAAGTTTTCTGTTCCTTTCTCTTTTTCTGTTCCTTCTGGAATGCCCATAATGCATATATTAGTTCACTTGATGGTGTCCCAATAAGTCCTGTAGGCTTTCTTCACTCTATGTTATTCCTTTTGTTGTTTATTATTCTTTCTCTGGCTGGGCTATTTCAAATGACCTGTTTTGAGCTCACTGAGTCTTTCTTCTGCTTAATTGAATCTGCTATGAAAGCTCTCTATTGAATATTTCAGTTCAGTCATTGTGTTCTTCAGCTTCAGAATTCCTGGTTGGTTCTTCTGTTTGGTTCATTTTTATGGTTTCTAGTTCTTTTTTGAACTTTAAATTTTGTTCACATGTTATCTTCCTGATGTCATTTAGTTGTTTATCTGTATTCACATGTAGTTCACTGAACCTCTTTAAGATGATTATTTTGACTTCTTTGTCAGACAGTTAGTAGCTTTCCATTTCTTTAGGGTCAGTTACTGATACTTCATTTTGTTTTAATGGTAGTGTCATGCTTACCCGATTATTCTTGATCCTTGTGGCCTTGTGTTGGTATCTACACATTGGAAGACATAGGCACCTTCTCCAAACTTTACTGATTAACTTTGGCAGGGAAAGCCCTTCACCACTCAGTCGGTCTATAGATTCTGTGTGAACTGACTGGCAGAGTTGTTGATGGGCTGGCCTGGTGCCTAGGTCAGTGGGTGGGTGGGCTTGGAGCCTGGGTTCATTGGGAGGAGCCTGAATCCACAGAGGCTTCCCTGGCACTGGGGATGGGCCTCGAGCCTGAGTTTGCAGGGGCCAGCCTGTGATTGGGCTAGGACTGGAGCCTGGGACTCTGGGGGCTGGTTCATGGAGGCAGGGCTGGCACTGGTGTCTGTGGAAAAGTTGGGTGCTCACTTCACTCTACTTCCTCCATGCAGAGGGTTTCTGTCTTCATGCTGTGCTGCTAGGGCTTGTGGGAGAAGGGATGAAGGCAATGTGAAATTATCCTTCCTATGCTCTTCATCTTTTCTTATTTCTGTGCTTTACCCAAGTGCTATAGTTGCCCATCTGGATTTATTGGTTCTTATGAAGGTATTTTTGTGAGTGGACAGTTATTCAAATTGATGTTTCTGGGAAGAGACAAGTCCTGGAAGTTCCACAATCCTGCTGTCATGCTGATAAACCTAAACCTCAACTTTTTCATCTAAAAATGAAGGACTGTTACACCTGCTTATATTACTGTTGTACAGGATAAATTAGGTAAAGCTGAAAAGCACTTAGCATGGGGCCTTACTCAATACAAATTAGATTTTGTTGTTATATTTATTATTGTTAATACTTTTGACAAAATTAATTAGACCATTGTGATATGAGGACTCCCACTTTTATTACCTTTTAGATATGACTAGCAGAAGAAAAGAGAAAGAGCAAGAATCTAATTAACAGTACTAATCTGAAGAAACATCACTCTGTTTATTCTACCTTGTTTTTTGCCCACATTCCTGCCCCACTTCCAAAAGGCAGAAAAATGGAGCCTCCGTGAACAATTTTTCCAGGATAACCTACAATCTGATGGCCCAGTCTTGGGACAGTATTTCCTCAGTGGGGCCCTCCTGAGACTGGCCAGGAAGAAGGGTAAAGGAGAAGAGAGGAGGAGATTTCAGGAAATTCTGCTGCAATTTAAAAGCCCTGAAGAGGGCGGGTGCGATGGCAGATGCATGTAATCCCAGTGCTTTGGGAGGTCGAGGCAGGAGGACAGCTTGAGCGCAGGAGTTCAAAATCAGCCTGTGCAACAAAGTGAGATCCCATCTCTACGAAAAATTAAAAAATTAGCCAAATGTGCTGACACACACCTGCAGTCCCAGCCACCTGGGAGGCTGAGACAGGAAGATCACTTGAGCCCAGGAGGTCAAGGCTGCAGTGAGTCATTTTTGTGCCATTGCACTCCAGCTTGGGTGACAGAGTGAGATCTTGTTTCCAAAAAAAAAATGCCCTGAAGAAATGAGAAAAAGCTAGAGATGATAGATGGATGATAAGGAGAATTCATGGCATCTGAGAAAGAGCCCTCACTTGGCACCTATGTACCACTCTATGCAGCATGATTTATTTCCTTTGGTCAGAGGCTGCCCTGGCAAGGGAATGAGCTTTTAGCTTGAGTTCTCAGGGCCCTCCCTGTGACTGAAGTAGGCCTGGTGTCAGGGTTTATAGGGGTCAAAATCAAGAAAACAGCTACTTTAGTAACTGCTGTACTCCTACCTGACAATTATTGGCCTGTATATATCAGTATCCCCAGAAAAGTTATTGAGAGGGTAATGAAAGCCCATAAGAATCCAAATTTTGAGAACTTTTTGGGATGGGAATGTGATTATCTACTGTCTGAATAAATGTTTCTAGAGACTATGTGATAGAGGAGACAACAGTCATTTAGACCTGGGTTAGAATCTTGGCTTTACTATTGGATTTTGAGCAAATTGCTTCTCTTAATCTAAGTTTCTTAATTTGTAAAATGGAGATAATACTTGAAAATTTTTTGATAAATCAAAGAGATTATGTATGTGCATTTATAAGGATCTTGCTAGGAAACAGATGGCCCACATAAACAAACTGCTAATTAGAGTTGGAACTATTTACAATGGTATGGGCAGGTGCAATAATCTGTGTGTGTCCCTCCTAAATTCATATGTTGAAGTGCTAACCTCTAAAGTGATTGTATTAGGAAACGGGGTCTTTGGGAAGTAATTAGGTCATGAGAGTGGAGCCCTTATGAATGGGATTAGAACTCTTGTAGACGAGACCCCAGAAAGCTCTCTCACCCTCTTTCCACCATGTGAGGATAAAATGAGAAGTTGGCAGTCTATAAGAGGGCCCACCAGAAACCCACCATGCTGGCATTCTAGTCTCAGACTTCCAGCCTACAGAACTATAGTAAATAAATTTCATTTATAAGCCACCCAATCTATGGTACTTTGTTACTACAGAAGTACAGTAAATCAGGCCAGGCGCGGTGGCTAATGCCTGTAATCCCACCACTTTGGGAGGCTGAGGTGGGCAGTGAAACTCCGTCTCTACTAAAAATATGAAAAATTAGCCGGGCGTGGTGGCAGGTGCCTGTAGTCCCAGCTACTCGGGAGGCAGGAGAATGGTGTGAACCCGGGAGGCGGAGCTTGCAGTGAGCCGGGACTGCGCCACTGCACTCCAGCCTGGGTGAAAAAGCGAGACTCGGTCTCAAAAAAAAAATAAAATAAAATAAAATAAAAATTAAAAAAAGCCGGGCACAGTGGCTCACGCCTGTAATCCCAGCACTTTGGGAGGCTGAAGTGGACGGATCACCTGAGGTTGGGAGTTCGAGACTAGCCTGACCAATACAGAGAAACCCCATCTCTACTTAAAATACAAAATTAGCCGGGCATGGTGGTACATGCCTGTAATCCCACTTATTAGGGAGGCTGAGGCAGGAGAATCGCTTGAACCCAGGAGGCGGAGGTTGCGGTGAGCCGAGATAGCACCATTGCACTCCAGCCTGGGCAACAAGATTGAAACTCCATCTCAAAAAAAAAAAAAAAAAAAAAAAAAGAACTATAGTAAATTTCATTTATAAGCCACCCAATCTATGGTACTTTGTTATAACAGCCCAAACTGACTAAGACACCAGGTTTTTAGAAATATCCACAAGGAAAGATGTAGTATCTTAGGGCAGGCAATGGAGAGGAGGAGCACTCCTCCTTCTAGATCTGGACAGCAACAGGAAGGAGAGGGCTGCCTGACAGAATCTGTGACCTTCAGAGAGGGATGCAGCCAACCTGTAGTGAGTGATTCGGTAAGGAGAGCACTAGGGAAATGAATTTCTAACTTATTTCACCTCTGTCCTATGATCTCCCTCCCGTACCTCTAACGGTCAAACCTAATTGGAAGCCAGAGCTCAAGAAACCTACTGAAGCACTCTATATAGGATAGTTTTCCAGGGCACACAGCAACACAGAAAAGAAAGGAAAGTGAACCTGGAGGTAAAAAATGGAAGATGATTGGAGAAGGTTATAAGGTACTTAATATGTTTCCTGATACAGATAGTACAGTTGACCCTTAATGCATAGGTTAGGGACATCAACCCCTGTGCAGCAAAATTCTGTATTTAAGGCTGGGCATGGTGGCTCACGCCTGTAACCCCAGCACTTTGGGAGGCCGAGGCAGGTGGATCACCTGAGGTCAGGAGTTTAAGACCAGCCTGGCCAACATGGCAAAACCCCGTCTCTACTAAAAATACAAAAATTAGCCAGGTATGGTGGCATGCACCTGTAGTCCCAGCTACTCGGGAGGATAAGGCAGGAGAATTGCTTGAACCTGGGAGGCGGAGGGTGCAGTGAGCCAAGATTGCACCAATGCACTCCAGCTGGCCTGACAGAGAGAGACTCCGTTTCAAAAAAAAAAAAAAGAAAATCTGTGTTTAACTTTTGACTCCTATCAAACTTAACTACTAATAGCCTACTGTTGACTAGAAGCCTTGATGAGAACATAAAAATACATATGACATATGTTATATGTATTCTATACTATATGCTTAATCTAGAGAAAAGAAAATGTTATTAAGAAAATAATAAAAAGAGAAAACACATCTGCAGTACTATACTGTATTTGTCGATACTATAAGTTTCTGTTGTTTATGAGATGAATCATCTGTCTGAAATGGTGGGCAACTACAGCTGCAGACCTCAATCTATAGTACATATTAAGCAATTTGACTTTTTCTTATAATGTCATGACTTTTGTCTGTTTCTTGGGGGCACTTTCAGCATCACTAGTGGCATTTTGTATGGGTTCCATGGTGTTATTCAAGGTTTATAGTATTGCCTTAAACGTGGTGAAAAACAGGCAAGAACCATGAGAGATCACTTTTTATAGCAATAGGCAATTTACTAGAGAGAGAAATTGCTCACATAGCAATGATTAGCATCACAGAGCATTTTAAGTGGATACTCGCAATTCTTGAGCTCACTGCCAATAGTAACAGGAGGTGGCTATGAAATTATTACGGTATTACCATATGTATTAAAAGTAAGTTTAAGAAATTATGATTTAATGCTGCATCTTCATGTATGTTTACATTTCTTGACTGTGAAATGTGCCAGGTACAGTCTGTGTTTGTGCATGTAAATTTCGATTAACTTTTTATAAATCTGTGTATATTTTTATGGTAGTAAATAATAAAATAGGCTAGTATCTACATATATTTATGCATTAATGACATAACTTTTTCTTAATTTTTCAATATTTCTAGGTTATACAGTTCATCTGTGAGTTTTTTCAAATTGTCATAAAGCTCCAAAAAATTTTTCAATACATTTATTCAAAAAAATCTGCATGTAAGTGGACCCATGCAGTTCAAACCCACATTGTTCAGAGGTCAACTACAGTCATAATAATTACAATAAAGAAAAGTATACACAGACTAGGTTTCAGATTATAGCTCCACCTTTTGGGGGTGGGCAGTGGATAATTCAAGAGCTTTTCAGAAATGTCCAAAGTTCTATAAATGTAAATTTTATGAACATTTCAGCAATATGTTTTAGATTGTTTATTGTTGAGAGGATTTTTTCCAATAACATGTGTTATATGCTTAGTTTTCTGTATCATGATTATAAACTTGAATATTGTTGGAAAATTCTGTGAAAAGAATGTAAATTCTGTTAATTGGTTTTTCAATTTAGATTTCCTTTTTCTCTAGAGTGTCACACTTTTCTAGGGAAACTTTCTTAGGTCAGTTAGTGAAACAACTAGTGTTTCATTCAATATCTAAAAAAACTTCCACATCATCTAAAAAATTTACCCTGTCCCAACCCAAATGAAAAAAAAAACATAATTTATAGTTGGTGATAAATTTTTACATGTAAAAACTTTAAAAGAAAATGTATTAGCAGTTGGGTAAATTAGTATTATTTTAAACCAATTTCTTATGGGTCAATAGTCTTTAACCAAAAGGTTCTCTCTCATTTTGACCATGAAATTTCAAAGGACTTTTCAGAAAATTCACTTTCTTCATAGTCTTGCCCAGTCATTAAAAATTTAGAATCTAAAACTGCTATGTCCTCTGTCATAGGGATGATTGGCATTAAAGATAAAGAGCTTGAAATCAACTACAGAGCAGGAAAATACATGACTTTAAAAAACAATAAATATTATCGATGACTTTGTTGGATATTTGTCTTAATAAAAATTAGTATTTGGTGGAGACTATGACTTTTTCTTTTTGGAAATTTACATTTATTTTTATTATGCATTACCTTAAATAATCAAATAAAACATAATACGAAATAAATTTTTGCCTTATATCTTGCTACAATTTCCTTTTTCAAGAGGCAAATATTTTGAACTCTTTTGGTAATTCCATTTGGTATTTGCCTTCATATTTCTAAATGACATGCTTATAGCACTATTAATTTTTTCAATTTTAGATACTATTTTTTCACAACTATGAAAAGTGAGAATTTAGCTCTTTTACATAATCCTTCATACAGATAATTTCTCCTCACTCCACGCATATCTTCAGAGAGTTATAATACATTCTCCACCATATTCACATTTTTATTATTATGCCTTTGCATGTATTATTCACTGCCAAGGCAAAATGGTATACTATACTTTTGTTTCTTTTATGATTATTATGTTAACTGGAGTTAGTTGCCTTTTTTTTTTTTTTTCATCTGCTTGGCTTTCTTCACATCTGTGGCTAAGTTTTCTCACCCTCCCTACAGCTCTCAATAATGTCTCTTTGTCCAATTCTGCATCCTTTTCAGATTATCAATCAGTTTCACTGTTTCTTTTGTCCTTGGGGATAGCTGTTCCTGGTGCCTTCTATCTTCTTGACCCAATTTGGACTGGTAGCTCTCTAGGCCCAGTGCAAAACTGTGATACTGGAACTTCCTTTTGGCATCCTCTTGGGAGTTCCTCTCTCCTTTGCTGAATTCCTGGTTTCCTGA
This sequence comes from Homo sapiens, assembly GCF_000001405.40. Taxonomy (NCBI): domain Eukaryota; kingdom Metazoa; phylum Chordata; class Mammalia; order Primates; family Hominidae; genus Homo; species Homo sapiens. Next base: position 93,202,151 of record NC_000011.10, on the reverse strand, counting down.
ATCCCATGTCTCCTTCTTTCTAAGTTTATTCCTTAATTTTGGTGGAGCATTTCTCCAGTGCTTTCTAAGAAAGGGCACATGGGAAGTACACATTGAGCTTTTATGCATATTAAAATGTATTTATTTTACTGTTTCATTTGATTGATATTTTGGTTAGGTATAGAATTCCAAGTTGGGTGTGTTTTCCTTCAGAAGTTGGAATGCTATGCTCCATTTCCCTCTAGCTAGCTTATGATGTTACTACTGAGTAGTAGATGTGATTCCAATTGAATGTGATTGCCTTCACCCCCATTTTTTTTTAATCTGGGGAAGCTTTTAGAATCTTCCTATTATTCTCAAATGTTCTAAAAACTTTTCAGTGATATATCTTGACTTAGGTCTGTTTGCATTTGTTGTATTGGGCATTCAGTGAATTCTTCAAATCTGGAAACAAATGTTCTTCAATTTTGAGAAATTCTGTTACATTATTACTTTGATTTTTTTCCTTCTCTCTTTAATCTCTTTCTGGATTAAGATATTGGAATTGCTGGATGGATCCTTTCATTTTATTTTTTTCACTTTGCTCTTTTTTTTTGGTCCTTTGGCTCTACTTTCTGTTCCCTGATTATTCCTTTTTTTTTATGGCGGTCTATTCCTGTCTCATAGATGCAATATCTTTTTTAAAAATCTACTTGAGAATATTGCAGAGGCTTGTTAAGAAGTTAAACTTCTGCTATCTGCATCATTTCTCTTTTCCAGGCACTTAGTTTTCAGTTTTTTTCAATTTGCTAAATCTGTCATAAAGAGTTAAATAAAATCAAGTTATTCTTAATAAAAGTAAGGTTGTCAGGAACAATTACTCCAACAAAGAACCTCTTAAGAGAACCAGTGCTGATCAGCATGTTTCCTAGGTTCATTAACAGAATAGAGAAGTCATTAAGCCAGATATTAATGAGAAGATGGTGAGAAGCTTGTCTCTATTTCCACTGAAAACAGAGAAGGATACAACAGCCTTAGGATACAAAATGAGTAATATTTTCCACAGAGGGGAATCAAATAGAGAGGATACATAGGATTTGGTCTGCTCAGCTGTTCCTTTGGAAAACTGTTTCCTTCTCCACAATGTCATCTACATGGTTGTATCAGGAACTACCACAATATATGACTTTGTCCAACACTCACTTACTTAACTAGTCCAGGGATGGGAATCTGATCCAAAATGACTCAATCACAGCTCTTCCCTAGGAAATGTTTAAAACTGAAACCGAGAAAAAGAGACCAGTATGTTTCTGATCATTCAAACTCTAAGATAAAAGAATTGAGAGCTTTTAGGAAACATGTTTCCTACCAGGTGAACCTGAGAAGCAGAGGAGTTCTGCAGTGGAAACCTGCACAGACACACAAGCAGATGCACAGAGAAAAGCGATCACTGAAGAAGAGAGTCTCAGAGGCATAAGAATCAGTTGTCCTGAGCCCAGTCTCATCTCTGTTCTAGCAATCTCAGTGTCCTCATTAAATTCCTCTTTTGGCTTAAGCTAGTTTGAATTGTCCTCTGTATTGCAATTAAAAAAAAAAAACTATAGCTAATATGCTCACTTTATTTGATGCTTCCTGTGAATCAGGCAATGTGTTAATGCTTTATATATTTTATCTCATTAAATCTTCACAACTTGTAAGGTTGGTGACATTATTTTTCACATAAGAAAACTTTAGAGATCTAACTATTATATAATAGACAACTCTATCTAGATGTTCCACAGGTGTCTAAAACAGAACCATTTCTCCATCTGTAAAAGAGGAAAGGCTAGATTCACTGCTGGAAATGCTCTTCCCTCTACACACACCAAGCCAACTCCTTCTTACCTTCATGTGTCAGCTTAAGTGTCTTCAGATAAGACTATCCCACCTTCTCAATCTAAAGTAGGTTCCGTGGTGGTACCCTGTTATTTTCCTAACCAACAATTGTAATGACATATTTAGTATTTTGTTTTGTTCTGTTCTGTCACATGCTATATACTATGAACTCCATGACAGTAGGGACCATACCAACATTATTTGCCCTTCTAGCCCCAGCATCTAGCATACTTCCTGATATATGGAAGGTGCTCCGTAAAATGTGCTTGAATACATTAAAGACTTCTAAATGTTTCCTTTCATATACCTATGAGGCTATATTCAGTAACTTTCAACAACTGTTCATTGAGTGACTGGTATTTGTAAGTCACTGTGCTAGGCCTGTTTGGACAAAGACAAATACAGTTAATTCCTCAACAGGCCTAGCACAGTGCCTTGCACATAATAGTATACAGCATAGTATAAAGCCCAGAAAGAGGAATAATTATAAGTGGAGAAGTGTTGTAACAGAGATACGAACAAAGTGCTGCAGTTGCAAAGAAGGAAGTAGTTAAGATGTGATGCAAGAAGTTAAAGTCAGGAAAAGAAATGAATTTCCAGGGTTCAAATTGTCACATTCTGTATAATGTCTCTATTTTGATACAGCTGTACTTTATATCTGCTTCTAATTTATAAGACCTGGAGTAGAAGTCCTAGTAAATATGTTCTCAAGTAGAGATGCATGAAAAACATATTTCTCTTGAATCTTATGATCATTGTTATCACTTGCTTTATCTCCACATCACTGTAAAGACATTGGGCCTCCTACCTCAGCCCAACCCTCTTCAAAAGATTTCAGGCCTATACTACAAGTCAAACTTTTCTTCCTTCCATATTGCCAGATCTGCTTTCCCTGAAGCTGAGATTAGGGGACAATGACTTTTGATCCCTTTTAACTCTCAAAGGATAATGTTCTTTTAAGATGCTGTCCCACATGTTCTCATTATAATGAGTGGTTTATGGAAAATTACCTTGGTCCTATAATTTCTGTCTGATGCCTATCTTCTCTCCTGCTGATCTTTAACCAGGTGATCCACCCCAACACAGGTTAGGGAACATTGCTCTAGCTATGTTCCAGAATAGATTTCTTCTTCTTCTTCTTTTTTAAAAAAAATCTCCTTTACCCCTTTATTTGTCAGGAACACTTCAAATAAAACCTTCTTTTGGGATTTGCATGTGTATGTATGTGAACAAATTGGGTTCACTTAAAGGAAAAGAAAGGGGGTTGGCAAACTGTCATTATCACTAGTTATCTAGTGAAAGCCTACAGAGGATGCAACAGGAGGAAAGATGTAGATAGTATGTAACTGCGTACCTTTTTAATCTCAGAATTTTAAATATTTAACACCATTGCCATATAGTTACATCAGTGACTGTTAATCAGACCCACTCCCCCCCAAAAAAACCCTTTCCTAAAGCAACCCCACTGAATGAAACGGACACAAATAAAAAGGATTGTCTGGTGTACTGACTTCCAAGAACTATGAAGTGAAAAAAAAAAGAAAGCGATTTTAAAATTAAAATAAATATTTTCCTTTTAAACCAAAAGCTTGCTTCATCCATTGATTCATCGAATATTCATTGGTACCCATCTGGGAGGCCAGCTTTGCATATTTTTCGAGAGCTCCAGCTCTGAAGGCAGAAGGATTCTACTTCTGCCATGTACAAGCTTCCTGTCCCCAGACACGTTACTTACCTCCGTGCCTTAATCCCTTCATCTTTAGCGTTAATGTAAATATTAGAATTATCTCACAAATTGTAGTCAGAATTAAAGATAATGTATGTATGGTGCTTAGGAGTACTTGAAACTACATCAGTACACTTAGTCTTTACCTTAATTTTCTTTCAGCACCACGGTCAACGTCAAATATCTGGAAGGACATTGAAATATCCTGAAAGTGAAATTGTATATGACTTAATTAAATTCTATTTAAGTGTCTCCTGTAACTCTAACTATAGAAACAGGGAGACGAATAACCAGAGTAGTCAGAACCTCAGCATGGGTAGGGGACAAATCCCGTCCTTCTTCGCATTCTCCAAGGTGACTTACAGAACGCTAACGCCTTGCATACGGACAGGCGCCCCAAATTTAAGTTCGCCGTCATCTTTAAAACCCCCAGGGAGCTATGGGCCCGGGTCTCGGCTAGCTCTAAGGTCCCACCCTCGCTGATCTCAGGTTACCCAACCCTCCTCTCGGGTTACCCAACCCGGCCTCGCAGCAGTCCTCGGGTCTTCGGCCCCTCCCGCCCCTCGCCGGCGGTGCCCGCCGAGCCGGGCTGTCCCACTGCGCATGCTCCTCGCCGCGCGGTTGGGGAGCGCCGGGGCAGGGAGGCGGGCACCAGGCGCGGGTCCCTCCGGGCAGGGGAGGTAGGCCTGGGCCTGACGCCGGCCACGCAGCGGCGGGAGAGTGAGCACTCGGGCGGCGGCGTCCTGGAGACCCGCGAGAGATGGAAGCGGCGGCGACGCCGGCGGCTGCCGGGGCGGCGAGGCGCGAGGAGCTAGGTCGGTGTTGTGCGTGGGCAGGGAGCCGGGGCTGACGTGGGCGGGGGTCTGTGCGGGAGTCGGGTGCGCCCACACCTCCAGGGGCCCCGCGCTTGGCCTGAGTTGAGGCCCGATTGCTAACTGACCCCGTGGTCAGCATCCGCAAAGGAACCGGTTATCTGACCCCGAGAACTTGGTCAGACGAAGCCCAGGCCTGAATAGGGCGTTAAAATATGTGTGTGTGTGTTTGCGCGCGCGCGTGTGGGTGAGTGTGTGTGTTGAGTGGGGCGGGGCCCTGTGGGTACACGTCAAAGACGCAAGAGCCTGCGCCGTGACTCACGGTTTTTTTCCCAATGATGCTTTAAGGAAGTTATCATTGTTCTGCTTTTCAAATGCTGCAGCCCCATTCGGAATCTCCAGATGAATCCTCATTTTACTCCTTGTTATCCCAGAGTTTCGAACAGGTCGTGCTGACCAGAATGAACAGGAGATACCTGTAGCTTGCTCACTTGGCAAAGTTTGTTTGTTTTTTGCTGCTTTCCTCCCATCTTGTTTCTTGGCGACAGGGCGTGTTTGTTTACGGTTTCCCGCTGTCCAAAATAAAAAAGTAAGGATCAGGGTGGTAAAATGATCGCTCTCCCAGTTATACGTACTGTACTTGGGAGTATTTTTCATTCGATGCTGATTAAATGTAATTAAAAAATTAAATCTAAATGGAATCTTCAAGAAAACCGTTGAACTTTAAAAAATACCGTATTATAAGTAACTGATAGGTTGTTGTTATTCCTCTAATAGCCTGCAGGGCACTTTGCAATGGAATTGTTTTCAGGCCGTAATAATGGTAGAAACAATAAACTTAACATTTTATTGCGTGCTTACTGTGTGCAAACACTGTGCTAAGTGCTTTACCTATGCATTGTCTTTAATCCTCACAGCAACTGAGATAGGTGCTATCATGATTTCCATTTTATAGATACAGTAATTTTAAGCTTATTAATGGCAGAACCCAAATGTGAACTCAGGTTTCATTCATTAATAACCTGTCTTAGTGAGGATATGGAGAAATGGGTATTCTCATGCATTGCTGGCAGGAAAGGGATAATATATTTAGCCTTAAAAATGTACATATCGGCCTGGCGCGGTGGCTCACGCCTGTAATCCCAGCACTTTGGGAGGCTGAGGCGGCCGGATCATCACAAGGTCAGGAGATGGAGACCATCCTGGCTAACACGGTGAAACCCCGTCTCTACTAAAAACACAAAAAATTAGCCGGGCGTGGTGGCGGGCGCCTGTAGTCCCAGCTACTCGGGTGGCTGAGGCAGGAGAATGGCGTGAACCCGGGAGGCGGAGCTTGCCGTGAGCCGAGATCGTGCCACTGCACTCCAGCCTGGGCAACAGAGCGAGACTCTGTCTCAAAAAAAAAAAGTGCTTATCGTTTGACCCAGCAATTCTCCTTCAGAATATTTCCCGAGGAAATAAGTAATGTAACCCATACTTATATCAAGAGGTTTTCATTATAGTATATAGAGAAAAGCTGTTAACTAAAGTACAATGAAAGGAAATTGGTTAAATTGTGGTATAGTTTTACATTGCCTACCATTAAAAGTGATGTGGAAAGATGTTCAGCATGTACATTTTCTTTAACTGAAAAAAAGTTTCAAATTATTTCAGTTTTTTTAAGTTTTATATTTTCATTAATTCAACACATATTCATTGAGCTTCCCCTAGGCACTTGAGATACATCGTGAGCAAAACAGATAAAAATTCCTGTTCTTAATGGAGCTTGTATTTAGTAATGGGAAGCAGAGAGTAAGCAGTAAAGACAATAACCAGTTAATTATATAGTATGTTAGGTGAAAAGTGCTATGGAAAACAAGAGCAGGGTAAGGGAAATCAGGAATGAGGGTGGGGGCTAGGCAGTTTACAGTATTTTATAAAATGGTTGGGATGGGCCTTATTGAAAAGGTACAATTTGAGTAAAGACCTGGAAGAGGTAAGGAAATTAGCCAAATGGATATCTGGGGAACGACTACTCCAGGCAGAAAGAATAACTAAAGGAATAGCAAGGAGGACAAAGTGGCTGAAGCAGAGTGATGGAGGTGGCGATGGGGCCAAATTATGTAGGGTCTTGTAGGTAATGTAAACTGTGACTTTTACCCTGAGGGAAGGGGAGAACAATGCAGGGTTTGAACAGAGGAGTGTCATGATCTGCCTTGTTTTAAAAGGATTGCATTGACTGCCATGTGACGAATAAACTGTAAGGGGGCAAAAGTAAAAGCAGAAGAATATTTCAGTAATTCAGGAAAGATATGGGTGTCCTTCAGAGCAGTATGGTAGTGGCAGTGGAGGTGAATAGACATAGTTAGTCTCTAGGTATATTTTGAAAGAACCAGTGTGATTTCCTGACAGAATGGGTGAGGGTTAGAGAGTAAAACGGAGGAGACATGGAAGACTCCAGGGACCTGAGTATCTAGAAGAATGAAATTGTTATTAACTGGGATATTATGGTGGTTTTGTAATATACCTACAGAGTCTTTGATGTTTTTCTCTTAAGTAGGAGAAACTTAATTTCCTTCTCTTCAAGTGGGGGCTGGACTTAGTAACTTGTGTCTAATGAATAGATTATGGTAGAAGTGATGATGTATGACTTCAATACTAGATAATAAAGTGCATTGTGCCTTCCTCCTTGCCTTCTCTTTTTGAATCACTCACTTGAAGGGAAGCCAGCTGTCATGTTGTGAGGAGACTCAAGCAGCCCTAAGGAAAGCTCCATGTTGCACAAAACTGAGGGCTCCGGACAATAGCCATAAATTGTTATACAGCAATAGATAACTAATACAAATGGGTAAAGTTGCAGGAATAGCAGGCTTGCTGGTGAAGACCAGTTCAGTTTGGGGCATGTTAAGTTTGAGATGTCCATTAGATATCAAAGTGCACATGTCAAGTAGGCAATTGGATTTTATGTCTAGCATTAGTGAAAGGTCTGGTCTGGAAATGTAAATTTGGATGTTATCAGCATATAGATAGTATTTAAAGCTAGGAGACAGAATGAGAACATAATGAGAGTTGTTTGTGTGTATGTGTGTGTGCCTGTGAACATGTACTCTAAAATGTTAACAGTAGTAATTTGTGGGTAATGAAGTAATTTTTAATTTCAAAAATGTTTATATATTTTCTGATTTTCTACAATGACCAAGTGTTATTTAATTTAAAAAAAGAATTTCCAAAAATGGGTATTTATGTAAAAAGCACTGGTAGAGATGTTAAGATACAGGTTCTCGTAAGGTATGTAAATAGCTTAAGGTCTGCACTTTATTTCATATCCCATAGGGACCTCTGGAAAGTTTCTTGCTGTGTATATTTCTTCCACCTCAGAAATGAACAAAATAGTAATGGTTCTTATTTTATATCTAGAGAGTACTTTATTCGGGTGACAATATTATGTTATTTTAAAAAATGAAACTATTTCTACTTTCTTTTAGTTTTTCTATTGCCAAAATACAAGTGATTTTTAAATTTTATTATAAAAGTAATGCAAGTTTGCTACAACTACTTTTTTAAATTTTTTTTATTTTTATATTTTTTTACATTTTCCAGAGAAGGAAAAGCACACTAATGATCCAATTGTCCGTCTATATTCTGGTAAACTTGCTCACATTTTGATATATTTACTTCCCCTTATTTCTACTTAATTTTTAAAAACATGATTGTAATCATATTGCAGATATTCAACTTTTCCCACTTAGCATATGATACACTTTTCCCTGTTTTACTCAGACCTCACAACCATAATTTAATGTCAGTGCAATATTTCATAAAGTAACTGTGCCTTAGTTAATTTAGTAATTTCCTGATTGCTGTACATTTAGGTTGTTTCGCAATTTTCAACGTCAGTAATGTTTTAATGAACATTCTTGTGCAAAATCCTCTTCTGCATACACTAGCTTGCCAGAAGTAGAATTACTAGGTGAAAGAAATAAACATTTTTAAGACTTTAATACATAGGATATTGCTAAATTAATGTGATTTTAGAACATTCTGTCTACAACTTGAAATTTATATTGGTTTTAGGCTTGAAAATTGAGATTCAAACAATTTTCTTGGCAAATAAGAGAGCATACAAGCACTGCCTAATTTAAGAATGTTCCATTTGTATGCACCATTAATGTATCCCTATGGTGTACTATGTAATACACCTAACATCAGATATATGGTGTATAATAAATGTTGTATAATATTGAATCAAGCTAGTGTTTCTTATTTATATATAATTTCTCCACTCATAAATAGATAGCACACCTATTCCTTAATAGTGTTTTAGTTTATAAGGCATCATTAATTTTTACAATAATAATCACAGCATTTTCCAGAGCTGCCCAATTTAGTACTTAGCCAAAAATTACAGCAAAACATTGGGCGAAAATAATAGACATTATGTGTAATGTAAATTGGGTTCTATAATCTTTAATTCCTTTGGGGTGTCAGTTTTTATTTCATATATTCTTAACTCTGTTTACTATGTTGAGTTGTTAAGTGTTTATCTCCCTCACTAATCTCTATTTCCTTCTGGCAGATATAACATGTTTTGCCCATCTTTGCATACTCAATCTTACAGCACAGTTTATAGGTCATAAATGCTCAGAAGTATTAATTATTATCAAATTATTTCTAATTTTTGTCAAAGATTGGCATTTAAAAATCCCATAGAGCTTAATATGCTTCTAATATATGGAGGAAGACAAAAAAAGTGTTTATTGATTACTTATTTATGTGCCAGGGTCTAGGCTGTGTGCTTCATATACATTATTTCATTCTTCATATTCTATCTATGTAACATATATGTAATATATATAATAACTTCATATACATTATCATTTGTGATGACATCACAAAACTCCTATGTAATAGAAGTTATTATTTTCATTGTACATATGAGAAAATAGGCCCAGAGGAATCTGGTTAAAATGTAAATCAGATGATATCACTCCAAGGCCCAAAACTCTCTAGTGCTGTGCTGTTCAGTGCAATAGCCTTTAGTTATATGGTTATTGAGCGCTTGAAACGTGGTGTGTTCAAACTGAAATGTGCTGTAAGTGTAAAATACATGCTGCATTTCAAAGACTTAGTATGAAAAATAGAATCCAAAATATCTTAATTTTTTACTGTTGATTACATGTTGAAATGATATTTTAGGTAAGTTAAATAAAATATTAAAATTAATTTCACCTGTTCCTTTTTTCTTTGTAAAAAAGTTACTACAAAAAATTTGTGTAACGTAAATTTACATTTATATTACATTGCATTCCTACTGGAAGGCACTGCTCTAGTGGCTTTTCATGTCACGTAGAATGGTCTACAAGGCTATGTGCAGTCTGCTTTCTGTCACCTCTGATCTGATCTCATCCCCTACTCCTCCCCCGCACTCATTCCTCTCTGGCTACCCTGCCCTCCTTGTTCCTTAAGCACACCAGACTCCCATCCTGAGGGCCTTTGCCTTTGTTCCTGCTGCCTAGATTACTCTCCCTCCCACAGGATATCCACGCTGCTCACTCCTGCTCCTTCGTCAGGACTTCTTTGAAATGCCACTTTCTCAGTGAGGCCTCCTTTGGCTGTCTCTCCAAAATTAGAGGCTGTCTCAATCCTTGTGTTTCTCCTTAGCACTTAACACTATCCAACTTATCTCTGTTTTACTTATTATCTTATTGTCTCTTTCCTTCACTAAAATTTGAGCTCCATGAAGGCAGGATTTTTTTTTGAGTTTTAGTAATTATTCTCAGCATCTAATGGTGTTTAACATATATTAGGGCCTCATTAATATTTGTGAAATTGAATAGGAAACCATTGTAACCTATTTAATTGAATACATTCAGTTATGAGGCAGAGAGCTTTTGTGTTGAGGGACTATTAGTGGATATTAGTGAGGATGACATTCTATTAATAGGGGTTTTTGAGAAGGGCCAGAAACCAGTAAATTTTGTGAGAGGGCTTATTCCTCTTTGCATCAGCTTCCTTAATGTGTTCGCCTATAATGCTGTTGTGCATAAAAGCCATCATAGTCTTTGACATCCTTTTCACTAGCAAACTAAAAGGTAAGCCATGAGAGTCTATTGTGCCAGGAAAAACAACTCCTGGTAACCACTTTCATATATATGTCTTTCAGGGAATTCCACAGGCAGTTCCCAGAGAGAGTATGAATGCTAATTCTTTACCTCATACCTCACTGCTTTTCATCTGACATCACAGTGTGAAATAACCAAGGGGAGGATATGGTGGTAGTGATGGGTGCCATCTTTCTTGAATCTGAGCCAGAAACCTTCCATAGGAAAGGGACGCGATTCTCGACAACACTGATTAGAAAACTTATCAAGCTTTCCAGCTTAATCTTCTGCCATATACATTTACCTTCAGTTTCAGTGACATTAAACCAACCTAAAGTTTCTCAAGCACGCAATTGTATTCAAGCCTGGAATGCCCCACTCAGCCTTGTGACCAATGCCAGGGCTAAAAGCTCTCCTAAAAAATTAGAGTTAAGTGTAAGGAAATCATATTACTGCATTTTTCTATAGTGTATACCTAAATTGGAAACAAAAATACAATTTAGCATGTTATATATAGTATTACCTGGAGCTTCTAAAAGTTATAAATGACTAGTTGACTCTATTTATTAATCTAATGTTCAGAGATCTAGGTTTATATAGGCTCTTACCATTTAAAGATGCAACTTCTTGGGTACTAAGTATTTCCTAGATATTTCTAGTTAGGTGTCTTTCAATTTACTCTTTAGATTTAAGAGCTGTTTTATATCATTCAAGTTGATATGCTCAGTCTTAAAACCTGATTGCTTTACCTTTTCTTAGTTTACTTAGTTTAACAGATAAACATTTTTTAGTATGTAATGTTACCTCTCTGTATACTAAAACTGGAGGGAAAGTCTTAGAGATTTTTCAGATGTAGTTAGAAAAATGTATTTACTGGGAGGCGGAGGTTGCAGTGAGGCAAGACCACGCCCTTGCACTCCAGCCTGGGTGACAGAGTGAGACTCTGTCTCAAAAAAAAGAAAAATGTATTTAAGCGCATAGTTAGAACTTAGCTAGTAACGTCACATTGCATGGTTCTTTAATGGTAGAATCAAAATAGTAAATAAATATGTACTTCTTAAATTCCTAACACTATTAAGAAGTATTTTAATCTCAAATTATTTAAACTTCGAAAAATTAACTTACTTTAATCTCATTATAAGAGAGTTAAAGGAGTTTCCTGGAATAATTCAATAAAAAAAATTTTTGTGGGCAAGTAATTGTACGTATTTGTGGAGTACATAAGATATTTTGATATAAGCATACAATATGTAATGATCAAATCAGGATAATTGGGATATCCATTATCTCAAATATTTATCCTTTTTTTGTGTGTGTTGGGAACATTTCAAATCCATTTCTCTAGTTATTTTGAAATACATAACAAATTATTGTTAACTACCGTTGCCGTATTGTGCTATAGAACATTAGATCTTATTCCTCCTACCTATCTGTATTTTTTGTACCCAGGAATAATTAAATTTTTGTTAAGGTTTTAAACGTGAAGGATGAGATGAATTTAAAGCAAATATATATATGAAAAGCTATTTTTCACAGTAAGTCATGTTTAATGTTTTCTAGAAAATGTAACATTGAAAATTAATGACTTTAAGAAGTAAGGAAAAGTGTAATAATAGGGATCACACTGTTGAACAAAGTTAAATAAATATGATAGCTGCTAAACAATGTGAGTTTGTTCAGAGTGACGGAGGTCCCAACTAATTTTTACTTCGGATTCTGAACATTGTAATACTATTTTTAAAAACTTAATTCTGTGAATTACAAAACTAGTATTTATAGGTAATTTTAACAATTCTAGATTTCCAGGTTTATTTTAAATGATATTAAAAATAAACTCTTCAATAATGCCATTACAAATAAACATCATTTAGAGTTCATATTGTTGTTAAAGATATGAAAAAACTTACCATTTTCCGTACTTTCCTTACTGCTGTGATCTCTTGGGCAGTGTGCTTTAAATAACAGATTGTTCAGTTTTTGAAATATTGGTAGTGATAACTATCTTTATTGAGGACAGATAGTATGCTTAGTACAGCACAGAACATACTGCACACTCCCTGACAGAAAGAAATCAGAAAGGTCAAATAACTGATAATTTGGATAAGCTAAATGAATAAAAGCAAATGAACTCTAGTCAGCAAGGGCAGTGGAGTACATTTAGGAATAAAAATATTAACATACTGATGGTTGAAACTGAAGTTCATACAACTAATAATGATGGTTGTTATGGATTAAATAGTCCCCCCACCCCTCAATTTATATGTTGTCATAGCCTTGCATACCTCAGGATGTGACCTTATTTAGAAATAGGGTAATTGTAGCTGTAATTAGTTAAGATGAGACCATGGCCAGGAGCAGTGGCTGATGCCTGTAATCCCAGCACTTTGGGAGGCTGAGGCACCTGAGGTTAGGAGTTCGAGACCAGCATGACCAACATGGTGAAACCCTGTCTCTACTAAAAATACAAAAATTAGCTGGGCGTGGTGGTGCACACCTGTTATCCCAGCTACTCTGGAGGCTGAGGCAGGAGAATTGCTTGAACTTGGCGGGGCAGAGATTGCAGTGAGCCAAGATCGCACCATTGTACTCCAGCCTGGTCAACAAGAGCAAAACTCTTGTCTAAAAAAAAAAAAAAGGTGAGGCTTTGCTGGAGTAGGGAGGGTCCCTAATCCAATATGACTGGTGTCCTTATAAAAAGGGGAAATTTAAACACAGACATGATTACAGAGAGAATGTCATGTGAACTTGAAGATGACTGTCCATAAACCAAGGAGAGAGGCCTGCCTGGAACAGAGCTTTCCCTCCCAGCCTTTAGAAGGAACCAACCCTCCCAGCACTTTTTCAGACTAATAGCCTCTAGAACTTTGAGGCAATAAATTCTCTTGTAGTACTTGATTATGAGAGCCCTAGGAAACCAATGTGATAGGTTTACAAGAGTACCAGTGTATTTTGTATAGAGTATAACAGAAAAGGATATAGGCTTTATCCAAACAGAAGGTGAACATAATAAATTTCTAGAGTAAATGTGAGATAGTAGATATCCCAGTAGACCTAATACTGGGGAAACAATTTTTACTGTGTATAGTTCTAGACCGTGCCACCTTTGAAACTGGAAAACAAGAAACAAGGAAATCCTACAAAACAATGTATGGAGAATGTCCTAAAGATTAAAGGGTTAGAAAAACCAGCCAAAAGAAAAGTTGGGAACTTTGAATTATAGAAAATCCTCATCAGTTTTGACTTCAGGAATTTGGAACTGATAATTCTGTGAATTTTACTCTACACATATTAGTTACGTTATTAGAAGAAGAATATGTAAATAATTTTATAGACTGTTTTCAAGCATCTTCCAGTATCTTAAGGCATCACTTTACTCTTATTAAGAATGAATATGCTGAATTCCAGTTGGCACTGGGCTAATGGAGCCTGCTAAAATCCTGATCTCTCAACACATCCTCCCCTAAAACCTGTGAATTCAACTTGAAGCACAAGTAAACCATTCATGAAATTACTCTTTTAGCATTGCGAGGAGATCAAGGATACCATGAACCTCAAATTATCTATAAGTATAAAAACAGAAAATTTTTGTTGCTGCTACAAGCATGGAGAGTGGGGGAGGGGAGTCTTTAGTATTTCGTTGGAAAAGAAGAGCGGGGAGCAGGAAACTGGATCAAGCACCATGAAAATCTCCTTCAGAAAGAGAAAGTCTAATTTAAACTGTTAAACGTCTAAACAGAGGTCAGGTCTAGAAGTTAGTAATTCATAGCACTGAGTACAGGAATGTGAATTTGAGCAGGACTGAAGGGGGAAGCCTTGACAAAACATTGCTTCTGGAGGTGAGAGATAAATAGAGCAGTGGAGATGCCCCTCAGATGGCAAGGGAGGGAAAGAACAAAGTAATGGGGAAAATTGGTGGTCCTGCAGAAATGAAAGAGAACTAGAAGACATGCCAGCTGCTTTTGCTCACCCCTAACAGCTCAACATTGTCTTTGAAATAAACTGAACTTCACTATAGTGACAGAGGGAACACTCTTGAACTAGGATTCCTGTGTATGAAATACTTAGAAATAGGAAAAATCACAAATAAGAAATAAATTACAAGATGTAAGGGAGAATGTATTGAAATGAAAATTTAATGTGTCACTTAAGGCAGATATGAATGAGAATGAGGTAAAGACAGACATCAGAAGGGTCAGAGATATAAAGTGGTTGAATGGAAGACAGGCAAAGAAGACCCAACATGCATGTAATTGAAATATCTAAAGAAGAAGTATTTGAACCAAATACATATTTAAAGCTATTATCCAAGAAAACTTTATAGTAGAAATAAGAAAAAACCTAAATCAACATATCAAAAGGGGCCCACTGTAGCCCTGGGAAAACTGACTTAGCATGGTCAACCCCAAGACATGTAGTAAAGTTACTAGACTTTAAAGACAAAGAAAATATCTTCAGGAACTCTAGGAAAAAGAACAAGTTACTTAATGGCTGAGAAAATTAGTCTGCCATCAGATTTCTCAAAAGTAGCATATAAAAGCAAGGCAAAAGTGGAACAGCATTTTCAAGAAACTCGAGGAATGAAAGTGTGAGCCAAGGATTTTATATCTAGTTGTTCCTCAAGTATCCAGGCTATAAAGAAAAACAGTGTGAAACGTGTAAAAACTCAGGGAACACTGTGCCCATGAGACCCTCCTGAGGAATCAGTTAGAGCAGTGGTCCTCAAAGTGTGGTCCCCAGACCAGCAACATCAGCAGCACTGGGGAACTTGTTAGAAATGCATATTTTCAGGCCCACCCCAGACTTACTGAGTGGGAAACTTTGGGATGGAGTCCATTATTGTGTGTTTTAGCAAGCCCTGCAGGCCATTCTGATGCATACCTTTTAAGAAGATGTACTTCTTCCAGCCAAGGGAAGATTGAGGAAACTTTGGCAGAGAACTGATAGTGGATATTGATATTGATTGTAGATACATGTCTAAGAAATGAGTAGAGACATAATTTGAAGGACAGTATGAAAAACATCATATGTATTGTCAAAGTAGAAAGAATACAACTAAACATGAGAAACTAAGGAACAGAGACAGGAAAAACTAGAATTAAATTATTAATTGTTGTATAGGTAATAGGTAGAAGTCAGAGAGTACCACTTAAAACAGTCAAACAAGATAGTAAAAAATTAAGTAAGAAAAAAAGATGATTAAAGGCATCATAAAAAATATAATGGCAAAGAAACCACTAGAACAACTCAATTAAATGCAATATATAATCCTGGACGGAGGAAAAAATTGCTAAGAGGAATTTATTGGTATAACTGATGAAAGTGGAATATGGAATGTAGATTAAATAGAGTATTGCATCAATGTTAACCTGAATTTGATAATATGAATATTTAAGAGAATATCCTTGTTCTCAGGAAATACACACTGATAAAGTGGTAAAGGGCAAATTTTGATACTGAAATTTTAAATATTGGAATCACTTTGTAATTTTCATCAAGTATTTAAAAACGTGATTACTATTTACCTGTACAGTATGATTTGAAGCTAAGCAGCGATGAAAATATATTTGATCATTTCTTTACATTTCTCATGGTGTAATTCTATGATCATTTACTATAAACCTCTTGTGGATAAAGCAGAAAAAGTTTTGCATTTAATATTTAAGCTTTCACCTTGCACTGCATATTCCAAACAGAATATCCAGCAAATAAATTTAGTTGTTTCTTTTTAAATGTACTAAAACTCAGGGTATTAGTATGAACTAACTTAGGATGGAAATAGTAAAGATGAGTACAAATGGTGTTTCCTAATATTTTGAAATTCATTTATACCAGCTTTATCCAACTTTTTTAAGCAATAGTGAAGTACTTTGTTTTTCTTTTTTAAAGATATGGATGTAATGAGGCCCTTGATAAATGAGCAGAATTTTGATGGGACATCAGATGAAGAACATGAGCAAGAGCTTCTGCCTGTTCAGAAGCATTACCAACTTGATGATCAAGAGGGCATTTCGTAAGTGTTATGGTTTATAAGTCTCCTTTTCTTTTAATTCAGTATGTATTTTGTAATCTTCTTCTACAGGCAAGACATTCTATTACATTACAAGACACAAATATAAGACATAGTCTCCACCTTCAATGAGTTTATAGTCTATTTGGGAAAGAAATGCGTTTAAATCACAGAGCAGTGTATAGGAATTACTGGAGTGATGATGCGTAACAAATGCTAGGGATCTTGAAAGAAGGGAGATCTGATTAAGTGGAACAGGAATGTTAAGAGAAGTGATGTCTGAAATGATCAGGAGGTAGTACATGCTTCTTTATACTGAAACAAAGTCGTGGAGGTAGAAATGCATTGTAACTTTTGAAAACCTTTTTTGACATTTTGTCATCGTTAATAGATTTGAGTAACTTCTCATTCTAATAATAGTTTAATGGTTCAGCAAAGTAATATGCAATTGATCAGAAAAGAAGAATATAAACTGAAAAAATATTTAGGTAAACATTTTTGTTTCTTAAGTTTACACTTTTTGCTCTTCATTTTCATTTCAACTTATTTCTTCCTGATGAAGATACTTCCTTCACATGCTTCTGAAAACTACTCTTAGGTCAAATCCCTTACAGAATTCATAGTATCTAAAAATTGATTCGTGTTTATCTTACCTGTTGATTCATATAGTTTTAAAACTTGTATTTTTTTTAAATTAACTTCTTAGGTTGACAATGATAGATCAAATGTGTTTAGTATCATGGTTACATAGGTAGTGTCAATACATTGCTGTGTTACCAACCAAATACTCAACATTGCTTTGAAAATCATAACAGCAAAATATCTTATGAGAAAATTACTTTTTAAAAAAAATTTATTGCTTCACTGTGTACAAAACCACACTGTAAAGAGAATGCCTTTAGTCTTTTTTAATTTAATTTTTTAGTATCTTGTTTGGCGGATATTTCACTTAACTATGTCATTTAATATCCACAATAACTCTTGTTATTCCACTTTTAATTAGCAAAGATAGGACTTGAACCAAGTATGACTTCTGGCCCAGTGGTGGGATGGAAATGTTATTTGGTTCCTTGCCTAGATTAATTTTCAGTTCCCTTCTAGTACTAAAACCATGATCATGTTATAATAGATTTTGTTCTAAAATATTTAAGTCTTACAACTTTTACTTTTCAGATTTGTACAAACTCTTATGCACCTTCTTAAAGGAAATATTGGAACTGGCCTTTTAGGACTTCCATTGGCAATAAAAAATGCAGGCATAGTGGTAAGACTTATCTTTGTAATCACCAGTTAAGATGCAGTTCTCAGTCTCATTTATAGCAACCTAATATCTGGCCTAGTCAAATATAACCTGGTAAGGTGACATTTAGATGATCATTTAGATGTTGTCTTGATAAAATTGTGTCAACTGTGATAATGATATTTAACAAAAAATAATAATTACTTTATTCATTTCTACTTCATTACTTATTTGTAATATTTAGCCAAAAAAAAGCCACAAACCTAAAACAGTCTTTGATTTTTCCAGGTATAGTTATATCTTATTATTATTTTAGATTTTCAGGAATTGAATTTAGCAGTGTAATCACAGCAACAAATATATTTATAGAGCAGATTATTGGTAACGTGACATTGTATAGTTTTTTTAGAGTCAAATATACAGTTTTCAGAATTTAAATAACAGTTAAGAAAAGTTGGCCGGGTGCGGTAGCCCATGCCTGTAATCCCAGCACTCTGGGAGGCCGAGGTGGGCAGATCACGAGGTCAGGAGATTGAGACCATCCTGGCTAACACGGTGAAACCCCGTCTCTACTAAAAAATGCAAAAAATTAGCCGGGCGTGGTGGCGGATGCCTGTAGTCCCAGCTACTCGGGAGGCTGAGGCAGGAGAATGGCGTGAACCCAGGAGGTGGAGTTTGCATTGAGCTGAGATTGCGCCACTGCACTCCAGCCTGGGCGACAGAGCAAGACTCTGTCTCAAAAAAAAAAATAAATAAATAAATAAAAGAAAAGTAATAACAATAACTTTTAAAAACCAATATGTAAAGCATTGTTAGAGGCAGTTATTGTAATTATTATAATTGCAGAGAACCTTGATAGGGGAGAAACCCATTTATGAGGTAATAAAATAATATTTAACTTTTTTGAATAGACCACTTTCTAAAAACAGTTTTAACTATCCCTGCATTTGACTGTTTTGTTCCCCTAATTTAGATGATAAAAACTTTTGATTATAAAAATAAACTTTGGCAATATTTTGGTTGTATCTGGGTAATTACTAGCATTGCTTTAATTTTAGTAAATAAATATTTAAAGTATTTTATTTACTACTTTTTGAAATAATTATTTTATAAGCATGGTTTCTGACACATAGTAAGTACCCAAGAAGCAGTCTGTAGAAGAAATAAATTGCTCACAGTCTCCGTTTGATATTGTGCGTTTTCGGGATTTAGATAATGATGCATGGTTGCATATAATTATAATGGTGGGTCACTGATAGTTGTAGACTTGCCATCTGATGTTAAATATGATCTTGTGTTCTATCCTACTTTGTTGTCTATACTCCATATTCGTAGGTTTGAGTAGCTATGTTAATAAGATGGAATTATACATGGTTGTCTTAAATATTACTCGAAATTCCTTCTGCATCAAGTTTATTAGTTTTCCCTTATGCAATGACTAATCATTTTGCTCAACAAATATTTATTCACTGCACGTGAATAATCCATTGATTCATTGCTTATAAGATTACTCAATTTCTGTTAAATATTTAAACCTTATAAATTTTTTTTCCCCACAGCTTGGACCAATCAGCCTTGTGTTTATAGGAATTATTTCTGTTCACTGTATGCACATATTGGTACGTTGCAGTCACTTTCTATGTCTGAGGTAAATGTGGATTTGTTAAGCCTATTTATTTTAAAGCTATCTTTTATTTACAGCATCAGATAGTCTTATATTCTACTGTGCTTTGTATTTCGTTTAAGCTTTTACGTAGATAAATCTAAGGTAATGAATATGGAAGAAGGTAGCATTTCATATAATTTAAATCTGGTTGGAATCTATTTATTTTTAAAAGGTAGCCTTATTAGTGAAATAGTATGGTTTCTCTTAGTATAAATGGAAAAAATTAGAAAAGATATATAGAGGCAATGGAGACAGTGGTGTGATTTTTAGCTATAGCATAATAGTCTTCAATGTGTTAGTAATTCTGTTTTGATTATAATGCCTTTGGTGCTCTCTGCTGATGTATGAGTTAGTAGATAGTCAACAACACAATATTATTTGTCTTTATTTTTGTATCATGAAATACTTCTACTGGACAGTAGACCATATGTATTCTAGTAGCCTAATATCAAGTCTTGACTCTTTTTTGTTGTTGTTATATACTCTTAAAACTTTGGGCAAATCATTTATGAGCTTTATAGAACAATGTATACTTGGGAAAAAAAAAGAGAGAATGGAGAAATAATACCTACCTCATGGGAAGATTAAATGAGATAGTTTATGTGAAAATGTATTGTGCAGCCTTGCACAGATGTATTATTAAATAATGCTGTTCTAAGAATGGAATAATTTAGACATGAATAATGTAGTTGATGTTTTAGGCATTTGAAATATTTAAATTAATAAAGTACAAATATTAAGTTACATGAGTTCTGCACTTACATAAACTTTAGCAGTAGATAAAATTAATGTACTGGTAAAAAGGACAGATTTAAACATTTAAAACTTTATGAGGCATGCTTTAGAAGTATGCAGATCTTGACATTTTGGTAACTCATTTGTCAGTTCATAGCCTTGCATTTATTAATTCCCATTTATTTTATGTTTATTTCAAGAGGTGGTTTTATGGACCACCTTAAAATTTTTCTTTTTTCCTTTGTATGTATGTCATTAAATTACAGGTTTAAAAAGTCAACATTAGGTTATAGTGACACTGTGAGCTTTGCTATGGAAGTGAGTCCTTGGAGTTGTCTTCAGAAGCAAGCAGCATGGGGGCGGTAAGTACTTACTCTGTTATTAATATATGATTGTTAAAATTATGTTAATTTTAAGTATTTTAACCTAACAATATATATAAATAAAAATATGATAAAGTTGGGGAATAAACATATGTAACCCTTAGAGTTAAACAGACTTAGATTCTAATCTCAACTTGACCATTTTTCAGCTTTCTGACCTTGATCAAATTATTTATCATTGTGGTTTGTTTTTCTCAGTATGAAATGAGTTTACAGTAATACCCATTTCACAGGATCATTATGGTAGATGAAGTAAAATGATATTTATAAAGCATGACCTGGTCAAATGATGACATAATCGTGTTCATTAATTTTTTAAATAAAGGAAAACAAGAAAAATGTTGCAGTCTCATTATTTCAAATAAATTTGTAGTATTTGTATGCTTATCTGAGGTATGGCTATATTTTAGCATAACCTTATTTTATTGTCTTGTTACTTAAATGTAACTTTATTATTGGTGGCTCTGGCAAATCAAAGTAAGATGAATACAGGACTAGAAAAATAAGGAAGCATAAGCAGTCAGCAAAGTGCTACCTGTTGTAAAGATGACATGTGAGATGGGAATTAAAAGAAGAACAGTGTTAGTAGAGTAGTTTATAGTTAAGTGTGGCCTTTCTGGAGATTTTCAGGAAGTTAGATTTGGCATGAACTGCTCTGAGTTCCTGACATACTGAGTAGGAGAATATATGCTATAATAAAATGTTTTAAAACTCTTGAAAAGAGAAATAAAATATATTGACATTTCAGTAGCTCTCCTGGATACTCATTTGTGGATATCTTTTTTCAGGAGTGTGGTTGACTTTTTTCTGGTGATAACACAGCTGGGATTCTGTAGTGTTTATATTGTCTTCTTAGCTGAAAATGTGAAACAAGTGAGTATTTTTCTCCAGTTAGTGAAATCATTTTCTTCTAAAGCCCTAGTTATGGCTTCATATATCTTCTGTGGAAGCCACAGTTGAATTTGAAAATGTGTTCCTTTCATAAATGATCTTCCTTTATAAATTTTCCTTTAGTCTTTTTTCTTGCAAGTTGGATTTCTGCTGTAATTGTTGATTTCACTGTTTTGCTATAATACTGATAATGCTTGTTTTTTCAGATCAGAATATGACATAATTTACTGATTCTTAGCTACTTGAAACTTAGATCTCAAAAGCATATACATAGATGCTTTGGAAGCATATTCTTTACATTGACATTGTTTAAAGAACTATATAAGGCTTTAGCCAGTAGGCTAAAAAATCAAGTAAAAATAGTGAGCATTCATTATTAAAATCTGGTAATTATAGCCATTGTGTAAAAAGACACTGTGTCCAAAAATGAACAGTTTTCTGTAGTTTTTTGAGAAACTTTCTCATATTATGAAGGTTTGCTTTAAGAAGAAGTGGTTTGCAGTCTTGGAAGAGATTGACAGTGTATTTGGACAAATATGGAAAGCAATGAAATAAAAAATCCCTCCATCAAAACAATACTATAAAGCACTTTTATGACTGGTATCATTATTCCTACATTATCCCCTGCTCTTCTTTAATCATTATTTTAATCAATAATATTTATTAATTATCCACATGTCCATGGTACAGTAAACATTTTACATAGTAATATATAGGATTGTCTTGTAGATATTTTTATGCAAAATGATGGAGTGTGTATGTTTTCTAAAGAACCTGTGTGTAGGTTCTTGTGCATTTGTGTATTTGAGTCTCTTTTCTAAGTATAGACTATGCTTCATTTCACTGAGAATTGGCAAACTGTTTCTGTAGAGGGCCAGTTAATAAGTATTTTCTGCTTTGCAGGCCATATGGTCTCTGTTGTAACTACTGAGTTCAGCCATAGGCAACAATATGTAAACAAATAGATATGGCTGTATTTAGGTAAAATTTTATTTGCAAAAATAGGTGGTCTGCAGACCATAGTTTTTTAACCCCTGATTTAGACTATCCCTGTATGCTATATTTGAGCCATTCACTTAGATTTTTAGTATTGGAAGAAGTCATTGAGTCAAACTCTCTTTTATAAAAGAGTTCATAGCTAGTTAGGAATTAGGGCTTGGATTTCTGGTCAGTTTTTTTTCCAGTGTACCATGTCTCAGCATCTAGAAAAGTTTTGTTTATATCTGGAACCTTAAATGTCTGGAAACTTAAATGTCACCTGTTCTGTGAAACCTTTCTTAACTGTTCCTTCCATGTCTTCCTTTTCTTTATCTCTAGCCAGAATTTATTGGTTTTTGTCCTGGCTTCTGTATAACTTTTTAAAATAGCCTTGATCATGCTGTACTGAAGTTAATCTACAAGTTATTTTTCACCACTAGACAGCAAGCCTTATGAAGGAAGGGACTCCCATATCTCTTGTGTTCATCACCGTAAACTAGCATCTAAGAGTGTCTGGCTTATCAGTACCCAGTATGGTTATTGGCTCTGAAGGAAAATGAACTCACTGGACTGGGAGAGATTATACCTTTTTCATGTCTTTATTTCTCAGACCTAGTACTGTACCTGGTTGATAGCACAAGTGTCAGTAAAACTTTCTGGACTGAAAGGGTTTAATCCTTTTGTTTGATTTCCGTATTGATGGTCTCTGCCACTTTCCTTGCTCCCATCCTGTGCAAACACCCATTTTTCCCATTTTCTCTGTGAACTCTTCTCTTTCAGCCCCTACATGATTGTTTTAGCTTGGTTTCTCACTTCACAGCTGTTTTCCTATCTCTATAAAAGGAATGGTAACCTTAGGGTTTTGAAGGTAAACATATCATCAACAAACAGGGACAGTTTGACTTCCTCTTTACCAATTTGGATGCCCTTTATTTCTTTCTCTTGTCTGATTGCTCTGGCTAGGACTTCCAGTACTATGTTGAAGAGGAGTGGTGAGAGTGGGCATCCTTGTCTTGCTCCAGTTCTCAGAGGGAATGCTTTAAACTTTTCCCCATTCAGTATTATGTTGGCTGTGGGTTTGTCATAGATGGCTTTTATTACATTACAGTATGTCCCGTGACTGATAAAATAATTCAGCAAAGTTTCTGGATACAAGATTAATGTACACAAATGAGTAGCTCTTATACACCAACAGTGACCAAGTGGAGAATCAAATCAAGAACTTAACCCCTTTTCCTTTTACAAAAGCTGCAAAAAAAAATTAAACTACTCGCCGGTTCCAAGATGACCAATAGGAACAGCGCCAGTCTACAGCTCCAAGCTTGAGCGACACAGAAGACGGGTGATTTTTGCATTTCCAACTGAGGTACTGGGTTCATCTCACTGGGGCTTGTTGGACAGTGGGTGCAGCCCATGGAGTGTGAGCCAAAGCAGGGCAGGGCATCATCTCACCAGGGAAGCACAAGGGGTTGGGGAATTCCCTTTCCTAGCCAAGGGAAGCCATGACAGATGGTACCTGGAAAATTGGGACACTCCCACCCTAATAATGCGCTTTTCCAACGGTCTTAGCAAATGGCACACCAAGAGATTATATCCTGCGCTGGCTCAGAGGGTCCCACGCCAACAAAGCCTCGCTCACTGCTAGCACAGTGAGCTAGCAGTGCTCACTAGCACAGCAGTCTGAGATCGAACTGCAAGGCGGCAGCGAGGCTGGTGGAGGGGCGTCCGCCATTGCTGAGGCTTGAGTAGGTAAACAAAGTGGCCGGGAAGCTCGAACTGGGTGGAGCCCACCGCAGCTCAAGGAGGCCTGTCTGCCTCTGTAGACTCCACCTCTGGGGGCAGGGCATAGCTAAACAAAAGGCAGCAGAAACTTCTGCAGACTTAAACATTCCTCTCTGACAGCTTTGAATAGAATAGTGGTTCTCCGAGTGCAGAGTTTGAGATCTGAGAACGGACAGACTGCCTCCTCATGTGGGTCCCTGACCCCGGAGTAGCCTAACTGGGAGACGCCTCCCAGTAGGGGCCAACTGATATCTCATACAGCCGGGTCCCCCTCTGAGACGAAGCTTCCAGAGGAAGGATCAGGCAGGAACGTTTGCCGTTCTGCAATATTAGCTCTTCTGCAGCCTTTGCTGGTGATACCCAGGCAAACAGCATCTGGAGTGGACCTCCAGCAAACTCCAACAGACCTGCAGCTGAGGGTCCTGACTGTCAGAAGAAAAACTAACGAACAGAAAGGACATCCACACCAAAACCCCATCTGTACGTTACCATCCTCAAAGGCCAAAGGAACGCAGCTCCTCGCCAGCAACGGAACAAAGCTGGACAGAGAATGACTTTGACGAGTTGAGAGAAGAAGGCTTCAGACGATCGGTAGTAACAAACTTCTTCAAGCTAAAGGAGGATGTTCGAACCCTTCGCAGAGAAGCTAAAAACCTTGAAAAAAGATTACACAAATGGCTAACTGGAATAAATAGTGAAGAGAAGACCTTAAATGACCTGATGGAGCTGAAAACCATGGCATGGGAACTACGTGACACATTCACAAGCTTCAGTAGCTGATTCAATCAAGTGGAAGAAAGGGTATCAGTGATTGAAGATCAAATGAATGAAATGAAGTGAAAAGTTTAGAGAAAAAAGAATAAAAAGAAACGAACAAAGCCTCCAAGAAATATGGAACTATGTGAAAAGACCAAATCTACGTCTGATTTGGTATACCTGAAAGTGTTGGGGAGAATGGAGACAACTTGGAAAACACTCTTCAGGATATTATCCAGGAGAACTTCCCCAACCTACCAAGACAGGCCAACATTCAAATTCAGGAAATACAGAGAACGCCACAAAGGTAACACCTCGAGAAGAGCAACTCCAAGACACATAAATTGTCAGATTCACCAAAGTTGAAATGAAGGAAAACATATTAAGGGCAGCCAGAGAGAAAGGTCAGGTTACCTGCAAAGGGAAGCCCATCAGACTTAACAGTGGATCTCTCGGCAGAAACTCCACAAGCCAGAAGAGAGTGGGGTCCAATATTCAACATTCTGAAAGAAAAGAATTTTCAACCCAGAATTTCATATCCAGCCAAACTAAGCTTCATAAGTGAAGGAGAAATAAAATACTTTACAGACAAGCAAATGCTGAGAGATTTTGTCACTACCAGGCCTGCCCTAAAAGAGCTCCTGAAGGAAGCGCTAAACATGGAAAGGAACAACCGGTACCAGCTGCTGCAAAATCATGCCAAAATGTAAAGACCATCGAGACTAGGAAGAAACTGCATCAACTAATGAGCAAAATCACCAGCTAACATCATAATGACAGGATCAAATTCACACATAACAATATTAACTTTAAATGTAAATGGACTAAATTCTCCAATTAAAAGACATAGACTGGCAAATTGGATAAAGAGTCAGGACCCATCAGTGTGCTGTATTCAGGAAACCCATCTCACATGCAGAGACACACATAGGCTCAAAATAAAAGGATGGAGGAAGATCTACCAAGCAAATGGAAAACAAAAAAAGGCAGGGGTTGCAATCCTAGTCTCTGATAAAACAGACTTTAAACCAACAAAGATCAAAAGAGACAAAGAAGGCCATTACATAGTGGTAAATGGATCAATTCAACAAGAAGAGCTAACTATCCTAAATATATATGCACCCAATACAGGAGCACCCAGATTCATAAAGCAAGTCCTGAGTGACCTACAAAGAGACTTAGACTCCCACACATTAATAATGGGAGACTTTAACACCCCACTGTCAACATTAGACAGATCAACGAGACAGAAAGTCAACAAGGATACCCAGGAATTGAACTCAGCTCTGCACCAAGCGGACCTAATAGACATTTACAGAACTCTCCACCCCAAATCAACAGAATATACATTTTTTTCAGCACCACACCACACCTATTCCAAAATTGACCACATAGTTGGAAGTAAAGCTCTCCTCAGCAAATGTAAAAGAACAGAAATTATAACAAACTATCTCTCAGACCACAGTGCAATCAAACTAGAACTCAGGATTAAGAATCTCACTCAAAGCCGCTCAACTACATGGAAACTGAACAACCTGCTCCTGAATGACTACTGGGTACATAACGAAATGAAGGCAGAAATAAAGATGTTCTTTGAAACCAACGAGAACAAAGACACAACATACCAGAATCTCTGGGACGCATTCAAAGCAGTGTGTAGAGGGAAATGTATAGCACTAAATGCCCACAAGAGAAAGCAGGAAAGATCCAAAATTGACACCCTAACATCACAATTAAAAGAACTAGAAAAGCAAGAGCGAACACATTCAAAAGCTAGCAGAAGGCAAGAAATAACTAAAATCACAGCAGAACTGAAGGAAATAGAGACACAAAAAACCCTTCAAAAAATCAATGAATCCAGGAGCTGGTTTTTTGAAAGGATCAACAAAATTGATAGACCGCTAGCAAGACTAATAAAGAAAAAAAGAGAGAAGAATCAAATAGACGCAATAAAAAATGATAAAGGGGATATCATCACCGATCCCACAGAAATACAAACTACCATCAGAGAATACTACAAACACCTCTACGCAAATAAACTAGAAAATCTAGAAGAAATGGATAAATTCCTCGACACATACACTCTCCCAAGACTAAACCAGGAAGAAGTTGAATCTCTGAATAGACCAATAACAGGAGCTGAAATTGTAGCAATAATCAATAGTTTACCAACCAAAAAGAGTCCAGGACCAGATGGATTCACAGCCGAATTCTACCAGAGGTACAAGGAGGAACTGGTACCATTCCTTCTGAAAGTATTCCAATCAATAGAAAAAGAGGGAATCCTCCCTAACTCATTTTATGAGGCCAGCATCATTCCGATACCAAAGCCGGGCAGAGACACAACCAAAAAAGAGAATTTTAGACCAATATCCTTGATGAACATTGATGCAAAAATCCTCATAAAATACTGGCAAACCAAATCCAGCAGCACATCAAAAAGCTTATCGACCATGATCAAGTGGGCTTCAACCCTGGGATGCAAGGCTGGTTCAATATATGCAAATCAATAAATGTAATCCAGCATATAAACAGAGCCAAAGACAAAAACCACATGATTATCTCAATAGATGCAGAAAAAGCCTTTGACAAAATTCAACAACCCTTCATGCTAAAAACTCTCAATAAATTAGGTATTGATGGGACGTATTTCAAAATAATAAGAGCTATCTATGACAAACCCACAGCCAACATCATACTGAATGGGCAAAAACTGGAAGCATTCCCTTTGAAAACTGGCACAAGACAGGGATGTCCTCTCTCACCACTCCTATTCAACATAGTGTTGGAAGTTCTGGCCAGGGCAATTAGGCAGGAGAAGGAAATAAAGGGTATTCAATTAGGAAAAGAGGAAGTCAAATTGTCCCTGTTTGCAGATGACATGACTGTATATCGAGAAAACCCCATTGTCTCAGCCCAAAATCTCCTTAAGCTGATAAGCAACTTCAGCAAAGTCTCAGGATACAAAATCAATGTACAAAAATCACAAGCATTCTTATACACCAACAACAGACAAACAGAGAGCGAAATCATGAGTGAACTCCCATTCACAATTGCTTCCAAGAGAATAAAATACCTAGGAATCCAACTTACAAGGGATGTGAAGGACCTCTTCAAGGAGAACTACAAACCACTGCTCAATGAAATAAAAGAGGATACAAACAAATGGAAGAACATTCCATGCTCATGGGTAGGAAGAATCAATATCATGAAAATGGCTATACTGCCCAAGGTAATTTACAGATTCAATGCCATCCCCATCAAGCTACCAATGACTTTCTTCACAGAATTGGAAAAAACTACTTTAAAGTTCATATGGAACCAAAAAAGAGCCCGCATCGCCAAGTCAATCCTAAGCCAAAAGAACTAAGCTGGAGGCATCACACTACCTGACTTCAAACTATACTACAAGGCTACAGTAACCAAAACAGCATGGTACTGGTACCAAAACAGAGATATAGATCAATGGAACAGAACAGAGCCCTCAGAAATAATGCCGCATACCTACAACTATCTGATCTTTGACAAACCTGAGAAAAACAAGCAATGGGGAAAGGATTCCCTATTTAATAAATGGTGCTGGGAAAACTGGCTAGCCATATGTAGAAAGCTGAAACTGGATCCCTTCCTTACACCTTATACAAAAATCAATTCAAGATGGATTAAAGATTCAAACGTTAGACCTAAAACCATAAAAACCCTAGAAGAAAACCTAGGCATTACCGTTCAGGACATAGGCATGTGCAAGGACTTCATGTCCAAAACACCAAAAGCAATGGCAACAAAAGACAAAATTGACAAATGGGATCTAATTAAACTAAAGAGCTTCTGCACAGCAAAAGAAACTACCATCAGAGTGAACAGGCAACCTACAAAATGGGAGAAAATTTTCGCAACCTACTCATCTGACAAAGGGCTGATATCCAGAATCTACAATGAACTCAAACAAATTTACAAGAAAAAAACAAACAACCCCATCAAAAAGTGGGCGAAGGACATGAACGGACACTTCTCAAAAGAAGACATTTATGCAGCCAAAAAACACATGAAAAAATGCTCATCATCACTGGCCATCAGAGAAATGCAAATCAAAACCACAATGAGATACCATCTCACACCAGTTAGAATGGCAATCATTAAAAAGTCAGGAAACAACAGGTGCTGGAGAGGATGTGGAGAAATAGGAACACTTTTACACTGTTGGTGGGACTGTAAACTAGTTCAACCATTGTGGAAGTCAGTGTGGCGATTCCTCAGGGATCTAGAACTGGAAATACCATTTGACCCAGCCATCCCATTACTGAGTATATACCCAAAGGACTATAAATCATGCTGCTATAAAGACACATGCACACATATGTTTATTGCAGCATTATTCACAATAGCAAAGACTTGGAACCAACCCAAATGTCCAACAATGATAGACTGGATTAAGAAAATGTGGCACATATACACCATGGAATACTATGCAGCCATAAAAAATGATGAGTTCATGTCCTTTGTAGGGACATGGATGAAATTGGAAATCATCATTCTCAGTAAACTATCGCAAGAACAAAAAACCAAACACCGCATATTCTCACTCATAGGTGGGAATTGAACAATGAGATCACATGGACACAGGAAGGGGAATATCACACTCTGGGGACTGTGGTGGGGTGGGGGGATGGGGAGGGATAGCATTGGGAGATATACCTAATGCTAGATGACGAGTTAGTGGGTGCAGCGCACCAGCATGGCACATGTATAAATATGTAACTAAGCTGCACAATGTGCACATGTACCCTAAAACTTAAAGTATAATTAAAAAAAAAAAAGAATGATACAGTGGACTTTGGGGACTTGGGGGGAAGAGTGGGAGGGGACAAGGGATAAAAGACAACAAATATGGTGCAGTGTATACTGCTTCATTGATGGGTGCACCAGGATCTCACAAATCACCACTAAAGAACTTACTCATGTAACTAAATACCACCTGTACCCCAATAATTTATGGAAAAATAAAATAATAAAATGTTTTTAAAAAAGGGAATGGTGTCAAGAGATTAGTGTTGTAACTGCTGACAGTTTTAGCCAGCCTGTAGTTTTTCTTTCTACCCTCATTTTATTATTTTTTTCAAAATATCCTAGTTTTAAACTATTTCTTCTAACTTTTACTAGATATTTGCAAATAATTAAGTTCTTATACACATTTTCTGGCAGAAAAATCTGTAAACCATCAGACACAGGTGTTCCCTCATATGTGCTGTGACTACAGAATAGAGTGAAAGGTCTTAGCGAGAGCAAGTAGCCATGGGAGATGTAGAGGACATAGAAAAGAGTAACAGTAATTAGAGTTAATTAGAGTCCTGTTTATATTCTTTTGTTTATCAAAATAAAGCATCAGTCCTTCCATTAGCATTACTTGTTATAGATGATGTCCTTTTGATTTTACAAATATTTAATTCTACAAATTGCATATTCCTAGGACTCCTAACTCCATTAAGAGGCTTTTTATTAACAAGAACTGATAAGACATACCATCTTACCAGTTATTTATATATAATATGATGGAAATTATGCCTTTCTAGGGTCGTGTAACATGGTAGTACTGTATCTATTTGAATACCTATCTTCTCAAGGAGTTACAAGCTCTATTTGAATTTAAGAATAATGTTAATAATGCCTTATAATTTTATATTTAGAAACCATGATATACATTATTTAATGTTTATAACTACTCTGTAAAGTAAGTACTATGCTCATTTTATGGATGAGAACGCAGTCTCACAAAACATGAGTAGTGTGCCCTAAGTCATATGGAATTAGGTTGAAACGTAGATCTCTGTCACTTCCAATATGTTAATTGTTAATCACCCCATGGGACATTGTCTTGTCAGATTTTAGTTGTGAGTGTGTTTGTATGACATAAAGAGTAGATAAGGTCGATAAAATAAATGCTTATAAGCTTAGAATTGGTGACTTTCTCCTATGAAATATTATCAGATGCTTCTGAGGTTGAATGGAAAAGTTTAACTTTGCACATGTCCTAAGAAGATCAGGTAGAAAAAGTGATTCTCTGGAGGTAAGGAGAATGCCTGCTGTAGATAGAAAGGTAAAAGTCCTTTTGAATCATAAAGAGTAACATGGAAAAAAAAAAAGGCAGTCAGGCTTGAGAAAGTAGTTGAGATGGTCACTGAAGCAGCATGCAATCAGAGATTTTCACTCTACAGAGGTGTTCTTTTACATTTGATAGCATTATACAATAGTAGACACACTAGTTGATTAAACCTTACCAATTGCTATTTACTGTTATAGTTAAAAACCATAGGATTGTTACCCTCCCCTTAGTCTACATGAAATTGAAATGTATCTTATTAACCCCCAAAATTAAGGGTTTAGTTGCCACACAAATGTAGAAACCTGCTATGTAACTGCCACATGACTATTCTTGGTCCCATTAAGTCTTTATGTACAATCAGTAGGGGATAAAGAATCCTAGTGCTTCTGATAAGTCTAGTCCATAGTGGTTACAGTTGTTCCTCTCTGTTCTTACTCTAAGATACTCTAGAAAATCTCATGCAGATAAAATAGTGGTATGTAGGCATGGAGAATGGGAAGGAATACAGTATTACAAATAAAAAATGTAGCAATATCAAAGATCATTGATTGTAGAATCAGAAGATAGGAGTTCAAATCTCTGCTTTCTCAGTTTTAACTCACACATTGGGCAAACCCCCCTTATCCCTGGTCTAGCATCAGTTTCCTTATTTGTAAAATGGGAATAGTAACAAAATATCCCCTTGTTTCTCATAAACTTATTGTGAGGCTCAGCTGACAAAAGGTTTATGAAAGCCTTTGTAAAATGTAAAAGATACAAATGTAGGGTACTATAACTTTAATTCTGCATTTGGCTTTACTGACGAACATAATCTGCTGTTGGAATTTTAATTGTTAAATTACAGAATCATTGAAAAGTTAATAAGTGGTGGATTTTAGTAAATTTGAGCTCAAATGGAAACAACTGAATTTAGTAATTTTATTTTATAATGTTTATTTCAGTGTTTTACATTTTGGTAAACATGTGAGATCGTAGGAAGTCCTATTAGATAGCCAATCTCTGTCTCTAGAGGGCACCAAAGGACTCAAATGTTTACCTGAATCTTGCTCTAGGTATGTATCTACATTTTTATTTTATTTTATTTTTTAATCCTCAGAATTTTTATAACCACTTTTCTGCCAAAAATGCTAAAATACTATATTTGTGATAGAATTAATTTTAAATTCCCAAGCACCTAATAATAATTAAAACAGCCCTTTAAAATATTGGTTATATTACTGCTTTTCTCTTGCCAGTTATCCTTGTTAGAGCTTTACTTTGATCATTATCTAATCTAATTATTGGAGATACTGCTTTCATAAGAAGTATTTGGCTCTAAGTAATTTAGTTACTAGAATGTTAAATCAACAATCAAATATGTTTGTAAAAACCAAGGAATGTAAATCCCCAATTTTGTTTTTATTTCAAATTATAGAAAATAAAATGTAAAGTTTTGATGGTCAGTTACAACATAGTCATGAGCTGTGCATTTCTTAAATGGTGCAACTTGAGAGTCTGTTAGTCCAGTATGAGTTATAAATTGCCTGTATAGGGCAAAAATCTAATAGATATATTCTCTGCAGTCTAAGATGATGTGTACATTTATACTGACACTAAACATTGTGTATGGTAGATTATACATGTAAGATTAAAGTAGAAGAAACACTTAAATTGTTATTTCAGAAATGTGTTTTAATCTTCTGATTTGTTGGCCTCTTAATTACTACATTTAGAGAGAGATATGTAAAAGTGGAGGCCAGGTGACCGCTTGGGCAGGGCCCTCCTTTCTGGGTTGCAGTATTTTGGTCAGGCTAATTCTAGAGTCACAGGCTTAGGTTTGAATCCTAGAACCACCACTTACTGGCTTGATATTACGCAAGATTTAAAAAAAATATTTCTCTAAGCCTCAGGTTCCTCAACTATAAATTGGGATTAATATTACCATCTACTTTAGAGAGTCATTTTGAGGATTAAGTGAGATGTTGTATATAAAGCATGTAGTTCAGTACCTGATACAAAGAAATTACTCAAAAAACACTAGCTATTATTATTACAAGGTCTTAAGAATTTTTAGAGTGTGTGTATCCAGAGACTCGACAATATTGATGTGTTTGAAGGAGGGTACACTGTTTTGGGGCAAATAAGTTTTCACTGGTATTCTAGTTATAGTATTATCTGCATCTGCTATAAATTTTTAAGACTGTTTCTAAAGTCCTCTATAATTTCATTTCTATTTTAGTAAGTAGTGTTATGTGATTAATTGGATCAGAGATAGTTTTTAATATATGGAGACTGTAAATCATATTTGTAAATCATATTTGTTTTGAAATCTGAAAATTGGGTTATAGGAATGGCTGAATAAGTTTTAATATAAGGTTGATTTATCTTGTGAAGGTTTTTGCTCTAGCAAAAATTTATGTACTGTCTACCATATGGCCATGCATGAATGTAGTGGATTTTTAATAAATATTTATTGATAGTGATGATAATTTATAAATAATTGCTTTATAAGAGTTTTAAGGTTAGGCTATAATTTTAAAATTTTGCTCTGACTATATTTCTAAGAGATAATTGGAGCTTGTTTCCTATCTGAAGAAAATAAGCTAGAGGAGAATACTCAGTGGCCATCCTAGGTACAAGCATGGTTCCAAATTTGATGATCTCAAAAAGAGATACTTGAGCCTTTGGAGGTATCATGAGCATGATAGTCACAAAGCTTCAGAATACATTAGCAAATCTATCATTATAATTTTCTAATGAACTTTATATTTACAGTATGATAAAAGAAATTACCTTTCAAGATTATCTTACGTCAGTTATCCTTATATTTGATACATATGTTTCTAGGAAACCAGAGTATCTTGAAAAAATGTAAATGTAAATATTTTAAAATATATCATAGGAATTTATTGTAGAGTGTATATGTTGTGATTTTCTTTGTACATGTGTTTTATGATTGTAAGTTGATGGAAGTTTTTCCCCCTTCTTTATTCTCCTGGTAATCCTATGTAGGTTCATGAAGGATTCCTGGAGAGTAAAGTGTTTATTTCAAATAGTACCAATTCATCAAACCCTTGTGAGAGAAGAAGTGTTGACCTAAGGATATATATGCTTTGCTTTCTTCCATTTATAATTCTTTTGGTCTTCATTCGTGAACTAAAGAATCTATTTGTACTTTCATTCCTTGCCAACGTTTCCATGGCTGTCAGTCTTGTGATAATTTACCAGTATGTTGTCAGGGTAAGTATAAAAAGTTTTTAACTAAGTTCTTATCTTTCTTATGTAAGTAAAATTTTGTTTACTGTGGAGGTAAAAGTAATGATATGCAAAGACCCCTACTTCATATGTGGCACACAGTGTGCAATCAGTAAATGTTGGTTTCTTTTAGGGGGATGCTGCTGAGTTAGAAAAGTATATGACATAGAGATTAAACAGGCTTTGTGGTCAGATCTTGAATCTTGGTAAATAACGCCTCTGGGCTTTGTGACAGTGCTTCAGAAGATAGTAATGCCTACCCTATTAGAGTTATGAGACTTAGGATTGTGTTCTTAGTACAGTGCCAAACATGAAACCAGGTACTCATTAATATATATATATGCAATTCCATAATTTCCTTTCACTTCTGAACTTTTATTTGCTGCCACTGCTTCAGTCCACTGCCACTACACTAGTCTGTAATCCCTTTACCTGAAGTATATGCAATAACATCAACTGATTTCATTGTCCATAGTCTGGGGATTCTTAACCCAGTTTCCATAAAATAATCTATTGATGGGATTCAGGGATTCTTCAAATCCCTTAAAATAGTTTGCAAGATTTAGTATTTCTGTATGTATGTATGTGTTTTGCTGTTGAGCAGTTGTATAGCTTTCATCTTGCAAAGGTGTCAAAGACACAAAAAAGGTTGAGAATCCCTGTTCTAGTCACTCCTGATCTAATTAATCTTATATATTATTTCCAAGGTAATTGTTGTAAAATCTTCATTAGCAATTTATTAAAAATTCTTATTATGGATCTGTGTTTCATTTCCCTCCTCTTTGATTTTCAAAAGTTGTAGTTTCTCTTATAGCACTGAGTGGGAGGAAACAGACAGGAAGTTCATATAGGCTTTCCGGAGTTCATGACCCCTTAGCTAAACATGTAAGAGTCAGTTAAGCAGAAAAGGAGGTTTCCAAAATAGAAGGAACAGCGTGAGCTGCTGTTGGGAGAAGTGAAATAGCATCCTGCTTGCCTTAAATAATAGTTTAGCATTGAATGAGCCAAACATTGTAATACCCTTTCATTCTAAACCCAGTATATGGTTTTAGACATGTATCACCAGTATATCACACAGTTCTATCTATGCTTCAGATATTCTAGATCTCTCTATTCCCCAAATTATCCTAGAGCTTTCACACTTCAGTTGCTTTGTTCATTCTTTTTACTTGGCCTTGAATTCTGCTTCCAATCAGGCAAAGCAGAGAATGTAAGATGGTGAGAAGAGTAGGGACCAGACTTGGGGTATCTGGAAGAAGTGGCCATTTAGAGCCAATGTGTACTTTGTCCGGATGGTGAGATTTGGAATAAGCCTGTGAGTCAGGACCAAGCAATCAAAGCCAGAGTCAGGACATATATATTCAAATAATAAGGGTAATGACAACCATCAAATCAAATAGTAAGCACTGAAGCAAGAAGGAAACCTGTTTTGGGCAGCAGCAGAGCTATAAGGTAGAAAGCCAGTGTCAGGAACCAGGTATCTTAGAGAACTGAAAGAGCAATAAAAATAGAGTGGAGAATGAATTTCTGCTAGGCACCAGCAGCAGTGGTTGATAACTTGACTATATGGCTCTCAGCTTAGGCCTTGAGTGTGCTTATGTATTTCCTGTTGTGGCAGGAGCCATACCTAGTGTTCACAGCCTGGGACTTGCAGGTGGAAGCAGGTAATCAGGAGCATTTTGCTCAGATGGAATGTATGGGCATGAGGGAAACAATTGCTTTTGGCAGTGAAATCCTAACAGCTTGGCTACATTTAACAGAGGATGCTTTAAGTGTTTGTTGAAACAATTATTCAATTTTATAACACATTTGCTGTTGTGAAGCTCAAAATTATATGATTTTTCTTACATTTTTTAATTATTTAGAATAAGTAAAGATGTAACTGGTCTTCTTTTTTTCTTCCTTTCTTTAGAACATGCCAGATCCCCACAACCTTCCAATAGTGGCTGGTTGGAAGAAATACCCACTCTTTTTTGGTACTGCTGTATTTGCTTTTGAAGGCATAGGAGTGGTAAGAATTTAGTCTTTATTATTATTTTTTAAAATCTTAATTCAGCACAATGATTTATATAGCCTACCTGTATTTAAAATTGCATATTTTTCTTTTTTATTTCAATTTTCTTTACATGATTTCCAATTTGGTGTGATAGATTAGAATTATAGTTTAGTCCTTCCATTAACAAAGAACTTAATGTTAGACATACCACTTAGGCTCTCTACTTCTCTTTTTATTTATCTATAAAATGAAGAAATTAGCCAGATCATTTTTAACATTTTATTATGGAAAATTTCAAACCTATACAAAATTTAGAGAGTAGTATAATGAACTATGTAAACATCACCTGGCTTCAAAAATTATTAACTCAAGGCCAGTTTAAAAAAAATCTATATCCCACATACTCAGGCACATCTGAAGCATATTTTATAGATGAGATTATCTGAAGGTAATCAGAATAGTTGCAGAATCACTGCTATATAAAAAGTTGGATGTAAATTCTCCCTATAGTTTTATGAATATAATGTTTGTTTTGAGAAACAGTGTTATAAAGCTAATACCAAGAGAGACTCCAAAGATTCTGAGGATTCTAAGATATTAAATATTGCCATTCAGGTAGCTCCCAGTTTATTTAATGCCTAACATTTGTAGACTTGGGGAAAATAGAATCTTGCTGTCTGCTTTGCTCCATAGTTTATGTTTCATAGTCTGATGATCTGGTATGGGAGCAAAACCATTTGTAAACATCTATTTATACTAACCCCAGACAAAATAGATCTAAAATAAAATTTTATAACATTTTACTTGGGTTTCTGCTCTCTGTGAATTCTCCTTTAGATAATTCTCCCAAATTCTTACAAATTTTCACAGCTACAATTATTGCTGTTGTAAACGTAACTACAGATTTTCATGTTTGTCTTTAACTCATGAGCACTAGTTAACTGTTGACATTTCCTTAGGATCTCAAATTCAACAATTCCAAAGTCTGACATGTATTTTCTCATCTAAAACCAGCTTTACTTTCTCATTTTCCTTTTTCTTTCTGTTTTATCTTCAGTTGCTTAAGCTTGAAACACTGGAGTGATTCCTTTTACTT
Organism: Homo sapiens; assembly: GCF_000001405.40. Classification (NCBI taxonomy): domain Eukaryota; kingdom Metazoa; phylum Chordata; class Mammalia; order Primates; family Hominidae; genus Homo; species Homo sapiens. Next base: position 93,164,836 of record NC_000011.10, on the reverse strand, counting down.
TGTCCTTGGTTCTCTATTTCAATCAATAATTAAGGCATGTTGACTTTTCTTTTATATTTCTCAAATTCATTCCATAAAGGAGACTATACATAAAACACCTATAATGCTGCGTGACACAGAAGGCCTCAGGAAATGTTCATTTCTTTCTCTTTCTCCCTTGCTGCACTGCCACCATTCTTGGCCACTGCCTGTATTTCTGCTCTGGATTATCTCCATAGCATCCAAACTGTTCTCTGCCCTCTTGCTGCTATTAACAGTTCATGTTTCCATATGGAACTGACTGACTTATATGAAAAGTGGAAAAAATACTAGATTTATCATCTCATAGAGTTATTGTGAGGATTGCATAAAATGCTGCATGCAAAGCTTTTAGAATCATACCTGGCATATCATAAACACTCCAGTAAATACTTGCTATTATTGTTACTTAGGTCTTTGACTGTATGGCCTAATTTTATGGTTACAATCTCTGAAGATTTGCCTTAAAAACTTGGTTTTTCAGTCAGCCTTTTCTTATTTTCTTTAAAGGTTCTTTTTCAATAAAATAAAAATTATTAGTTTTACTGAATTTGACAGACAGTAGATACAGGTGGGTAGATGTAAAACCAGTTACACGTATGTGAGTATACATGGGTTAGTATACATGCATATACTTCCTAGTTCTGTCTCCTGAGAGAGGCTGCAAGTAGTGATACCCCAGTATCAACAAGCACACACCCAGATCTTGATTTCCAAATACCAGATCTTCATTTCTAATTACCATTCTACAAGAGAATCAAAGTTCTTTGGAGAAATGGCTGATTTTAGGGCTGAAGCAAGGAAATGCAAGATGAGGCTAAAGCATCTTGTAGTGTCAGAAGGTAAGAATATGTTCAAGAAACAAAAGAATGGAGGCAAGTCAAAGGACCACAGAAGCCAACCTGATGGAATTTACAATGGGCAAAAGTGGAATAATATGAGTAACAAAACAAATAACAGAATTTTGGATTGTAATTCAATATTTAAAAAAAAATACATAGGGTCATGCTAATATACATACATACATACATACATACATACATGAGAATCCTAGAAACCCTCCTCCCTCCAGGCGATAGAACTAATCCCCCTCCTACTCCCCAGAGAAGGAGCTGGATTTAGGGACTTGGCTTTCAATAAACAGAGTATGATGAGAGGGAATAAAAGTAACTGTACAATAGAGAAACCTGGCAAACACTACCTTAACCAAATGATGAAAATTAACTTCACCAGTGATAAACCATGTTAATAACGTGTGATGAGACAGGCACTTCACCTCTAGGTTATCCTTCTCTAAAACCTACAATACCAGTCCAGTCATGAGAAAAACCTCAGAAAAACCTAAATGGAGGGGTTTTATGTAAAATACCAAACCAGTACTCCTTAAAACTGGCAAGATAATGAACAACAAGCAAGGATTGAGAAACGATCAGACAGGAGGCATGGTGACAAAATGCACTGTGGGTATCCTGGATGGAGCTCTGGGACAGAAAAAGGATATTAATGGAAAAACTAATGAAATCCAAATGAAATTTGCAGTTTAGTTAATAGTGATGTACCAATATTGGTTTTTAGTTGTCGCAAATGTACTATCGTAATATAAAAAGTTAATGGTAGGAGAAACTGGGTGAGGGGTATATGGGAGATCTCTGTGTTATCTTTGTAACTTTTCTGTAAATCTAAAATTATCCCAAAATAAAAAGGTTATTTAAAAAAAAAACTAACAGGTTTGCCTGCCAAGAGATGAGTTTAAATCTTTTTAAGAAGTTTAAAATAGGTAGTATAAATATATAGCAATGGAAGTGTACTTCAACAATTATATGTGTTTTAAAGGAAAAAAATTTGCATATAGGCTATAAACAACCAATTTGTATGTATAAGAGACACTGTTATTTTTAAATACTTGTATTCCCTTAAAAAAAAGTATTGTATTCTTTTCTTAGGTCCTTCCACTGGAAAACCAAATGAAAGAATCAAAGCGTTTCCCTCAAGCGTTGAATATTGGCATGGGGATTGTTACAACTTTGTATGTAACATTAGCTACTTTAGGATATATGTGTTTCCATGATGAAATCAAAGGCAGCATAACTTTAAATCTTCCCCAAGATGTATGGTAGGTGTATATGAATTTGTCAATATTAGTTTATATATTTTATAATGTACCACTGTTTGATGATAAAGTCGTGTTCTTGGATTTATGGTTTAAACATTTAAAATTTTTACTGTGATTTCCTGGAATCCCATCACTTTGGGAGGCAGAGGTGGGCGGATCACCTGAGGTCGGGAGTTCAAGACCAGCCTGGCCAACATAATGAAACCCCATCTGTACTAAAAATACAAAAATTAGCCAGGCGTGGTGGCGGGTGCCTATAATCCCAGCTACTCAGGAGGCTGAGGCAGGAGAATCGCTTGAACCCGGGAGGCGGAGGTTGCAGTGAGCTGAGATCACACCATTGCAATCCAGCCTGGGTGACAAGAGCGAAACTCCGTCTCAAAACAAAAAAAAAATTACTGTGATTTATTTATTTGTGCAATCTGGAATTTTTTCATAATCTTCGTAGGAGACCAAATATGAACTTAGGGTTCTTGTGGGATTTTTAAAAAAATATTTAAAATTGGAGTTTTTTCCAAATCCAAGTCAAGTATAAGAGTAGAACAGGGATTATTTTAATATGGACACGTTTTAATAAAAAAATTAATACTTGTCCTTATTGCCAAAAAAGCCAAACACTCACGCTTCCTAATAAAATAATAGATTACATCATTTATGGTCCTTGCTATTTTGGTCAGCTTCATAGTGTATATTTTCCAAGTCCTTTCAGAACACAGTTGGGACACATTATAAATAATAAAACAAAATGGTGCATCATCTTAATGTTCTCTTTCATATTGGGACCATATCCTGCTAAATGAAGCATCATATGTATATGATTTTTCCTTTTTCCAGAGGTTTGTCTTTGGAAAATTTTCAAAGATAGTGGCAGTGATTACCATGCAGACTTACTTCCTTATTTACAAGATGGAAGGTAACTCCTTAGTTTTCACATACGCAAAGAATAAATTTGGAATCGCTGATTGAATTATTGTCACACTACTACTTTAGCTACTTGGATTAAAAAAATCTGTGTAATCTTAAATGTCTTACTATATTAGTGAAAAAGCAACAACAGCAGAAATTATATCTTCTGACTGGCCTCCTGGTGAGAATTTGTCTGTCATTTAATAGTCATTTGAATCCTGGGCATTTATTGGAGTCAAAAATGTTGCTAGGACAAATGTTTGTAGGAAGCCATTTATGACAGAGCAAATGGACCTAGGATAGTTTCCACATTGCACAAGGAGCATACATGTGGTGTGTCTGTATTTTTAAATTACAATTTAACTTCAGCTAACATAAATGTATTTCAAAATGGAAACATGTCTCAAATGTTACAAATATATTTCAAGGTGGAGTTATTATTACAAATAAGATATATGGTTATTTAGCATTTATTTTATTAACTCTTTATAGTTAATTATATAATTTTATTGCCTTCAAATGTGCTTTTTGGTTTCAAGCTTAAACAGCTTAGTATAAGAGAATCAAGCTAAAAATATGGTAGTAAGTTCATCTTTTCAAATACTGTACAATGTTTGGAAAATAGAATGATATTTTTTCCTCATTTAGAAGAATATTTTGAGCCGGGTATGGTGGCTTATGTCTGGAATCCCAGTGCTTTGGGAGGAAAAGGTGGGAGGATCACTTGAGGCCAGAAGTTTGAGACTAGCCTGCATAACATAGTGAAACTCCAAATCTACACAGAATTTAAAAATTAGCCAGGCATGGTGGCACAAGTCTGTAATTGCAGCTATTTGGGAGGCTGAGTGGGAGGATCACTTGAGCCTGGGAGGTTGATTATACAGTGAGCTGTGATGGTACCACTGCACTCCAGCCTGGGAAACAGAGAGACATTTTGTCTCAATAATATTAATAATAACAATAATATTTTGACTAGGTCTTAAAAATAATCATTTCAGAAATTGACAACTATTTTTAATGCCAAATGTAAAAGGTACATGGAAATAATGTCAAAATTCTTTCCCGGTCTTATTTACAAAAGCATGTAAGGAATATTTTAGGGGGGAAGTTTCCAAAGTGGGAGTGTGCACACATTCACATTGAAAGGTTTGTATTACCAGGCACATAAGAATGTGGTGTAGAAATAGTGGGCGAGAATAAGACAGAATGCTTTTGGTATTCACAACTCAATCTTGGAGGGTGACACTGTCCCTGCAGTAGCTCCAATTAATCCTTCCCTTTTCCCACAGCCCCTTTCTACATCTGACCTTATTCCTAATTGCTGTGACTTTCCAATTAGAATGGAACTAGTTGAGACTCTTGATTTAAAAGGGACCATTAGATCATAGTTTCTATTCAAGGAAGTCTAGCTAGACACCACCTTTCATTAGAGGAAACCCTAGTACAAGTATCCTAAGAAACAACAAAAATCTGGAAAAAACAGGAAAGCCAGTCAAGACACATATTTCCCTTTAGAGAATTTGCATTGGTTAATGCCTTTGCACTGTGGAGATATGCCCTATGCAGCCTATAGTCTGTTTCTGTGTGGACTCTGCAGTTGTGGGACAATTAAAATAATAGTCACAACTGAGGAATACAAGAGAAGAGTTGCTTGTCTTTTTACAGTCATGGCATTCTGTAAAGTGAGAAGTTTGGACTAGAATAATCATGGGATTACATTTAAGATTTCTTTCTTAATATACTATATACGAGTCTCTCTTTCACTTCTTTCCTGTGCTTCACACAAGAGGCCTCGAAAGTTAGAGATTGTGCAGTGTACTCTATTGGCAGAGTATGAAAGCCAATGACTGTTACAAGAGTATCCTAGAGAACTAATGGCTACTAGCTATGAAAAGCTGTAAAGGGCTTTTGGTACAGATTGGCAAAGTCTCAGAGTATATTAGGGTTATTTCTGCAAGAAAAGATTGAATTAGAAAGAGGCCATAGGATAAAGCAAGTATGGATTAGAGAAGCTCCAAGTTATTATTACCCTTAATCTTTCTGAACTGTCATCTTTGAAAATTAGTTATGAGTAATACTGTACATGTATTGCATTTAGCTTTTGAAGTAAAGAATGTATTTTAAAGGTTTTACTAGTTCAAGGCATTCAATCTAGTGATAAATGCTACATAACCATAGTTGTCTTAGTTTTTAGCCTAGAATGAGATGAGGCTCTTGGCAAGGATTGCAGATAGTTCTCAATTAAGATGACTTCTTGACAGAGCTAAATCCTCAAGATTCTCAGCCTGAGCATCATGAAGGATCCAAGAGGGAAAGTGCCTTACCAGGTTATTTCTAACGGTAGCTTCTGTATTCAACCTTGAGAGACAGAGAAGCAGTCACCAACTTATTTCCCAAGTTGGTTTTTAAAAAATTTTAAGTTATTCATACCTGAAGGTTGACTTATTAGCCAATGTGGGGAAAAGAATAAAAGCATTATAAATTTTGATATTCTATGTTTTCAAAACTAATATTTTCACTGGAACATTAAGTTGTTTTCTCCCTATAATCTGATTCAATATATTGGCTGAAAAATAATTATTAAAAATACATTTCTGTCCTTTACTAAGGTATTAAATTCTTTACTATCATTATAATAGATTTTGTTTCCAAGCATAAATCATTTTATTCTTTGAAGTGCTATTAATATTTTTCATGTTGAATGGTTGTAGTTTCTAAGAATTACCTATCCATATCTATTTTGATAATTAATATTTAATAAGTATCAATCACCTATTAATACTAAGTGCATTGAAGGGATATACAGAGAAGAATTAGTCTGTAACTCTCAGGAGCTTTGGCAGCGAGGAGTTTTAAAAGACCTTTTAATGTACACTAAATGTTGTTTAAAGTTGTTTGATGTTTTTTGTACCCTCAAAACAAATTCCTGTGACTTTAAGAAAGTTTATTATTCTTTAGAAAGAGGGTTTACTGGGTAGATTTTTCCTTTCAATGTTCTTCATTTCTAAAACGTAGTACAAAAGAAGCCTTACAATAGATGCTGCTTAAAACCAAAATGAAGAAAAGGTTGTGATAATAGCTATACAAAAGTTGTAGAGAAAAATAGTTTAAAGTGATTGAAAATATAGATTCCAAACATAGAAATAAGTGGGTTCTTGAAACAGAAAAGGAGTAGGAGTGAAACAGTTCATATTAAACTGTGGCACTTTTTAAAGATGCCCTCTTGTTTCTATATAACTATTCTTTTGTTGATTAGTAGATATACCAACTTCTAAAAGATCCACACCATTTTATTTCCCATTTTTACTCTTTGTAACACCAAATAGTAATATTTGCATATAATTAACGATATTAATAATAACCAGATTCTTAGCCGATGTGACTTTGTCAATAAAAAAGTAATAGTACTTACATGCAAAATGATGTATTTTTATTTTAAAAAATGTTAAATATATTATTACCACATTTTAAAAATACATAAGTGAAAAGATAATTAATTAGAAAAAGGAATGTCCTGTTAAACTAATTAACTAACAAGAATATTTGTTTAATTATCCACAGTTACATATCAGAGTATAGGAAACACGTGTCTTTCAGTTATGTGGTATATATTTGGTAACTTGACCATTTATGTGTAACCTTTAAGCCTCAAGCTGAGAAATACATCCTTAGCTAATTTTTAAAATTAAGTTTTAAATGTTGTTAGCTCTAAGGAGTTCTTTCCTTCCTAATTGTGATGTGTATCTTCAAATCTGTTTTTATTCAGCTCTTAAATTTCTTCTTACTCTTGTATGATAAATATGTTATAGCAGAATACTATTGAATCTCTTCTTGCTTGGCCATAGTTTACAGGCTGTTTATAATCCTTATTACTCTCACCACTTCTGTTCAACATAGTATTGGAAGTCCTGGCCAGAGCAATCAGGCAAGAGAAAGAAACAAAGGGCATCCAAATAGGAAGAACTGCAAGATCTGCAAACTATCCCTGTTTTCAGATGACATGATCCTATATCTCGAAAACCCCATAGTAAGCCCAAAGGCTTCTTAAGCTGATAAGCAACTTCAGCAAAGTCTCAAGCTGCAAAATCAATGTGCAAAAAACATCAACATTTCTATACACCAATAACAGTCAAGCTGAGAGCCAAATCTTTATGTGGCAATTGTGAATGGTATTGTGTTGCCACAATTCACAATTGCCACATAAAGAATAAAATACCTAGGGATACAGCTAACCAGGGATGTGAAAGATCTCTACAACAAGAATTACAAAACACTGCTCAGAGAAATCAGAGATGACACAAACAAATGGAAAAACATTCCATGCTCATGGATAGGAAGAATCAATATCATAAAAATAGCCACACTGCCCAAAGCAATTTATAGTTTTAATGCTATTCCTATTAAACTGCCATTGACATTCTTCACAGAACTAGAAAAAACTATTTTAAAATTCATGTGGAACCAGAAATGAGCCTGAAGGGTCAAGGCAGTCCTCAGCAAAAAGAACAAAGCTGGAGGCATCACACTACCCAACTCTAAACTATACGAGAGGGCTGTAGTAACCAAAACAGCATTGTACTGGAACAAAAACAGACACATAGACCAATGGAACAGAATAGAGAGCCCAGAAGTAAGGCCACACACCTGCAACTATTTGATCTTTGAAAAACCTGACAAAAACAAGCAATGGGGAAAGGATTCGCTATTCAATAAATGGTGCTAGGATAACCAGCCAGCCATATGGGATAGACTGAACTGGACCCCTTCCTTACACCATATACAAAAAATTAACTCAAGATGGAGTAAAGGCTTAAATGTGAAACCCCAGACTATAAAAACCCTGGAAGAAAATACCATTCTGGACATAGGAATGGGCAAAGATTTTATGATGAAGACTCCAAAAGCAATTGCAACAAAAGTGAAAATTGACAAATGGGATCTAATTAAACTAAAGAGCTTCTGCACAGCACAGAAAACTATCAACAGAGTGAACAGGCAACCTACAGAATGGAAGAAAATTTTTGCAAACTATGCATTGAACAAAGGTCTAATATCCAGCATTTAAAGGAACTTCAAGAAATTTATAAGAAAAGAATCTCATTAAAAAGTGGGCAAAGGGCTTGGGAGGCCAAGGCGGGCAGATCACAAGGTTAGGAGTTTGAGACCAGCCTGGCCAATATGGTGAAACCCCATCTCTACTAAAAATACAAAAATTAGCCAGGTGTGGTGGCAGGCGCCTGTAGTCCCAGCTACTTGGGAGGTTGAGGCAGGAGAATCGCTTGAACTGGGGAGGTGGAGGTTGCAGTGAGCTAAGATTGAGCTGCTGCACTCCAGCCTGGGCAACAGAGTGAGACTCCACCCCAAAAAAAAAGAAAAAAAAAAGTGGGCAAAGGACGTGAACAGACACTTCTCAAAAGAAGACATACATGCCGCCAACAGTCATATGAAAAAAAAATGCTCAACATTACTGATCATTAGAGAAATGCAAATCAAAACCACAGTGTGATACCATCCCACACTTGTCAGAATGGCTATTACTAAAAAGTCGAAAAATAACATGCTAGTGAGCTTATGGAGAAAAAGGAACAACACTTATTATAAACTGTTGATGGGAGTATAAGTTAGTTCAAGACATTGTGGAAGACAGTGTGGCGATGCCTCAAAGACCTTAAAACAGAAATGTCATTTGATCCAGTAGTCCCATTACTGGGTTTATACCCAAAGAAATATAAATCATTCTATTAGAAAAACACATAAATACCTTTGTTCATTGCAGCACTTTTCACAATAGCAAAGATACGGAATTAACCTAAATGCCTGTCAGTGATAGATTGGATAAAGAAGATGTGGTACATATACATCATGGAATACTATGCAGCCATAAAAAAGAATGAGATAATGTTCTTTGTAGGAACATGGATGGAGCTGGAGGTCATTACCCTTAGCAAACTAACATGGGAACAGAAAACCAAATACCACATATTCTTACTTATAAGTGGGAGCTAAATGATGAAAACGCGGACACATGGAGGGGAACAACACACACTGGGGCCTATTGAGGGTGAAGGGTGTGAGGAGGGAGAGGATCAGAAAAAATAACCAATGGGTACTAGGCTTAATACCTGAGTGATGAAATAATCTGTACAACAAGCCCCCATGACACAAATTTACCTATATAACCTGCACATGTACCCCTGAACTTTAAAAGTCAAATTAAAAAATCCTTACTACTTTAAGTCTTAAGACATCAGAAATAAAGCTCCATTAATGTCGACATTTATATACTTATATATTAAGTACATTTATACTTAAAGCTTCATTAATGTCAAGGTTTATATACCTTGACATTATATACCAAAAGTAGAATATAATCCTTTTAAAATGATTGCATTTTTTTGTAAGAAAGAAAACACTCTTCCCTGTGCATGGGAATTTTAGGTGGGAAAGTAGAACTCTTAAATGAGAAAACCGTGGGAAGATGTTTCTGCTGAAAGAGGACATATGTGTTAATCACTGCCCCGAAGTTGCAGCACACTGAACCCACAGTGTTTTCTCTGCTTTGTTACTTAAAAAATGCAAGATGGTTGGGTTTTTCTTTTGAATTTTATAAAATATTAAAATGTTTTTTTAAATACAGCATATTAATTTTATTATTCTGCAACCCTAAAGAGTGGATTCTGTAATGTTTCTTCCTCTAGGTCCTACAATTCTGTTTTCTCTTCATGTCATTAACGTTTAAAAAGTCTTCTTTTTCTGGGCTTAAGAAAGTTACTGAAGTCTTTATCAAGACATGCATGCGAAGTTTTGACAGGAGGTTATCCATAATGTAGAAATCTAAAGATATTTATAAAACTGAAAATTGCTGTGCTGTTTTGAAGCACTGTATATCAAAGAGATAAGTTAATTTGCCCAAAAGAATAACAACAACCTTACCCAGCAACTGTATGTCTCTTATTTAATGTAATTTTAAACAATAGATTGTATGTGTAATTTAGAGAACTTAGCAAGTTGAAACCGTTTAGATGTCTGCTTTTAGACTTAAGATGGATGACATTTCTGCAACTGATGACATACCTCCAAAGATTTTCACCCAAGAACTATACTTAAGTTTAATGTGAGTTTTTCTTCTATGTAAAGATCAACGAGGGTATGACTCAGGATTTAAGACATATAGTAGGCTCAGTTTTTAAAAAGAAAGTTGAGAAAACTTTAGCTCTTTGAGGGGCTGAGTCTAACCTTCAGAATATTGGCTTATCCCAAAGTGAAATCTTTTTACCACTATACCCTAAACCCTGGCATGCATGTTCAAGCTTTCCAGTCTTGTGAAAATGAATTGTTCTTGTATCATCTAGAAATTTAGTTAGAGATCAATTTGCCTTTTTTACAAACAAGCATTTTTAGTTAGTAAGGTTCTGGCCTAATTTGGTATTCTGGATTTCTTATTTATCTTAATATTAAAAATAAAGGAGGAAAACTAAATTCACATTAAAAATGACTAAATTTTGAAAATTTTTTTCAACAGGTTATATCAATCAGTGAAAATTCTATATTCCTTTGGCATTTTTGTGACATATTCAATTCAGTTCTATGTTCCAGCAGAGATCATTATCCCTGGGATCACATCCAAATTTCATACTAAATGGAAGCAAATCTGTGAATTTGGGATAAGATCCTTCTTGGTTAGTATTACTTGTAAGTATCATTATATATTTATATCATAATAATTTTTTATTGTTCAATTTCTTGAAAGCTATATAAGATGTAATTTCTTAAAATGAAAGCTACATAAGATGTATTTTTCAATATTTTTAAAACAATTTTATTCACCCAGCTGGGTTACTTTTCAGGTTAAAATTCAATTTTTCTACTACTACATAAGAAAAACACAAACCAGATCCTATCACACTTAAAATAACTAATGAAGTTATTTTGAAAATTACATTACTGGTGATTAAAATAATGTGTACATGGGACCCCTTCCATTTCTGATACACATTTTATTTTGGTTCTAGTTTTTCTCAGGTTTTTCATTCCTGTTTTTGTATATTTTAACAGTTTACTTCTTCATAACTACCTACAGGAAAGTGTTTAATTTTACTTGTATTGGTCTTTCATAATTTTAGTGTCTTATTTTCTTATTATTTGAAGAAGTGTATATAATCTTTTATTAAGACTCTTCATCATAAAATGCCTTCTCAAGGTAGCATTCATAATAGAGACTCATGGAAAGGGAGCTTGAGTTCAGTATAGTGGAAAGAGTGTAAGTTTTGGAGTCAGACAGATCTGGGAATTCAAAGTCAAGCCTATCACTTACTCGGTGGTGTCTTTAGGCAAGTTACATGCCATTGTTGAGCCCCTCTTTCCTCAACTGTGAAATGAAGATAAAACTTCCTTATGGCATTTTGATGGGGTTAGAAATAATATTAACAAAGTATTAATAGCTGGAAGTTATGATCATTATTGTAACCATTACTGTAACTACAAATATACAGATGATTACATCACCAAACTAAACTGGGATTGCCTAAAATGATACCAGGGACCAGATTACTAGTGTTCTGGGGAACAAGCAGCTTTGGAAATTCCTTGTGTAAGATATTAATAAACATCTTGCACTATTTAGAATAGTAGAGCTAGAAATTCGGGGCAACTCAATAAATTGATTTGAGCAGCCTGCCATGGAGCTCATGCCTAGATTTAAAGAATTGAGTGTATTATATTTTGTTTGAAATGGGAAATGCAAAGCTGAAAAAGTAGATAAAATGTATTTTTCGAAGTAATTACTTAAATGAATTATATCACTAATAAGAGAAATCATATTAACAAATGAAGTCAATAAGCCCATACTCTGATGACAAATGAAAAAACATTCAGTAGGAAAAAGATATTTTAAGACATTTTGAAGTATTTTTATACATTTATTTTATTGACATTTTGGTAATGACTAAATAAAAAGACTAATTTCAGTAAAAGTGTTTTTATCAATAGATGTAAGACAATTCTATTCTGAAAGTATATCGTCTTTTAAAGTTGGTAATGGAAATTCAGGTAAAGGAGTTTGAGGGCAATGGGAAAAGGGGTCTAGGATTTTTTTATAACTTCACCCATTTCTGTATATTGGCTGGCATTGTTGTATTGAAGTTATGAATCAGCTGAGGCACAGACCACGCCACATCTGCTTCCATGAGTTTGTTTCCAGAAGCCAGGGGCTTAGTTCATAGCACAGAGAACTGCAGCCTTTTCTTGGCTGCTGCTTTCTTTTAGTTAAAAGTCATTAAAGCTTCTCATCCATATATGGGATATGCCTTGGAGAAAGGGAACAAAAACTGTAATATTTCCTTCTGCTATATTGGGACACATCACTGGACACTGAACCTGAACTTCATTTGTGTCTTTGGCACATATCCTTCCAAATTAAAGTAAAAGCCAACTGATATTCATGGCAAAACTGCTTTTTAATTCTGTTTTCCAAAGCACTTGAAAAGATTTGGGGGCGTACACTTTACTGATAAATGTGTGTAGACAGTTGATGGGACTTTGTCATGTTTGTAGAGTAGGCTGTGCAGCAGCACTAGCAATGAGAGTGGAGGCTCAGCCTGATTTGCATTGAAAATTGAATGTCTTTCAATGTTCCATAATCCTTTCCAAGTACTGAATCCATGTTTGTTGTATTAGTCCTTAAAGAAGTGGACTTATCAGCTTGGATTATGTTGGTTGTGTCCAAGTATCCATTTAGCATTTGAATCATGATCTCAAAATATCTTCTTAGTGAAATTCAAAAACTTTAGAAATGATTCAGACTCCTCCTGCGTGTTCCCTTTAGGTGCTTACCTGGTATATAGGCACCTCACAAGTGAGGGAGGAGGGACGGTAGAAACCAGCCAAAGGTCACCATGGACATAAATACCTTTTAAGAGTAAACCTGTACTATGAGCCATTACATTTTTAAATGTATTATAATAAACACTGAGACCAGTGTTTCAATTCTGTGTATGAATTGAATCAACAAAATATACTAAGTACTATTTACTTCTGTTACTCTCTAATTTGTTGATCCTTCTACTGTTTGTAATTTTTTAAAAGTCCTTGTTTTTATAATCTATAGTAGACTATGACTTTATAAGTATCAAAACCTATAAATCTTTAGTAGTTTGTAGAGAAAACCCACTAAAATCCTTCATTTAAGTTAGTTGCCTCTGCAGACTAGAAAAGTACCATTCTGTTTCCTGATATCCTGTCTTAGAGTCGGTATGTGGAGAGCACCATTAACTATTTGTATAATTAAAATGAATGTGCTAAGTTATTTTCCACATTTTTGTTTTTGGTGCTGTAATATCAAGTGCTTTGTTTTGTGTTCTGATGTATCTGCATTTACCCTTCAGATGCAAATAATGGACCTAAATAGGCTTTTATTTTAATATCAGAGGGAACTTTATGCTCTAAGGATACATTCTTTTTCTTGCTATATATAGTTTTGGTAAATACTGAATAAGTGTGATTAGTACTTAATAGATCTATTCATAATAGCTGTCTGTAAATGACATAGTATTTGTAATGAATAAAACTATCCTTATTTTAAACTCTGCTTTGAGTTTTTATTAATATATGTTGGATTTGGCTAAAAGTATGTATACTTGTCTTCTTTGTCTACTAATAACATTACCAATAGCATATTTCAAACCATTTTTACAAGCAAATATCTTTTGGTAATATAATGTTTAAAATCTGACTTTAAACAGATTTTAGATGAGAATTATACTTCATGATTTAAAAGTGTTTGCTAGATGGAAATTTTGTCTATAAATTCTAAAGTGCTATAGTATTCCCCCACATAGTTTTCCAACAATATTTCACTTGATTTACTAGTGACAGCTTGGATTATAGATAAACAAAGAAAAATGGATTCCAAATTGAAAGCCTCTTCAGGTGGCAAGATTCTGGTCATATTTGTCTGGCCTCACTTTTATACTACTACTTACTATAAGTAGGTGAAACAAACATGTCTCCACAAATGATTATGTTCAATGAATTTTGAGAGGTCCTAACTATGTTTGAGAGTTATGCTCTATAGCTCCCTAGAGAGCAAAGTTAAAAGGCTATATATGTAACAAGCATCTATTAGACGAATAATCTACTTTATAAAGTATTTCTACTTTCGAGGTCTTTAGAGCTAGTTATTTCTACTTCTTTAGAGTCAATTATTTCATTTATAAAGGGTTATGCCACTTCAGCCCTATAGATGTAAAGCTACGTTTATAATTTCAAAACAGTTTTTAGGGCTTTAGCTTTCATAATAATTTGAATACAGAATGATAAATAATAACTTCTGGTTATATGAGGAACATGGTGGGAACTTAGTTCCAAGTTGATCCCACAACCTCCTGGAAAATATTGAAAGCCACAGAAAGAATAGAAAAAGGAAAAAATAAAACGTCATAAATTGAAAATTAAGAAGTAGAGAAACCATTGTACTGCAAGCTGAAAACTAAATTACTAACAGGAATATATGTGTCTCCAACACATGCCATAATTGGAGTCCCCAAAGAGGAAATGTGGTGATATAATCGTCATCGATGGCAGTGGTGATGTACTTGTCACAGCCTGTATATGAGCAAACACAGGTGTTATTTCTGGTGGCAACTCCAGACCCTCAACAAATCATTTAACAAAACCGTTAAGGACAAATAAAGAAGGAATATGAGTCTTGGTTTTTGCAAATCTTCTGTTGATGCATTTTGATAAGATCAAGAAAGCGCCAGACCAGAACTTGCAGAAAACTCATCAACAGTTTGGAAATCTGCTGACAATAGTGGAGTACTATTTTTTTTAAACTTTTCATTTTGAAGTAATTTAGACAGAAAGGGTGTAAAAGAAAGTAGTTACCATAAACCTCTACTCAGCTTCCTCTGATGTTCACAGCTTCCATAATCACAGTACAGTTATTAAAACCAAGAAATTAGCATGGATACAATGCTATTAACTACTTTATAGACCTTATGATAATCTTGCCAGTTTTCCCACTAAGATCCTTTTCTGGTCCAGGACATAAGCCATGGTCCCACTTGAATTTAGCTGTCATACTCATTTGTGTCTTCCAATCTTGACTGTCCTTGACTTTCTTTGTCTTTCTTGACCTTCACACTTTCGAAATGTCAGTAATTGTGTAGAATTTCTTTCAATTTGAATTTTTCTGATGCTTTCTCATGATTAGGTTGAAGTTAAGCATTTTTAACAAGAATCCCACAGAAGTGATGCTGTGCACTTCTCAGTGTATCACATCATAGTATCAGTGTCTTATTGGTGATGTTAATTTTGTTTACTTGGCTAAGGTGGTCTGTTGACTTATTTCTCCACTGTAAAGCTACTAGTTCTCCTTTTATAATTAATAAGTATCTTGAAGGAAGATATTTTGAAACTCTGATCTCATCCAGTTTTTGCCCACTAATTTCAGCATTCATCAGTGACTCTTCCTATCCTGTGATTATTGTGGTATTTGCTTAATGCTTTTCTGTTTCCATTGTTCCTTCTATTTTGATTAATTGGAATTCTACTTTAAGGAATAGCTATCTCTTCTCTCTCATTTATTTATGTCCCACCACTCTATGTCTTGTGCGTTATTGAGCTGTATGGGCAGACAAAGTAATGCAAATGCTCTGGAAATAAACTATCAAAACTTCTTTGCCCAGAATTTTAAAGCAAAAAATTAAAAGTTGTTTACATAAGAAACTGTTGACAAGTGTAAGTCTAGGACATGTCACTCACTATTTTGGTCTTTCTGTCTCTCTCTAGCTTAGAACAAAATATGGCAGATTTTTTTCACAAGCAATAGTTTAGTAGTTCAACTTTCATTAATTATTTCTAGTAATTACTTTCAGTATTGAAAATACTTACTGTTAATATTCATGTAAGTAACAAACATTTAAATAAGAAAAATAAATGTATTTTCATTTTCTAGGTGCCGGAGCAATTCTTATTCCTCGTTTAGACATTGTGATTTCCTTCGTTGGAGCTGTGAGCAGCAGCACATTGGCCCTAATCCTGCCACCTTTGGTTGAAATTCTTACATTTTCGAAGGAACATTATAATATATGGATGGTCCTGAAAAATATTTCTATAGCATTCACTGGAGTTGTTGGCTTCTTATTAGGTACATATATAACTGTTGAAGAAATTATTTATCCTACTCCCAAAGTTGTAGCTGGCACTCCACAGAGTCCTTTTCTAAATTTGAATTCAACATGCTTAACATCTGGTTTGAAATAGTAAAAGCAGAATCATGAGTCTTCTATTTTTGTCCCATTTCTGAAAATTATCAAGATAACTAGTAAAATACATTGCTATATACATAAAAATGGTAACAAACTCTGTTTTCTTTGGCACGATATTAATATTTTGGAAGTAATCATAACTCTTTACCAGTAGTGGTAAACCTATGAAAAATCCTTGCTTTTAAGTGTTAGCAATAGTTCAAAAAATTAAGTTCTGAAAATTGAAAAAATTAAAATGTAAAAAAATTAAAGAATAAAAATACTTCTATTATTCTTTTATCTCAGTAAGAAATACCTTAACCAAGTTATCTCTCTTTTATGCTACTCTTTTGCCACTCACTTGAGAACAGAATAGGATTTCAACAATAAGAGAATAAAATAAGAACATGTATAACAAAAAGCTCTCTCCAGATCATCCCTGTGAATGCCAAAGTAAACTTTATGTACAGTGTAAAAAAAAAAAATCTCAGTTATGTTTTTATTAGCCAAATTCTAATGATTGGCTCCTGGAAGTATAGAAAACTCCCATTAACATAATATAAGCATCAGAAAATTGCAAACACTAGAATTAATTTTACACTCTAATGGTAGTTGATCTTCATAGTCAAGAGGCACTGTTCAAGATCATGACTTAGTGTTTCAATGAAATTTGAAAAGGGACTTTAAAACTTATCCAGTGCAACTCCCTTGTTTTTCGTCAGAGGAAAAGGAGGCCTAGAAAGGTTAAGTAACTTGGTCGAGACCACTCAGCCTTGAGATCAAGAAAACCTAATCTTCTGACTCCCAGGCCAGGATGTTTTATTTCTCACATCATGTCCAAGAAAAAGAATAAATTATGTTCAGCTTAATTTTAGTGTTGAATCTATTTGATTATATTTTAATACTTTGAAAATGAATGTGTGATTTTTAATAGTATATGTGACCTGAGCAGAAAATCAGGGAACTCCAAGAAGCCTACACTGTGGCCATATAAACCTCAGCAAGAGAAAGAAGCTATGTTCTTTTAAAACAGAATAGAGACCGCTTGCTGGTGAAACTCCTGGCTAGTAAGATGTGTGTCTAGCTATACTATTTGTGGCTTGAGCTTTTTTAATTATTACCTTCCTTTCCTGAGTTTTGTAGGCACCACATTCCTGAATGGCAGAAAATAGACACCTCAGAAAACGGAGGATTTGTGGACTCTTTCCAGCCCTGTGGCTTTTCTTATCACAGCCTTTTATTTATTATGAGCAGAATAAAAGAATCAGCTAGGTGTGGTGGTCTGTGCTTATAATCCCAGCTACTCTGGAGGATAAGTTGGGAGGATCACTTGAGAGGCCAGGAGCTTGAGACCAGCCTGGGCAGCATAGTGAGACCTCGACTCTATAAAACATAAAAATTTAAAAAAAAATTAGCCTGATGTGGCGTGTACCTGTAGTCCCAGCTACTGAGGAGGCTGAAGCAGGAGGATCCCTCGAGCACAAAAGTTTCAGGCTGTGGTAAGCTATGACTGTGCCACTGCACACCAGCCTGAGTTACAGAGGGAGATCCCAACTCTTAAAAACTAAAACAACAATAAATATATACAAGAATCATAACATAAAGGGATTCATGCTTAGAAAAAATCCATAAACTCCCTTCTAAATATTGAGACACTCCAGGCTTCTTTCAGACAAATAACTTCTAATTATTCCATATTTTTCAAGTTATTAACCAAGATAAAGAATCTCTCAGTTAGTGGGGAAAATGAAAATTATTAAGAATAGAATTGTCTTCTGACTTTAAAAACAATTTAGACTTTAAAACATGAACTGTTTACTCAGGCTGGTGATACTCTAGTTTGTTAGTATACCATACTTGAAGATATCATCAAGATCACTATAGTTGTATATATTCTCTATTTTTATATGTAAATGTTAACTTAGTTCAAGTATTTTTTGCTTGTATCGTTAACTGATCATCAAATACAATCCTAAAGATATATCAGAAGCTTTATTTTGGTACAAAGTCATAAGAATCAAAACTTTTTTAACCATTCACATTAGGTATCAACAGTAATTGTTTGAGATACTTTTATATCAATTCTGTTACACTGAGCCTTTAGTCATACTAAGAGAATGCAGAAGAAGTTATAGGAAAACGAATCTTCACTGAAACTAGTATTATATAATCTTGAATTAGATGTTTAAAAAACTTTATAGCTTGATATAAAATGAGTTGAAAATTATTATTTAATAGGAAGCAGCATTAGATTTTTGTCACCTGTTTTCAGATAATATTTCTAGTCTATGTATGTTATTTAATTTTTACACTTTGGCCCATTGTTTATTTTCCTTAAGGAATTCATCAAATGCAATGAAATTTGAATAAAATTGATCATAGCAATAAATAATTTTTAAATTCAGCACAAACTCATCTTGAGTATATTATCAATCAGGCTTCCTTTAGCAATAAGAATGGTGAATCAACATCCAGTACTAAATTCAATAAATGATGAATACTTTAAATACAAGAAAAAGTTGAATTGCAGAAAAGAAGAGGGGCTAAAAAGGAAGAAAGTTTTAATTCTCAACAAGAAACACTATTTAGATGGAAAGCTTAAATGTATTCTTATTAAGGGTATTTGATGATGCATTTTATTTGCAAAAATAACCAGTGGGTAATTTTTTCTCTGAAAATTTAGCTTTAATAAGTCGTAAAATTTCCTAAAGATTTTGGAGACGATATTTCGATTATACCAGCTCTTGCTTTTATTTTGGGAGCCTGGAGAAATGAGAGTGATTGCACCTGTCAAATTTTGTATCTCATCACTTTTGGATCATCACACTGTGACTAAAATGACTTCAGCATTTTGTTGGCCACCACAGTGAAGAACTATTCCCTGAAAGTTAATCAGTTGCCTGAGAGACTTTTCTGCTACTGAGGGGAAAGAAAGGAAAGCTTTATTTACCTCTAATGAGCTCCGTTCCAAGTCAGTTAATCACTGTTCCCTTACACCCAAGAGTTTCATCAGTATCAGAGTCAACTTGTCAAAACACTGGTTCTCAGACGTTTTTTTCAGAGGGACTTCTTTTCCCCACATGGCCAGATTTCTTTACAATTAAGAAAATAAGAGCTACAGCGTATTCTTGGTTAAAAACCAGTTTAGATGATGTTACCAAATGAAAACAAGTCTGTATTAGCAAATGCCACATTATATTTAGTCGTATTCTCACTAAATTCTCCGTTATTAAAATGATTTCTGCATCTTGCCTGGAAAATGCACTTACATATTTACAAGCGTTGTATGTCAATGTGCATGTTTTGAATTTCCTAACAGTGTCTAATCTTAGTAGTTTCATAGTAGTTATGTAAAATCTCTTTAACTGCAAAATACTATAAAATATTACTTGAAATATTAAAGTATTAGTGCCATTTCTAGCTGTGGCAAGGCACAAGTCTTACTATAGCTTACTTATGTCTTCTCATAGATTTCAGTACAGCATCTGAGTAGTGGATCTGTTTACTGACAGTATACACAAACTAGGTCTTGACCTCACTTCTTTCTTCATTTAAAAGGAGAAGATTTGAAATAGAGCTAGTGTAAATAATAAATAAAATTATTTAAATAGCATCAGTGGCTCAATACCATCTGTTGAGGAATAAAATAATTTGGTTAACATACAGAACATCGATAATATACAATAATGACTTTTTAAAAAATGAGTCTGATCTTTTTGGCTCACCTAGCTTCCCTTAATAAGAAAATTTGAGAAACTTGGATCTGAAAAGTGTAGTTGTACTTCCTAACATTAAATTCCTGGCTGTAATAGTTAATACTTTGGCAGCATTATGGTTAGTCTTGTTTATGCCATTGGCACTTACTAGGCTAAACTTTCTGAAACTGATTGGTTTTGACCTATGAGATAAGGAAACATGCCTAAGAAATGGCTAGAAATGCTATTTATTGCCCTATGATAAGTGAAATAGCAAATCACTCTTGATTCTTAAAATTTCATATTAAAATTAGCTAGTTCCTACATGCATGCGTGCACAAGTATATGCAGACACACACACAAATCAGTAATCTATGTGAACTAGATACTAATACTAAATTACTATTTAAATTGGGTCCAGAAAGATGCTGTTTTGAAAAGAACACTAAAAATATTTCATTAGCGTTTTCTTGATAACAAATAGGAAAATATATGTTTACACCCTGAATAAATTCAGCTGTGGGTGGATTTTTGTTTTTCAAAATGATTTTGTTAGTTTGAATGAAACCTAAATATAACATTCAAGTCAATTCTTTTAACATTTTTCTTTATAACAGAATATGAAAAACGCTGTCTTAAAGTGTTGTAACTTTTCTGAATTTTCAATAAAATATTTTGCTTGCAGTTGCCTTTTAGATAACATTTTTCTAAGGTTAAATGACATTGATAAGTGTCATAAGCTAAAAATGGCACTAGTATAATATTCTCATAATAACATTTTAAGCAGTCTTTGTGGTTAATTCTGTTATGCTGGAAGTTGATATTGTATACTTCTAAGTTTTAAGAGCAGAAGTTGATTAAAAATGAAAGGACACACTCAAAACTGTGACCTGAACTTCCTGCAGCATGAATGCAGGATGAGCCATCTGCAGATGCTGCATTCATGATTTACTGCTTTTGTAAGGTCAAGAATATATATCAATCATTTTGTTTGCATTACAAAATTAATGCTTTAGGAAAGCATTATGCCAATCCTGTAGTAAAAGATCATAAAGATATTTATACCTTCACATCAGTAATCCTGCTCTTGTGAACTTAGCATAAAGACATAGTTCACAGAAGAGAGATGCTATGCCTAAAGGTGTGTTACAGCATTATGTTTTAATGTGAAAAATTGGAAACAACCTACATGTTCAGCAAGAGGGGGATCATAAATTACGATAACCTAGAATACAATGAAGATTATATTACAACAAACGTATACTGAAGACTGATAAGTTGGGAAATTAAAAAATAAGTAAATTTTAATTGCAGGTCTACAAAATATGCTTCTGGGCCAAGACAAGGAGATTTGTGGAAAATGGAACCATAGTGTCAGGATAAAGAAATGGGTTTTACTGTTTTTAAATGACTAGTGAAAGGAGGAATGTGAGAGAAATGGTTTTGGGGACAGGAAGTTTATAAAGCCTTAGTAGTGGTATGTGCTTCTGGCAAGCAACAGAAAGAACACAAAGGCAAAACACACACACACACACACACCCCAAATTAGGGATAGGACTAGCTGCATGTGAATTGCAATGAAAAGCCCTGTGGGGTACTTGATGGAGGAAAATAAAGATGGTTGGTACTACTTTAATTGGTAGAACAAGGTACTACTCTGTTATTTAAATACCAATGCACAACATTTCCCAAAGAAACCTTTCTTTATGAATTCTGGAAGAAAACTTTCTTTGGGAAAGGTTGTGCATTGTTTTATTTTAAGTTCCAGGGTACATGTGCAGGATATGCAGGTTTGTTACATAGGTAAACGTGCCATGGTGATTTGCTGCACCTGTCAACCCATCACCTAGGTATTAAACCCAGCATGCATTAGCTATTTTTCCTAATGCTCTCCCTCCTCCCACCCCACCCCCAAACAGGCCCCAGTGTGTGTTGTTCCCCTCCCTGTGTCCATATGTTCTCATTGTTCAGCTCCCACTTATAAGTGAGAACATGCGGTGTTTGGTTTTGTGTCCCCTTTATTAGTTTGCTGAGGATAATGGCTTCCAGTTCCATCCATGTCCCTACAAAGGACATGATCTTGTTCCTTTTTATGGCTGCATAGTATTCCATGGTGGTATTCCTTTTTATGGCTTCACAGTATTCCGTTATGTATATGTACCACGTTTTCTTTTTTTTTTTTTTTTTTTTTTTTTTTATTATACTCTAAGTTTTAGGGTACATGTGCACATTGTGCAGGTTAGTTACATATGTATACATGTGCCATGCTGGTGCGCTGCACCCACTAATGTGTCATCTAGCATTAGGTATATCTCCCAATGCTATCCCTCCCCCCTCCCCCGACCCCACCACAGTCCCCAGAGTGTGATATTCCCCTTCCTGTGTCCATGTGATCTCATTGTTCAATTCCCACCTATGAGTGAGAATATGCGGTGTTTGGTTTTTTGTTCTTGCGATAGTTTACTGAGAATGATGGTTTCCAATTTCATCCATGTCCCTACAAAGGATATGAACTCATCATTTTTTATGGCTGCATAGTATTCCATGGTGTATATGTGCCACATTTTCTTAATCCAGTCTATCATTGTTGGACATTTGGGTTGGTTCCAAGTCTTTGCTATTGTGAATAGTGCCGCAATAAACATACGTGTGCATGTGTCTTTATAGCAGCATGATTTATACTCATTTGGGTATATACCCAGTAATGGGATGGCTGGGTCAAATGGTATTTCTAGTTCTAGATCCCTGAGGAATCTCCACACTGACTTCCACAATGGTTGAACTAGTTTACAGTCCCACCAACAGTGTAAAAGTGTTCCTATTTCTCCGCATCCTCTCCAGCACCTGTTGTTTCCTGACTTTTTAATGATTGCCATTCTAACTGGTGTGAGATGATATCTCATAGTGGTTTTGATTTGCATTTCTCTGATGGCCAGTGATGATGAGCATTTCTTCATGTGTTTTTTGGCTGCATAAATGTCTTCTTTTGAGAAGTGTCTGTTCATGTCCTTTGCCCACTTTTTGATGGGGTTGTTTGTTTTTTTCTTGTAAATTTGTTTGAGTTCATTGTAGATTCTGGATATTAGCCCTTTGTCAGATGAGTAGGTTGCGAAAATTTTCTCCCATGTTGTAGGTTGCCTGTTCACTCTGATGGTAGTTTCTTTTGCTGTGCAGAAGCTCTTTAGTTTAATTAGATCCCATTTGTCAATTTTGTCTTTTGTTGCCATTGCTTTTGGTGTTTTGGACATGAAGTCCTTGCCCACGCCTATGTCCTGAATGGTAATGCCTAGGTTTTCTTCTAGGGTTTTTATGGTTTTAGGTTTAACGTTTAAATCTTTAATCCATCTTGAATTGATTTTTGTATAAGGTGTAAGGAAGGGATCCAGTTTCAGCTTTCTACATATGGCTAGCCAGTTTTCCCAGCACCATTTATTAAATAGGGAATCCTTTCCCCATTGCTTGTTTTTCTCAGGTTTGTCAAAGATCAGATAGTTGTAGATATGCGGCATTATTTCTGAGGGCTCTGTTCTGTTCCATTGATCTATATCTCTGTTTTGGTACCAGTACCATGCTGTTTTGGTTACTGTAGCCTTGTAGTATAGTTTGAAGTCAGGTAGTGTGATGCCTCCAGCTTTGTTCTTTTGGCTTAGGATTGACTTGGCAATGCGGGCTCTTTTTTGGTTCCATATGAACTTTAAAGTAGTTTTTTCCAATTCTGTGAAGAAAGTCATTGGTAGCTTGATGGGGATGGCATTGAATCTGTAAATTACCTTGGGCAGTATGGCCATTTTCACGATATTGATTCTTCCTACCCATGAGCATGGAATGTTCTTCCATTTGTTTGTGTCCTCTTTTATTTCCTTGAGCAGTGGTTTGTAGTTCTCCTTGAAGAGGTCCTTCACATCCCTTGTAAGTTGGATTCCTAGGTATTTTATTCTCTTTGAAGCAATTACGAATGGGAGTTCACCCATGATTTGGCTCTCTGTTTGTCTGTTGTTGGTGTATAAGAATGCTTGTGATTTTTGTACATTGATTTTGTATCCTGAGACTTTGCTGAAGTTGCTTATCAGCTTAAGGAGATTTTGGGCTGAGACGATGGGGTTTTCTAGATATACAATCATGTCGTCTGCAAACAGGGACAATTTGACTTCCTCTTTTCCTAATTGAATACCCTTTATTTCCTTCTCCTGCCTGATTGCCCTGGCCAGAACTTCCAACACTATGTTGAATAGGAGCGGTGAGAGAGGGCATCCCTGTCTTGTGCCGGTTTTCAAAGGGAATGCTTCCAGTTTTTGCCCATTCAGTATGATATTGGCTGTGGGTTTGTCATAGATAGCTCTTATTATTTTGAAATACGTCCCATCAATACCTAATTTATTGAGAGTTTTTAGCATGAAGGGTTGTTGAATTTTGTCAAAGGCTTTTTCTGCATCTATTGAGATAATCATGTGGTTTTTGTCTTTGGCTCTGTTTATATGCTGGATTACATTTATTGATTTGCGTATATTGAACCAGCCTTGCATCCCAGGGATGAAGCCCACTTGATCATGGTGGATAAGCTTTTTGATGTGCTGCTGGATTCGGTTTGCCAGTATTTTATTGAGGATTTTTGCATCAATGTTCATCAAGGATATTGGTCTAAAATTCTCTTTTTTGGTTGTGTCTCTGCCCGGCTTTGGTATCAGAATGATGCTGGCCTCATAAAATGAGTTAGGGAGGATTCCCTCTTTTTCTATTGATTGGAATAGTTTCAGAAGGAATGGTACCAGTTCCTCCATGTACCTCTGGTAGAATTCGGCTGTGAATCCATCTGGTCCTGGACTCTTTTTGGTTGGTAAACTATTGATTATTGCCACAATTTCAGAGCCTGTTATTGGTCTATTCAGAGATTCAACTTCTTCCTGGTTTAGTCCTGGGAGAGTGTATGTGTCGAGGAATGTATCCATTTCTTCTAGATTTTCTAGTTTATTTGCGTAGAGGTGTTTGTAGTATTCTCTGATGGTAGTTTGTATTTCTGTGGGATCGGTGGTGATATCCCCTTTATCATTTTTTATTGTGTCTATTTGATTCTTCTCTCTTTTTTTCTTTATTAGTCTTGCTAGCGGTCTATCAATTTTGTTGATCCTTTCAAAAAACCAGCTCCTGGATTCATTGATTTTTTGAAGGGTTTTTTGTGTCTCTATTTCCTTCAGTTCTGCTCTGATTTTAGTTATTTCTTGCCTTCTGCTAGCTTTTGAATGTGTTTGCTCTTGCTTTTCTAGTTCTTTTAATTGTGATGTTAGGGTGTCAATTTTGGATCTTTCCTGCTTTCTCTTGTAGGCATTTAGTGCTATAAATTTCCCTCTACACACTGCTTTGAATGCGTCCCAGAGATTCTGGTATGTGGTGTCTTTGTTCTCGTTGGTTTCAAAGAACATCTTTATTTCTGCCTTCATTTCGTTATGTACCCAGTAGTCATTCAGGAGCAGGTTGTTCAGTTTCCATGTAGTTGAGCGGCTTTGAGTGAGATTCTTAATCCTGAGTTCTAGTTTGATTGCACTGTGGTCTGAGAGATAGTTTGTTATAATTTCTGTTCTTTTACATTTGCTGAGGAGAGCTTTACTTCCAACTATGTGGTCAATTTTGGAATAGGTGTGGTGTGGTGCTGAAAAAAAGGTATATTCTGTTGATTTGGGGTGGAGAGTTCTGTAGATGTCTATTAGGTCTGCTTGGTGCAGAGCTGAGTTCAATTCCTGGGTATCCTTGTTGACTTTCTGTCTCGTTGATCTGTCTAATGTTGACAGTGGGGTGTTAAAGTCTCCCATTATTAATGTGTGGGAGTCTAAGTCTCTTTGTAGGTCACTGAGGACTTGCTTTATGAATCTGGGTGCTCCTGTATTGGGTGCATAAATATTTAGGATAGTTAGCTCCTCTTGTTGAATTGATCCCTTTACCATTATGTAATGGCCTTCTTTGTCTCTTTTGATCTTTGTTGGTTTAAAGTCTGTTTTATCAGAGACTAGGATTGCAACCCCTGCCTTTTTTTGTTTTCCATTGGCTTGGTAGATCTTCCTCCATCCTTTTATTTTGAGCCTATGTGTGTCTCTGCACGTGAGATGGGTTTCCTGAATACAGCACACTGATGGGTCTTGACTCTTTATCCAACTTGCCAGTCTGTGTCTTTTAATTGCAGAATTTAGTCCATTTATATTTAAAGTTAATATTGTTATGTGTGAATTTGATCCTGTCATTATGATGTTAGCTGGTGATTTTGCTCATTAGTTGATGCAGTTTCTTCCTAGTCTCGATGGTCTTTACATTTTGGCATGATTTTGCAGCGGCTGGTACCGGTTGTTCCTTTCCATGTTTAGCGCTTCCTTCAGGAGCTCTTTTAGGGCAGGCCTGGTGGTGACAAAATCTCTCAACATTTGCTTGTCTATAAAGTATTTTATTTCTCCTTCACTTATGAAGCTTAGTTTGGCTGGATATGAAATTCTGGGTTGAAAATTCTTTTCTTTAAGAATGTTGAATATTGGCCCCCACTCTCTTCTGGCTTGTAGGGTTTCTGCCGAGAGATCCACTGTTAGTCTGATGGGCTTTCCTTTGAGGGTAACCCGACCTTTCTCTCTGGCTGCCCTTAACATTTTTTCCTTCATTTCAACTTTGGTGAATCTGACAATTATGTGTCTTGGAGTTGCTCTTCTCGAGGAGTATCTTTGTGGCGTTCTCTGTATTTCCTGAATCTGAACGTTGGCCTGCCTTGCTAGATTGGGGAAGTTCTCCTGGATAATATCCTGCAGAGTGTTTTCCAACTTGGTTCCATTCTCCACATCACTTTCAGGTACACCAGTCAGACGTAGATTTGGTCTTTTCACATAGTCCCATATTTCTTGGAGGCTTTGCTCATTTCTTTTTATTCTTTTTTCTCTAAACTTCCCTTCTCGCTTCATTTCATTCATTTCATCTTCCATTGCTGATACCCTTTCTTCCAGTTGATCGCATCGGCTCCTGAGGCTTCTGCATTCTTCACGTAGTTCTCGAGCCTTGGTTTTCAGCTCCATCAGCTCCTTTAAGCACTTCTCTGTATTGGTTATTCTAGTTATACATTCTTCTAAATTTTTTTCAAAGTTTTCAACTTCTTTGCCTTTGGTTTGAATGTCCTCCCGTAGCTCAGAGTAATTTGATCGTCTGAAGCCTTCTTCTCTCAGCTCGTCAAAATCATTCTCCATCCAGCTTTGTTCTGTTGCTGGTGAGGAACTGCGTTCCTTTGGAGGAGGAGAGGCGCTCTGCGTTTTAGAGTTTCCAGTTTTTCTGTTCTGTTTTTTCCCCATCTTTGTGGTTTTATCTACTTTTGGTCTTTGATGATGGTGATGTACAGATGGGTTTTCGGTGTAGATGTCCTTTCTGGTTGTTAGTTTTCCTTCTAACAGACAGGACCCTCAGCTGCAGGTCTGTTGGAATACCCTGCCATGTGAGGTGTCAGTGTGCCCCTGCTGGGGGGTGCCTCCCAGTTAGGCTGCTCGGGGGTCAGGAGTCAGGGACCCACTTGAGGAGGCAGTCTGTCTGCCCGTTCTCAGATCTCCAGCTGCGTGCTGGGAGAACCACTGCTCTCTTCAAAGCTGTCAGACAGGGACACTTAAGTCTGCAGAGGTTACTGCTGTCTTTTTGTTTGTCTGTGCCCTGCCCCCAGAGGTGGAGCCTACAGAGGCAGGCAGGCCTCCTTGAGCTGTGGTGGGCTCCACCCAGTTCGAGCTTCCCGGCTGCTTTGTTTACCTAAGCAAGCCTGGGCAATGGCGGGCGCCCCTCCCCCAGCCTCGTTGCCGCCTTGCAGTTTGATCTCAGACTGCTGTGCTAGCAATCAGCGAGATTCCGTGGGCGTAGGACCCTCCGAGCCAGGTGTGGGATATAGTCTCGTGGTGCGCCGTTTCTTAAGCCGGTCTGAAAAGCGCAATATTCGGGTGGGAGTGACCCGATTTTCCAGGTGCGACCGTCACCCCTTTCTTTGACTCAGAAAGGGAACTCCCTGACCCCTTGCGCTTCCCAGGTGAGGCAATGCCTCGCCCTGCTTCGGCTCGCGCACGGTGCGCACACACACTGGCCTGCGCCCACTGTCTGGCACTCCCTAGTGAGATGAACCCGGTACCTCAGATGGAAATGCAGAAATCACCGTCTTCTGCGTCGCTCACGCTGGGAGCTGTAGACCGGAGCTGTTCCTATTCGGCCATCTTGGCTCCTCCCCCATGTACCACGTTTTCTTTAGTCTATCATTGATGGGCAGTTGTGTTGATTCCATGTCTTTGCTATTGTGAAGTGTGCTGCACTGAACATACTCATGCATGTATCTCTATAATAGAATGATTTATATTCTTTTGGGTATTTACCCAGTAATGGGATTGCTGGGTCAAATCGTATTTCTGGTTCTAGATCTTTGAGGAATTGCACACTGTCTTCCACAATAGTTGACCTAATTTACATTCCCACCGACAGTGTAAAAGCATTCCTACTTCTCTGCAACCTCACCAGTATCTTTTATTTCTTGACTTTTTAATAATTGCCATTCTGACTGGCATAAGATGGTATCTCATTGTGGTTTTGATTTGCATTTTTCTAATGATCAGTGATGATGAGCTCTTTTCCATGTTTGTTGGCTGCATGAATGTCTTCTTTTGAGAAGTGTCTGTTCATATCCTTTGCCCACTTTTTAATGCGGTTGTTTTTTTCCTGTAAATTTGTTTAAGTTCTTTGTAGATTTTGGATATTAGTCCTTTGTCAGATGGATAGATTGCAAAAATTTTCTCCTGCTCTGTAGGTTGCCTGTTCACTCTGATGCTAGTTTCTTTTGCTGTGCATAAGCTCTTTAGTTTAATTAGATCCCATTTGTCATTTTTTGCTTTTGCTGCAATTGCTCTTGGCAATTTCGTCATGAAATCTTTGCCTGTGCCTATGTCCTGACTGGTATTGCCTAGATTTCCTTCTAGGGTTTTTATAGTTTTGGGTGTTAACATTTAAGTCTTTAATCCATCTTGAGTTAATTTTTGTATATGGTGTAAGGAAGGGGTTCACTTTCAGTTTTCTGCATATGGCTAGCCAGTTCTCCAAGTACCATTTACTGAATAAGGAGTCCTTTCCCCACTGCTTGTTTTTGTCAGGTTTGTCAAAGATCAGATGGTTGTAGACGTGTGGTGTTGTTTCTGTGTTTTCTATTCTGTTCCATTGGTTTATGTGTCTGTTGTGCATTGGTTTTTAAAGAACAGATACCGTTTCAAGTTTCCTTGTAAAGGTAGATTTGTTTGATGGCTTAAAATGTGAGGGAATTGGGTCTTTTGGTCGTCAGTTTTCTGGTGCCATGAATCATGGGACTAGCAGGTATTGATGATAGAAACTAAAGCTAATATGTCAGCCTTGCCGAGGAGTTATGAAATAGTTTTGTTATTCTCCATGCTGGATCTCTGTGCAAAAGGACAGGGACTGGCTACCAAATGCCCAACTTGCACTTAAGGGATAGGAAGGGTGTGCTGGGCGTGGATTGAGGGAGAGCAGGTCTAGAGTTGAATAAGAAAGTAAAGTAGACCAAAAAGAAAAAAAGAGGTGGGTGGGCAGTGCAGAAGTGAGCACTTCAGATCATGGACCTGTAGTGTCTTCCTATCTTTGTAGTTCCCACACCCAGCAGTACCACACAAGAGCACAGAATAAGTGCTTGAAAATCTGATCTTGTCACTTTCTTAAATCTATTGTCTTCTCCAGTCTTGGCTGTACAAAGACCGAGCTCTTTAATGTGGTACCATAGCTGGCCTCACTCCCTGTCTCACCCCAAAAGTTACAGCAACACCAAACTGCTGCCAGCACCACAAGCACACTACACACTCTGTTTCATCTGCATGACTCCAGAACCTTCTCATACTAAAATGATTTCCTTCTCGCTCCTCCATTTTTTTCCTGGTCAATTCTTAGTTAAGATTCAGTTTAGGAGGCTCTTCTACTAGGAAGCCTTCACATACAACCTTACCTGTACCTGGAGTGAGTTATATATTCCTTCATTTTTTTCATTTCTTCTCTGCCCTTCCCTAGACACTATGAGCTCTATGAGTAAGGTAGTTTGATCAATTATGTTCAATTCTGAAAATACAGTGCCTAGAAGGATGTCAGGCACATAGCAGACACTCAAAAAATTTTGTTGAATGAATGAATGAATTGACAGAAAAACCCATATTAGAGCTCTGATACTTAAAAATCGCCAGGTGCAGGGGCAAAGCCATGCTTTCTGTGCTGTCTGTCCTCTGCCCCTGTGTCTTTTTGTTGAATGAATGTGGCCGACCTTTTCCACTTTGTATGCTAGTTCAGCAGGCTACAATACTGTAAAGCAAAGACATCCACATCTGAGTGTCTTATGGAAAATCATATGAATCAGACAAATCTTAAAAACATATTCACAAGTAATGTAGGTGAAGTCTGTAAGAAGGAAAAGATTAAAAACCCTCACAGCCCTTTCTGTTTTTATATTTTACATGAGCAGATTAAATTTTGGAAATAAATCAGTTATACTTTCTACTCATTCTTTGTAAAATTAGATGTAACCTGGACTGCAAGTGATCCTTTCTGTCTTAAGAAGACAAAAGCCTAACACCCAGAGCTATGTTTCTAAACTTTTGATGCCTAAAGGTTCCCTGCTTGTAAAAGAATCATCTATTCAGTAGTTTTTTGTGGATCTTCTCACAAAAGAGGGCATTCTCTGGCTGTTCTGAGAGCCTACCTATTGTCTGAGTGCATTCTGGTATATATCATAAACAGAATCCAACTCAATGCAAAGCAAGAATGAGAATCTCTATGTGTTGGGAAATGTGGCCTGGCCAAGGTGGCCATTGTATAGAAATGGCTCAAAAAGTAACAAACAAGAATCACAATATCTGGAAATGGGAATTATGTAACTGAAAATGCATTTGCTCCAGCGCATTGCCTTTCATGAGACATTGCTCAAGTATGTTGTTTGCACATACAGCAGAGTGTGCTCTGTGGGGGGGAAAAAGAAAGAAAGAAAAAAAGAAAACCTCAACCAGCATTAGTACTTTTCAGTATAAAACAGATACATTTTGCCACTGGCAGAAGACGAGGCATCAATATTACACTTTGCACAACAAAAACAGATCTGGATCACACTTTTTAGGATACACTTGGAAAACTAGCCACCCAGTGTTAATGGCTGGTATTATACTGAAACGAACTGCTGGAAATCACACATAATCAGTGATGCTCATCAAATGCATACTGGCAGAGATTCCGCTTTTTAGCCACTGCTGTATAGATGTAAACTGCTTAATGACTTCTGGTTATTATGATACAGAAAACCCAAACCATAGGAGAAGATATTTTCTAAAATTAAAATTGCTTTGGAGGCACTACATAGATGGGAAAAGATGTGTTGTACTCAATTCTGACAGAGGCCCAGATTATTACAAGGTTAGGAGAGTAGCCCCTAAATGCAAATCCACACACTAATTGGTTTTCAGAGGTTAACTAGCAGTCTACCATAGTACCTCCTGACTGAAATATGATGTTCAAGGAAATAGTGAAAGTAATAATATGGATCGTCTTGCAGCTCTTGAGTGTACACCTTTCAACACATTCTGCCAGAAGATGGGCAGTGACTACAGATACATTTTTTCCTCTCTGAAAAAAAATGTTGGTTGCCAGAGGGAAACATCCTAGGACCTGAAAAATCACAGATGGGAAAATATCTCCATGACACTGATAATGCCAATAAGGACCGTTTCTATCACTTCAAATGTGGTGTATCTCAGCAATAGCCTTAATTATCTTGACAAGCCAGAACTTATCACTTTGGGGATGAACTTTTGCCAATTTCCAATGAAGAGGATAAAGGGTCAGGATTAAAACAAAACAAAACAAGCTGTGGAACAAATGCCTCAGTCATTAGGAATTCAACTTATCCCCAGTATTTGATTATTTTCTTTCTCATTAGAGAAAACAAAACAATGAAATCTTGGGGATGCTTAAAAAATACATCAAGATGCCACAATAGAACATAAGAATTGCTCTACAGCGTGGTCCCCAACCTTTCTGGCACTAGGGACCAGTTTTGTGGAAGACGATTTTTCCACAGATGAGGGCGGAGGGTTGGTTTTGGAGTGAAACTGTTCTACTTCAGATCATCAGGCATTATCAGATCTAGTAAGAGGCGCACAGCCTACATCCCTTGCATGTGCAGTTCATGATAGGGTCCCCGCTCCTATGAGAATCTAATGCTGCTGCTGATCTGACATGAGGCGGAGCTCAGGTGGTAACGCTTGCCAACTGCTCACCTTCTGCTGTGTGGCCTGTTCCTAATGGGCCATGGGACCCATGCTCTACAGAGTGGAATGTAATGAGAGTAGATTAGGAATTTGTCACTAAGCCCAAGTAAAACCAAACTTCCAGGTTTTGATTCCGTTGTGGACTTAAGAGTTTTCCAGGTACTACTCACTCATAAATCTCTCCATTCATTCCCTGTCCATGTTTGAGCTGGACTGAGGTAACATTCTGATAACAGAATTATCAGATGAAGCCCTCAATCACTTGCTGACATTCCTAATGACCTATCATTGTAATTTTGAATTATTTAACTTAGTAGCAATAAAGAGGCAGGAAAGAAACATACTGCATGTAGAACCTACTGCTTCAATTATTGAGCCAAAAACCTAGTGAAAGGTTAACAGTGAGATCAGCCATCTTCAACTGACACGAAATAATTATTCTTACCTTTAATATTACCTTCAGTTTTTATAATTTAAATACATATCATATATCTTTCTGTTCACTTAATGGTCCAAGAGTCCACTTAACAAGTACTAAGTGGTTTGGGGATAACAAAAATATGAGAGGTTGGTGCTGATGAGAGATTGTTGGTGGAATGAATGAGTCTGGGAATTGTCTAGGCTACACAATGCCTGAATGTGGTGAAAGATCGCCCTCAAATGGTTTTTCCTGGTTGTGTCTAGGGACGCTGGAAATGTGTTGAGAACAGGTGCATGAGTGGCAGTGTTACATGTCCTAGGATTTGCATTTGGTGAAAACAAATATGAGGAAGATTAATCTTTTGAGACTTAATATGTGAGTAATAGAAATGATTACATTGGTGTTAAATAAATTACATCATCAGTCATGTTTTAATATTGAGACAGAAGGGCAGTAGGTCAGAAACCTTCTAAATCTGCAGAAGGATGCAAATAATTTTTATTTTTGACAAGAAGATTCACTTGCCAAAATTTCAACCCAAACTTAAAATATTGCATTTTCCCCCGTGGTATTCAGGGCATATTCTCTCAATGGTTACCCTGATAGAGTTCATTGATATTTGTGAAAAAAGAAAGAAATGGAAAAAAAAACCCTATTTTTGGTATCCACATATTTTTGTAAGTCTGGGGCTGGAGATATTTCAACAGCAAGAAACAGGAGAGAAGTTTCCTAGACACTAAGTCTGTTCAGCATTCTTCAATTCAGCCCCATTTTCAAAATTAATTAATGAAATTGCATCTTGATGAATAAGGCTGATAGGAAAAAAATTGTTCTCATGGTGTATTAATCATGACAATTAATATAGCTGCTGCAACAAACCACCCCTAAAATCCTAGTGGCTTAACATAATAAAAGTTTATTTTTTTCTTATGTCACAATGTGCTGTATTATCAAGCTCCTTGCCTCCACATAGGGATGCGGGATCCTGGCTCTTTACACCTGTGTCACTACCATACTGAACACGTGGCCTCTGGGGTCCGCATAGAAGACGATGAAAAAGCACAGGCAATCATGCATGAGCTCTTATGGCTAGGCCTAGAAGAAGGGTACATCACTTCTACCCACTTCCGGTTACCTAGAGCCTAATCACATGGCCCTATGTTATTAATTCCAAGGGAGACTGGGAAATAGAGTCTGTGTGCCCAGAAAGAGGAAATATTATTTTATATTAAAAATCAATTATGCTATTGCTTAAGATCCAAAAAGCATGTGAATTTTAATACTTCAAAGAAACTTTTGAGTTTAAGGATTCCAGCTGAAGTTATACTATAGAATCCTGAGAACCCACATTTGCACTCTGCCATCCTAAGAGGCATCTTTGGTAAAGAAGTTTGAGAAATTAGTAGCGATGGGCTCAAACCGAGCTGTTCACACATTTTCAGTCATCAACATTAGAGAGCCAGAATCAGGTACACAATTAACAGACAATGAAATTTCTTCTCACACATTCCCTCCCGTCATTCCCTCAATGAAGAAAATGACTCATGAAGACTGAAACAGATGAGATGCTGATCTTATTAGCGCTGTGATCCAAACCAAGCAGCCTCAATATGGGAACCTAAAAAGAGACAGTAATTGAGGACTACATTATATTATTAAAAAGATAGAAGGAAATCCTGTCATTTGAGGCAACTTGGATGGAACCGAAAGACATTATGTTAAGTGAAATAAGCCAGGAACAGAAAATTAAACACCACATGTTCTCACTCATATGTGGAAGCTAAAAAAGGTGATACCATAGAAGTAAAAAGTAGGACAGAGGATATTAGAGGCTGGGAATGGTAGGGAGAAGGGAGGGATAGGGAGATATTTGTTAAAGGATACAAAGTTACAGATAGGAGAAATAAGTTCTAGGGCTATATACCACTGTAGGATGATTATAGTTAACAGCAACATATTATGTATTTTCAAATACCTAGAAGGGTATTGAGCATTCCCAACACAAAGAACCAATAAGTGTTTGAGATGATGGATATGCTAATCTACCTAATCTGATCACTAGAGAGAATATATATCAAAATCTCTATGTACCCCATAAGTATGTAAAATTATTATTTGTCAATTGAAAAAATTCTTTTAAGGTGGAAGGAATTCAGTCCGTTCAGCTTTTAACATTTGAAAAAAGAAAGGAGAAACTTTGGCAATGGAGAGGAATATGAAATGATGTCTCACATGTATTTTGATACCGAAATTTGCATGCACTTTTTGTCTTCAAACTTTAATTGACAAAATTAAGCAAGCATCATACAGGAAGTGCAGCCATGGAAATAAATTTAAAAAGGTCCTTCAAAGCACAGCAAGGTGCCAATAAACATTTGATGAATTGAGGAACAGATGCAAAGAATAATAGTGCAGTACTGACAGCTTCTGAGTACAGCACTTTATCATTTTTCATTAAAAGGATAAAGTCAGGCTGGGCGCAGTGGCTCATGCCAGTAATCTCAGCACTTTGGGAGGCCAAGGTGGGTGGCTCACTAAAGGTCAAGAGACCAGCCTGGCCAACATGGTGAAACCCCATCTCTGTTAAAAATACAAAAATTAGCCAGGCATAATGGCAGGTGCCTGTAATCCCAGTTACTCTGGAGGCTGAGGCAGAAGAATTGCTTGAACCTGGGAGGTGGAGGCTGCAGTGAGCTGAGATTGTGCCACTATACTCCAGCCTGGGCAACAGAGTGAGACTGTGTCTAAAAAAAAAAAAATAAAAGGATTAAGTCCGTCATTAAACTTACTGTCTTGAGTTTCCATACTCAAAGAGACTTAATTTCTGGAAGTTGAAATACCATTATTTAATTACGGGCCAGGCACAGTGCCTCATGTCTTTTATCCCAGCAATTTATGAAGCCGAGGGAGGAGGATCTCTTGAGGCCAGAAGCTCAAGACCAGACTGGGCAACGCAGACCTCATCTCTACAGAAAAAAAAATGTAATTATGATATAGCTGTAAGTAAACAGTTACTATAAGTTTCATATTTTTAAGTAAAACACATAGTCTAATACAATATTAGAATAAATATCTCTGGACATAATGGGTAAAAATGAAAGCAACAAAACCTTTAGAATAGGGTGCAGATCCCTCCAAATCACAGATGAAGCCCTATTCCTTTGTGCTCAATTTCAACATCAATTGCTGCTTTAGCTTAGTTACCTGCTCACACTTAAAAAGCATCAAACTTAGGTGGTGATTCCATGATCATTTTAGTTCCCATCAATTATGCTCCCTTATTTCTGGAGTTTTCCAGTTTCAGCCTATGGTTTCCAAGCTGGGTAGTTGTCATTGTCTTAAATTAATGACCCTTCTCTGTGGGAGCACAGGGTGGCACTAGCAGAATGAAATGGTGATACTCATGCTCGCTTCCATTAGCTTCTCCCAGCGGAGAATTTGCCTCCTTTGGCGGCCTAAGTTTTAAAATGCTGTCTCATCCTTCTCTTTTGTATCTTTCTTGTTAATTTCATCCTGTTCCCTTTCCTCTCTATTGGTCTCCATTAATGGAGGTCCAATGCACAGAATAAAATAATCTAAGAATTATTCCAAATATGTCCAATAGCTACTCTGCCAATGGTTGCTGAGAGTTGCCACCCAAGCATCATTATCTACAGGACTTTAAGAAGCTCAGCAAGACTTAAGGACACTTGACTTCTGTGAAAATGAGCAAAACCAAAAGTAATTAAGAATAAAATTTCTTTAAAGTTTATAAGGAGTTTCAGTGTCTTCCCTCTTCTTTTGGACTTAAGGAAACATTTTTAAAAACAAAACTCCCATTATTACCTCAAATTTGGCTTCATAGAGCAATAGAATGGCAGATTATCTCCTAGATAATTCATAAGGACAGTTATCTATTACATGGTATCTCATTGCTTTCCTTTAATAGAGTGGATCTGCTACAGATAATAAACAATAAAAACAAATAATTATAGGGCTCTATGGGTGCCCTTTAGATGGGTGGGGCCCTTTATACATAGTATCTTGTTGAAGTCTTACTTACTATATGAGGGAAGCAGCATTATGATCCCAATTTACAGAAGAGGAAACTGAGACTGAAGAAAGTATGGAGATATGCTGGTAAGTGGAGAAGCCAGGATAGAAATCAAAGTACGACCAACACTAAATCCCATGCCCTTAACCAATTTATTACTTATTATATTTCACTGTTTCTCTGTGCGGGGAGATGACACTGAACAGTTAAGGATCAAATTAATTATCATCCTATGGCATTATTTAACTTTAACAATAACAGCTCTTGGCATTTTTCAAAAGTCAGACGATGAAGCAGTAAATTCTTTGGGTGATTATGTGACTGCTTCCAGGATGTTCTAGTCGCCTTAAAAATGTCAGAGGGTAAAAGAAAGGAGACAAGCTCAAATTGGAACAGGACAGATGTAAAAAAGAATTTCTCAAGAGTACAATAAGTATGGAAATGTTTTACTGAGAGATGGAGTACGTTATCTTGAGACGCCTGCAAGAGATTTAAAGATTTCAGCTCAGGGCAAGATGAATTGGCTAAATTACTTCTGAAAGTCTTTAAGGGTTTTCATTATTAAGAAAAATTCTGAAACAAAATCCAGATGTCTAAAATGTGGCAGTTATAATAAGGAAAAACCAAACAATCCCAAATCTCCCTGAATGTAAGAATTATTTAGACAATTTAGATTTTGATAACATTCTATTGCAATTAAGACCCCCAAATAAGAATAAAAAGTCACCGTACAATGAGAATTTCAATGTCAATTCAATATGACTACAATATTTTGGATATATATGTGTGTGTGTATGTATGCGTGTACACATATATCATTAAAATCCTTCCAAAGAATATATATATCATTTAAATGAAAACTTCTAAAAATGTAATGATTATATGAGTTGCATGTTCAGAGATATAAAAGCAAATCAAATGATATTTCAATTTTGTAAATATGAAAAAACTTAAAGCAGTACTACAAATAACATAATATAGTTTCTAAAGTCCCAATACAATGGATTTAACTCATTTCAACCTCACAAACATTGTGGGAGCTGCTACAAATTGTTAATCTCTACGTTAAGTGCTGAGCTTTCATCTCATGATAAATGGTGGGTTCAGCACACATTTGCCTCTTCTCTTTCGTGAGTCCCCTTTGAAATAGCAGTAGAGATATTAAAGGGAATAAATGCATTTTAGCAAAGAGAATTGCAGGAGAGTCATCAGCAAATAAAAGATTCCTGAAATAAACCATTGAAAGTATGCAAATAAACAGAGTGAGCATGAAGGGGCTACTGTGGGAATGGGAGCCAATCCTCTCAGCTGAACTCTGGGGAGCAGTGAGCCCCAGACCTACAGATATGGAAGCTAGAAGTGAGATACAGGGAAATTAATCATAGGTCTATCCATGGAAAAACTATGCCCATTCACCCCACTCCCCAATTCTAAAAGCTGAGCTAGCTTTAAAGAATTAACACAAAATCCTTTACAAATTATTTCAAAGAAATAGAAGAGCAGATAATATGTCCAAACTGATGCAATGATGCCAGACACCAAATACCTTATACTAAAACCAAATAAAGACATCACAAAAAGAAGGAAACTACAAACCAATATCCCTTACGGATATAGACACAAAATACTCAACAAAATGCTAGAAAACTGAATCCCACAACATGTAAAAAAGTTATACGCCATAACGAAGTGAGATTTATCTCAGGAAGGCAAGGTTGTTTTAATATCCAAAAATCAATTAACATGATACACCATATTGATAGACTAAAAAATGAAAACTATAGTTAACAGATTCAGAAAAAGCACTCGACAAAATTATATATCCTTTTATGATAAAAATTCTCAACATATCAGAAATGTGATAAAGCACACCTGCAAAAAAAATCTATAACTGACATCATGCTTAATGGCCAAAAAATGAATGCTTTCCCCTTAAGATCA
Organism: Homo sapiens; assembly: GCF_000001405.40. Classification (NCBI taxonomy): domain Eukaryota; kingdom Metazoa; phylum Chordata; class Mammalia; order Primates; family Hominidae; genus Homo; species Homo sapiens. The sequence continues at coordinate 93,126,175 of NC_000011.10, read as the reverse complement.
GGAAGAAGATAAAGTTGCTCATTCTTACCACTTCTATTTAGCATTGTGCTGGAAGTTCTAGCCAAGGCAATTGGACAAGTGCTGTAGACGAATGTTTGCTTGTATCCCCTCACCTCCCAAATTCATATGTGGAAGCCTAAATTCCCAGCGTGATGGTATTTGGAATTGGGGCTTTTTAGAGGTAATTAGGTCACAAAGGTGGAGCCCTCATGAATGGGATTAGTGCCCTTACAGGAGACAGAGACCAAAGCTCTCTCTCTCTTGTCACCATACAACAGAAGACAGCTATCTGTGAACCAGAAAAATGGCATTCACCAAGAACCTGACCATACTGTTGCCTTGATCTTGGACTTCCAATCCTCCGAAACTGTGGGAAATAAATGTCTGTTATTTAAGCTACCCACTCTACAGTATTCTGTTATAGTAGGGCTAACTGACTGAGATAGAAATAAAACGAAATAAAAGACATTCAGATTGAAATGAAAGAAGTAAAAGGATCTTCATTTGCAGATAACATGACCTAGAATGTAGAAAATCCTAAGGAATCTAACAAATTACTGTTGGAACCAATAAATGAACTGCTGGATACAATATTAATATTCAAAAATCAATTATATTTCAATAGAGTTGCAATGAACAATCCAAAATGAAAATTACAGCATTATTCACAATAACCAAAATGTGGAAACAACTCCAATGTCCATTGACAGATGAATAAACAAAATGTGGTATATACATATAATGGAATATTATTCAGTCTTAAAAAGGAAGAAATTTGGCACATGCTTACAACATGGGTGAACCTTGAAGACCTTATGCTAAATGAAATAATTCAGATAAATACTGTATGATTCCACTTATATGAGGTATCTAGAGTAGTCAAATTCATAGAAACAGAAGGCAGAATAGTGGTTTCCAGGGGCTGGGGGGAGGGAGAAATGAAGAGTTATTGTTTAATGGGTACAGATTTTCAGTTTGGGGTGGTGAAAAGTTCTGGAGATGGATCATGGTGATGGTTGCACAGCAATCTGAATGTATTTAATACGACTGTGCACTTAAAAATGATTAAAATGATACTTTTATGTTATATATGTATTTTTACCATAAAAAATTGTAATTAAGAAAACAATTCCACTTATAATCACATCAAAAATAATAAAATACTTAAGAGTAAATTTAACAAAAGAAGTGCAGAGCGTATACTCTGAAAACTATAAAACATTGTTGAAAGAAATTACATAAGACAAATAAATTAAAAGACATCTCATGTTCATCGATCAAAAAACTGAATATTGCTGAATGACAATACTCCACAAATTGATCTACAGAGTCAACATAATTCCTACCAGAATTGCAGCTTCTGCTTTGCAGAAATTGACAAGCTGATCCTAAAATGTATCTGGAAATTCAACGGATACCAAATAGTGATGTGGTGCTCATTGGCATTCCTGATTCCTCCTCCCTTGTCTCCATCAGGCAAGAGCAGAACCTCCCCTCTCACTCAATGGCAATGAGGCAGTGTAAATGGATGCTCCAGATTCAGCAGGAAGTAGATTCACCAGTGGGGCCAGAATGGAAGCTGAACTTTCATCCACATCTAGACTTGTACACTATACCTAAAAATGGTGACTGCCTGCAAAAAAGAAGAGTAAATAGGATCCAGGGCCTCACAACATAATATCAAACTGTATAGGATACAATAAAGACATCACTTGCCATTTCAAGAGCCTCAAGAATCGCAATTTGAATAAGAAATGACAATCAGCAGATGCCAGCACTGTGATGGCATAGATGTTGGCATTATCTAACAAGGATTTTACCCCAGCCACCACGAAACAAGCAATTATGACTGCATTTCAAACAAGAGGTAAAACAAAAAGTCTCAGCAAAGAAATAGAAGATATGAGGAGAACAAAATAAAAATTTTAGAACTGAAAAAATGTAATAACAGATATAAAAGATTCACTGGATGGACTCAATAGAATAATAAATACAACAGAGGAAAGAACCAGTTAACTTGAATGTGGGCCAACAGAAATGACCCAATTTGAAAAACAGGATAAATTAGACGAAAAAGAAATGAACCTCAGGGACCTGTAGAACTATCTCAATAGATCTAACACTTGTATAATCAGAGAGCCAGAAGGAGAGGAGAAAAAGAGTAGGGCTTGGAGAATTTGAAAAGATAATTCAAACTTTTTTGAGCAAGACATTCCCATTTAAAACATTGAAAAATTTCAGAGACCTTTCCACCATAAATGCCATAATTTTAATTTGTATCCACAGGAACCAATACAAATAGCAAAAAACTGCAATACATTTAATGGTGCTTTTGATAAATTTGTTTGTGTTGCCACAATTACCTTGGGAACTGGCAGGCATGAGTAGATATATGGAATATTTTCCTCAGCCTTCCAAGCAGCATTTGTTGCATACCATGGTTTGCTGATTCCATGACATAACTAACTCTCTGACTTCTGAGGATGCTCACTGGTTCATTCATTTGCTCATTCATTCAATAAGTAGCTACTGTTCCCTTACTCTGACCCACATATCGGTAAGTGCTGTTTTACAGAGAGATTTCTCCATTGAAGGCTGTTGTCTGGCAGTCCATGTAGTGTGTTCTACTCTTCTGGGAAGTAGCTCGTCTTGGCACTGGCCCACGTAAGCTTATCATTGTACAGCCTGCTGTAAATCTGGTGAGGTCATAGTTGGCCTTTCTTAGTATTGCTTTTTGAAGTGCGATAAATTTTCTTTATTGTAAAGCAATTTTATTGTAAAGACATGAAATTTTCCATAGCCCAGCTTACTAATGGTTGGTTTTTGTTTTTGGTTTTTTGTTTTTTACAAAGCTTTGTACTTTAACCATTAACCAAAATCCCAGCGTCATTCACAGTGAATCTTTTAAATATGGAAGGCCCTTCCAGTTCCCCATGACAGTTGCTGACTACTTTGGCTATTACCATCTCTGTTGAAACCACTGTCAATAAGTTTAGCCAACATGCATGTGAGTTACTATCAAATGAATTGGAAATTTGGGTGAAAGGAACTGGTTTCTACTTGGATTGGATTTTAGGCCAGGATCTTGTTGTTCTTAAGTTGTAAGTATTTTGTCCCATCTTGCTGTGCTGACCAAAATGGCAGAACGCCACATCATTACTGAAACAACAAGTCAGTGCAAGTTACTAATTAACTGAAAATTCGTGACTAAAATTAAATGTGATGTCAAAGAATAATTTTCAAAAAATGATAGAAATTATGACTTTCAGACATAAAATGAACACATGTCAAAGTTTTTATTTAACTCATATGTGTAAATTTTGATGCAGTAAAGAAATATTAAAATGAATTTGCAAAAACAAAGTGTTCTATCCATAGAGCAATAGTCAGTTTTATCCCAACTAGACACACCTAATTTACATTCTTACAGACAAGAATTGTTTGCACTGCTGTCAGTGTGCTGCAATTTAACTTCTGTCTCTACAGAATTGTAAAAGAGCCTAGTCAAAGTCACCCCTAGATGGAATTAAATAATTCCTGGGGCCTTCAGCCTTTCATTGAAAGGATATCCAATAATCTCTTTTCCTCATTTTAAAGTCTTATATTTTTCTTTGCAGTGATAAAAGTGATAATTCTGCCTTAGCTCAGTTATGGAAGGCAGAATAAGGAAGATACTTATTAACACCACACAGAAAGAAATCACATATCTTTTACGACTTATGCTTAGTTTTTTTTTAAATACATTGACAGAATAATGAAAACATAACTATTAATAATCATGAGGAGTCTGTAGATATTACCTCACTGTCATTATCTAAGATAACAAATGGAAATGTAACAACTATTAACTAAAGTCAAAATGGACACTCATAGTAAATATGTCTTTTGTTTATGCACAAAGAGTATACACTCTGTCAAATCAAAATAGATTTTTTTAAAGATGTGAAATTAATCCAATCAGTTCTTTCCTCCTTTAACAACAACAAAAATACACTGCCAGGTTAGTGAGTCAAACAAGAGAAGTCTAGGAAGATGAATGGGGAAGAGAGGCTGTTCTGGTTTAATGTAAACAGCTTAAATATGATATTCAAAGGAGTCTGAGAAGCAATTTCCTTAGACTGTTAACTTATTTGCTTTAGGATTAATTTATTCTTTTTTATTCAATGCAAGTCCAATGCATTTTAATTTTCAAACAGTAGTATGTCCAGCAGCATTTATTATATGTTCTTGCTATATGCCCAGAACCATGCTAATATTATCGTCTATCATTCAATACTGTAAAAACAATGCTATTATTACAAATCTAATTGCAGTCAGGTATTCCCTAGGCTTCAACCATGAGTGGAGGGGTGGCAGGAGCTAAGATCAAGGCACAGCTTTTGATCTCAGCTGGCAAGAAAGGAAAGTGGGTAGGGCAGGGCTGGTGATTGCTTACTTCTTGGACTCAGGGTTTCACAGAGCATCAAGATCTAATAAGCTATGCTTCTTCTGTTACCACTCCTCTATCTCTGCCTCTCTCTGCTTCTAGCACCATCTTTTCCTTCCTGTCCAAGCTCAGCAATGACATCTCCATCCTTCCCTGAGCTCTTTATCAAAATTTCCAGTGCCCTTTTGATTGCACCAGGTATTAGAAAGGAATCCTTTGGCATTAGTCCAATTGATGATCTTCTGATCCTTTCTGAGAGGTTTGAATTTTTATAAAAGATATTTGATAACAAATCTCAAATTGTTCATTTTTTTAAACTTGTTATTTCTTCTTCCTTTTAACCATTTAGTCAACAAACATTTTGAGTACCTACTACTTGCTAGGTGTTCTAGGTGCTAGGGACAATCTTCTTCCTTCATAGGTCTGCTGCTTACCTACTTGCTAGGGAACTGATGGGGAGCCATTTCTCCTTTGGGAAACCTGGGTCTAGCACTGATGAAAGAAAGTTTCATGGTTGCTTGTCAACCCCATCCTCCAACCTGGGAGTGCCACAGAGGCCAGTGCAGAAACCAGGGTTCTCAGGGTTTGTGTGAGGGACCGAGTCTCTGGAACCTGGATTGGGGGAAGGCCATTTACTTTGAAGAGCAGGGGTTGGACCTGCTGGGAAAGGGGCCCCTTTTTCTATGAGCAGAACTGAACTGGATTTTTCATTTGCATTTCATGGGCAGCCTTGCCTTCAATGTCACTGATGAGGGAAACACCACATGGGATTTCTCAGGCCTCCTCCCCCTCCTTCTCAATGTCCCTCAAGGCAGCACCCACTCCCATTTGTTTCTCTCTTGGGTGGGAAGGTACATGACATGAAAAATGCTGAATCTCACATCAAGATGTCTTTCAAAAGATGAATGGGCAGATTCTTAGTATCATCTCAAAGCAGGCAAGGCAAAGGCAGGATATTTATGAGGTTTTGGAGTGTAGTTTGAGTCAGGCCTTTTGTTTCAGGGGACTTGATTAGAATCGGGTAATCTTGTGACATATTAGGGTTAGTGGACAGAATGAGGCAAGGGTTTTGAAGACAGTCTTGGACTGTAAACCATTGTTTGAGACTATATTGTAGTAGACATGGACTATGAATAGTCTAATGTTTATTTAAATAAATTTTCAGGATATTCTTGAAATGGATAATAAAGTTATTTGCAACTTTATCTTCCATGGCAAGAGTGTCCTGGAATAATAAATAATATTGATGAAGACAATGGATAATAAAGTCATGTTAATGTAGACAATAAGCCCTGTGGGTATAGATAATTTCAGTTCTCAAAGATTAATGGCAACAGTTATCATTTATTGAGTGGCTACTGCAGTATGTACTGGGCTGGCACTTTTAAGTTGCAATGGTCCTCTATTTTCTTCTGTCTTATTTTTTCCTCGTAAATTAAGCAGGTGTCAGCTCTGTATGCCTTTAGATGCTTGCTATTCAAACTGTGGTCCTGAGACCTGCAGCATCATCAGTATCACCCGGGAGCTTGTTACAAATGCAGACTCTCAGGCCCCACCACAGACCTACTAATTATAGTCTCCATTTTAACAAAATTTCCAGGAGAAGGGTGTACACATTAAAGTTGGTTAAAATTTTGGGCCATTTTTGGCAGAATGACATTAAAAATAAAAATTTTAGTTTCAGTTTAGAAACATTAAGGACCTCATGTTCATTGGCATCTAAGCTTTTGAACTACACTTGTTAGTATTTCATAGACATTATCTGATTTAATCCCTACAACAACCTATGAAGTAGGATTTTATGGATGAGAAAACAAAGACTCACAGTGGTGAAGCATCTAACTCAAGGTCACATCATCAGTATTAAGTGATAGAGCCAGGATTTGAATTCTGGTATGTCTTAACACAAAAGCCAAGGTTCTCAACCATAATGCCCTGCTGCCCCCTGAAGACTCTCTAGATGAGAGTTCCCCACCATCACACCCAGACTCCTGCCTTCATCTCCTAACAGCTCTACATATATCTACGTGGTGCCTTCTCTACCTCCTCCAAGCCAGATGTCTTGCACAATCCAGACCAAATCCAGACCACTGAGTACAATCTTTTTGACCTTCAGTCCACTGTCATGGTTGATATGCTTCTTCTGGATTGATGACAGAAAGTAGCCTCCCTACTTCTCAGACATATTCAGGCATAGGAATCTCTTCCCATGACTACCAATAACTTAGATTTCAGTGTACACCACCATCCTTTCTCTCTTCCTCAGAAACACGACCATCATTTGCCAGCACAAATGGAAAACAAACTTTCAGGACCCTCTATATGGAAAAGGGCATAGGTGAAGCCTCCAAACCCTGGCCTCCATCCCTGGTCTGGGGATGAAGAAAATCCCTAAAAAATCTCTCACTCTCCCATCTATTATGGTTGCTTCTAGCACTATTTGCCTTTATCACTACCTATAGGATCAACCTTGATATGCTCAAACTCCAGAAAACTCTACACTTGAAAGTCATGTGGATGGTAGAATACAATAAAAGCACTACTAACCTTTCAAACACTGTGTTGATGCTGGTTTCCTAGGCAGGAGGTGAGAAAAGAAGACTCCAAGGGAATGATCTTTTTTATTAATCTTTCAACTTACTGTAAGAATATAAATGATCACTGTTTTTCAAGCACTTAGCATCTAGAATGGGATCTTTATTTTTTGCTTTCTGAAAGACAAAACAGAACCAACAAAGTGGTCTAGGAAAAAAATCCTTGCACCCAGAAATCCAGAGAAAATGACGTATTCTCATTGGAGTACAGGTGAAAGAGGACTTCTGAGAGGGCCAGGCAAGGTGGCTCATGCCTGTAATTCCAATGCTGTGGGAGGCCGAGACTGGAGAATTGCTTGAGGCAGGAGTTTGAGATTAGCTAGGAAAACATAGTGAGACCCTGTCTCTACAAGAAATTATAAAATTAGCCAGGTGTAGTGGTACAGCTGCAATCCTAGTGCCTGAGGCAGGAGGATCGCTTGAGCCCACGGGTTTGAGTGTTATGGTGAGCTATAATCACACCACTGCACTCCAGCCTGGGTGATAGAGTAAGATCCTGTCTCAAAAAAACAAAAACAAAAACAAACTTCAAAGAAAATCCAAGTGTAACTGCTTGAATGTGTCCTCTCCCAAATTCAGGTGTTGCCAATGTGACACTATCAAGAGGTGGGGCTTTAAGAGGTGATTAGGCTATGAAGACTCCTCCCTCATGAATAGGATTCAGTTCCCATATAAAGGGCCTTGAGAGAGGGAGCTCCTCCCTTTTATCCTTCTGCCTTTTGCCATGTGAGGACACAACACTCCTCCCCTCTGGAGAATCCAACATTAAGGTGCCATCTTGCAAGTAGGATGCATCCTTCACTAGAGAAGCTGAACCTGCTGGTCTCTTGATCTTGGATTTCACAGCCTCCAGAATTATAAGAAAGTAAATTTCTCTTCTATAAAATACCCAGTCCCAGAAATTCTGTTATACCAGCACAAACAGACTAAAACAGCTTTCAAGTGTGATTAGAGTCAACAACCCTGACTAGGGTCAGTAATTGGGATACTCTGTTATCTCTATTGCAAAGTTACTGCGTAACTCCAGGTGCACCACATTTTAGCATATTCCCACTTTGGCAACGTGGTGGTGGTGGTGGTGAAGGTGTCCAGACAGAGGGGGCAGTAAGAGGAAAAAGCCCTAAAATGGCTGGTATGTTTAACATAGGTTTCTTTAACTCCCCACAACCTGTAACTGGTACAAATAGGTTCACATTAGCATTAATTCCCTCATTTCAATGGCTCATCTTAGTTCTCTGCCTATGCTTTTCACTTATTTTCAGATGTCTCTAGAGATGTCTTACACGCACGCAATAATGGTCTTCTGTTCCTCTGCTCCACCTTCCTAGTTGGTGTCTATCACCCACAAGCCACTTAAGGAAAATGCTTTTCCTCTGCTGTGACTGCTGTTGTCCTTCATGAAATAAATACTGCCCAGCCCAGGAAGCAAGCTTCAGACACTCCGAAAGTCACAACACCCTTGAGATGCCAAATGACAATGTGTTCTGTAAATCAAACGACGTGACGGAGGTAAGTCTCAATCATTTTACAGGTTTATTTTGCCAAAATTGAGCATGTGCCTGGCAAAAAGGAACACAAAATCACAGGAACATCTGTGATCCGTGCTTTTTCCAAACAGGGTTTGAGAACTTTTGTATTTAAAGGGGAAAGAGCAGGCAGTAAGGGAAAGTGGAAAGAAAAGGGGGTAGGGTAAATAAAAGAGAAAAGCAATTGCATTCTTTTGAAGCTTTGATCAGCAGTCACTGAATCCATATTTTACATGTGAAAGAAGCGGGTAGAGGAAGAGTCAATTATGCATTCATCTGGTGTGTGGTTAATCTACATTTTTACGTAAAATAAACAGTAGATAACGCAGTCAAACATGCATTTGTCTTAAGTGAGGGAAGGATGACTCCTAATCCTGTCTTTGTCCCATACCTGTGAAGATAATCTGTTAATTTACATTGTTTGGGTGAAATTCAACAGAATTGTTTTAGGGTAAAGATCTTGGGGCCCACAAGGAATTTCCTTGTAAGCAAATTGTGAGGCAGGACCCTTGGGGAGGTCAGTAACCTTCTTTCTATCAATCTATTTAGGAACAAAATGGAAGGCAGTTTTGCATAACTCAGTTTTCAAGCTTGACTTTTCCCTGTGGCATAATGAGTTTGGGGTCCCAGATTTTTAGTTTCCTTTCACAGTGTTGTGGGACTTTTCCTTAGTTCAGCTAAAGGTGAGGTCCTTGTCACACGGCCACAAAATTTAGGGTCGCAATTTGAAGGGTGAGCAGGGCAGGGTTTATTGGGTGAAAAGGAAAAAAGGGAAACAGGGACCCTCTGCAAAGCCAGAGTCCCTGCTAGTGCGCTTCCAGCCTCTCAGTTCCCAGGTTCCACAAAGGAAGAGGAGGGGCCAGTCTCCTCCCCACTACAAACAGCACAAACTTCTGTGGCTCCACCCAGGTGTGCACTCCTCCCAGTGCATAGGCTGGTTGGAGTTTTGCCAGGGAGCCCTTCCCACCTAGCAGTTTCAACAGTTTTCTCCAGAACTTGTTAGACTGCTAAGCCACACCATATTATGTGCAGAAATGGGAATAACATCCCTTTCCCCCAATTTGAGTGGTAGGCTGTATTGCATAGTGCTTAAGAGCATGGGTTTGGAGGACAGAGATAGATTTTATTTATCTGACTCTAAAATATGAATTAAAAAAATCTATTTCACAAGGTTGTTATGTGGATTAAATTAGTGGCACAGAAAGCTGAAGATAGTGCAGCTCACTCTTCTGGACTTCATTAAAGTTCACTTTCAAATGTTTGTCTTTAACACTATCTCAGAGGCCTGTAGAAAAATGCCAAAAGGAAATGAAAACTTATATCCACACAAAAACTTTTACTTGAGTGTTGATAGTGGCATTATTCATAATGTCTCCAAAGTGGAAACCACCCATATGTCTACCAACAGACGAATGGATAAAGTATGATATAGCGCTGCAATGGAATATTATTTGGCAATAAAAAGAAATGAAGTACTAAAGCATGATATATACAAAGATGAACCTTGAAAACATCATGTTAAGTAAAAGAAGACAGTCATAAAAGTCATGTATTGCATGACTCTATTTATATGAAATGTCCAGAATAGGCAAATTCACTGAAAAAGGAAGTAGATTAGCGGTTGCCTAGAGCTGTGAGAATGGAGAGTTGGGGATGATAACTAAGGTATGAGAGATTTCTTTTTGAGGTGATTCAAATGTTCTAACTTGTGGTGATAGTTGCACAAGTCTGAATATATTAAAACCATTTAATCATATACTTTAAATGTGTGAATTAGATGATTTGTGAAGTAATGTTACCGTAGGTAGCTAGTCAAACATGAGCAGGGCAGGAGAGAGCTTCCCCCAACCCCCACCAGGAATGTCAGGCGACCGTCAGGTGATGGTCAGGCAGTTGTTAAGCTATCTCTCTAAAATAATAATTGGTTGCAGCCGGTGCCAGGGAACGGCAGCCTCCCAACAGATAGAAACATCTAAAACTGATGATCAGCAGCTTCCCAATAAGCTCTCAGGAGTTGGGCAAGTGGGCTCAAGCATGCGCACTAAGAGGGAAAGTGGCAGATGACCTTTGTTTAGGAACACTGGATTGGTAAGGGGAAAATGCCTCAAGTGAGCATGCACACTGTGCATGCGGCCCCTCCCAAGTGCTAGCAGGCCACTGTACATGTGGACAGCCCGCCCCAAGGGAAGAATCAGGGGAGAAGTAGTGCAAGACCCCGGAAGAATGCCAACATATAAAACCCCAAGTCGAAAGGTTAAACCGTACGCTTGATCTCTCAAGTTGCCCGCTTGGCCCTCTTCCGAGTGTACTTTACTTCCCTTCATTCCTGCTCTAAAGCTTTTTAACAAACTTTCACTCCTGCTCTAAAACTTGCCTTGGTCTCTCACTCTGCCTTATACCCCCTCAGTCTTCTGAGGAGGCAAGAATTCAGGTTGATGTAGACCCATATGGATTTGCCAGTGGTAACAATAAGAAATATACAGTCATCCTTCAATATCTGTGGGGGATTGGTTCTGGAATCCCCCCTCAGAAATTAAATCTATGATGCTCAAGTACCTTATATAACATGGTGTGGTATTTGCATATAACCTATACACTGCCTCCCATGTACTTTAAATCATCTCTAGATTCTTATTACAATGTAATGCTATGTAAATTGTTGTTACACTATATTTTTAAAATTTGTGTTATTTTAAATTGTTGTATTATTTTTTATTTATGTTTGTTATGTTTATGTTACGTATTATGTTTTCCAAATATTTTCATTGAATTTGCATTGAATTTACAGATGTAGAGGGCAGAGGGCTCATGGTGCATTTGGTCTTTGTCTTAGGTTTCTGGAGGATTCTGGCACACAGTTCCTAAATCCCTTAAAATCTCTAGAGGCATAAGGGTACTGTTTGTATGCTAATGAGATGATGGGTGGCTGGTGGGTGGGGGGCGGCTAGGGGGGACGGTCCCTAGACAGCTTCAGGTGGGGGCTGTTCACCAGAAAAACCTACAAGTGATTAGAGATTTGGAACTATCAGCTCCACTCACAGACCTCCAGGCAGAGAGAGAAGCTGAAGATGAGTTAACCACCTGTGGCCAATGATGTAATCAGTCATGCCTGTGAATGGAGCCTCCATTAAAACCTCCTAAATGAAGTAGTTCAGAGAGCTCCCGGGTTGGTGAACACATCAGGGATGCTGGAAGGGTGATGTGGCCCTGCTCCCATACCTTGCCCCCTGCATCTCTTCCATTTGGCTGTTCCTGAGTTGTGTCCTGTACAATAAACTGGTAACGGTAAAGTTCTTTCTCAGTTCTGTGAGCCATTCAAGCAAATTATAAAACTCAAGGAGGGGGGTCCTGGGAACCCCTAGTTTATAGCTGGTCCATCTGGAAGGCTCAGACTTGCAATTAGCATCTGCAGTGAAGGGAGTCTTGTAGCACTGAGCCCTTAACCTGTGAGGCCTGCGCTAACTATGGGTAGCTATTGTCAGAACTGAATTGAATTGCAGAACACCCACTTGGTGTCTGGAGAGCTGGAGAGTTGGCTGGCAGGTGGAAAACCCCCTGCATTTGGGGCCAGCGGTGTTGTGAGCAAAGAGAACACAGATATCTCAGTAAAGCTGTTACTGAGAGTGCCTATAGGGGGCTTCCTTAGTAGCTTGAATTGGCCTACAATGATGGCTGGGCCTTCCCAGGCTATGATCCCTTCTGAGGAAATCTTGCCCGGACATCTCAGGCCTGCTCCTGACAGGGTGTAAAACCTTGAGCAAGTTACCTTGCTTCTCTGAGTGAATTTCCTCCTCTGTGATATGGGGATGAGAGTAGTACCTTCCGTATAATGACACAACACCAATTCTTTGCACAGTGTCTGGCAGATGGAATGATTTGGATAAATGTGAGCTAACATTATCAGGTGTGAAGTGCAGATAATAATATCTATCTCACAAGGTGGCTATTGATGATAAAATGAGTTAATGCAAGGAAACCACTTAGCAGTGTGCCTGGCAGATATATGGTGAACAATAAATGGTAGAGAGGAGAAGTAGCTATCATTATTATAGTTCATAGTATTATTTTAGCCTGATTCAGGAACAGGAAGGGAGAAAATAAGGGGCAGGGAGGAAGAGAGAGCTTCAAAATCTCAGTCCTCACATGCATACACTAATTTTTTGGAAATGATCTCAACAAAGAACCATGGTTGTCTCTGGCTTTAAATTAGTGCCCTCGCATCATCCAGCCCCCAGCATTGTGGCTTATAATGAATCCTTCTGGCTGCCCCAAGGTAAGAGGGAAAGAGGGGGTGCACAGTGGTGAGGGTGCCTCCTTCTTCTTAGGAATTGTTGGGTGGATGCATGGAGTTAGAGGTCTGACAAAGACCTCCCTGCCCCTCATATGGCTCCACTGCACCAGCCAGATTGGCAGAACTGGCCCTGTAGCCTGGGCAGGGGTCAAGCTAACCTCAGGTGGCCCTGCTTGGAGGGGCTTCAATCTCAACTTGGCAGAGTTTCCAAGGAAGTGAGGCAGCCCCTGTCCTGACTTTGCTTCCCTTCCTCCTCTGGGATCATCCATGCTATTTAGTTATGTTAATTTTTGGGGTTTTGTTTTAATTTTTATTCTCATTCATTTTCTCTGCTTAGACTGCTCAAAAGCCATTATCTAGTGAATTACTTTATTGGAAAAACAACAAGAGATTCATTTCCCCCCCCTCACTCTTAAATCTTCATTTTTTTTCTTTGTTTCCGCTCCAGTGCCCCTGGAACAAGCAGTCAGAGCTGAAGTCCCGTCCCACAGGGAGCAGGCTTATGAGCTCTGAGAGGGCCTGGGGAAGCTCCCGTGGAAATGGGCATGGAGGGGTCTAGGCTTCTTTGCTGGCCACCAATAACAGGTGTTTTCTGGGCTTTTGTTGAAGATCTTCACCAAGACCTCTTAGAACCTTGGGTCATAGGCTCACGAGAGCTAGAAAGGTCTGGAAAGATGAGGTCTGGTGTTTGTCCCCTAGGCTGCTCCTCTCTACTTCTTTTCCCATCTCCTTTTTCCACTCACATCCCACATCCAATGCATATTCAATTCCTATTAGCTCCACTTTCAAAATATAGCCACATCTGATCCATTCTCACTCACTGCCACACACTAGCCATGCCACCATCTCCACTCAGATGGATTCTAACAACAGCTTTATCACGAGTCTCACCTGTATTAATTTTGCCTGCCTGTAGTCAATCATCCACTATAGCTGGAGTATTTTTTTATTATCAAATATATCATGTCTAGGAAACAAATTTAAATAATAATTTAATTTTATTTAAATATTTTTATTATCAAATATATCATGTCTAGGAAACAAATTTAAATAATAATTTAATTTGATTTAAATATTTTTATTATCAAATATATCATGTCTAGGAAACAAATTTAAATAATAATTTAATTTGATTTAGATAATAATAATAAAATTAACACCCCATGGCCACCCCCCAGCTTAAGAAATAGAATTTACAATACTCTAGATATCCCCTGGATTTTCTCACAAATTGCATTCTCCTGCCTCCCCTGAGAGGTAATTCACATCCTGAATTTCGTGTTTATCATTTTCTTGCTTTTCATTTTTTAAAAATAAAATTGTATCCTTAAATAATATATTGATTAGTATTGTTTTGGACTCATTAATTCTTTGACTTGCTTCTTTTTTCAACATTGTTCCTGAGTCCGTCTGTGTTGAGGCATCTTAAAACTTAAATCAGATTGTTGTTCATCTGCACAAAAGCCTTTAACAGCTGCCAATCACACTTAAGAATTACTGTTAACCTTGTTCTTTTTGCTTAGTATTGTCTTGGCTACATGAGCTCTTTTTTTGGTTGCATATGAAATTTAAAGTAGTTTTTTCTAATTCTGTGAAGAAAGTCAATGATAGTTTGGGAATAGCAATGAATATGTAAATTACTTTGGGAAGTATGGCCATTTTCACAATATTGATTCTTCCTATCCAGGAGCATGGAATATTTTTCCATTTGTTTGTGTCCTCCCTTATTTCCTTGAGCAGTGGTTTGTAGTTCTTAAAGAGGTCCTTCACATCCGTGTATTCCTAGGTATTTTATTCTCTTTGTAGCAATTGTGAATGGGAGTTCATTCATGATTTGGCTCTCTGCTTGTCTATTGTTGGTGTATAGAAATGCTTGGGATTTTTGCACATTGATTTTGTATCCTGAGAATTTGCTGAAGTTGCTTATCAGCTTAAGGAGTTTTTGGGCTGAGACACTGGGGTTTTCTAAATATAGAATCATGCCATCTGCAAACAGAGACAACTTGACTTCCTCTTTTCCTATCTGAATATCCTTTATTTCTTTCTCTTGCCTGATTGCCCCTGGCCAGAACTTCCAATACAGTGTGAATAAGAGTGGTGAGATAGAGCATCCTTGTCTTGTGCCTGTTTTCAAAGTGAATGCTTCCAGCTTTTGCTCATGCAGTATGATATTAGCTATGGGTTTGTCATAAATAGCTGTTATTATTTTGAGATATGTTCCATCAATACCTAGTTTATTGAGAGTTTTTAGAATGAAGGGATGTTGAATTTTATTGAAGGCCTTTTCTGCGTCTATTGAGATAATCATGTGATTTTTATAATTGGTTCTGTTTATGTGATGGATTACGTTGATTGGTTTGTATATGTTGAAATAGCTTTGCATCCCAGGGGTGAAGCCAACTTGATCATGATGCTGGAGGCATCATGCTAACTGACTTCAAACTATACTAAAAGGCTACAGTAACCAAAACAGCATGGTACTAAGGGAGGAGACGACCCCTCATATTGTCTTATGCCTGATTTTTGCCTCCAAAGAAAGAGGTAAAAACTCTCTACAGGCAGACAGCCCGGCGCCACACCCTGGGCCTGGTAGATCGACCCCTGATCTAATCGGTTATGTTATCTATAGATTACAGACATTGTATAGAAAAGCACTGTGAAAATTCCTGTCCTGTTCTGTTCCATTCTAATTACTGGTGCATGCAGCCCCCAGTCACATACCCCCTGCTTGCTCAATTGATCACGACCCTCTCACATGGACCCCCTTAGAGTTGTAAGCCCTTACGAGGGACAGGAATTGCTCACTCAGGGAGCTCGGTTGTTGGAGACCTGAGTCTTGCCAAAGCTCCCAGCCAAATAAAGCCCTGCCTTCTTTAACTCAGTGTTGGAAGGGTTTTGTCTATGGCTTCTCCTGCTACATTTCTTGGTTCCCTGACAGGGAAGCGAGGTGATTAACGGATGGTTGAGGCAGCCCCTTAGGCGGCTTAGGCCTGCCCTGTGGAGCATCCCTGTGGGGCACTCTGGCCAGCTTGAGTGATGCGGATCCTGAGAGTGCTCCTAGGTAGGCAATTGCCCCAGTGGAATGCCTCACCAGAGCAGTGCGTGGCAGGCCCCCATGAAGGATCAATGCAGTGGCTGAACACCAGGAAGGAACTGGCACTTAGAGTCCGGACATCTGAAACTTGGTAAGACTAGTCTTTGGAACTTGCACACTCCATTTGAGTGGAAGTGTGGCCTGATCACCCACGGTGTGCCTGTACTGGCACTTTGGTTTTTGTTTTTGACTTGACTTGGATTGCTTGATACTTTGGTTGTGGTTTCAACCTGGTTTGGATTTCCTGATACTCTGATTTTGGTTTTGATTCTGGTTTGGTGTAAACTGTAAAAGTGTGTGTGTGCCCTTTTTACCCATTCTTTCTTTTGTGGTGTGTGTGTGGTGTGAGTGTGGTGTTTTTTCTTGAGGAAGCATGGGTCAGGCACAAAGTAAGCCCACCCCACTAGGAACTATGTTGAAAAATTTCAAGAAAGGATTTAAGGGAGATTACAGTGGTACTATGACACCAGGAAAACTTAGAACTTTGTGTGACATAGACTGGCCAGCATTAGAGGTGGGTTGGCCATCAGAAGGAAGCCTGGACAGGTCCCTTGTTACAAAGGTATGGCACAAGGTAACCTGTAAGCCAGGGCCCCCAGACCAGTTCCCGTACATAGACACTTGGTTACAACTGGTTTTAGACCCTCCCGCCCCACACAGTGGTTGAGAGAACAGCAGCATAAGTGGCTGGCAGAGGCAAGGAAAAACCAGCAGAGAGAGAGAGAGAGAAAAGAGACAGAGAGGAAAAGAGGTAGAGAGAGAGAGTAAGAGACAGAGAGGAAGAGACAGAGAGACAAAGAGGGAGTCAAGAAGAGAGAAGAAGAGAGATATACAAGTAGTTAAAAAAAAAAAAAGAGTACCCTATTCCTTTAAAAGCCAAGGTAAATTTAAAACCTATAATTGATAATTAAAGGTATTCTCCATAACCCTGTAACACTCCAATACCACTTTGTTTTCAGTGTAAACAAGGGCGTAGCCTGAAAGCACTGAGGCCACCAACAACCTGTGTAGCCTTCCTATCAAAAATCCTTAACCTAGTAATCTGTGAATGGCCCAAATGCATTCAATCTGTAGTGGCAACGGCTTTGCTGACAGAAGAAAGTAGAAAAATAACTTTTAGAGGATACTTCTGAACTGGTGAGTTCATTGTGAGCACACCTCACCAGTTCAGAAGTATCCTAAGAAAAAAAAAAGATGATTTAACATTAACCACTGAAAATTCCCTTAACCCAGCAGGTTTCCTAACAGGGGATCTAAATCTTAATTACCATACAAAGGTCCCACCAGACCTAGGAGGAATTCCCTTCAGGACAGGACGATAGATGGTTCCTCCCAGGTAATTGAAGGAAAAAAGAAAAAAAAAGTTATAAAAAAAGAATTTATGCAAGAATTGTTGTAGAATTTAAAAGTAACTAGGCCTCCTGAATGTAAAACTATTGAAAATAACAGTTTATGTGCAAGGTGTATAAGGAAAGTAAAATATACCTTTGGTAAAAGGATTATAAAAAGGCATAAGAATATAAATTTTTACCTACATTAAAAGGTTTAAAAAATTATTGTTTTGAGGGTTTAAGCAAGTTTTAAAACTTAATGATAAAGAAAATTCTGTGTGTAAACATATTGGCTAAAGTTAAAGGGGTATCATCCGGTTTTTCTGTGAACTGACATTAAAGTAAAAACACAACGAGTTTTTCTTAAAGCACTAACCTGCTCTTTAACAAAGATTATAAAAGGTTAAAAAGAGTCTATAAAAATCTTACCTTATGATCCGACATTAAAAATTGAATAAATATGTCTACAAAGTTTTATTAAAACTAAGTTTAACATTAATAGCACAGTAATATAAAGGTGAAATTTAGCTTAGCTGGTATAAAAATCATACAGGAAGCATTGTCAGATATAAAATGGTGTTTGGCTTCTTTGGTCTGAAAACTAATAAATAATAGGTGCTAAAGGAAATTTCTCAGACAGGCACCAAGGACTACAGAGTCCACAGCTGATGTCCCCACATTTAAAACAAAAGGTCAATTTCTTAGAAATTATATACTTGGTTTGTCTTCCACTTTCCTTTCTCTCAAAACTAAAAGTCTTTTAGCACATGTACCACCCCTAGAATTTCCGGCAAACCAGCACCAGCCTGAGGATCACGTTCTCATCAAAGGATGAAAAGAAAGGAAACTCAAGCCAGCCTAGGAAGGACCCTACCTTGTGCTGCTAACCACCGAGACTACTGTTCATACAGCTAAAAAAGGATGGACTCATCACAACCGAGTCAAGAAAGTGCCTCCCCTTCCAGAGTCGTGGGCCATAGTCCCAGGGGGAAAACCCTACCAAACTAAAGCTAAGAAAAATTTAACTGTTTCGTCTATTCTATTACTCTTTCTTCTTTCCTCACTCTATTGCTGACCATCTAGTTATTAACATAACCAAGTCAATTTTGCCTCAAACTATTGCATTTAATGCTTGCCTTGTTATACCCCGTGGGGACTTGCCAAGTCAAAGACAGCTCTCTACTTCAGAAAAGTATCTCTGTCCCTCCTGACTCTCCTCAGACTGGGCATTAGTAAATTAGGACTGTTTAATCTGGGGAAATTTTGATAAAGACTCCAGTGTCAACGAGGATTCTTGCCCCCCGATGTAGAGCTTTTATGCCGTTGTTGGTCCAATGTTCTGTGGACCACTAAAGAGCAAGGATGGACTGCCCCAACTGGTTTTTACAATTTCCTAAAATCATACATTCATTTTACTAGATCATCATAGAAGTTAAAGACTTAAAACAAACTTTGGCAATTAAGACAGGATACCAAGATGCAAATGCCTGGTTGGAATAGTCAAATATTCCATCCACACGTTAAACAAAAGCAATTGTTATGCTTGTGCACATGGCAGGCCAGAGGCCCAGATTGTCCCCTTTCCACTAAGGTGGTCCTTCAGTTGACCAGGCATGGGCTGCATGGTAGCTCTTTTCCAGGATTCTACAGTCTGGAATAATAAGTCGTGCCAAGCTCTCTCTGCTATATCCCAAAGTCCGGCACCCTGTGGGTCAGCCCCCGAGGGCCATCCAGCTTCTGTCTCTCAGCACTAAGTTTGCTTCATGTCTCTCATGACAGGGAGGAAACAGCGTTCCTTGGAGACCTGAAGGGATTCAGTGAGCTTAAGAATTTTCAAGAGCTTATCAATCAGTCAGCCCTTGTTCATCCCCGAGTGGATGTGTGGTGGTATTGTGGTGGACCTTTACTGGGCCCTCTGCCGAATAAGTGGAGTGGCACTTATACTTTAGTCCAATTGGCTATCCCTTTCACCCTGGCATTTCATCAACCAGAGGGAGAAAAAATAAGACATCATAAAGCGAGAGAAGTCCCTTACGGGTCTTTCGACTCTCACGTCTATTTAGACGCAATTGGAGTCCCATGGGGAATACCAGGTCAATTTACAGCTTGAAATCAAATAGCTACAGGATTTGAGTCAATATTTTGGTAGGTCATAGTTAATAAAAATGTAAATTGGATAAACTACATCTATTACAACCAACAGCAACGAGCTTTTCATGAGTTAAAAGAAAAACTCATGTCAGCCCTAGCCCTGGGGCTACCTGACCTGACAAAACCCTTTACATTCTATGAGTCAGAAAGAGAAAAAATGGCAGTTGGAGTTTTAACCCAGACTGTGGGGCCCTGGCCAAGGCCAGTGGCCTATCTCTCAAAACAGCTAGACGGGGTTTCCAAAGGCTGGCCCCCATGTCTAAGGGCCCTGGCAGCAACAGCCCTGTTAGCACAAGAAGCAGATAAACTAACCCTTAGGCAAAACCTGAATATAAAGGCCCCCCATGCTGTGGTAACTTTGATGAATACCAAAGGACATCATTGGCTAACAAATGCTGGATTAACCAAGTACCAAAGCTTGCTATGTGAAACTTCCCGTGTAATCATTGAAGTTTGCAACACCCTAAACCACGCCACCTTGCTCCTGGTATCAGAGAGCACAGTTGAACATAATTGTGTAGAGGTTTTGGACTCAGTTTACTCTAGTGGGCCCAACCTCTGAGACCATCTTTGAACATCAGTAGACTGTGAGCTGTACATGGGCAGGAGCAGCTTCACCAACCCCTGCAAAGTGACTCTGAGGAAGATGACAAGCCCTGCTCCAGTCACACCCGGAAGCTGACTGGTCCACATATGACCGAAGCATGAGAAAACTCATCGCGGGACTCATTTTCCTTAAAATTTGGACTTGTACAGCAAGGACCTCAACTGACCTTCCTCAGACTAAGGACTGTTCCCAGTGTATAGTAGGACAAAAAGTTGCTACAGTCCTATTATTTTATGGTTATTATAAGTGTACCGAGACTCTAAAAAGAACTTGTTTGTATGATGCTATTCTATACAAGGTATGTAGCCCAGGAAATGACCAACCTGATGTGTGTTATGACCCATCTGAGCCTCCCATGACCACAGTTTTTGAAATAAGATTAAGGACTGAGGACTGGTGGGGGCTCATAAACGATATGAGTAAAGTGTTAGCCAAAACAAAAGAAAAAGGGGTGCCCAAACAAGTCACCTTGAAGTTTGATGCCTGTGCTGTCATTAATAGTAATAAGTTAAGAATAGGATGTGGGTCTCTTAATTAGGAAAGAGGCTATATGGCAGAAAATAAGTACATTTGTCATGAATTAGGACTGTGTGGAAATGAATGTGGATACTGGTCTTGTGTCATTTAGGCTACTTAGATAAAAAATGGAAAGAATCCTGTCCACCTTCAGAAAAGGAAAAGTGGCTTTTCCTGTACCAGTGGTCAGTGTAACCCCTTAGAACTAGTAATAACCAACCCCCTTGATCCTCGCTGGAAAAAAGGGGAGCGTGTAACCATAGAAATCGATGGGGCTGGACTAGATCCTCGAGTAAATATTGTGGTTTGAGGAGAAGTTTATAAACGCTCTCCTGAGCCAGTATTTCAAACCTTCTATGATGAACTGAATGTGACAGTACCAGAAATTCCAGGAAAAACAAGAAATTTGTTTTTGCAATTAGCTGAGCATGTAGCCCAGTCTCTCAATGTCACTTCATGTTATGTATGTAGAGAAACTGTAGTGGGATATCAATGGCCATGGGAAGCCCAAGAATTAGTACCTACAGACCCAGTTCCTGATGAATTCCCAGCTCAAAAGAATCACCCTGATAACTTCTGGGTCTTAAAAGCCTCAATCATTAGATAATACTGTATAGCAAGAGTGAGGAAGAACTTCACCCTTCTTGTAGGAAGACTCTGCTGCCTTGGGCAAAAACTGTATAATAGTACTACAAAAACAGCCATCTAGTGAAGTCCAAACCATGCTAAGAAAAATCCATTTAGTAAATTCCCAAAGTTGCAAACCGTGTGGACCCACCCGGAGTCCCACCAGGACTGGACAGCCCCCACTGGATTATACTGGATATGTGGGCATAGAGCTTACACCAAATTACCCGACCAGTGGGCAGGTAAGTTATGTTATTGGCACTATTAAACCATCTTTCGTCCTACTGCCCATAAAGACAGGTGAACTCTAGGCTTTCCTGTCTATGCTTCCTGTGAAAAGAGAATCATAGCTATAGGAAATTGGAAAGATGATGAATGGCCCCCTGAGAGAATCATACAATATTATGGGCCTGGTACTTGGGCACAAGATGGCTTGTGAGGATACCAGACCCCCATTTACATGCTCAATTGAATCATACGGTTACAAGCTGTCTTAGAAATAATCACTAATAAGACTGGCAGAGCCTTGACTATTCTGGCCCAGCAAGAAACTCAGATGAGAAATGCTGTCTGTCAAAATAGATTGGCTCTCGACTACTTGCTAGCAGCTGAAGGAGGGGTCTGTAGGAAATTTAACCTTACTAATTGCTGTCTACACATAGTTGATCAAGGGTAAGTAGTTGAAGACATAGTTAGAGATAAGATAAAACTGGCACATGTGCCCATGCAAGTGAGGCATGGGTTTGATCCTAGGGCCATGTTTAGAAAATGGTTCCCAGCACTAAAAAGATTTAAAACCCTTATAATAGGAGTTATAATAGTAATAGAAACCTGCTTACTGCTCCCTTGTTTGCTACCTGTACTTCTTCAAATGATAAAAAGCTTCATCGCTACCTTAGTTCACCAAAATGCTTCAGCACAAGTGTACTATATGAACCACTGTCGATCTGTCTTGCAAGAAGACATTGGTAGTGAGAATGAAAGTGAGAACTCCCACTAACAAGTGAAGTTCTCAAAGTGGGGGAATAAGGGAGGAGACTACCCCTCATATTGTCTTATGCCCAAATTCTGCCTTCAAAGAAAGAAGAAGTAAAAACTAAAAGGCAGAAATGAAATCCACAGGCAGACAGCCCAGCACCACACCCTGGGCCTGGTAGTTAAAGATCGACCCCTGACCTGATCAGTTATGTTATCTATAGATTCCAGACATTGTATAGAAAAGCACTGTGAAAATCCCTGTCCTGTTCTGTTCCGTTCTAATTATCGGTGCATGCAGCCCCCAGTCATGTACCCCCTGCTTGCTCAATCAATCACAACCCTCTCATGCGGACCCTCTTAGAATTGTAAGCCCTTAAGAGGGACAGGAATTGCTCACTCGGGGAGCTTGGTTGTTGGAGACATGAGTCTTGCCAAAGTGCCTGGCCAAGTAAAGCTCTTCCTTCTTTAACTCAGTGTCAGCGAGGTTTTGTCTGCAGCTTTTCCTGCTGCAGTACTGGTACCAAAACAGACATATAGACCAATGGAACAGAACAGAGAGCTCAGATATAACACCACACATCTACAATCATATGATCTTCAACAAACCTGACAAAAACCAGCAATGGGGAAAGGAGTACCTATTTAATAAATGGTGCTGGGAAAACAGGCTAGCCATATGGAGAAAACTGAAACTGGACCCCTCCCTTACACCTTATATAAAAATTAATGCAAGATGGATGAAAGACTAAAATATAAAACCCAAAACCATAAAAACCATAGAATAAAACCTAGGCAATACCATTCAGGACATAGGCATGGGCAAATACTTCATGACTAAAACACCTAAAGCAATTGCAAAAAAAGCCAAAACTGACAAATGGGATCAAGTTAAACGAAAGAGCTTCTGCACAGCAAAAGAAACTAGCATCAGAGTGAACAGGCAACTTACAGAAGAGGAGAAAATTTTTTGCAATCTACCCATCTGACAAAGGTCTAATATCCAGAATCTACAAGGAACTTAAACAAATTTACAAGAAAAAAAACCAAACAACCCCATCAAAAAGTGGGCAAAGGATATGAACAGACACTTCTCAAAAGAAGACATTTATGTGGTCAACAAACACATGGAAAAAAAAAAACTCGTCATCACTGGTCATTAGAGAAATGCACATCAAAACCACAATGAAATACCATCTCACACCAGTAAGAATGCCGATTATTAGAAAGTCAGGAAACAACAGATGCTGGTGAAGCTGTGGAGAAATAGGAACACTTTTACATTGAATGTAGTATAATGATTTATATTCCTTTTGGGTATATACCCAGTAATAGGATTGCTGGGTCAAATGGTATTTCTAGTTCTAGATCATTCCAAAAGGAATATAAATCATTCTACTATAAAGACACATGTACACATGTTTTATTGTAGCACTATTTATAATAGCAAAGACATGGAACCAACCCAAATGCCCATCAATGATAGACTGGATAAAGAAAATGTGGCACATATACACCATGGAATACTATGCAGCTGTAAAAAGGAATGAGATAATATCTTTTGCAGGGAAATAGATGAAGCTGGAAGCCATCATCCTCAGCAGACTAACACAGGAACTGACAACCAAACACCACATGTTCTCACTCATAAGCAGGAGTTGAACAATGAGAACACATGGACACAGGGAGGGGAACAACACACACTGGGGTTTTTAGGGGTGGGGGGCAAGGGGAAGGAGAGCATTAGGACAAATACCTTATGCATGTGGGGCTTAAAACCCAGATGATGGGTTGATAGGTGCAGCAAACCACCATGGCACATGTATACCTATGTAACAAACCTGCACACTCTGCACATGTATCCCGGAACTTAAAGTAAAATAAAATAAAATAGAATTACAATTAGCCCGCGAACAACAAGAGTTTGAAGTGCGGTGGATTTAGATATGGATTTTTTTTTTCAACCAAATGCAGATCAAAAATACAATATTCAGGGTAAACCCAAGTATGCAAAGAACTGACTTTTCTTTTCTTTACTTTTCTTTTCTGAGACAGTGACTCGCTCTGTTGCCCAGGGTGGAGTGCAGTGGCATGATCTCAGTTCACTGCAACCTCCGCCTCCAAGGTTCAAGTGATTATCGTGCCTCAACCTCCTGAGTAGCTGAGATTACAGGCGCACACCACCACACCTGGCTAATTTTTGTATTTTTAGTAGAGATGGGTTGTGCCATATTGGCCAGGCGGGTCTCAAACTCCTGGCCTCAAGTGATCCACCCACCTCGACCTCCCAAAGTGCTGGGATTACAGGCATGAGCCACCACGCCTGGTCAAGAGCTGACTTTTCTTTTATGTGGGTTCCGCAGAAGCCACTGTGGGACTTGTGTCACAGATTTGAGTATACACAGAATCCTGGAACCAACCCTTGTATACTGAGAGATGACTGTAAATCCAGTCTCCTTTCTGGTCTCAGAAGGCCCTACCTACGCAACTGGCCCTTGCTTGCTTTTCTTATCTCATTGCCTATATTCTCGTCTTCGTTTGTTCTGCTCTGGTTACACTGCCTTTCTTGTTTCTCAAACATGCCAACATTGTTTCTGCCTCAGTTTCTTTGCATTGGCTGTTCTCTTTGCCTGGAATTCTCCTTCTATCTTCACACAACTTGCCTCATTACTTCATTCAGCATTCCTCTCACATGTTGCCTCACAGAGGGACCTTGTTTAATTTACTCTATTTAAATAATTCCTGTCACTCCCTGCACTATCTCTTTGCCTTGATTTATTTTTATTCATAACACATCATTGTTTGTTCTTACATTACATACTGATTTGTTTATTATCATTCTCCCCGATTATAACATATGAGGACAAGTACCTTGTCTTGTTCACTTCTCTATCAGGGCCTGGCATGTATTAGGCATTCAGTAATATTTTTGTATTAATAAATAATTGAACGAATGAATGAGGGGGCATAATCTCTGTTAGTTCACTTCTTCAAATCACCCAAATGTGCAATCAGTCTAGATGTAAACTTTATGTTTGCTTTGTAAATGCAGCTCTAAGATAAATACTTGCTCCTATGCCAGAGCCCACACAGTGTAGTTGTGCAGGTTGCACACTGCAGAGTGTTAGAAGGCACCATACACACACACAAGCAATTTTGGAACAGCCACTGTCTCATTACTCATTAAAATATTCACTATTTGTTGTACTTGTCTTTAGTTGCACATAATAGAAAATGTAATTCAAAATTGGAATAAACAAGAAAGATTTGTTCATCTGTGTGCCTGGAAAGTCCAGAAGAAGAACAGACATCAGTGTGCCTGAATCAGCAGCTCAACTGTGCTATTATCAAGGTTGCACTTTCTTACATGTTTTTTTCTGTTCTGCCTCCCAGAGTGTTGGCTCAATTTACAAGTGGGTTCCAGCAGATTGGATGGTGCCTGACTTCTAGTTCAAGGCTTGCAGAAGAAAAGGCACAGCTTCCGTCCCAGCATTCAGCAGGAATCATGATTGAGCTAGATTAGATCATGGGCAAAGTCTCAAGAACATGATTGTGGTGAAGACAGTCACACAGGCTGCTTGGCTTTGCTTATCCAGGCTCCCGTGGGCCTGAGGGTGAGGCCAGTCTCCCCAAGCACAGGGCCTGCATGGGGAGGGTGGAAACCTTGGTACTGTAAGCCATGGGTGCTGGGTAGACACTATAAATGACCACTGAGTCATCCTTTGGGTGCTGTATGGGAACTGTGAAGTCAAGTGAGATCATTGAGCTGGGAGTGATTTAATGAAACAATAGAAGTAGAATAATATTGGCTATGAATTTTGTGAGCATTTCTCTCTAGAGCTAAGTGTAGCCCCTACATGATGAGGTTTTCAGTTAGAGAGAACAATCTTTATTTTTAGGAGTCAGAGCTGAAATTGTGCCCTGGCTGAGTATGAACTCTTCCTTTCGCTGGGTAGTTTTCTCCTGAGCTTTAGGCAACTTGGCTGATTAAGGAGGAAAAGAATGCTTTGCTCACTCAGGGTCAGTACTGTCTTTGATGCTGTCTGTGTTGACTAATTTGCATTCCCAAGGCAGACATCAAAGAACTTGAGATTCTGCTGCTTTGGAGCAAAGAAGCTCATAAGAAGTTCTCAGCAGTCAGAAAGTGATGATGCTGTGTCTGGCAATATCCTGACTTTGGAAAAGAAAGTCTCGACCTTGGGGAAGGCATCCTTTAGAGAAGCTTAGGCCTCTACCCTGCAGAGTTCACTTCTCTGCTTTGAGCCACTCCATACCTGGAGAATGATTTAACACATTATACCTGAGTTTCAAAGAGGAGCTGGGGAGCAGGTATGATAATAAATGTGATGGAAAGGAGAGGAAAGAATGATTGGAGCACATACAGGCATGTGTGTGTGTGTGTGTGTGTATGTGTGTGTGTGTGATGATTGGACCAGTAGAGATGGATCAAAAAATGGCTTCTTAAGAGATTACCTCTAGGGATGTTCCAGAAATCTTCCTGACCCCTTAGTCCTCCTCTCTGTCTGTCTGAAGAATCTGGTCTTAAGGTCTGAGTCACTTGGACATGAAGTTCCTAGCAGGGTGAGCAGGAAGGGAACTGATGCATTGATTACATGCTGCCCACATAAGCACAGTGCCCACTGCATGTCACCACAAAGCCAGTGAATGGGCCTGCCTCTCCAAACGCAGCCAGAAAGTTCAACTATGCCACCAGCCATGACCTCCCACTAATGCCTGGAGGAGGTACTATAAGGAAGAACTCTGTCAAGTCAGTAGAGATACAGGATAATCTTCTGGACCTCATTGTAGCATGTATGGCTGTGCTTTCTGGGGCAGGGGAAGCTGTCATGCAGCTTCTTTTTCTGCTTTGGGTCATTCCTGCACTTTGCTCCAGTCTCCTCTCTGCAAGCAGTTTTCTCTACTGTCCCATACATTCTGCATGCATGTGGCTTGGCATACCATGGTACTGGTTTTGATTTCAGCTTGACAAGACTTTACAGCTCCAATGCTAAAGCCCTCTGAGTATACTTTCTGTGCCTTTAAGTTAGGAGAGAGAGAGAGAGAGCGAGTGCAAGAGAGAAGGGGGAGAAGGGAGGTGTTAGGAGTGGCCACTTAGGCCCATTTCTTTAGTATGGATATGTGGGGAAGGTATCCAATATTTGAGGCATACATATACCCAAAACTAATTTCTTATTTACCTGAAACTCAAATTTTGCTACATGGTCTATATTTTTATTTCTTATTCCTGGCAAACTTACATGGGGTACTCCAAAGGAGTCTGCTACAGGGGCCAAGGAAGTGATAGTGATTAAACAGTGTTATTTTTGTCTTTTACTCCAGGACTCAAATGTCAGCTTTACCATTTATAATGAGTGTGAATCATGTAATCTTCTGAGTGTTAGTTTCTAAATGGGAATAATTATTTTATTAAATAGAAATAATTAAATAAGACAATCATTTACATCCTGCTTTGCTCCAGAAAAACAATAGGAAATGTAGTAGTGAATAACAAAGGTCATATGAGTATGTTACAAATCTGACCCTACAGGGCTCCAGATTAAAGATCCTATCAGGTAAAATAAAGAAGGCTCCTTAAAAACAGTTAAGATTCAGTTTAGTCTGTTTTCTGCTGCTATAACAGAATACCACATAGTGGATAATTTCTAAAGAAAGAGATTTAGTTGGCTCATGGTTCTGGAGACTGGGAAGTCCAAGAGCATGGTGCCGGCATCTGATGAGGGCCTCTGTGCCCCATCATGGCTTGGTACAAGGGCAAGTGAGTGTGTGAGACAGAGAAACAGGGGCTGAACTACATCCTTTTATCAGAAACCCACCCTTGAGATAATTAACCCACTCCAGAGGTAATGGCATTATGACTTCTTGACCTTATGAACTCTTATAGGTCCCACGTCCCAATATCCTTACATTGGCAATTAAATTTCAACATGAGTTTTAGAGGGGATGTTCAAACCATAGTACTCAGTAATTTTTAGTTCTATTGCAAGCTGCACCTACCCCTTGCTCTAATCTACCCTTATATAATGAACAATACCTATGTCTAACCCATTATTTTTTCTGGGGGCTTCTAATCAATACCCTGATAAATACTAATGAATTATTAAATGCACTTAATAATGTATCTAGGAGTGATGGCAACCATGTTCTTTAAAAATATGGCTAAGAATTACAAAGAAAATGTAAGAACTCTTAAGGTAATGGAATTGTGAGGGATTTTTTCTCTGTAATTTCATTTATGGTTAATATAATATTTTATGTGTAATAACTATAAATTATAAAATACATTTTGGGGGGCATTGTAGGGATCTGTACTGTTTGTTCAAAAAATATATTTTGTGCAGTCTACATGGGAAAAGGTTTGCAGCAGTTTCTGTCAGTCAGTAACAGCTAGTCTGATGAATAGAAATGAAAAAGTTGTCAAGCCATGCGATGCCATTATTTATGAAAAAGACAGACCTGGCAGCCCTAAGACCTGGAGCTGGAAAAAGGCAGGTCTTTCCTGAGGCAGCTTATAAAATCTGAGCAAACACAGGCTGCAAGGTGAGAAACCTCACATTTCAGTCACTCTGTCTGTCGCAAGAACGGCAGTGTTTTGGCTGAGTATTAGGAAGAACTGAAGCCAGGGACTCAAACGACAACAGGACTTAACTCTATTTGTCTCAAGGTTGTGGTGAGAATAAATGAGTTGATGTAAATACTGCTTAAAACAGACAATTACAGAGCAAGCCTTATATAAGTATTAGCTATTATTATTATTATTATTATTATTTCTGTTTCTGACTTCATGTCAATCTCATTTTCTGTTTTTTTCCCACATAGCAGGAAATACAGCTACTGATAGCTTTGGGGTTTTATATGTTATCATTTGCTTTGCTGAAAAACGTTTGTCTTGATTTCTAAATCCAGTTAGAAAAATTCCACAAGTCTAAGGGTAAATTAGAAGAAAAACGACCCTTGTAGAGACTGACAATCAGATCAAAATCAACTGGTTGATCAAGGATCTCCTAATCCATGAAGCTGTTAAGGTGATCTTGATTACTAGTGTCACTTGGCATGTTTTCAGAAAACACAAACAAAAATTATCTCTGGAGGAAGGTAAAGTCATTGTAGGCATTAAAATATTATTCAAAATATATTTTTTTCAAATTTTATGTCTGATACATAAGCAATGATAACCAGCTATTCTCAAACATGAGATAACAAGAACAATCATCAATAGAAACAATAGATAATACTGATAGACTGGCAGAGGCTCCAAACGCTAGAATTATTTGACACAAATTTTAAAATAAATTATGCTTATTACATTTATGAAGATAAAAAGCAAGTTTGAAAGTTTCAACCAAAAGCTTGGAAACTACAAAAAGTGACATAAACATTTTGAAAGGACTTCTGCTTTTGGGTAGGATGAAATAACTGGCAGCAGACCAGCACTCCCACCTAGAACAATTCCTACCTAGAAAACTTGGGTATAATTTAAAAAACATCTCTTCAAGGCAGTGGAAAGCTGCTGAGACTATGAGAATTAGTGGGACTCAGACTGCAGGAAGGAAAAACCTTAGCTGAAGGAAAAACCTTAGCTGAGGCGGCTTCTGCAGCCACTTTTATCCTAGAGGCATGTGTTAATTCTGAGCATTTGATGTGCAATTCGTGAGGGTTGTTGCAAGGAAAGAAAGAAACCAGCAGAGAGATGTCCTCAAGCACATACTAGTTTTTCCTTCAAGACATTTGCTGAATACTAGGGATACATGTAGTAGAAGCCTACAAACTTAAGTGGGAAAACTTTTGAAATATAGAGGATAGTTTTTCAGCAATTTTGTAAGATAAGGAGACCACTCCAACTCTAACCTTGTCTTATAAAATTGCTAAAAATACCCAAAGCTGTTAGCTGAAAAGCCTAGAAAGCCAAAGGCAGGTGTTCCTAATTGGATTAAAGTGATAAACAACCTCTCCATGTGCCCAGTGGAGGGATAAATCCTTTCTAGAGAAGGTTCTGAAGCTTCAACACAGTTATATATACCATGTCTGGCAATAAAAAAAAAATTATTAGGCAGGTCAAAGATAGGGTCCTATGTCTAAAAACCAAGAGAAACAGGTCCACAAATGGTCAAAATATCTGAGTTAGCCAACAAGGATTTAAAAAGGAACCTGATTTATTTATGCGTGTGTGTGTGTGTGTGTGTGTGTGTGTGTGTGTGAAGAAAGGGAGAAAAAGAAAGGCTGAAAATGTTATTAAATAATTGAAATATAAGAAAAATTAAATCAAAATTCTAGAACTAAAAATATTATAAAAACACTAAATTAAATTTCTGTACTTTATGGTAAGAAAGATTGAAAATTCAGTGGTTATGTTTGACAATAGATTAGACACAGCTGAATAGAAAATTAAAGAACTAGAAGACAGTTCAGAAGAAATTATACAGAGTAAAATATGAAAATAGAAAAGGATGAACAATACAAAACAAAGGATAAGAGACACAGCAGAGACAGTGAGAAGGTATACTACTATATGCTTAAATAAATTTCCAGAAGGATAAATGAGAAAAAAACCCCACAGGACAGATGCAATATTTGAAATGATAATGGCTGTGAATCTCCCAAACAGATGAGTGACTTCAATTCACAGATAAAAATAAGTTCCACAAACTCAAGTATGGTAAATAAAAAGACACCTCAAAATGAAACTGGCAAAATTCCAAGACAAGTAGAAAATCCAAAATTAGAAGTAAAAAAGGTCACCTTTAAAGGATCAACTATTAGACTGAAAGTTGCCTTTTCAAGAAAAACAATTCAAAGTCAAAATAGGGAGATTTTGCAGAAAGAAAATAACTGTCAGCCTGGATTTTCATACCTAACAAAAATTTCCTCCAAGAATGGAAGTGAAACAAAAGACATTTAAGATATACACAATTGAGAGAATTAATCAGCAATAGACTTTAAAGGCTGTTCCTCAGGCAAAAGGAATATTATCCCTGAAAGAAGCTTATGGATACTGGAATAAAAAATGAACAGTGAAAAAAGGCAAATATATCAGTAAATCTACATGAATAGTGCTTTTACGAGACAACAATAATAATAATATATTGTGACATAGATCCATATGTTAGTAGAGAGGAAGGCAGAAAGAGAGGGAAAAAAGGAAGAAGGGAGGAAGAAAAAGGAGGAGGCAGAGAAGGAGGAGGAAGAGAGAGAATTTTAATATAGAATTTTAATATGAAGTATAATTTTATACTTCAGCAGAAGCATAAAAGTTGAGAGAGTAAAGTTATGTTAAGCTCCTTGCTTTATTAAGGAAAAGGGTAAAAATATCAATTCATATTTGATTTTAGTAATTCAAGAATTCATATTGTAGAGACTAGTAAAAGAGCCTATCACTTTCAAATGAACACAGAAAAACAACAGAAATTATAAGAACTAATCAATCCCCCCAAAAAAGGCAAAAAAGAAAAAGAAAGGAACATAGAATAGGGAGGGCAAACAGGAAGTACATACACATGTATGTACAAATAAATACTGAATACATATAAATCCATGTGTATCAGTAATTATTTTTAATGCAACTACCTTAATTGATCAATTAGAGGGCCAAAAAATTTTAGACATTAAAAAAAAACCAGAATCCAAGCACATGCTGCTTACAAATGACACACATCAAATATATAGACACAGAAGGTTGAATGTAAAAGAATAGAAAAAGACGTGGCTATACCAGTATCAGACAAAATAGATTTTATGGCTGAAGGCATTATTAGAGATGAAAGAGGCACTTCATAATGACAGAAGGTTCAACTCACCAGGATAATATAGCAATTCTAAATTTACGTGGATGAAATAACATGGCTTCTAAATGTATAAAGCAAACATTGACTGAACTACAAAGAGGAGCTGACAAATTAATAATTACAGTGGGAAACTTAGCATACCTCTCTCATTAACAGATAGAACAGACACCAATCATTAAGGCTATGGAAGATTTAAAGAACATGATAAACTTAACATAATGAACATATCTAGAACATTGCACCATGACAGCTGTAGATAGACTTTCTAATGAGTTGTAAAGCAAGCTGCCACAAACCTCAAAGAGTGGGAATCACACAGCATACTTTTTACAACAATTTAATTAAGCTAGAAATCATTAATAAAATATAACTAGATAGTTCTTTTATATTTTTAATATATTTCTAAATTTTTAAGGTGTCAAATTTTGAAATGCATAATAAAAATTGTACGTATCGAAACATTGGAATATAGTAAAAGCATGCTCAAAGAATAGTGTTTGCTTTTAAGTGCATGTATTTGAGAAGATGAAAAGCTACAAATTAATGAGCTCAGCATTCATCTAAAAAAGTTATAAAGGAACTGCAAATGAAATATTTAAAAAGTAGAAGAAAGGAAATAATGACAAGAACAGAAATTAATGAAATAGAAAAAAAGTACAAGTCAACAAAGCCAACATGTTTTCTGACAGCCCAGAGGGAAAGGACTTAAAACTTGCTAAATATTTGGTCTGCTAGGACTTTAAAAAATGCTCTCTAATTTAATTATTTTTAATTTCTTTATTGAGATACAATTCACATACCATAAAGTTCACTGATTTAAAGTGTACAATTCAGGCCAGGCGCGGTGGCTCACACCTGTAATCCCAGCACTTTAAGAGGCTGAGGCGGGTGAATCATGAGGTCAGGAGTTCCAGACCAGCCTGGCCAACATGGTGAAACCCCACCTCTACTAAAAATATAAAAAATTAGCCGGGTATAGTGATGGATGCCTGTAATCCCAGCTACTTGGGAGGCTGAGGCAGGAGAATTGCTTGAACCTGGGAGGCAGAGGTTGTAGTGAGCCGAGATTGCGCCACTGCACTCCAGCCGGGGTGACAGAGTGAGACTCTGTCTCAAAAAACAAACAAACAAACAAACAAACAAACAAAAACAAAAATACACACACAGGGTTGTGCAACCATAATCACAATCTAACTTTAGAACATTTTCATCCTCACAAAGGAACCCTATACTCCTAGGTAGTCACTCCCCATTCTCATTTACTCTCCCCTTCTCTGCCCAGCCCATGGCAACCACTCATCTACTTTTTCTCTATAAATTTGCCTTTTTTAAAAATTTCATATAAAATGAATCTTACCACAGGTGGTCTTTTGTGACTGCCTTCTTTCACTTAGCGTAATGTTTTTGAGATTCATCTATGTTGTGGTACATATCAGTACTTTATTCCTTTATGTGGCTGAATAATATTCCAAAATATGGATATACCACATTTTGTTTTTCTATTCATCAGTTAATAGAAATTACCTTGTTTCTACTTTTCAGCCATTATAAATAATGCTGCTATGAACATTCGTGTCTAACTTTTTGTAGATATATGTTTTTATTTCTCAAATTGCAAGGGTTCTTTATTTATTCTAGATATGAGTCCTTTATTAGACTTACTAGCTAGCAATTATTTTTTCCCATTCTCTGGGTTGTCTTTTCACTTTCTTGATGGTACTGTTTTCTACAAACATGAAATTTTAAAATTTTGATATAGTCCTAAGAGTTTTATAATTTTAGCTGTTATATTTAGGTCTGTGATCCATTTTTAGTTCACTTTTGTACATAATATAATATTTACTACAGCTCTGTAAGATGGGTATTTTTATCTTCCTTTTATATGTAAGATAACTGAAACTCAGAGTCTAAATGAATTCCCATGATCAAACCCTTATACGTTGAAGCTAAGATTCAGACCTAAATTTTCAAACCAAGCTGAGACACAAAGTTCACTAAAGCACAAAGCCTGCTTAACATTTCTAGCATTATAATATCTCAGTTATTTTGGAATACAAAGCATGCCTGTATTCTGTGACGAGATCAGATGGAGAAAATGTTGGCATTGTTTCAAGAATATAATAATTTAATGAAATCCTATTTCATTAGATGCTTAAATTTAAAAAAATAGGTTTTTGGCAAATATCTTCTAAGGCTGGAGTTCATTAAAAGGACGCATACTGTGAGGTGAAAATACATATCAGAGGACCAACTAGACTCTCTAGAGCATAGTTAATGAATCCCATAAACCACATCTCATTACACTTTATTTCTTAATTAAATGCTACAGAAACTATTAAAATACACATTTTCTACCATAAAGCTAGCAATATCACTAATATCAAAGGACAGTAAATAGATTTCTTAAACCAGCTGCTTCATGGTATCAAGTAACTGATGTCTTCTCTGGGTGAAGAAAACTCAAATAGAGCATAAACAAAAAATAGATACTGGCAGAAAGAAGAACAAAAAGTGGGAGAGAAGGGAGCTGTCACTTATTTTTGAGGGTGAAAGATGTGAACAATGTTTGTCTATAAAACTGTCAGCCTGAAATGATAGTCAAATGACATAGCTGTTTGCTGGAGAGTTTGTTGGAGAGTGTCAAAGCCCACTAGTTCAGACTACTACAACAAATTACCCTAGACTTGATGGCTTAAGCAGCAAACATTAATTTCTCACAGTTCTGGAGACTGGGAAGTCTAAGATCAAGGTGGCGGCGGATCTGGTGAGGGCCCACTTTTTGCTTTACAGACAGCTGTCTTGTCATTGTACCCTTGTGTGGCAAAGGGAAGAGAGAGAGAGAGAGGGAGCAAGCTCTAGTGTCTCTTCTTATAAAGGCGCTAATTCCATTCATGAGGGTTCCACACTTATTACTTAATTACCACCTAAAGATTTCACCTCCTAATACCATCACATTATCACACTGGAGGGTTAGAATTTCAACATACTAGTTTTCAGGACACACAAACATCCATCTATAACAGTCTAGTATAAAGTACAGAGAGAGAAGGAGAAAAGGCAAGGGGGTAGGAAGAGATGCACAGGTGATGAATGCTTTCTTTGGTATAGAAAATCTAACTATTAAGCCCTCAATTCCTGATGTGGAGATGACCTAGAAATTGCACAGCAGTTTAGACAACACAGAGAATAAACTGAAATTCAGCCTTCCAATACATTTCCCAAGTGATAAATTTGAAGTACCTGAAATTACTTCACTGGAAGAAAAAATTGACAATCATGGAAGGAATGGACCAAGCAGGGTGTACTGACATTACAAATGCATTGGCAAGGAAGTAAGAAGAGAATTTTGCTTTTGGGTTTCTAATACATGAACAGCATGATATAAGCATGTAAGACAAATTATTCAAAAGTAATTTAGTGAGGTTTTTGCAACTACCCTAGAGCAGTGGCAGTCAAGAAATGCTTTGCTGTTGTTGTTGTTTTAAAATAAGCATTAAAAATGCTTACTTTTAAAAACTTTTATTTTATTTTTTTAGAAACGGGGTCTCACTTTGTCGTCTAGGCTGGAGGCATGTGATGATACAGTCATAGCTCACTGCAGCTTCAAGCTCCTGGCCTTAAGTGATCCTCTGCCTCAACCTCTTGAGTAGCAGAGACTATAGGCACATGCTACTGCACCTAGCTAATTTTTTTTTGAAGAGATAGGGTCTTGGCTGTGTGTGGTGGGTCATGCCTGTAATCCTAGCACTTTGGGAGGCCAAAGTGGGTGGATCGCTTGAGCCCAGGAATTTGAGATCAGCCTGGGCAATATAGTGAAACCCCATCTCTACTAAAAAATTCCCCCCAAATTAGCTGGGTATAATGGTGTGTGCCTGTAGTCCCAGCTACACAGAAGGTTGAGGCGGGAGGATCACCTGAGCCTGGGAGGTCAAGGCTGCAGTGAGCTGTGATTGCACCACTGCACTCTAGCCTGGGCAACAGGAGTGAGACCTTGTCTCAAAAAAAAAAAAAAAAGAAAAAAGAAAAAAGAAAGAAAAGTAAAGAAATACTGGGTCTTGCTATGTTGTCCAGGCTAGTTTCAAACTCCTGGGCTTAAGCAATCCTTCTGCCTTGGCCTCCCAAAGTTCTGAGATTACAGTGTGAGCCACCGCACCTAGCCTAAAATGTTTTAAATGAAATGATGGAATAAATAGATGGCAGTTATTTTGTTTTTAAGGTTTGGATTGGCATAAAACAAAACAGAAAATTGGCAACTATATATCATTTCTCAAAAAAAAAAAAAAAAGCAGCCAAACTGTTATAGGTCGAGTTGTGTCACTCTCAAAAAGATGCTGAAGTCCTGATTCTCAGTAATTCAGAATATGACCTTATATGGAAATAGGGCCTTCACAGAGGTAATCAAACTAAAATGAGGTTATTTGGGTGGGTCCTATCCAACATGACTGTGTTCTAACAAAATGGGGCAATTTGGATATAGAGAGACACACGGGGAAGGAAAGCTATGTGAAGACACAGAGAGGTTGCCATCTACAGGCCAGAAAGTGCCTGAGACTATTGGAAACTAGGAGAGAGGCATGGAACAGATTCTCTCTCACTGC
This sequence comes from Homo sapiens, assembly GCF_000001405.40. Lineage (NCBI taxonomy): Eukaryota > Metazoa > Chordata > Mammalia > Primates > Hominidae > Homo > Homo sapiens. Next base: position 93,089,639 of record NC_000011.10, on the reverse strand, counting down.
CTTCAGAAGGAACCAACCCTGCTGACACATCAGTTTCACACTTCCAGGCTACAGAACTGGGAGACAATAGATGTCTGTTGCTTAAGCCACCCAGTTTGTGGCGCTTTGCTACGGCAGCCCTAAGAAACTAATAGACAAAGAAGAAACACTGTTGGTGCCTGAAATCTTCAAGTCTGGGGACCACCAGATAAGCAGCTTCTAAAGAAAAATAAGATAGTCCTATTTTTCAAGAAGGAAATCGGTCAACCTCAATGCAGTCCCTGCCACATACCAGGCACTCGGCAAGATTTGGTTTTACTTGTCATCTCATCTAATTTCCATAGCAGCCTCCAAACATTTGTTATTAATCTGATTCTTATGGATGAGGACATCAAAGCTCAGAGAGAAAAATTTGACCTTGTTCAAAGTCATACTACCAGTAAATGGTGAGTCTAATTTTAAAAATAATAATAGGTAATATTATGGAGCATTTCTTGTAACTCATTCATACATGCATTTACATGTACTGACTAATTCAATCTTTACAACAGCATTGAGAAATAGCATTCATAAACATTTCTCATTTTAGTCATTTTTTAAGTTTATTTTTAAATAGAATTATTGTCAAGGAATTTTTGCCATAGATATCTTGTCAATTCTTTCTTAGATTAATTCCTTGAGACTATAGTTTTATCTCTGTTGTAGCATTTTCCAGTTGCTTGTTGCTTGTAAAGAGGAATGTTATTAATTGTTGTAAGTTGTATAACATTGCGGTTAAAGCATGGGCTTTAGAACCACACTGTCTGCAATCTCACCCTTTACTCTGTGACCTTGGACAAGGAGTTTAATCTCAGTCTTGTGCCCATTTACTTTATCTGCATAATGGAGATTATAATAATAGTGTCTATCTCATGTGGTTGTTATGAAAATTAAATGAGTTAACACATTTAAATCATTTAAACAGTCCTGTCTTATAATAAAGATTAGCTCTCGGTATTATTATTTATTGCTATGATCTCATTTTGCAGGTGACAAAGCCTGCAAAATATACATTTTTGCCTTTTTTAGCCAGAAACAGAGGCTTTCAAATCAGGTAGGCCCGGGTTTGAATTGCAGTTCTGTTCTGTCACTAGTACACACCTACTAGCTGTGTAACATTTGCAGACTTCTCTAGGTCTTGCTTTCCTCCACTGGGGGATTTTAATTCTGTTTAAGAATAAACAAAGTTTTGTGTCCTTTCGGAGTTTTGAAGATTGCCCTAGCATATTTATTTTGAACTAGTACAGATGGAAGATGACAAAATGACTATTATCTAAAATACCAGAATTACTTTGAGTTTGTTATAGTGTTAAAGAATGAGTTTAGCTTTAGGTAGGGAATGAGAGAGAAAGATAGAGATAGACAGACAAAGACGTACAGAGAGAGAGAGAAAAGAAAGCCCAATAAATTCATCTTAAGTTCAGTTATATCTATTGATAATACATATAACTTATTAGTGACTTCCTACAATTATTAAAATATATTTTACAAGCCTTGATGCCTAGTCAAACATAGATAAGGGCAGATTTTTAAAATAAAACAATTGAACATTACGAGAGTTTTCATTGGTTTGCCTTGACCAGGAGGAAAACATCACAGCCAGGAAAAATTGATAGAGAAGATAGCGTAACCAATTTAATCCTACTTGGGGTCAGCAAATGGATTCTAAATCTCTAGCTTTAGATTCAGCTACTTTGTCCGCCCTGGCCTTTACAGTATAGCATCTGTATAAACTAAGTGCTTTCAGGAGTACTTAGCTGATTCCCTTCTTCATGGGACATTGCTATTTTAGATCACATATTTTTCTTCTTCAAAGAGAGGCCTTATTTTATTCTCTTTTATACTTCATGGGGTTGTTATAGGGATTAAATAAGACAGTGTATGTAAAGTTCCTAGCACAGTGGCTGGCAATAAAAAAAAATAGATCCTACAATTATTATACTTCCTGAAAAACCAAAACATTAACTTTCTATCAGAAGGAAAATAGAGATGATTTAATTTTCGCTTTCAGTTCTTTTTTGTTTCCTGGAGAAATGTTTCCTTTCACTTCTCTATCTTGTTTTTTTTAAAGTCAGTTGGCTATGTCAAGGCCCTTGGACATTTTCAAAGCCTAATTTTCATAGTCTTATTTTCAAAGAATAAAACAGTGAATTTAAAAAGAGAAAACACAGACGAGGACCAAGAGGTATTTGAAATGGTATTTGACAGTTTGGTCATCAAAAACAGCAATGCATTTGATTCATTCCTGACTTGGGAAAATAAATGCCATTTATTAATGCTGGTGCACATTTGTTCTCTAGAAAAATCACACAAAAACCTTGGAGCACACAACTCTGTAGCTCCGCAGGGAGCCATCCAAGCATCTCTCTTTCATCACTTCTGGAGAAGTTTGCAAGGTTGTCTCCTGAGTTACAAACATGAAAGAATAGATGGCATACAAAGAAGTTCCACAGAATAATAATTCCTTTTATTTTGAATTAGTCCTTCAGAAAGGACCGCAGCCATCTCAACTTATTATGTAATCTTAACCAAACTATATATGTATGAAAATATGTATTTATATTCCATCTACATCTTAAAAGGATTTTAAAGTAGCTCATAATAAAGGGCTTTCAAAAATAAAAATAAAATCAGAATAGAAAGAAGATGATGTAGGAAAAAGACCACTACCATTCTCAGAAATAGCAGGGTTAATGTATTTAGCATACAGTTTTGTTGTAAACTTCCTGGAAGCCCAGGCAAAAAGGGAGTCTCATCAGAAAGAAAGTCGTTTTGCAAGCCTGTGTAAGTCTTGAGGAGTGGGGCTTTTTCGAGCCGCTGATGATTGCATGGTACTCTCTGCTACATCTTTTTATCCACTGATAAAACTAGGAAAGAAAAATTAAGCCCTTGTGATCCTGACTCCCAGCCATCCCCATGCCATTGGGCCACAGCACAGCCAGCCGAAGATGGACATAAAAAGGCATCATGTAACTTCTTAATGCAATGGCCTCACAACAGATTTGTTTTGTCCCTTTAGTTGAAGATTTCTTGGTTTTGTTTTGGCTAAAGTGAGTTGACCAGTTGCTTTGATGTGATTAGAACCAGCCTGTATCATTTTGGCCAACACTTCTGGTTGCATGTAACAGGAATACAACTTATCCCATCTCCCTTAATTCCCACACCCCCCAAAAGGTTTAGAATTATTATCATTTTTTCACATGAAAGGGGATCTGGAGCTGGGCAGAGAATGGGTCAGGCAGCTTCATAATGACAATAGGAATCTCGGCTTTTTTGCTTTTGTTCCACCATCCTTAGTGTGTGGCTTCTTGTCCCCTTTGAAAGCTGGATACTTCTTCTGCAGGCATGTGTCTGTGTTCCGGGCAAAGCATGAAAGATAAAAGAATGTAGGGATTTTTGGCGGGGCCCGGTGGCTCACGCCTGTAATCTCAGCATCTTGGGAGGCCGAGGTGGGCAGATCGGGAGGTCAGGAGATCGAGACCATCCTGGCCAACATGGTGAAAGCCCATCTCTACTAAAATAAAAAAAAATTAGCCAGGCATGGTGGTGCACGCCTGTAGTCCCAGCTACTCAGGAGGCTGAGGCAGGGGAATCGAACCCGGGAGGCGGAGGTTGCAGTGAGCCAAGATTGCGCCACTGCACTCCAGCCTGGTGATAGGGCAAGACTCTGTCTCAAAAAAAAAAAAAAAAAAAAAAAAAAAAAAAAAAAAAAAAGAATGTAGGGCTTTTTAACAAGCTTTCCAAGAGCTCGACATTCCTGTGTCTCTTATGAGCTGTAACTTAGTCACATGGCCACTCCTAATGACAAAGGAGCCTGGAGAAGAAAGTACTTTTAACTGGGTAACTTGACATCCCAAACAGAATTGGGTGTTGGTAAGGAAGAAGGAAAGAAAGAATGGATATTGGGTGTGCAATTAACAGTGTTGTCACACATTTCCATTTCCAGAGCTTACTGGTAGTAGAATCAGTGTAATAATTCCAGGTACTTTCCACTAGATCACAACTTGTGTGTACTTATTTTATATATCTTATTAGGATTTATGCAGAAATGTCAAGTTGGCATGGACTTCTGAAAGTTCTTAATATAGAACCCTATACATAGCCCTGAGAATTGTGAAGTTGTAAATGTTGAAACCTAATGAATGTCACAATCTACAGGAAAAGAAGAAATATTATAGGCGTATAGAGATCTTATGGGGAAACCTTGGTTAATTCACCTAGAAGCTGTCATTTTTCAGAGAATCAGAATCTCTGTGAGAGTCTGAGTGGTTACTGAAGTAAGGAGCCCCTGATGGGAGTACAGTCTCTGCCAGGGCCATAGACATCCTGTGACTCAAGTCAGAGGGACTGGGTTATGCATCAGGAAGCTGGCTCTCTTCGTAAGAATCAAGTTATGTTGCATGTGATTTCTAGCCCTGGAAGGAGCTTATAGAAACTCTTGGGAGAATTCTAGAAATGTCTCAAAAATTTAGGATGTTTTGGACATAAGATTAGCCTTTTGAATCAAAGGGGGGATTATTACAAAAAGAAGTATGTGACTGATAGCTCTCAGACATTTTGAAGGCAGAATGTACTCATCAGAACAGTACCTGGAAAAGATATTAAAACTGCCATGCTGGGGTTACAAGCATGAAGTGTGTTTGCCCTGTGATTAAAACTCATTACTGTTCACATCCTATGAATTGGAAGAAAAAAGACTGTTAATCAAAATGGACCAGTGGGATTTATCATCCTAGACTCTGTTCCCTATTGATTTCTTTTCTGGAAGAAATCCCCTAGAGTACAGATCCAAAGTTCCTCCAAGGAACTCCCATTCTTCTATTTCAATTTAATTTCCTTCCAACATTTTAGTGCCATATTAAATGTACATTTTTTAAAGGTTCATTTCATACAGATTCTATTGGTCTTTCCAATGCATTCTGTTTGCTTGTTGCCTGCATGTTCAGAGGCACCCCTGCCATGAAAAGTAGAATTGCAATCAGAGGATAAATCATCTCCATCATCACTTGTACCATAATCTGTATTTTATTTTCCTCCACAATTTCATCATAAGCAAAAGATCAGATATGTTAACATTCTTGATAAGCATCACAGTTCCTAGGAGACACTTTCAAAGTTCTGAATAGATATAATAATTGCCTGAGTTATATGTAATAAATATGTTCCGTTCTCTCCTTTGCCTTTGAGGGTGTTACCAATGAGCCTACATAAGTGCTAAAGAGTATATATATTCGTCAGGGGCCAGCCAAAAGACAAAAACCATGCCAGTTATTTTATAAGAGACAGAATTTAATATAAAGGATTGTTATCTAGGTATTAATAAATGCTAACTAGGTAACTAAAAAATCAAAAGGGAACAATAAGTTTTCAAGAAGTAGCAAATGCAGAAAGCAGCCCCTACCTGGGCGGGGAGCCAGGGAGGCTGGGGGGGAAGGGAGGAGGTTGAAATCACTAAAACCTAAAAGCTTGAAGAAGAACTCTGACAAGATATAACTTAGAGACTTCACCAGATAGTTGGTGGCCCCTCGTCAGAGGACTGGGTCTCAGGTCCTTAGAGTCTCTCTGCCAAGTACAGAAATGCCCCAATCAGCTGAGTAGCACACCCCATACCCCTTAGAGATCTAAGTGTAGTACAATAAGCCTGCCTCGGTGAATGTTGGAAAAGCTGCTGCTTCTGGGGAGAACTGCCACTGGTAGGGAAAGGAAGACAAGTTGCTGGGTGACACTGGCAGAAATCTGTGAAGGGAGGTGAGACTATGCAGAATAGTGGTTAGAAGAACCAGCTCAAGTTAGGAGAACTGCTTCATATCCCAGCTCTGCCATTTTCTAGCTCTGTGACCTTGGGCACATTACTTAATCATTGCTAGCCTCGTGTTTTCCCATACATAAAATAGGGCTAGTGTCCCTTATCTGTGACAGTCTGTGTAAAGTGCCTAGAAAATTACCTAGTATATAAGCCCAGTGCACTATGCTTGCTTTTGCTGTTAATAAATGCATGAGAATTTAAATCAATGGCTTTTGACCCAGGGTGATTTTATCCCCCAGGGGATAATTTGGCAATGCCTGCAGATATTTTTGATTGTCATGACTTGAGGGCAGTGCTACTGGCATCTAGCAGGTAGAGGCCAGGGATGCTGCAAAACATTCTACAATGCACACGACAACAAATAATTATCTGGACCAAAATGTCAACAGTGCAGAAGTTAAGAAACCCTGGCTTAAATAAAAACAAAAACTGTGTTCTAAGAACTACAAAGAAACATTAAGTCAGAGGGAGGAGAGTTCAGTGAAGACTAGAGTAGTCTGAGCACGCCATGGAGGAGGAGTGCGTGGAAGGATGAGTGGATTTGGACAGTGGAGTAAAGAGAACGTACCGGGCAGAGGATGACATGAGCAAAGGCTTGAAGGTGGGACCTTGTCTTTTTCTAAACTTTTATGATTCAGTTGCACATCCCAAACCATACAGGGACGCTGTGAATCACTGACTCAGAAAGGGAATGCCAAATATGAGTCTCCTTTCAGGTGGCTTGTAATTGAAATCTCACAACCATCTGTCATCATGAAAAGAAGAAGCTGCCTCTGCCGGACATATCCTTGTCTTCTCCATCCTGCCAATCAACCCTTTACACAGTCAAAATAACCTCAGATCGTGATGGGGCACACAGCAAATGCTACTACCTTTGCAGAGTCTTCCTCCAGGAACTTAATGACCTGACAGAGTAATGGCTTTCATAGCAAGCCAGTCATTTTGGCTAAACCGTAGATAGCTTGGCAAATCATCTGGGCTTTGTATGCCATAGTTGACCTCATTCAGATAACCTTATGCAGTTACTATAAAAAAAAGACCTTGATCACAGTCAAGGCTGGAACATACATGAATTTGCCTGAGAGCTGCCATGTTTTAGAAGGATGGAGAGAACATTCAATGAGGTGTCAGGAGATGAGGCTAGGGATTCAGCTCAGCTACCAATAAACCCTGCAACTTTCCTTGAATAAATCCGTGCACATGTGTTTGCCTTAGGTTTCCTCAGACTGAAAATAATGCCAAATGCTTGCTCAGTTAATTCAGTAAGATTTTATCTTGGTTCTTTCTTTTCAGAATCTAAGATTCCCAGGTCTTCTCTACTACTGTTAGGAAACCCCATGTAATTTGGGTTGTTTTTGTTCTTTTGTTGTTGTTGTCGTTGTTTGTTTTTCGAAACCTCCCTGTCCCTGATAGAGTGGAGACTCCACAGAGGCAGGGGATTTCCTTTGTTCATGGCTATATTCTCAGCACCTAGAGTAGTTCCTGTCACATAGTGGGCCCTCAATAAATCTTTGTTGAATGTTGAATGATCTTAAATATCTCGGGGTCTAGGGGTGGAGACAAAAAACAAAGAGAAAGAAGCAGAACGATAACTGAGAATTTAGAGAGAGGATAAATAAAAGCTTAAATAGATGTTACTTGAGCTAAATCTTGTAGTATAAGTAGGAGTTTGTGAGTGGGGGAAGCAAGGGAGAAGGCTTTTCTGAACAGAGTATCAGACATGCAACAGGGTTGGAGAGCATGGAAGAGGCAGGTTCTTTTCAGAATTGCAGGTAGTTTGGCTACAGCTGGGTAGAAGATGCAAGGGGCAGACATCAAGAGATAATCCACAAGGACTGACACCAAACTGGGGAGAGCTTTGTGTGCCTGCTGGCGTGGGAGCAACCAAAGGATAGTGACATGACAGACTGCAGCATCACAAAGCTTTTCTTGGTAGCAGTGGGGAGCATGACTGGGGCTGAATGCAAGGCAGCAGTTGATTAGGCACAAGGTCTGCCTGTGGCAAGAAGGATGGGGCAGAGGGATCAGATCAAAATCTCTTTAATCCATTAGAGCTTCTAAACTAACCACCAGGGGTTTATCTATTTTCAAAGACAGTAAATAAAGTTCTTAAGATCTTCAAGACTCAAAACACCTTGTAATAGATTAATTATTCTGCTATAGATTATATATTATGTCAAACTCAAATGAGATACTAGAATTTCCACTAAGAGTTTCTTATTTGTAATTAGTTGACTGGTTTTGAATCAGTCTTAAAACAGGCAGGTTTCTGTATTTAGATCACATTTCATAAATTTTGTTGGAAATTTCAATAAGGCATTCTTATCAAATTATTCTGCAGGCTTTTATATGAGTGTACAGGCAAATACTTGTTTTGAACATTGACTAATGGCATAATTTTCTCTACTAGACTTCTGTCAACCAAAATAATGAAGAGGCTCTCTAAAAGAAAAGATATTTATTTGGGAATAGAGTATTACCATTGAAATGCATGTGCCATGGTAAACTATGTGCATATTCAGAGAGGTAAAGGAAGACAAATATTTTTAAAGGAAAAAACGAGGAGGATTACATATGTGCTTTGAAATGATTATCCTTAAATGCAAGGATCAATGACAAGGGTGGCACCAGTCCAAGGTCAAACAGGCAGTTGCTGGGCACATGTCCTCCCAGAAGTATTTTTGTGTTTGTGAGGCTGAAATGGCCTTTGTGCAAGACTGTAGTTTTTGTAGAGTCTTTTTCATTGTATGCATACAAGTATGAGCACCTTCTCTTCATGGCCTTCCTCAGCATTATTTGTCAGGATTTTGTTAACATTAGTGACTTCATTTTGATTCTGACAACTTTCACACTTCTCACTTCAGGAAATATAACATTTTCAATATAGTCATTTTCTACCAAGCAATGCCAATGTTACCAAATGGGTTCAAGAAAAAAATGATGAAAAAAAAGTTTCTCAATATCTTATTATTTTGAGACTGAACATGTTCTTCTGGACAAAGGGACTCACATTTTGCTTATTAAAGCCTTGTGTTTTCCTTTTCCTTTAGGAAATACTTTGACATTATTGTCAAGGTCTCTTCACTGTCCCTTTACCATTTAAGTTGCTATCTCTCCATATGTAAGGCACATGGATGTGCTTTGGTCAAGGAATAGGCCAAGGTGGACATCCAGGCCAGAGTGACTCAGCGAGTTTAGGGTACAGGTGCATACTTCACTTGTTATATACCTGTTTGTGGACGCTCATACTTGGCTCTATGCCACTATTGTCTGTAGAAGCTGTAGAAGGTATAACTGCCCTGCCAATACTGTACAGGCTCTTGGGCATGGCTTGACATGGCTCTTGTGCAGGCACTGGTGCCTGGAGAAAGAGAGAGAGAGAGAACCAAAGCTGTCTATCTTGCAGGTAGGCAGTGGGGAGCCAGGACCTGGCTTGTGCACAAAGAGAGAGAGAGAATTAAGTTGCTGACCCCGAAGGGAGAGCCAGCCTCACAGCTGTGTGTGGTAGCAGCAGGCTCAAGTAGCCGAAACAGAGCAGACAGTGAGAGAAAGCTGCTTGTAAGAGAATTGCTAATAAAAGAGCTGTTTTGAGTAAGCTGCTGATGAGAGAGCTGCTGAATAAAACTACATTTCACCTGCTTACGGCCCCCCGAGTGTTCTTTCAGCTATCTGCTCATCTACCCACTCTCCTCGGACCTCAGCAGGGGCTAGAACCTGACCCCAAGCGTGACATTTGGCATAGTTGTGGACCTGACACCATATATACCTGTCTTCATATCAAGAAGGACAGAAGATCATTAGGGTCCAGATACCACTCACATTGTTGGACTTACTGTTCACTCTTTGGGAGAGGTGGCAAGTATCTCTAAGAGTCTCTAAGACTCTATTTCTACATTCATAATTGTGATGCTTTTACAAACAGCAAGACCCATGTGTATTTAGCAGAGCACACACTCTTCCCCTGACACACATAAGACACAAAGAGGACCACTGAATGGATAACAAGGAGTATGGTATCATTAGTGCAGAGCTACCTCATTACTGTGTTTTAATTAACCCTCTAATTACTTTCAGCTGCTACTAATGAGCTTCGTGGCCAGAAACACACCCTTTGGTAAATTTACTGAAAACTACATTCACTCACATTTTCAGGTCAGTGGAGAGGGTATGTTAACAGGTTTTTTGGTAGTAAAAGTCGTGGTCACTTTTCCTAGGGATTCAGTCAATCATGTTGATCTTCCATCAGACTGATCATCCTTACTCCATGCTTTGGCTCTAGCTTTTCCATGAGTTTTCTCTATTCAGGGAGGGATTTCAAATCTACATCTTAGATGCAGTCTCAATCTAATTTCATGCAGTTCACAAAAATCTGGCGGAGTAAGTTTTAGCTGAAAGAACAGTTTTTCTCCCTGATGAGCATCTTCAGTTCACACATTCAGAGTGATTGTATAGGTTCTTTACAGACTTGCTAAAGCTTACAAAGAACTATGAACAGTCTTTGCTGTACCAAAAGTATTTCCTTTCATTTCATTCCTCAGGTGTTCACTGAGCATTTACTATTAATATATGCTTCCATCATATCACATGGCTGCAGAACATTTTTCAGTGGTGTTCTATTGCCTGTAGAATAAAATTCAAACTTCTCAGCCTAATGTTCCAGGCCCTGCTACACTTAGTCTGTTACCCCTCCTCCCCAATTTCCACCAACACACACACAAGCAGACAGACAGACACACAAACACACACACACTCCATATATGAATGCTATTCCTTCCTTTGGACTTTGCTTATTCTGTGGCAACTGCCCAGAATCCTCCTCCCATTCTTATGTATATGAACTCCCACCATCCTTCAAAGACACATTTTACATGGACTGTGTAGTGTGCTGGTAAATATTTCCCAACTAGGTCTCCAGAAAACAAGCAAGCTGATTTGTATTATAGCATTTGTTGATTTTCATAAAGTAAATACTCCCACTACAGTCATTTTCAATCAAGGTGATGTAACTGAACATAGAGTTAGGAAGACATTGGCCAGGTGTGGTGGCTCACACCTGTAATCCCAGCACTTTGGGAGGCTGAGTTGAGTGAATCACGAGGTCAGGAGATCGAGACCATCCTGGCTAATATGGTGAAACCCTGTCTCTACTAAAAATACAAAAAATTAGCTGGGTGTGGTGGCAGCCGCCTGTAGTCCCAGCTACTCAGGAGGCTGAGACAGGAGAATGGCATGAACCTGGGAGGTGGAGCTTGCAGTGAGCCGAGATCGTGCCACTGCACTCTAGTCTGGATGACAGAGTGAGACTCCGTCTCAAAAAAAAAAAAAAAAAAAAAAGACATGAGCAGTAGCCACCGTTGGAAAGTATTTCTATCCTCAGATAAAATAAAATTTATCTCAAGAGCACAAGTAATAATAAAATAGTAAATAAGAAATAGTGAGTTGAGTATTTATTACCTTTATCTGTAACATAGTTTACTTAATTGTGTTTATTTAATTTAATTCTTAATGATGGCTGTATTTAACAACTTGCTTATCCTGAAAATATGACAGTCGGCTCTTGCAAGCTGGTACAAGCCAGCTCTAGCAACCCACTGCATGGAGCCTACCTTTACTTCCCCAGCTCACAAAAATCTCCCTGTCTATCTGCTTTCCCTCTATGTTACTGTTTTTGACAATTTACTCGAACAAATACTAAGTGCCTATGAGGTGTCAGGCATTCTAGCTCAGAGAGTCAGGCAAAAAGCACATAAGGAAACAAAAACAACTTCAGATGGAATAAGATCCATGAATACAGGGAAGAAGCAAGACAAGAGTGACTGACTGGTGAGGAGTACCACTTCCAGGGATGAGGGAGACTAACAGATGAGCGAAAACAGGGAGAGGAGGTCGATGAGTAAGGGCTTAGTTTTAGAGAGGTTCAGTTTCAGATGCCTAGTAGACATCTGAGGAGCAAGGTGCATTTGGACAATTTCTATACAGATTCTAGAGCTCAGGGTGGAGTCAGGGCTAAGGATCCAGCTATGGATGTCATCAGCATAAAGCTGGTATTGAAAGTCACAGAGGGACTAAGATCATACAATGAAGGAGTCAACATGGAGAAGCAAAGAAGGCAGAGCCCTGAGATATTCCAACAGTTAAAAACCAGGCAAAGAGATGAACCTGCTTTCTGTAAAACTTTCGTGTGTGTGTCTTCTTCCTTCAGCTCAACCGTTGGCTCCTTGAAGACAGGAGTCATGTAATGTATCCCCCAGCCTCTGTAATACAGTAGTTACCACACTTACCCTTGCGGGATTTTTTTTTTTTTTGAAACAGAGTCTCACTCTTGCCCAGGCTGGAGTGCAGTGGTGCAATCTCGGCTCACTGCAAGCTCCGCCTCCCGGGTTCACGCCATTCTCCTGCCTCAGCCTCCCGAGTAGCTGGGACTACAGGTGGCTGCCACCATGCCTGGCTAATTTTTTGTATTTTTAGTAGAGACGGGGTTTCACCATGTTAGCCAGGATGGTCTCAATCTCCTGACCTCGTGATCCGCCCACCTCGGCCTCCCAAAGTGCTGGGATTACAGGCATGAGCCACCACACCCGGCAGCCTTGCGGGATTTTAAAGGGGGAAAACAGCCACAGAATAGTGACTAGAACTCTTTATAAAAAGCAGAAAAGGAACTGAGAACATCAGCAGTTTTGTGGCATACAAATCACAGCATTTCCAGGTATTCAAATTACCCCCAGCAATATTCCTGTGCAATAAGACTACAGGAACATCTGTGTTTGCACTGGATTTCATATTTAATAAAGCCCTTTTTCCTATTCAACAGCCCACATGGTAGGCAGAGTAAGTATTATCACTATCATTCTATGGCAAAGAAAGCAAGTTCAGAGAGTGCAGAGACAAGCTGGAGGGCAGAGACCAGATGAAAGCCATATCTGGTGCAAAACCAGGGATAGAACTCAGATTTTCTGTCTCCCTGAAGTTCAGGGTTCTGGGGAGATCTTAGTTCAATGGTTGATTCCTCAAGGGAACCCCAGGACCCAAGAAAGCATCAGGTTGAAAGTATCTTTAGGAGCGTAGAGCAAAAACTCCCCTAGAGAACAAATAGCACTTAAGCCTAGGAAGAAATAAAGCAGTCTTGGGACCAAAGTCAGAAGTAAAGAAGTTTATGTTGTGCATTATTCAGAAAAGATATTCCTTATCTTGACCCAAGGTGTCGTTTCTCTTTACTAGATTGGGAATTTATCTTTTAAATAATAGGCTCTGGGGTTCCGGAGACAAGAACATTTCCTTCATCTGTAAACACAACCAAACTTCCTTTCTTTTTAAAATGACTGAAATGCAGGCTCTGAGTACCAATAAGGAAATTGATGTAATTTGCTTATACAGCCTTTTCCTACAAGGACAAATGTAGAATGCATATTTTATTATTCCTTCTAACCCATAGTCTCTCCAGATACTTCAAAAGCTAAAAGCAGATTGATCTTTGATGTACTTATCTGGCATTAGCTGCTTCTCCATCTTCGCCTTTGCATAGAATATAATTCTTACACAGCTGATGAACTTGCAAGTGCCTGTTGGCCCTTTGAATCAAGTCCTTCAAATCTCAGCATTCCATTTTCAGCTATTTATTCCTGCACCAGAAAGAGCACTTATCTACCTAGAAACCACAATTAGAAATGTTCTCCACGTAGAAACTGGTTTGACCATTTTAAGAAAGAACTGACTAGGGTCGTTTTGTTTTTAAATCAGCAAGTCAGTCTCAATCCACAAGTCACATCTGGAGATAAACCTCTCAATCCACACATTTCACAGACACCAAGAGAGTGGGAAGAGGAAGGAAATCTTGGCAGGCAGCAGGGAGCTGCTAGATGGGCAGAAAGCGGACTGGTTGAGGAATGAGAGTTCGTGTGAGCCTAGGAGAGCTTTGAGGGAGGAAGAGAACAAGAGTGTGGGGAGATAAGAAGTTGTGCTCAGTTGGGAAGATGATACAGCCTGAAATGTTAGAGAAAGAAAATTTCAGGAGAAAATGGAGGTGTGACCTGAGAGGAGGTAGCTAAGATAGAATGGAGTTGAAAGTTATGAATTGAGGAAATCATGTAGCAAGTTGAAAAGACGGAGAATGCTGTCCTGTCTATCTTGGAGGGACTCATGGAACTATCCTTCCACCTGTGGATGGGAGCCCCTCCACAGATGCAAAGCTCTGTCAACATGACAGCTCCATTTATTGGTGTGTAGCCTTAGACCAGTAAACAAAACTCACAATGCTAATCCCACAGTCTTAATCCATTCTGATTGCTATAACAAAATCTCATCAACTGGGTGGCTTATACACAGCAGAAATTTATTTCCCACAGTCTGGAGGCTGGGAAGTCTAAGTTCAGGGCACTAGCAGGTTCAGTGTCTGGTAAGGGCCCACTTCCTCAGAGATGGCACCTTCTTGCTGTGCCCTTACACAGTGGAAGGGACTAACTAGCTTAGCTTTTTGGGGTCTCTTTTATGAGGGCACTCGTCCTAATCATGAGGGCTCTTCCCTCCCAAAGGCCCCACCTCCTAATACTATCATCTTGGGGGATAGGATTTCCACATATGGATTTTGGGGTGTCTCATTCAGACCACACCACCCATCAAAGTGCCTCAGCAGTAGTGGTCCTTTTGGCAACAGTCTGGGGTGAGCCTCTAGGTAGATGTCAAGGTCAGGTAGATTCTTGGTAAAATGGCCCAAAGCTACAAAGAATTCATGTTCGTGTGCCATCAAAACACCTCCACCACATAGTGATTCCTGTAACAATATCAAGGGCGCTAGAAATGAATGTCTTAGTATCTGTGAGGTCACCGACAAAACTTATTTCAACCTTTGAGTATGAATGGAACAATCTGAGGATGAGAAGAAAGGTCAAATATGAAGAGAACATAATCTCGCTGGACACATTATGGTTCACCCAAAGGACACAACTCTTTTTTTTTTTTTTTTTTTTTTTGAGACAGAGTCTCACTCTGTCACCCAGGCTGGAGTGCAATGGCATGATCTTGGCTCACTGCAACCTCCATCTCCTGGGTTCAAGCGATTCTCCTGCCTCAGCCTCCCGAGTAGCTGGGACTACAGGCATGCGCCACCATGCCTGGCTCATTTTTTTTTTTTTTTTTGTATTTTTAGTAGAGGCGGGGTTTGAGCATGTTGGTCAGGCTGTTTTGAAACTCCTGACCTCAAATGATCCACCCACCTCGGCCTCCCAAAGTGCTGGGATTAGGCATGAGCCACCACGCCCGGCCAGGACACAACCCTTTATATGCACAATCGCAGGCTGAATAAGGCTTATATGCTCTGAAATGCAATCTCCTGTCTCAAAACGTAGATATGATATTGGGGTATGAAGAACTGTACAGGGTACTAGATGTTACTGAACCAGACTTGGATCTACTCTTCCAGCGTGCAGAAAAAGGCAAACTCTGACACTGGGATTTGCGGTGAGAGAGAAAGCCATTTATTGCAGGACACCAAGCAAGGAGGACAGGCAGCTAATGCTTCAGACCTGAACTCCCTGATGGCTTACAAGCAAGGATTTTCAAAGGCAGCAGTGAGGGGTCTTCCGAAGTGAGTTAGGGGCTAAGGAATTTCTGAAACTTCCTTATCTATTTTCTGGTTCCAGTCTGTCTTAGGTCTGTGTGACAGCCATTGGCATTTTCCATCAGTTGGGGGTCCTCGTTTCTGAAAAACAACTCAAGGACATTTGTCAAAATGTTATCTTTAGTTTCTACAGGGAACCAAACGTCTTGTGACCCTGGCATACTTGAGTGGCTATTGTTTAAGTCATTGTTATCTTTAGCAGGTCATTCATTCAGTCGCCTACTTGCTGGTTGTGGGGCTGAGTGCCTGGAATTTCTTTTGAAGAACTCAAAATCTTTTATTTCTACACTGAAGGGATGGGGGAGCCCAGCAGGCCCCTAAGAGGGGATCCCTGCTCTGTCTCAGAGAGAAAGGAAGAGGAAGCCTGACTCAGTCTGAGGAGTATATGGACTCTTTCTTTGAGGAAATGAATAGCTGCTGAGTAGTAAAGTGGGTGAAGGAGGGTGGAGAATATTATGGGTAAAGGGCAAAGCACATGCAAAGGTCCTGAGGTGAGAGGGAGAGAAAAAAAATAAGTTGGAGAAATTTAAAATGTCTGATTTGCCTGGAATCAAATGAGGAAGATTTAGAGTGACTAATCTAAAAAAGCAGGTAATGATCTCAGTATCAACTAGGGCATCTTTGGCTGCAAGTAAGAAAAGAGCCTCAGTCACCTTAGCAGAAGTTCAGAGGTAGCAGCAGGCAGAGGCAGGAATAAACTTCTGTTCTGGTATCTCCTGCTTAGGAATGACAAGCATTTGCCAGAAACACCTCTGCAACATGTATGTGCGTGTGCGCGCGCACACACACACACACACACACATGTGCATGCACAGTGTAACCTCCTGACAGGTTCCTCCTGACTGCTGCACAAACAAAATCAATTAACAGAGACCATGGCATTTCAGTTGATGTGAGGCCAGCCATGCTAAGTGGGAGACGGAGTTATCACTCAAATCAATCTCCTTGAAGGCTCAGAGATTAGGAGTTTTTCGAAGATAGTTTGGTGGGCAGGGACTGGGGTATGGGGAGTGCTGATTGGTTGGATCTGAGTTGAGTCATTTCTGGGTGGGGCTACAAGAGTAATTGGCAGGTCCAGGTGGAGCCACTGGTTCTCAGACAGGTAAAACACCTGAAAAGATATCTCAAAAGGCCAATCTTAGGTTCTACAATTGTGATGTTCTCTGCAGGAGTAACTGGGGAGCTGCATATCTTGTGACCCCCTGGAAGAATGGCTGGCAGTCATAAGTTTACTTCTACCTAGCAGAATTCAGGATCCTCTATCCTCCTAGCCTGGTGCTCTCTTATTAGCTTTACAAAGGTGGCTGAATTTTGGGGAAAGGCTATTATCATTTAAACTGTAAACTAAATGTCTGCCAAAGTTAGTTTGGCCTAAGCCCAGAAATAATTAAAGGCAGCCTGAAGGCTAAAGGCAAGAGGTGGGGTTGGCTAGATAAGATCTCCCCCACTGACACAATTTTCTCACTGTTATAATTTTTGCAAAGAGAATGTCAACAGCAGATCTCTTTCCATGTGACTTAACAGAACTGTGTCACATGCTCACCCCTAGACCATTCCCAGCCAAGGGAACAGAAATCACTATAATTTACTCTGTGGGATCAGAAGAATATGCCACCCCCAAATCCCAAAATATGCCCCTTTGGTGTCAGGATTATTTTGAGCTGACTATTTTGAGACACAGCAGATACAGGAGAAGCTCCTTGAACAGAATAAATACACTGCCCTTTTGTAAGGGAAATGTACTTTATGAGGGGACTCTGCATTTGTAAGCGTGACTTTCTCTCTATGCCAGGAGAGAATGAAGACTCTAAACAAGAGACTCTTTAGCAAGGGAGGAGGCACTGAGTAAAATCTGCATAACAAACCCTTTCTCTCATTTACTGTACTTTTCCTGATCACCCTCATGACTTTGTTTTTAGCTGCAGATAGTATTTAAACCTGAATTCTAAGCCAACTCTCTGAGAGATACTCATTTCCCTGGGCATCTCCCATGTATATATGGGATATACATGTTAATACACTTCTCTTTGTTTTTCTCTTGTTAATCTGTCTTCTGTTAAAGAGGCTCCAGTTTAGAACTTAGAAGGGTAGAGGAAAAACTATTTTTTCTTCCCCCTATATCTGAATCAGGCCTTACCTCGGACCTATGGGTAGAGTCACCTTCCTAGAGGTCGGGTGGAGAACTGGTGGACCCTGAACAAAAGTGTGGCTCTGCTAGCAAGAAATAAAGGAGAAATGAATGTCTCCAAATCATCTGGCAGAATTTTCCATAGCTTGTAGGCTATAACAAAAACTTGATCTTTAAGACACAGCTGTTTGTGTGAGGTATATCTCTCTTTGGGAAAGAGTCCAATTAGTTGGCCATGAGGTTTAATTCTGTTTTAAAAACAGATGAGTCTGTTCTGACTTGGAGGAATTATGTTTCTGGACAATTCTGGCAAAATAAGGAAAAACCCTGATTCTGTGTTTCCCAAAATTTCTTTTAATAGGTGCCAACCCTACTACATAATAACTTATTAATTTTTTGAAAAAGTTTATAAATTTGAGGTTTAAATATATACCATAAAATGTATCAATCTTAAGTGTAGAGCTTATTGAATTTTTCCACATGTGAATGCTCATGTAACCACTACCCAGATCAAGATATAAAACATTTCTTCCCTTCTGAGGTTATAGAAAAAGAAATAAAGAAAAAAAAGATATAAAGCATTTCTATGCAGCCTCCTTGTGCATGTTAAAAAAACTAAAGAAAAACATTTCTAGCACATTCCCCTGTTAACGCCCACCCTAAAATGGTAACTATTATTCTGGCTTTTATAATCATTTATTAATTTTGCCTCTTCTTGAGCTTTATATAAACGGAATTGTATTTGTATATACTGTTTTGTGTTAGGTTTGTGTCACTCAACAAAATGTGTGTGAAATTCATCCAAGTTGTTGTGTATAGTAGTCCTTTCTTTTTCATCACTGTATGGTATTCCATTAGATGAATATATGTAAGTATATATGTGAATACTTATATATACATGAAAAAGTGTGCATATACATGTGTGTATACACACACACACACAATTTCTCTTTCCTGAAAATAAACATTTATATTGTTTTAAGTTTGGGAAAATTATGAATAAAGCTGCTGTTAACATCCTTGTGTATGTCTTTTTTGTTGCTGGAAAAAGAGCATCCCGATCCAGACCCCAAAAACGGTTCTTGGATCTTGCACAGAAAATAATTTGAGAGGAGTCACAGAGCACAGTGAAAGCAGCAAGTTTATTGAAAACTACTCCATTACAGAGTAGGGCATTTTCAGAAAGCAGGAAGAAAAATGCTACATCCTTTGTTAGTATCTCTACTTTTAAAACGCTTTTAGGAGTTAATTAAACATGGAATGTGCAGATGTGCTCACTAAAGGTAGGGGCCATTGCTGCTATAATGACCATTAATCTTTAACCTAAGCCTGCTCATTGATTTTATTTTTAAGTAAAGTGGGCTGCACACTTAGGACATCTGGGCATCTGTAGGCTTGGTGGGAAATGTTCTTTATCGCCATAAATATTTTGTAATTATAATTGGTGGTCAGCTTAGAATGTGGCTGTTTTAAGATCATAAGCATTAACTTTATAGGTGTCTTGAGAGTGCCTAGCTATTTACTTCAAGATGGAGTCCCTCTCGTCATGTTTTATAAAACTAGAGGCTTGGCAAACAAAGGTTGCTTTAGCATTTTGATGAACATGTGTACTTATTTCTCTTGGTTATTAGGTATTAAAAATATGATAGAAATGTTTTTCAAATGGTTTATCTATTTACACTTGCTCCAGGAATGTATGAGGGTTCCAGTTGCGCTTATCTTCACTGACACTTGAAATTGTCAGTCTTTTTGGCTTTAGTTATTGAGGTGGACTTGTAGTTGGAAAACTATGGCAACTTGTTGTGGTTTTAATTTGCATTTTTCTGAAAAGTCATGAGGTGGAACCTCTTTTCATATGTTTATTGTCTATTTGGATATCTTCTTTTGTGAAGAGCTTGCCCATTGGTTATACTGAATTGTTTGTCTTTTCCTTATTGATTTGTAGGAGTTCTTTGTGTATTCTGGATATGATTCTTTTCTTAAATATAATTATTATAAATATTTTATCCAAGTAAATGGCTGCCTTTTCACTTTTTAAATGGTGTTGTTTAAGGAACAGAGTTCTTAATTTTAATGAAGTTTTATCGATAAAACTTCCCTTTTATGATTAGGATTCTCTGTGTATTATTTAAGAAAGCTTTGCCTACCCCAAGGGCATGATGATATTTTCTTCTAAAATTTGTATTGTTTTCCCTTTAGCATTTACGACTATGATTCATATGAAATTAATTTTGTGGACACTGTGAAGAACAGCCCAGGTTATTTTTTTAAAATATAGAAATATGCATTTGTTCCAGCATCATGTATTTAAAAGACCATCCTTTCTCCCTATAATTGCAGTAGTTTTATATAAATAAAGTGACTGTATAAGTATAGATCTGTTTCTGGGCTCTCGGTTCCATTCCATCGGTCTGTTTGTCTTTTCTTGCACCAACATGAACTTTTAATTATTATAGCTTTATAGTGAGGTTTTAGTTAAGTCCTTGAACTTTTTTTTTTAATCCAAAGTATTCTTGGCAGTTCTAGATCCCTGAATATAAATATTTTAAAATCAACTTTTTAATCTCCAATGAAAAACCTGCTTGAATTTTGATTGAGATTGTACTGAATATGTAGATTAATTTGTACATAATTGACATCACAAAAATATTGAATCTTCCAGACTGTGAACATACTATATCTTTCCACTGATTTAGGAGTTGAGATTTCTCTCAATATTGTTCAATAATTTTCAGCATAAAGGTATTACACATCTTTTGTCAGATTTATTCTTCAGTTTTTTTAATACTATCTTAACTGATTTTTTTTACTTCATTTACAAATTGTTGATTGCTAGTACACAGAAAAACAGTTTTTATATAATGTCCTTGTATTCAATGATTCAATGACCATGTTAAAATCACTCTTTTGTTGTAATAATTTGTCTGTAGAAGTGTATTTTGGATTTTTTTTTCTATAAACAGTGACTTTATCTGTGAATATTTCTTTTGGATCTTTATACCTTGTGTTTATTTCCCTTGCCTGATAGCAGTGGCCAGAACCCTCAGGTCAATGCTGAATAGATAAATTTTTTTCCCTAGTTCTCATTGTGAAGGTGCACTTTTGCATTCTGAGAGAGATGAATATTTAAGAGGAACACATGGTTTTCTAAGACAGAAATTGGAAGCTGTTGCAAGGTTGAAAAAGGCTCATGTTGGTTTGGGATTAATACTTCATGGAACTTCAGTGACGACTGGGTCAAGAATGAGAAGCAGCTCTGGAGCTTATTTTGAAAGCCTATGTCTCTTCTGAAAGAAAGTCTGATGTTTTTAGGCCTCACATGAGTTATCAAGTGTGACTCTGGATGCGTTGAGGAATGGTAAAAGACTGTTCAATAAAGAAATTGATCAAAAAGGGACTAAGACTTCTGCAGAATGTAAATGTAAGAGGAAACCCAGGAGATAATTTTATTAAAAAAAGTAAAAATCTCAGAGATAAAAAGCATCAGAAAAACAAAAAGTCACCAGTCAACATTACAAGATGCCCATAAAGGCACATATCATCACTATACAGATTTTTCTCAGAATGTTTCAAACACACACACACATCCCCCCCACAAATAGTGACAGTGACTTTTAAATACATTACAGCTCAAAGAACAAACCAAGTCAGAGGTGGAACTGTTTGAGATAACTCATATAACACACATATACATGCATTGAGAAAAGCAGGTGTGATGAAGAACAGCCTCCAGGAGTATCTGATCCTCCTTTCCTGCATTGTGTGTAACTAGTAATGATGATATCTGTAATAAGTATCTATTCTTCTCATCTTGTAAGATGAGGAAGGAAGGTCCTAATGGAGGGACTGCTGTAGCCCTGTTAAATTTCAATAACCCATCTCCTAACTGTGTTGAATCTCAATAACCTATCTCCTATGTTAAATTTCAATAACCTGTCTCCTAGCTATGTTAAATCTCAATAACCTATCTCCTAACTATGTTAAATTTCAATAACCCATCTCCTAACTATGTTAAATTTCAATAACCCATCTCCTAACTGTGTTAAATTTCAATAACCCATCTCCTAACTATGTTAAATTTCAATAACCCATCTCCTAACTAAATGTGAGTCTGTCCTGTCAGCCAGATCAACACTTCCCACCCTTAAGGGACATTTATGAGTTGTCACTTAATTACAGTGACCATATATGTCCAGGTCTGTGAAGGTACAGCTGGGGAGAGTGATGCAAATGCCAATTTCTTCTATCTTCAATCAATTAAGACTCTTGAAATCCTGAAATGTGATACAGCTGTTAAAACTTTAAGGCTTTAGAAAGTAAAATGAAACAGGTAAAATTAACTTTAATAATATGTTTCATTTTACCCAACCTATCCAAAACATTATCATTTTGACATGTAATTAACTTGAGGTATTTTTACATTCTTTTTTTCTCATAGTAAGATATCAAAGTCCAGTATTTTACACTTTACCACATCTCAATTCAAGCAAGCCTCATTCTAATTGCTCAATAGCCACATATAACCAGTAGCTACTGCCAGGACATAGAACCTACTATCCCAAAATATGGCACCTTGGCATGCTGAGGATTTTAAGCTGAAGGAAACTGAGAAAACCACAGAAGAGTAGGTCTCTTTGACCTTCCCCCCATCCTCTCCTGAGGCAGGCCTTAGAAACTGGATTTCCCTTGCCCCTTTTCCCACGAAGCAAGCCATATGTGACTTTTCCCTGAAAATAGGTCATAAATTCTCATTCTAGAGGGGTCCTCCTCATACCAGGAGGAAAGGAATGCCCTCATCTCTGAAGACACAGAGACACAGAAAACAATCGGAGACAAGCAGGCCTTGCTGAATTTTCCCCAGTTTATTGTCATTAGATCATATCTCTTTTTGTCCAATCACGTTTCTCTACAACTATCCTTTTCTTCATCACACTTAGCTTACAACGTATGCAGATTTCCCTGTTTCATTGCATCTACATTTCCTTATGAAGCCTCCCATATCATGTAAAATTTCTCAAATACATGTAATATGGTTTGGCTGTGTCCCCACTGAAATCTCACCTTGAATTGTATCTCCCAGAATTCCCACGTGTTGTGGGAGGGACCCAGGGGAAGGTAATTGAATCACGGGGGCTGGTCTTTTCCTGTGCTATTCTCATGATAGTGAATAAATCTCAGGAGATCTGATGGGTTTATTAGGGGTTTCTGCTTTTGCTTTTTCCTCATTTTTGCTCTCTTGCTGCTACCACGTAAGAAGTGCCTTTCACCTTCTGCCATGATTATGAGACCTCCCCAGCCATGTGGAAGTTAAGTCAAATTAAACCTCCTTTCTTCCCAGTCTCGGGTATGTCTTTATCGGCAGCATGAAAATTAACTAATACAGTAAATTGGTACCAGTAGAGTGGGGTGTTGCTGAAAAGATACCTGAAAATGTGGAAGCAACTTTGGAATTGGGTAACAGGCAGAGGTTGGAACAGTTTGGAGGGCTCAGAAGAAGACAGGAAAATGTGGGGTAGTTGGGAACCTCCTAGAGATTTGTTGAATGGCTTTGACCAAAATGCTGATAGTGATATGGACAATAAAATTCAGGCTGAGGCGGTCTCTGATGGTGATGAGGAACTTGTTGGGAAGTGGAGCAAAGGTCACTCTTATTATGTTTTAGCAAACAGACTGGCAGCATTTTGCCCCTGCCCTAGAGATTTATGGAACTTTAACTTGAGACAGATGATTTAGAATATCTGGAGAAAGAAATTTCTAAGCAGCAAAGTATTCAAGAGGTAACTTGGGTGCTGTTAAAGGCATTTGGTTTTATAAGGGAAGCAGAGCATAAAAGTTTGGAAAATTTGCAGCCTGACTATGTGATAGAAAACAAAAACCCATTTTCTGGGAGAAATTCAAGCCAGCTGCAGACATTTGCATAAGTAGCAAGGAGCCTAACGTTAATCCCCAAGACCATGGGGAAAATGTCTCCAGGCCATGTCAAAGAACTTCCCAGCAGCCCCTCGCATCACAGGTCTGGAGGCCCAGGAAGAAAACACGGTTTTGTGGGCTGGGCCCAGGGTCCCCATACTATGTGCAGCCTAGTGACTTGGTGCCCTGTGTCCCAGCCACTCCAGCTGTGGTTGAAAGGGGCCAACACAGAGCTCCGGCCATGGCTGCAGAGGGTGGAAGTCCCAAACTTGTCAGCTTCCATTTGGTCTTGAGCCTGCGGGTGCACAGAAGTCAAGAACTGAGGTTTGGGAACATACACTTAGATTTCAGAAGATATATGGAAATGCCTGGATGCCCAGGCAAAAGTTTGCTGCAGGGGCGGGGCTCTCATGGAGAACCTCTGCTAGGGCAGTGTGGAAGGGAAATGTGGAATGGGAGCCCCCACACAGAATCCCTACTGGGGCACTGCCTAGTGGAACTGTGAGAAAAGGGCCACCATCCTTCAGACCCCAGAATGATAGATCCACTGACAGCTTCCACTGTGTGTCTGGAAAAGCTGCAGACACTCAGTGCCAGCCCGTGAAAGCAGCCAGAAGGGAGGCTGTACCCTGCAAAGCCACAGGGTGGAGCTGCCCAAGACCATGTGAACCCAGCTCTTGCATCAGAATGACCTGGATGTGAGACCTGGAGTCAAAGGAGATCATTGTGGAGCTTTAAGATTTGACTGCTCTGCTGAATTTTGGACTTGCATGGGCCCTGTAACCCTTTGGTTTTGGCAAATTTTTTCTCATTTGGAATGGCTGCATTTACCCAATACCTATAACCCCATTTTGTCTAGGAAGTAGCTAGCTTGCTTTTCAGTTTACAGGCTCATAGGCGGAAGGGACTTGCCTTGTCTCAGATGAGACTTTGGACTATAGACTTTTGGGTTAGTGCTGAAATGAGTTAAGACTTTGGGGGACTGTTGAAAAGGCATGATTGATTTTGAAATGTGAGGACATGAGATTTGGAGGGGCCAGGGGTGGAATAACATGGCTTGGCCATGTCTCCACTGAAATCTCAACTTGAATTTTATCTCCAGAATTCTCACGTGTTGTGGGAGGGACCCAGGGGGAGGTAATTGAATCGTGGGGATGGTCCTTCCCGTGCTATTCTCGTGATAGTGAATAAGTGTCCAGTGATCTGATGGGTTTATTAGGGCTTTTTCCTCATGTTTTCTCTCTTGCTGCTGCCATTTGCTGCAAAAATGAGGAAGAAGCCGCTGCCATGTAAGAAGTGCCTTTTGCTCGCTGCCATGATTGAGACCTCCTCAGCCATGTGGAACTGGAAGTCAGATTAAACCTCCTTTTCTTCCCAGTCTCAGATATGTCTTTATCGGCAGCATAAAAACGGACTAATACAACATGTGTTTGCTCTTCTCCTGTTAATGTGTCTGCCAGCTCTATTTCCAGACCCAGCCAGGGACCCAAATAGGGTTGTGGAAAACCTTTCTCCCTTACATTCCTGTATTGAATAGTGTAGTTTCTAGGCTTGATTAGAATCAGAATAAACATTTTTGGCAAGAACATTTCATAGACAAAGTTGTATGCTTCATCAGGAGGCCCAGGATGTCATGTGACCCCAGTTAGTGATCTGAGTTTTATCACTGGATTAAGGGAGTAAGCATCAGTTTCCTTCATTACAAAGGTATAGTTTTGCTTTTACATTTGTCAAAAATCTATAAGCTGAGACTTTGGCACCATGAAAATATCGTCTTTTGCAACCAACTTTCAGTTACTGATTTTAACAACCATTGATAATGCATGCCTGGATCCATTATTATATTAAACATTTGAAAATAGTGACTCTAATTCCATTAGTCCTTCTACATTCATCAACTAGTATTCTTCTGTAAAAAAGAGCTTTATATTGTGTGAACTGGCAACCTGAAGGGAGGAGAAAAGAGCTTTGTCTTATCCCTCCCCTCCCCTTTTTGAGGATCACTATGGCTTGTGGACTTCAGTTTACTTGGTTTGTTATTATTTCAGCTTGATATTTAAATTATTACAAATTTTGGCTTCTTCAAGCTCATTCCTATAAAACAACTGTTTTTTTTTCTTCTTTGGATACTTTGCTAAAAAATAATACTTCATAATCTCTTTTAAAGTAAAATAACAGTAACATTTCAGAACAGCAGGTATTACATTTATTCTCTGGAAAATAAAATAATAAAAATAAATAAAAGATTTCAGAATAAGAATATTCCACATTCCATAACACATAGTTATATTACAGTGGTTTTTAAACGTTCATTTCTTATGAAAATATTGGCAAGATTTTTGTCTTAGCCAGAAGGCAAAATGTATTTTAACTTCCTCTGTCTAAATAACAGGATGGTCATTTTATTTTATAAATGAAACAACCAATGCTGCAGCAATAATAGACTGCTCCTGCCAATCTTCCACTCTCAAAGAAATGTATCCCCCAACAGGAGTTCCATCAATTGTTGTAATAACGAAGATTATAATCTGTCAGTCATAAATGCACTCATAGCATTTTATTTTGTTTCCTTATGAGCAATTTTTCACCTTTTCCTCAAACTCATACCTTCTCCCACACTAATAAATTAAGAAATTTATTTCATTTTGTTTTAAAAGAAGAAAAGCAGAATGCATAAAAATGATCTTTCCTTAAAAAATAAAAACCCAAGCTTTTCCCTCTTAGCAGCTGGGATCATCTTTTACTTTCCCAGAGACACCAGATGAGCATGTTTGGGAAGCTGCACATTCATTCATGCCTCTACTGCGTATGTTTTCTCTGCTCAGTGAAGCCTGTGAGCATGGTTAAGCCATGATGGATGTGTCCCTCCCTGGGCTAGTACTTGCCTGTGCCAGCTTGCATGACAAAGCAATCCAGGTCAACAATAACACACTGGACACATCCCTCCACTGACCTGACAGCCATTTGGTTGTATGGCTGCATCTTGTTCAGTAGCAGTCTTGGGTTTTCTCTGTAGCATCAATTTACACTGTCCAAGATTTCTGCAGATGCAGATCAAGTTTGGTGCTCCCAGAATGTAGTATGGGCAGGTGGTATACACTGACTTTCAGGAAAGACAAATCTAAGCATCTCCTCTGTTTGACCACACTACTAACCAAGAGTTGATGTTAAGCAAAACTGTAGACTTTATCTTTCCCACTCTATTTAAAACAGAGCAGGATGAAATTTCTCAATCAAGTGCTATCCACTAAAAATATAATGTGAGTCACAAATGCAAGCCACAAAGGTAATTGAAATTTTTCTAGTAGCCATACTTAAAAAGTGAAAAGAAACAGGAGAAATTAAATGTAATGATATATTTTTATCAATCAAATATACAAAAAGATTATTTCCATATGTAATCAAAATAAAAAATCATGAATGGAATATTTTACATTCTTTTTTAATGCTATTGAATTCCGGTGTGTATTTTATACTCAGAGTACATCTCACTTTGGACAAGTCACATTTCAAGTGCTTGGTGGCTCTGTATGTCTAGTGGCTGCTGCATTGAACAGCACAGATCTAGATTGTGGGTCAAAGTAATCATATTTTCCTTTGTAGAGGAAGTAGTTGTGTGTTCTTATTTGTTCTACCTGATGACAGTTTCTTCACCAGATACAACTTGTTATATTCCACTAACAAGTGGTCAGAAGTCTGAGAAACACAGGGACACTAGAACTTGCTAATATTTGAGGAATCCTACTGTCTCACCAAACTTTTAGTCAGTGCCAACCTTTGTTTAAAGTGCTGATTGACAGTAGGGTGACTATAGTTAACATTAATACCTTATACATTTCAGAATAGCAAGAAGGGAATAAATCAAATGCTCCTAGTACAAAGAGAAGATAAATAGTTAAGGTGATAGATATCCCAATTTC
Source organism: Homo sapiens (assembly GCF_000001405.40). NCBI lineage: Eukaryota > Metazoa > Chordata > Mammalia > Primates > Hominidae > Homo > Homo sapiens. Next base: position 93,062,244 of record NC_000011.10, on the reverse strand, counting down.
CCTGATTTGATCTTTACACATTATATAAATGTATGAAATATCACATGCATGCCCAAATATGTACATCTATTATGTATCAGTTTTTAAAATGCAGACCTGGCTTTGGTTGATAGCTTTTACCCTACGGTGTGTCAGGAGCAATCCCTGAGATTACAGAATTTAGATTAATTATAGCTTTACTTTGTTTTGTGGATGCTCGCATAAGTAACTTCAATAAATCCAGATTCCTTAGCACATCATCAGACATTGCTGAGTCTGCACCATGCGAAGGTATGTGGCCACAGACTGCTGGAACGTTTCCTTCCTTTCAGCTTCCCAGAATGAACACTTCCTTGAGACACTCAGAGCCAGCCAGTTGGGCTCAAAGACACCTGCTTTCCATGGGAGTTTGCCAAGGAATCAATATGTCAAGGAATCTCCAGTATATTTAATTTACCTGGAGGTCTGTGCAGGGGCAACTAGGAGCCACCATGGAAAGCTTCCAGAGGAAGCATGCGTGAATGGAGTATATTTATCTGACCTATGCAGATATCTGGAATTTGTCTTAGGCAGACATTAAAAAGAATTGTGTATTTTGTGATTACATTGATAGTGAGGTTTTCCTTGCCATGGCCGGAATACATTTAGAATATGACTAAGGACATATGCAGAAAACTGAAACTGGACCCCTTCCTTACACCTTATACAAAAATTAACTCAAGATGGGTTAAAGATTTAAACGTAAGACCTAAAACCATAAAAACCCTAGAAGAAAACCTAGGCAATACCATTCAGGACATAGGCATGGACAGAGACTTCATGACTAAAACACCAAAAGCAATGGCAACAAAAGCCAAAGTTGACAAATGGGATCTAATTTAACTAAAGAACTTCTGCACAGCAAAAGAAACTACCATCAGAGTGAGTAGGCAACCTACAGAATGGGAGAAAATTTTTGCAATCTACTCATCTGACAAAGGGCTAATATCCAGAATCTACGAGGAACTTAAACAAATTTATAAGAAAAAAACAACCCCATCAAAAAGTGGGCAAAGGATCTGAACAGACACTTTTCAAAAGAAGATGTTTATGCAGCCAACAAACATATGAAAAAAAGCTCATCCTCACTGGTCATTAGAGCAATGCAAATCAAAACCACAATGAGATACCATCTCATGCCAGTTAGAATGGTGATCATTAAAAAGTCAGGAAACAATAGATGCTGGAGAGGATGTAGAGAAATAGGAACGCTTTTACACTGTTGCTGGGAGTATAAATTAGTTCAACCATCGTGGAAGACAGTGTGGCAATTCCTCAAGGATCTAGAACTAGAAATACCATTTGACCCAGCCATCCCATTACTGGGTATATACCCAAAGGATTATAAATCATTCTACTATAAAGACACATGCACACGTATGTTTATTGCAGCACTATTCACAATAGCAAAGACTTGGAACCAACCCAAATGTCCGTCAATGTTAGACTGGATAAAGAAAATGTGACACATATACACCATGGAATACTGTGCAGCCATAGAAAAGGATGAGTTCATGTCCTTTGCAGGGACATAGATAAAGCTGGAAACCATAATTCTCAGCAACCTAATACAGGAACAGAAAACCAAACGCCGCATGTTCTTATTCATAAGTGGGAGTCCACCCAGTGAAAACATATGGGCACAGGGAGGGGAACATCACACACCAGGGCCTGTTGGGGGTTGGGGGATAAGGGGAGGGGTAGCATTAGGAGAAATACCTAATGTAGATGACGGGTTGATGGGTGCAGCAAACTACCATGGCACATGTATGCCTATGTAACAAACCTGCATGTTCTGCACATGTATCCCAGAACTTCACATATAATAATAATAAAAAAGAATATGGCTAAGGATCATGACGTTGTTGGCATGACATAATTGATGAAGTCCTGTTTTGATTTTAACAATTGTCTACACCAACCTGTTCATAAATTCACTGCCCTGCACGATTAAATATCGCAGGAAGTCCTCCATAGATTAGATATAGCTTGCCTATAAAGACTGGTAGCACCAGATAATTTTCTTTAGAAACAAATCTCTGATAACACCTTATCTCTATTTCCCATTAGGTTTGCCTTACACACATACACACCCACAAAGCTGATTCCAGAATTAAAGAGCTTGGCTAGTATATCACTGCCTTCCAAAGGATTCAGCAGCCAGAAGAGCACGCTTTACAGTCATAATAATCACACAGATAGGGCCACCTTGCAGAGTTTCTTTTTCACCTTTTTCTTCATCCCTTGCTGTCTTTATCACAAACCATGGCCTGCTGCTGCACAACAAAGCTGGAGGCTTCATTCTCCCTCTTTTTGAAATAATCAGACCCAGGGGTCTTTAACTTGTCAAAACTGGCTTTGCTGCCCTTTCCCAGTGTTCAGTGTGACACCATTATCTTGAGAACCATTATGTCATAGAGCTATAATACTTGGGGTGTGCAGAAATAACTCTCAGTGTGATGCCTAGGTGACAATTCACTAGAGTGTTCACCTGGGTAATTACCTAGAGATGGGTGCCAATCCTCCTCTGTGATGCTGACAGTCTCGGGGCCAGGCATGCTAAAGACTCCTGTTCTGTAATGTATGCTGCAGTTAAGCAGGCTCTGAAGATACTTGCTAGAGTTCATGTGGAGTTTTTGGCATCCTTCCACAAACTAAAGCCACATCATCATCTCTGAATTGAATTTTTCAAGAGGACATACGCTAAGAAGGTGAAAACTGATAGTTGCAAACTTCCAGACTTCTCACTAAAGTCATATCGGAAAGATCTGACCATAGCTCAACCTTCCCCCTCCAGCAGCAATTTTACTAATACTTCGCGGGTTCAAAGCAACCACTCTTTAAAGCAATAACCCTCAAAATATTCTGTTTACAGTCTGATAATCTCAGTGCAGCTAGGAAAAAAGCTTCCTGCTTACAGTTGAGTTGGTGAACATAATCACCAAAAGCTCTGTGGGAATGTCTTTAAAACGCCAAACTTCACAAATCTCAGGAATGTTATCAGCCACTTGCAGACTACATTTACTCTTAAAGCACAGCAAGTCCCCACTATGGCTTTATAAACATAGAGGAGTCTGCTGACAGATCTTTGCCTGTGTGCAGTAGAGCATAAATATTAGCTTTCCACCAACACTTGAGAGCAGGGCAGACAAACCTGTCCATTAGAGTGAATACAATTTGGCCTTTCCAAGATCAAAATGATGTTTTTCAGTGTCTGCAGAATTACCATTATTAATATGTGAGTGTTCTTCCTCTTTTTCCTGAAAGTAATAGAAACTTGTGCTGTGAACATCAGGCATCATCTCTCCAGTCTTTGAACCATTAGTGTAAGCAGATAGCATTTATTCAATGCCCCCACAAACAGGAATCCTTGGGTTCCAGAGGCAAGACTAATTCATGCCGACTTAGAAAACCAATCCCGAAGAGAATGGAATTGACCATAGTCCTGGTATAAATCACCTCCCAGGTTGTTTAAATCCAATCCCAGCACTCTGGCTCCCCTCTTTGAAACAGGTGAAGATAATAGAAGCCCTAGAAGATAATAACCATTACATTCCCAGGCCATTGTGCCTCTTGTGAAAGTTGTCAGAATCAAAACAGGGTCACTTGTGTTAAGAACCCTGACAAACAGAACCAGGGAAGGCCATGAAGAGAGAGCTCTCATGCACAAATGGCTGATAACAAAAAACCACAACCTTGCACAAAGGCCATTGCAACCTCACACACAAAAAATACTCCTGCAAGGACATCTCCCTAGAAACTGCCAGCCAGCCTGATCTGGTGCCACTTTTGTTATTGATCCTTGTAGCCAAGAATAATTATCTCAAAACAATTATGTAATTCCCCCCAACTTTTTCTTTAAAACCCTTCATCTGCCTTTACCTCCTTGAATATGCACATAGTTTACCATGTCACAGATATTCCCATTGCAATGCCCTATTCTTGAATAAATATCATTTTTCTTTTAGAGAGCCTCTCTCTGTTTGTTACTTAGGTTGACACTCCATTGATCATGTAGGCATGTCATATGGAAATGTCATCGTGGCATTTCTTGCTAGAAACCTCAGTCCTTGGAAAACTAGGATGAAATGATCCTTCCAAGCAGAGGAGGCCATGTGGGAGTAAAAAAGCCAGCATGCATGGAGTAAGAGGATAGACTCACACACACAAACATAGAAGCCAGGTAGAATAGAGAGAGAGAGGACAGCATGCTTCACTAGAGACTCACCCTCACTGCACATATATTTGAAAGATATATTTTGTATCTTTCATTACAAGTCGTCTAAGTAATGACTTTACATTATAGAATACCAGCTGTATTCAGAATCTATATATTCTTATTGTAATGCCATAACTTTGTCTACTGATGAAACAACTTATTCTTTTCATATCACTGGGAAATCTTTCCTCTGTCAGCTAGTATCATCTGACAGCTATAATATTTCAGAACTGTCATGATACCTACATATTTCTGATTTTGAAACTTTTTTTTTTTAAGTGGGGAACGTGTCCCATATTCCCCAGAAAACTCAAGGCCTGTGGAAATGTGTTTAGCTTCAGGGAATAAAAATGCAGTCAGGGCTACAGATGCTGGCAAAGTTGTGGAGAAAAAGGAACACTTATACACTGTTGGCAGGAGCATAAATTAGTACAAACATTGTGAAAACTTTGTGAAGATTTCTCAAAGACCCAAATATAGAAATACCATTCGACCCAGCAATCCCATTACTGGGATTATATATACCCCCCCCCCATATAAATCATTCTATTCTAAAGACACATGCATGCATATGTTCATTATATTGCTATTCACAATAGCAAAGACATGGAATCAACCTGAATGTCAATCAGTGATAGAAAGGACAAAGAAAATGTGGTACGTATACACCATGGAATACTATGCAGCCATAAAAAAGAATATCAGCCGGGCATGGTGGCTTATGCCTGTAATCCCAGCACTTTGGGAGGTGAGGTGGGTGGATCACCTGAGATCAGGAGTTCGAGACCAGCCTGGCCAATGTGGTGAAACTCGTCTCTGCTAAAAATACAAAAAAATTAGCCGGGCCTGGTGGCAGGCATCTGTAATCCCAGCTACTCAGGTGGCTGAAGCAGGAGAATCACTTGTACCCGGGAGGCGGAGGTTGCAGTGAGCCAAGATTGCACCATTGCACTCCAGCCTGGGCAAGAAGAGTGAAACTCTGTCTCAAAAAAAAAAAAAAAAAAAAAAACCAAAAACAAACAAACAAGATCATATCCTTTGCAGGGACATGGATGGAGCTGGAGGCCATTATCTTCCGCAAACTAATGCAGAAACAGAAACAGAAAACCAAATACTACATATTCTCAGTTATAAGTGGGAGCTAAATGATGAGAATACATGGAAGCCTAGAGGGGAATGACACACACTGGAGCCTATCGGAGAGTGAAGGGTGGGAGGAGGGAGAGGATCAGGAAAAATAACCAATGGATATTAGGCTTAATACCAGGGTGAGGAAATAATCTGAATAACACACCCCCAAAGATACATGTTTATCTATGTAACAAACGTTCACATCTTGCACATGTACCCTTGAACCTAAAATAAAAGTAAAAAAAATGCAGTCAGGAGAGTGGGGCTCTGTGGATATTGACATCCTTCCCGAGGCATCAGGTTCAGAGCAATCTCTCACTAAGTAACTGTCTACTGTAATGTACTCATCCTAAGACTTTGAATTGTGGTTGTAAACAGTCTTGAAAATCAGTAGCAATAAATGCATTTAAATATTATTAAAATTGGTCCCCAAGCTCTCCCTCTAACTTCACTTGAACATGAGTGCTGCATAATTTAATATGAGGTGTGTAGCCTTGTTTCTTGTACACGTTCAGAGTATTTTGGGGGTCCAAAACCAAAGATACTTATCCTTCAAAAAAGCCCTCCACATATTCCAATTAATACTCAGGGTCTTTTTCAAATTCTTGGTATTAGCTCCCCGTTAGTCATATTGATAATATCCCTTGTGTATTATAATCTTTCTAGTCTTAAATGCTTCTCAGCAGCCATGAACTCTTCAGATTATCTCCATGAGGATTAAACAACAGAAACTACCTGGACAAGAATCACAGAATCTAATGAGATTCTAGTTTGCTCCTACAAAGGTCTACAGAAAAGAAAATGTGATGACCAAGAGTAATGATAGGTAGTTGGTCACACTCTGAGTTCAGCTGAGAGAATCACTGGAAGAAAGCAATGGTTAAAAAAAAAAATGGAGGTCATAGTTTAGATATAATCCAAGGCCAATTGCCCATAGCCAGGTAGCCAAAGCTGAAGTCATCCTAATTTTTCAGAAATGGTAGCCCTAATCATAAATGAAACACAAAATAAAAGCTTTACGTTTTTGCCAGCAGGATTCGGTAAAAGTAAACTAATCAGCAAAAGTCAGATCAGCTTAAACAGCTCTACTTGCCCTAAAAGAATGTTAATGTGTAACAACCAATTACAAAAAAGGTCACAATACTTCCTCCTTAATGCTTTATAAACTGCACAGTAACTGTTGTAAGCAGAGCTTCTTTTTTTTTTTTTTTTTTTTTGAGACAGAGTCTCACTCTGTCGCCCATGCTGGAGTGCAGTGGCGCCATCTCGGCTCACTGCAAACTCCGCCTCCCAGGTTCACCCCATTCTCCTGCCTCAGCCTCCCGAGTAGCTGGGACTACAGGCGCCCGCTACCATGCCCGGCTAATGTTTTGTATTTTTAGTAGAGACAGGGTTTCACCATGTTAGCCAGGATGGTCTTGATCTCCTGACCTCATGATCCACCTGCCTTGGCCTCCCAAAGTGCTGGGATTACAGGCGTGAGCCACCACGCCTGGCCATAAGCAGAGCTTCTTACCTCTTCTGGTTTGAAGCCTCCCAGTTCCCCAGCTATTCTTTTGAGTGCACAATAAACTCTTACAATTTTTAAATCTGATCTGATTTTTTTGACAAAACTTTCATTCCTGTGTCTTTGAGGAAGTGCACCAAAAGCACTCACCACTCCGTGTCTCTCTTGAAAGCTAATCTCTGTGGTGGTGTTTTTCCACTGTGCCAATCTGAAGAGGCCCAGAGGAGGGAGAAACAGTGTAGGCCACTTTTCATGCTGTGATGACAGACAGCTGAATCATCCTGAATGTGTGCAATTGCATGGGTGTTTATTACTACAAGTTACATGGTGTTTGCCACAGATATGAGTCAACCCAGGAGCATCCTCATATTTGTCATCTTGTAATAATAATCAGAGTATGAAAGTACAAAAACCATTTGGGGGCGTTGATGACCTCTCAGAAACAGAGCTTTCCCATCCACCATGGCCACATTAATAGAAACATCTCTTTATTTTCAGATGATTTACTTTTTAATTAAAAATTATTTTGTAGATTAGATGTGATTCCAGGTTATTACAGTATTTATAGCATTGTCATGTATTTGCGTTTTTATATTTTCTCTGGTAACAAAGAGATGGAAGTACATATACAGTCATAAGTATACTCAAAAAAGTGAATTTCTTATATGAATGCCACCACCTCATTAGTTTCCATCAAAAAAAAAAATTAAACTAATTCAGTAAAATAACTTTGGGTAACAACCATGTGCTGGAAAAAAAAAGAAAAAAGAAACATCTCTCCTCTGTATCTTTTTTTCTGAAAGAAAGACCCTGAGCCTTGTGAACTATCCCCACCTGCACCAGCAGTGTCCTACCTTAGCAACACTTTGTAAGAGCTCCGGCAAGACATGAGTGAGTCTCCAAGTGATGAGAATCCACCCGATGCTGATTACTACAATGAATCATCTGAGTAGGAAGAACAGATTTTACCTTTTCATGTACACTCCCAATTTTATCCTTTACCGCTATCAACCTATGATCAGTATACTTTGAAATACTCTGCAACCAGGGATTCCACAGCACAGAAATGGGTGAGGACGATGGGCTATTTACACCTTCTCTTGATAATGGGAGCTGGAATGAAAACCTCTGGGTCTTGCACTGACCATAAGTCTCTGCAAACTCCTGATGATCACCTCACATGTCAGGGGTCTGTATAAGATAGTGTCTGGTTTGGATTTCCAAAAGAAAATGTGGGGTCATATTCAGCACAATAACAATTTCACATAGGAATTCTCGGTTTCTGAAAATAAATAAATAAATAAATAAATAAATAAATAAATAAATAAATAAAACCTCCCCATCATTACTCTTGGCTACTTCAGCCTCCTTCCCCATAGCTCCTGTGTGGTCCCCAGAGCCCCAGAGCCCATGTTTCTGATGCATTGTGTGGGGGAACTGCACAAAGCATCTCCCCACTGTATCTCAGGAAAGCTGGGGGCAGCCCCGTGGCAGTTTGGTGCTGCTAAAGCTTGTATCACAGGCTGACAACAGAGATGCCCTCTCTATCCTAGGGACTGAGGCTTCTATGGCAGCAAAACAACAACAAAAAATATAAAGAAATAGCCAGCAGCTCTGTCTCAACCAAATCCTTGGGGCTGTCGGATACATTCTCCCTAAACACTGTACCTTAACATCATCTGCTGTATTCATAATAATCCGTGTTTCTAACTTCAATTCTTTTATTGTGAGCATCTAAGCATTTCCTTCATGATGGATGATAGCTTTGCTGTGTTAACATCATGGTGACTTTTCTTTCCCTTTCAGCCAACTACAGCAGTATTATCATCTATCTACATACTAATATTTAAACATACATATTTGTGATTTTAAAGTTTCCGACAACACATACTTGTAGCACAATTTCCAGCTATTAGCAGACAAACCACTTGCACTTTTTTGCTGATCTAGGGGTGTCAGAGGTGGTATTGGCATCTGATTACTCATTTTTCTTGCAGCTTCTGTCACATTCATACAACAAACAGCCATGATCATTATATAGAAGACAGAAATATATTTCCCAGAAATATTTTTTTTTGTTGGCGGGGGGAAAGAGCTTAGAGTCCTCAACCAATTTCAAACATACTTCCCTACTGAACCTTGAAAATAAAACATCTTCATTCACCTTGTCCTGTATGGTATAATTGGACACATGGGTGGAAGGGGTACAACAAAATTCCACCAAGCATTATTGAAACATGTAAGAACTGCCTCATAGTCGCCCCCAAACTATTTGCTTCAGATTGCTGTAAGCAAATCTGAGGTTTGCAAAAGTGAGGCTCAGGGACCTATCTGGGTGAACTGATGGGGTTATTGGGTGGGCCATCCATTCAGCCCCTAATGTGGAGAAGAAAGGAATGGGCTAAAGTTACCGCCCCACATCCATAGGCAAAAAATGAAACATGAATTGAGAGGCATCTCTCACCTTCGGATAACCAGACTAATTACTATAAAAATAGTCATCTCTTTTTTTGTGGCCATCGCCGAAGTGGCAGTGACCAAAATGAAATTCAATCCATTTATCACTATAGACTGAATCAAGAACCATAAAGGACATTTCAATAAGCCTTCCCACATTCTCAGGAGGATTACATTTTCCCTTCTTTCCAAAGAGCTAAGACAGAGTACGATGTTCAATCCATGCCCATCTGAAAGGATGATGAAGTTCAGTTGTGTGAGGACACTATAAAGGTCAGCAAATTGGCAAAGTAATCCAGGTTTACAGGATGAAATATGTCATCTACATTGAACAGGTGCGGTGGAAAAAAAGCTAATTGCAAAACCACCCATGTGGGCATTCACCGCAGCAGGGCAGTTATCACCAGGCTAAAGCTGGACAAAGATGCAAAAAGATCCTTGAACAGAAAGCCAATTCTTGCCAAGTGGGAAAGGGAAAGGGAAAATATAAGGAAGAAACAATCAAGATGCAGGAATAAAGTAATCTTATTTACAAATAGTCTATATCTCCGAGTCTGTTCTAGATTATTAGGAAAAGGCTCCTCAACCATGGCCTGAGGAATAAGGAAGTATCTGTGCCCTTCAAGCCATCAAAACCCACCTCATTCTAATATCTCAAAAGAAGATCATCACCCCCTTCCCTCAGGGGTCTGTTTTCTTTCTGGAGCCTTGAATCCTATTTCAGTTGTACTGCAGGTCCAGAGACATCCCACCCCAAAACCCGAAAAGGTTTTTCCTTTCAATCTTTCCTCTTTTTTTTTTTTTCTTTTGAGGCAAGGTCTTTCTCTGTCACCCTGGCTGGAGTGCAGTGGTGCCATCATAGTCCTCACTATAACCTCAAACTCTAGGCTCAAGCTATCCTCATCCTCCTGCTTCAGCCTCCTGAGTATCTAGGTCTATAGGTGCATGTCACCACCACACCCTTCTAATTCTTTCTTTCTTTCTTTCTTTCTTTTTTTTTTTTTTGTAGAGACAGGGTTCCACTATGTTGTACAGGCTGGTCTCCAACTCTGGGCCTCAAATGATCCTCCCAACTCAGTCTCCCAACATGCTGAGATGACAGGCATGAGCCACCCAACCTGGCCAAAAGCTTTTTTATTACATACTATAGAGGAGATGAACATTATACTATCTGACTGTTATACACAACATACTTTCCTGATAATAAGTTTATTTCCTTATTAAGTGGTGAATAGGACATACTTTTGGATCTATCCTACCCATGGCTGTGCTGTCAAACCTTTATTTAATTAAAGGGTGCTATTCTCACATACTGACAAGGAACCCCTACATATTGTTGACAAGACATGCTAATATAAATTACTGTCCACTCCCAAATTAGTGGATAAAAAAATAGTGCTATGCTATAGCAGAAATGAGTCTCTGTGGAGTTATTCTAGCCCTTCCCAGCAATAGTCTCTGGGAGATGAGGAACAAGTCGGTGGAATCCTGGCCAGGATCTGTAGTTTCAAGTCCTTTCCCTGGGAGACTGTGTGTAAAATGAATGGCATGCATGCTTGCGAAGTGTCCTGTTTTAGGCATCATCTCTTAGATATTATATCTTTTAGTGTATGGGATGGGGGAGGTGCATTTTTGTACTGCCAAAAATGGTCAATGTTATCCATTTTGGTGGAAACTTTGAATATGACTCTGTGAGGTTTTTGTACTTTTAAAAATAAAGTATTTAGAATTTTCTGTTTGGTAATTTATTTAAAAATACTATGAATAGTATGGTATAAATCCATGTGCAGGGTAAACTTGATCTACACATTAAGAGAGGTTAGTTGGCATTTGGAGAAAACTAATCAGCAGAATTCACACAGCAGATATAAACGGCGGACACTTCAAATATTGTTATGTAAATGTACACCAGAAGTAAGGCATGCTAGAAATAATTTGTTATTAATGAATGAGTGGTGTTCTAGATATGTGGTTGAGAAAGATTTCACATAAGGGAGATACAAGAATTCAGTAAGCCTTGCAGTCCAACACCTTCAGAGGGGTGGCTGAAATCTAGAATTCCCTTTGTTCCTGTTTTTCCTGAATTAATAAAGGACCATGTTTTCCCCATCTAACTAGAAGCCTTTAGGATATCATGGCACCAGTCTCAAATTGAAATTTCCAGGCAGATACTTGTTGAAATGCATACAAACAGAGAGCAGGACTTTATCATGCTTACAGAAGCAAGCTATGAGACTGTTCTGTGCCAACATGAGAATAAATATTATACCTACGGCAAAATTTGTAAGGGATTTGCTTTTATTGAAATTTAACACCTGAGAGCAATATTGGAGGTAAAGAATTCTGTAGCCTCTGTATTCTCTAATTACCAGAGGCTACTCATATTTTCAAAATAATTTAACAATCACTGAATACAAAATTGGGGTAGGTGCATTTGTAACACATGTATTTTGGGGTTCATTTATGTCACTGGACATAAAGCTCTCCATAGCAACCTCTATGGCAACTTAAATGGAGGGATGTAAATGAATTTAAGATAGAGGAATATGCACAGTAGTAATTCCTAACACCACTCATCCTTCTCGCAAATTCACATGTCAAAACAAACAAAAAGCCCAAATTACATTAATCAGAAAATTTTGTTTAACTGACAGTGTCATTCATCCTAATGACAGAATTCCTCCAGGGAGAAGAACGTTTTCAGAAATTTGGCCAAATCCTTAACCAGATTCCCTCTGTCGGTCCTGCAGCATAGCTAGTTGCTTGCTGATTGCATCTTCTGTTGTTTGAAGGGCAGTTGTTCTCATTAGTATTCACTCACTAGGAAACGGAGTCAGAGGCCACCCTTTCACCAGTTTGCTTCAGGGACTGGTAATGAAAGGAAGAAATCACTCCATGTTTCCAAAAGAGGTATGTGCCATCTCATACAGTTCATAGGGCAATAAAAAGCACTCTTCAGAGTAGATAACTCTTTCACAATTACAGACCTAGGACACCAGAATGAGACTTTGACATTAGCTTTGTGCCTAGATAGAACATAAGTGTTCCATTGCTTTGTGAGCCATCCTATCTAGAAATAGTTTTAATTACCTTTAGAATAATGGCAACTTCAGGTCTATTCTCTCCAGCCAGGAACTCTCACCTGAGCCTAGGTAGGTCAATCCAGCTATCTACTAGACCCAGTATTTCATACATATTCGTTATGCTTTCTGCAAAACCTGTCCTTGCTGCTGCTTCTCCTCTGTGTCTATCTCAGTGTATCTTCAGTTCATCCATCATCCATAACCCTATATGTATCCATATTGCTGAAATATGAATGATTAATTAAGTAGAATTTTGCCTCTTATTCATGGCAGGGATGTCTCTGTGTCCTTTTTGTCATTCAACCAACTGGGCTGAGAGATGCCATTTTTTGCATGTGGGTGCCACGGTCATTCTGGGCATGGATACCCAGGCAGCTGACAAAGGCAGAGAGAGTAAATTTGGCCTGCAGCCTATAGTTTGCCAGCCTCTTCTTTAGAATGTCAAGTCCATGATATCAGGGGCCCTTTCTGTCTTCTTCATTCTGTATCTCCTATGTGTTCAATAGTACTTGACCTTCAAAGAAAAGAAAGTATCTTCATATTGTGTTTAAATCTGAATCTGCGAGAGGAGCTTTTTATTTCAAGCAGACTGCAGAGAGAAAAATCTTCACTAGAATCTGGTGCTTTCTTGCTAATGAAAGAAAGCACTCAGTATGTATAAAGTAGGGAGTTAATTACTATTAGGCTTGTGAGTAAAAGAGACTTATGGATTAATTAACTCAAGGCTTGGTGAATGCATTTAAGGCTTGTAAGCAAAATCAATTTCTTTAACAAATATATTTAACAGCCTAAGTGAACAAATAAAGTTTCCTAAAATAACTTTAAAAATCTTTGTTGTATAACAAATATATGGTGCAGTTTACAGTCCTGTGAAAGTAAATAAAATTTTTCTAGTTGAATAGCTGAATATCTTCGAGAACCATCAACTTGCTTTTCAATACCTTGGGACTACTGGTGGGGAAGAGAGACATATATACCCAAGATGTATTTGACCGAGACTCATTGTATGTCAGTGGGCATTAAAAGGGAGGATATAATTATAGAAAAACAATGATTTGAGCCAATTTTCCTTTTAAAAACAATCACAAATATGGCAAATATATTTTAAAAAATATATCCTTGAAAGTATTGAATAATTGACAAGTGTGTTAGTCATTAGGGATGTTTACCGTCATTTCAAGTTCTCTGAGCACTCATGTGCTCAGCATTGTTCCTCCCCACCCTCTTGAAGTTGGTGTGGCCATGTGACTTGCTTTGGACAGTAAAATATGAGCAGAGGTAACTGATTTGTGTTATTTCTTTGCAGTCATTTAAGGTCAATGTGTGATTCACCATTCCCTGTGCCATGGTAATCATGGCTCCCTGAGTGAGGAAAATGGGGAGCACACCATCTGCCAACTTGACATAAGAGTTTTGTTATTAAGAATACATTTCTAGCCAGGCGCGGTGGTGTGTGCCTCTAGTCTCAGCTACTAGGGAGGTTGAGGCAGGAGGATGGCTTGAGCCCAGGTGTTTGAGGCCAGGCTGTGCCACACAGGGAGACTGTCTCTCTCATTTTTTTTTAAATTTTATTATTATTATACTTTAAGTTTTAGGGTACATGTGCACAATGTGCAGGTTTGTTACATATGTATACATGTGCCATGTTGGTGCGCTTCACCCATTAACTCATCACTTAGCATTAGGTATATCTCCTAATGCTATCCCTCTCCCCTCCCCCCACCCCACAACAGTCCCCGGTGTGTGATGTTCCCTTTACTGGGTCCATGTGTTCTCATTGTTCCATTCTCACCTATGTGAATTGGCTTTTGTTGCCATTGGCTTTTGGTGTTTTAGACATGAAGTCCTTGCCCATGCCTATGTCCTGAATGGTATTGCCTAGGTTTTCTTTTAGGGTTTTTATGGTTTTAGGTCTAACATGTAAGTCTTTAATCCACCTTGAATTAATTTTTATATAAGGTGTAAGGAAGGGATCCAGTTTCAGCTTTCTACATATGGCTAGCCAGTTTTCCCAGCACCATTTATTAAATAGGGAATCCTTTCCCCATTGCTTGTTTTTGTCAGGTTTGTCAAAGATCAGATAGTTGTAGATGTGCGGCATTAATTCTGAGGGCTCTGTTCTGTTCCATTGGTCTATATCTCTGTTTTGGTACCAGTACCATGCTGTTTTGGTTACTGTAGCCTCGTAGTATAGTTTGAAGTCAGGTAGCGTGATGCCTCCAGCTTTGTTCTTTTGGCTTAGGATTGACTTGGCAATGCAGGCTCTTTTTTGGTTCCATATGAACTTTAAAGTAGTTTTTTCCAATTCTGTGAAGAAAGTCATTGGTAGCTTGATGGGGATGGCATTGAATCTATAAATTTCCTTGGGCAGTATGGCCATTTTCACGATATTGATTCTTCCTACCCATGAGCATGGAATGTTCTTCCATTTGTTTGTATCCTCTTTTATTTCATTGAGCAGTGGTTTGCAGTTCTCCTTGAAGAGGTCCTTCACATCCCTTGTAAGTTGGATTTCTAGGTATTCTATTCTCTTTGAAGCAACTGTGAATGGAAGTTCACTCATGATTTGGTTCTCTGTTTGTCTGTTATTGGTGTATAAGAATGCTTGTGATTTTTGCACACTGATTTTGTATCCTGAGACTTTGCTGAAATTGCTTCTCAGCTTAAGGAGATTTTGTGCTGAGATGATGGGGTTTTCTAGATACACAATCATGTCATCTGCAAACAGGGACAATATGACTTCCTCTTTTCCTAATTGAATGCCCTTTATTTCCTTCTCCTGCCTGATTGCCCTGGCCAGAACTTCCAACACTATGTTGAATAGGAGTGGTGAGAGAGGGCATCCCTGTCTTGTGCCAGTTTTCAAAGGGAATGCTTCCAGTTTTTGTCCATTGAGTATGATATTGGCTGTGGGTTTGTCATAGATAGCTCTTATTATTTTGAGATACGTCCCATCAATACCTAATTTATTGAGAGTTTTCAGCATGAAGGGTTGTTGAATTTTGTCAAAGGCCTTTTCTGCAGCTATTGAAATAATCATGTGGTTTTTGTCTTTGGTTCTGTTTATATGCTGGATTACATTTATTGATTTGCGTATGTTCAACCAGCCTTGCATCCCAGGGATGAAGCCCACTTGATCATGGTGGATAAGCTTTTTGATGTGCTGCTGGATTCGGTTTGCCAGTATTTTATTGAGGATTTTTGCATCAATGTTCATCAAGGATATTGGTCTAAAATTCTCTTTTTTGGTTGTGTCTCTGCCAGGCTTTGGTATCAGGATGATGCTGGCTTCATAAAATGAGTTAGGGAGGATTCCCTCTTTTTCTATTGATTGGAATACTTTCAGAAGGAATGGTACCAGCTTCTCCTTGTACCTCTGGTAGAATTTGGCTGTGAATCCGTCTGGTCCTGGACTTTTTTTGGTTGGTAAGCTATTAATTATTGCCTCAATTTCAGATCCTGTTATTGGTCTATTCAGAGATTCAACTTCTTCCTGGTTACTCTTGGGAGGGTGTATGTGTTGAGGAATTTATCCATTTCTTCTAGATTTTCTAGTTTACTTGCGTAGAGGTGTTTATAGTATTCTCTGATGGTAGTTTATATTTCTGTGGTATCAGTGGTGATATCCTCTTTGTCATTTTTTATTGTGTCTTTTTGATTCTTCTCTCTTTTCCTCTTTATTAGTCTTGCTAGCAGTCTATCAATTTTGTTGATCTTTTCAAAAAACCAGCTCCTGGATTCATCGATTTTTTGAAGAGTTTTTTGTGTCTCTGTCTCCTTCAGTTGTGCTCTGATCTTAGTTATTTCTTGCCTTCTGCTAGCTTTTGAATGTGTTTGCTCTTGCTTCTCTAGTTCTTTTAATTGTGATGTTAGGGTGTCAATTTTAGATCTTTCCTGCTTTCTCTTGTGGGCATTTAGTGCTATAAATTTCCCTCTACACACTTTTTTGAATGTGTCCCAGAGGTTCTGGTATGTTGTGTCTTTGTTATCGTTGGTTTCAAAGAACATCTTTATTTCTGCCTTCATTTTGTTATGTACCCAGTAGTCATTCAGGAGCAGGTTGTTCAGTTTCCATGTAGTTGAGCGGTTTTGAGTGAGTTTCTTAATCCTGAGTTCTAGTTTCATTGCACTGTGGTCTGAGAGACAGTTTGTTACAATTTCTGTTCTTTTACATTTGCTGAGGAGTGCTTTACTTCCAACTATGTGGTCAATTTTGGAATAGGTGTGGTGTGGTGCTGAAAAGAATGTATATTCTGTTGATTTGGGGTGGAGAGTTCTGTAGATGTCTATTAGGTCTGCTTGGTGCAGAGCTGAGTTCAATTCCTGTATATCCTTGGTAACTTTCTGTCTCGTTGATCTGTCTAATGTTGACAGTGGGGTGTTAAAGTCTCCCATTGTTATTGTGTGGGAGTCTAAGTCTCTTTGTAGGTCACTAAGGACTTGCTTTATGAATCTGGGTACTCCTGTATTGCGTGCATATATATTTAGGATAGTTAGTTTTTCTTGTTGAATTGATCCCTTTACCATTATGTAATGGCCTTCTTTGTCTCTTTTGATCTTTGTTGGTTTAAAGTCTGTTTTATCAGAGACTAGGATTGCAACCCCTGCCTTTTTTTGTTTTCCATTTGCTTGGTAGATCTTCCTCCATCCTTTTATTTTGAGCCTATGTGTGTCTCTGCACATGAGATGGGTTTCCTGAATACATCACACTGATGGGTCTTGACTCTTTATCCAATTTGCCAGTCTGTGTCTTTTAATTGGAGCATTTAGCCCATTTACATTTAAGTTTAGTAGTGTTATGTGTGAATTAATATTAGCTGCTTATTTTGCTCGTTAGTTGATGCAGTTTCTTCCTAGTCTCGATGGTCTTTACAATTTGGCATGTTTTTGCAGTGGCTGGTACTGGTTGTTCCTTTCCATGTTTAGTGCTTCCTTCAGGAGCTCTTTTAGGGCAGGCCTGGTGGTGACAAAATCTCTCAGCATTTGCTTGTCTGTAAAGTATTTTATTTCTCCTTCACTTATGAAGCTTAGTTTGGCTGGATATGAAATTCTGGGTTGAAAATTCTTTTCTTTAAGAATGTTGAATATTGGCCCTCACTCTCTTCTGTCTTGTAGAATTTCTGCCGAGAGATCAGCTGTTAGTCTGATGGGCTTCCGTTTGTGGGTAACCCGACCTTTCTCTCTGGCTGCCCTTAACATTTTTTCCTTCATTTCAACTTTGGTGAATCTGACAATTATGTGTCTTGGAGTTGCTCTTCTCGAGGAGTTTCTTTGTGGCCTTCTCTGTATTTCCTGAATCTGAATGTTGGCCTCCCTTTTTAGATTGGGGAAGTTCTCCTGGATAATATCCTGCAGAGTGTTTTCCAACTTGGTTCCATTCTCCCTGTCACTTTCAGGTAGGCCAATCAGACGTAGATTTGGTCTTTTCACATAGCCCCATATTTCTTGGAGGCTTTGTTCGTTTCTTTTTATTCTTTTTTCTCTAAACTTCTCTTCACGCTTCATTTCATTCATTTCGTCTTCCATCACTGATACCCTTTCTTCCAGTTGATCGCGTCGGCTCCTGAGGCTTTTGCATTTGTCACGTAGTTCTTGTGCTGTGGTTTTCAGCTCCATCAGGTCCTTTAAGGACTTCTCTGCATTGGTTATTCTAGTTATCCATGCATTTAATTTTTTTTCAAGGTTTTTAACTTCTTTGCCATTGGTTTGAACTTCCTCCTTTAGCTCGGAGTAGTTTGATCTTCTGAAGCCTTCTTCTCTCAACTCGTCAAAGTCATTCTCCGTCCAGCTTTGCTCCATTGCTGGTAAGGAGCTGCGTTCCTTTGGAGGAGGAGAGGCGTTCTGATTTTTAGAGTTTCCGGTTTTTCTGCTCTGTTTTTTCCCCGTCTTTGTGGTTTTATCTACCTTTGGTCTTTGATGATGGTGACGTACAGATGGGTTTTTGGTGTGAATGTCCTTTCTATTTGTTAGTTTTCCTTCTAACAGTCAGGACCCTCAGCTGCAGGTCTGTTGGAGTTTGCTGGAGTTTCACTTGAGACCCTGTTTGCCTGGGTATCAGCAGCAGTGGCTGCAGAACAGTGGATATTGGTGAACCGCAAATGCTGCTGCCTGATCGTTCCTCTGGAAGTTTTGTCTCAGAGGAGTACCCGGCCATGTGAGGTGTCAGTCCACCCCTACTGGGGGGTGCCTCCCAGTTAGGCTACTTGGGGGTCAGGGACCCACTTGAGGAGGCAGTCTTTCCATTCTCAGATCTCAAGCTGCATGCTAGGAGAACCACTACTCTCTTCAAAGCTGTCAGACAGGGACATTTAAGTCTGCAGAGGTTACTGCTGCCTTTTGTTTGTCTGTGCCCTGCCCCCAGAGGTGGAGCCTACAGAGACAGGCAGGCCTTCTTGAGCTGTGGTGGGCTCCACCCAGTTCGAGCTTGCAGGCTGCTTTGTTTACCTACTCAAGCCTCGGCAGTGGCGGGCACCCCTCCCCCAGCCTCGCTGCTGCCTTGCAGTTTGATCTCAGACTGCTGTGCTAGCAATGAGTGAGGCTCTGTGGGCATATGATCCTCCGAACCAGGTGCAGGATATAATCTCCTGGTGTGCCATTTGTTAAGCCCGTTGGAAGAGTGCAGTATTAGGGTGGGAGTGACCCGATTTTCCAGGTGCCGTCTGTCACCCCTTTCTTTGACTAGGAAAGGGAATTCCTTGACCCCTTGCACTTCCCGGGTGAGGCGATGCCTCGCCCTGCTTCGGCTCACGCATGGTGCGCTGCACCCACTGTCCTGCACCCACTGTCTGGCACTCCCCAGTGAGATGAACCTGGTACCTCAGTTGGAAATGCAGAAATCACCTGTCTTCTGCATCGCTCACGCTGGGAGCTGTGGACTGGAGCTGTTCCTATTCGGCCATCTTGGCTCCACTCTCTCTCTCATTTTTTTTAAAGGAATGCTTTTCTATTGTTTTAAGTCACTAGTATTGGGCAGTTTTGTTACCTTAGCATACCCTAGTTTCTTCTGACATATATATTAAGATTGTGAGAAGTTATCAAACTAAATTGTAAAGGAGAGTGTGAATTCAGAGGGCTTAAGAAGAATAGAGTAAATAGAATCTGCTTTTACCCTGAAGGCAGTTGCTGATCTGGGAAAACCTGAACTTGGTTTTGATGGTCTTGTAGTGCTGCAGATAGACATCAAAGTCTGGCAATTACCAAATGAGACCCCTGACAAGCTAAGCTGGATCCCAAAAAGCCTATATATCAGAATAAGGGTGAATTAAAAGGAAACTCATTCTCTGCCCAAAGGATTTCAAGGAAAGTTACTTTAACATTAAATAGAGCCAAGAAGGAATAAAAACAAGCAAGTAAGCAAGCAAACAAACAAACAAGAAATAAAAAAACCTCATTCTTGTGAAATCGAAACAAAAAATCAGCCCTCTTATGGACTTATAGTTCAAATTCACATCACAACACCTGATGGTACTAGCCTGGAAATGCCTCTTAGATGCCTTACAGAAGAAAACACAAATTCTTCCTAGAGAAAAGATCTTTTATCCTAAAGAACAACACAAATAATATTTCAAGGATGGTGATCAGCCTACATAACTTTTACTAAGTACACAAGGAAGCAAAGCACTTTAATTGGGAATCAGCCAAACAAAGCAACAACAGCAACAACAAAAACAACAACAACAAACATTGGCAGACAGAGAGCCACGAGGACTTCGGATATTAGAATTGTCAGCTGTGTATTTTTTTAAAGGCTTATTTTGTTTACATAAATGAATACAAATTTGAAAGTAACTGCAGGGAAGGAGGAAATAATTGAACATGATCTGGGAGATTACACAAAGAATCAACTAGAGCTAAACATTAAAAATGTAGTTTCCAAAATATAAGACCCATCAGACAGATTTAAGAGCCAATTATACATAGCTGAAGAGAGATTTATGGAAATGGAAAATAGGCCAGAAAAAGTTAGATAGAATGCAGCATAGAGAGATAGAAATATAGAAAACATGAAAGTGAAGCTAAGAAACATGAAGGACAGAATGACAAGTTCTAATGTATATTTAATATATATAATATATATTTAATATACTTTAATATATATGCATATATATATTATATATATATATTTAGAGTGCTAGAAAGAAAAGTAGATGGGGCAGAGGCAATACTGGGTTAGATAATGGTTAAAAATTTTCCAGGACTGATGAAAAACAGCAATTCATAGATTTAGAATTGTGATTCCCAAGTAGGATAAACAAAAACAAGTCCCACCAAACTATATACAGTTTTGGCATACAAATAATAAATCTTAAAAGCAGCTAGAGTAAAAAAGCTTACCTTCAAAAGAACAATAGTTACACTGACAAATGACTGCTCAAGAACATCAGTGCTGGCCAGGTGCAGTGGTGCACACC
The DNA here is from genome assembly GCF_000001405.40 of Homo sapiens. Classification (NCBI taxonomy): domain Eukaryota; kingdom Metazoa; phylum Chordata; class Mammalia; order Primates; family Hominidae; genus Homo; species Homo sapiens. The sequence continues at coordinate 93,041,418 of NC_000011.10, read as the reverse complement.
TGCTGAGGCTGGAGGCTCTCTTGAGCCCAGGAATTTGAGGCTGCAGCATTCAGTGATCGCACCTGTGAAGAGCCATGGTGCACCAGCCTGGGCAACATAGCAATAATCCAACTATTAAAAAAATAAATAAAGAACATTATGGAAGCCAGAAAACAGGAGAATGTTATCTGCAATGCAGTGCTAACCCATACTCCAAAACCTATAAAACATAACTTTAAAATGAGCATAAAATTAATAATTTTTTTTTCAGGCAAACCAACATGAAAAGAGCTTACCAAAATGAGTCCTGATTAGAAAGAAATTCTAAAGGATGAACTTCAAATAGATAGGCGATAATAACAGATGACAGCCTGAGGTACAAAATTGGGGAAGAAAGAAAAGGTAGATATGTGAGTAATGTGAAATGAACATGGACTATACAACAATATTAATAATTTGTGTGATTAAAAAATAGAATGAAGAAACATAGTAATATATAAATTATCAGAGGTATAAATAAAATAAAGTGCTCCAATGTCCTTGTGTTGTCTGGAAGGAATTGATTAATTCTAACGGGTTTGTTAAATATGCATGTTTTAATTTCTAGGGTAGCCACTAAAAGCATAGACACTTCTGAGCTAATGGAATTTTTAAAAATCCATCAAAAAGAGGGCAAGAAAGAAGAGAAAATAAATATAGGCTTAGTGGGACAAATAGGAGGCACATATCATATTGGTAGATTTAAATCCACTAGTACTAACAGTATATCAGTAATTGCATTAAATGTAAACATATTAGATATCTCAGCTAAAAAAACTTAAAATCTGAGAAACTAGGGGAATAATCCTGCTTATTGGAGTATATGGAAAGGTCGAAATAAAAAGAAAAGATACACAATGTGAATGTTAACCAAAAGAAAGTCAATATGGCTATATTAGTATTAATTAAAATAGCTTTAGAGCAAAACCTTTGCTAATGATAAGATCACTTTTTAATGACAAGACATTCAGTTTACCAGAAAACATGTAACAACTCTACTATTTTATTCATCCAATAATATGACCTCAAAAATATATAAATTGAAAGTTGTTAATACAAGGACAAATCAATGTAAAATCATGGCAACAAATTTAACATAATTCTTTTAGTCATTGGTACAAGAAGCAGACAAATGAGTCTGAAGTATACACTTTTTTGTTGTTGTTAAATTTTAGATTTGGGGGAACATGTGCAGGTTTGTTGCATGGGTATATTACATGATGCTGAGGTTCAGGCTTCAACTGAACCCGTCACCCAAATAGTAAACTGTATTAGTCAGGGTTGTGTAAAGGGACAGAACTAATAAGATAGAAGTATATATGAAGGGAAGTTTCTTAGGGAGAATTGACTCATGATCACAAGGTGAAATCCCACAACAAGCTCTCTCTAAGCTGAGGCGCAAGGAAGCCAGTCCAAGTCCCAAAACCTCAAAAGTAGGAAAGCCAACAGTGCAGCCTTCAGTCTGTGGCCAAAGGCCTGAAAGCCCCTGGGAAATCATTGGTATAAATCCAAGAGTCCAAAAGCTGAAGAACTTGGAATCTGATGTTCTAGGGCAGAAAGCATCCAGCACAGGAGAAAGATGAAGGCTGGAAGACTCAGCAAGCTAGTTCATTCTACTCTTTCTTCTGCCTGCTTTATTCTGGCCCTGAAGGCAGCTGATTAGATGGTGTCCACCCAGACTGAGGGTGAGTCTGTCTCTCCCAGTCCACTGACTCAAATGTTAATCTCCTTTGGCAACACCCTCACAGACATACCCAGGAACAATACTTTGCATCCATCAATGCAACCAAGTTGACACTCAATGCTAACCATCACATGAACATAGTACTCAATAGGTAGTTTTTTAATCCTTGCCCCCATCCCTCCCCTCTTTTGGAATCCCTAGTGTCTATTGTTCCCATCTTTATGTCCATATACATACAAAACTTTAGCAACGCAAGTAACAATTGTAACCTGCTGGATATGAATACAGTGCTCTAACTGACAAATGCAGAATACATATTATTTTCTAACATACATAGAATGTTTTTGTAAATTGACCAGTAGGGCCACCATGTATGACCAATACATTTCAATAAATTGCACTCATTCAGAGTGCATTCTCCCTGACCATAATGCAATAAAGCTAAAAATATATATCAAAAATATAACAAGAAAATCTCTATATTTTTGGAAATTATAAATACTTTATATAACATGAGATCAAAAAAGAATCATAAAAGAAATTAGAAAATATTTTATGCTGATAATTAACAAAATATGACATACCAAACTTGAGATGCAGCTCAAGCAGGACTCAAACAAATTTATCCATTCAATGTCTATATTAGCAAAGGAAAAAGACTGAAAAAAATTAAAGAATTAAGCATTCAAACAGCAAAATAAAAAATTAAAGAGGTAAGCATTCATACAGCAAGGAAATATTAAAGAAGAAAATAATAAAATTTTAATAAAGTAGAAAACAAACATATAACAGAAAGGTTCTTTGTAAACTAATAAAACTGACAAATTCTTAGCAAGATTCATAAAAAGAGAGGAGGTGGCCAATAATAGAAAGGAACATCGTTATAGATGCCACAGATATTAAAATAGAGTAAGAAGATATTATGACTAATTTTAGGGCAGTAAATTTGAAAGTTTATATGAAACATGCAATATGTCAGAACTGATGACTAAGAAACTTTGAAAATGAATAGAGTGGGCTGGGTGCAGGGGAGGCAAGAAGATCACTTAAAAAAATAGAGTGAAAAATCATTTAACACATTGAATCAGGTAGCAAAAAAATTTCCACACAGAAAACTCAAGCTCCATCTGATTCTAAATGCAAATTCGATCTGATATTTAAAGAAAGAGAAGGAAGGAGAAGGGAAGAGAAAGAAATAAGTGGAAGATGAGGAGAAGGAGGAGGAAGGAAAGGGGGCAGTTGGGTATAAGGACTGGAAAAGAAGAAATAGAATTGTCACAATTTGAAGATAATACATGTATTTTAAAAATATAAATGAAGTTGATAAAAGAATTGAGAAAATTGCTGAATAAAAAAGCAATATATAAAATTGAGTTGTATTTCTACATATTAGCAAGAAAATGCTAAAGAAATTACATTTAAAAAATGTTGTATGTCCAACAGGATCAGTGTTATCAGTTGCAAACAACAGCACTGACTCTGGATATTGGGTAGCTTGTATGGATGCTAAGCTATCAGGAACAGTGGTTAAAGCCATGCTGTAACTAAAAAAGGGATGAATTCAACCATGACTGCCCTAGTGATGCCCATTCTGCTCTGGAACTCAGCCAGAGTTCTGCCACAGCACCCTCCAGCAAACTCTTTTCTGTGTGGGGCCACTTTCCTCAAGTTGCTCACTTTGTAATTAAAATCTTATGTGGGTGGATCTGACTGGTGAGACCCAGGCCACATGTGTCTGTTGCAGCAGTGAAGGATACTGGAGAACAGAATTTTTTGGATTACCTACCACAAAAATATAAAATATCTTGAATAAATCTAATAAAATATGTTTAAGACCTTACAGAGAAATGAATAAAATACTACTAAAAGAAATTAAAGCAGACCTAAATAAATTGAGAAGTATGCTATGATCATAGGTTCAAAGACTCAATGTTGTTAAAATGTAAATTTCCCCCCAAGAAATGGGGTGGGGAGAGTTTTGTCTACCAGAAATCAAGGCTAATTTTAAAGCTATGGTAATTAAGACAGACAATGTGGTTTAGTGAAGGGATAAATCCATCAGAAGCAGAGTAGAGAGCTCTGAAATAAATCTATTAACACATGGGCACTGAAACACGATGGAAGTGGCACTGTAGATTAATGTAGTAAGATCAGTATTTGCAATAAAAGGTGCTGAGAATACTGGATTATTGATATAAATAAAAATAAAACTGTTGTCCTTTACATCATACACAAAGCCAATTCCATGTGGACGATAAGATTATTAAGACTAGAGGATAATTCTTTTAAAAAGGTTAAAAATATTAATAATAAAAAGTTTGATAAATTGGACCACATTAAATTAAGAAATTCTATCCTTCAAAAAACACTGTCAAGAAAATAAAAAGACAAGCTGTAGAGAGGGAAAAGATGTTTGCATCACACACAACCAAAAAAGTACTAGAATCCAGAATTTATGATGAACTCCCACAAATTACTAGAATCCAGAATTTATGATGAACTCCCACAAATCAATAAGAAACAATAGACAATAACCCAATAGACAAAAAATGTTGAACAAGCACTTTGCAAGAGGATATCCAAATGCACAAAACGCATAAGAAAAAAAAAGTGTTCAACATTATTAAGCACAAGGAAAATGAAAATTAAGGAGGTAACATTAAATATCCTCCTGACTGGTGAAACTGAAACATCTTACACTACCATATGGTGGCCAAGATAGGGATTGTAAGTTGGTACCACCACTTTGAAAAACAACTGGGCATTATTCAGCAAATTTGAAAATACATATATCCTAAGACTCAATGTTCCATTCCTAGGAATATTCTGTAGCAAAACAGGTGCACATGTATACCAGGATATATGCATGTGCAGAGTATACAAGAATACACACTGTGTGATTTCTTTATATCAAATTGAAAACCAGGCAAAACAAAATGATATGATTTAGGTTGTATACAGTGGTCAGAAATAGAAATGAAAAGCAAGAAAATGATGATCACAAAATTCAGGATAGCGGTTAACTATTTGGGGTAAAGAGGTTTGTGATGGGGAAGGGGCACAAGGGGGCTTCTGAGGTGCTGGCAATATTCTTTCTTGACTAGAGTAGGAGTTACATGGGTATTTGCTTTATAGTTATTCTCTAAATCATCCATGTAGACTTTATGAACCATGTTGTATGTCATATTTCATAGATGAAAAAGCAGTAGAGTATGCAATGTTTTAAATTTAAGGAAGACTCTTGCCACACTTGCCTAGGCTCCTAATGCTGCTCCATTTTCATAGTAGTCTTGTGGCCACCAAAATGTAAATATTCCCTGACTTTCTCTTTTTTATTTGCTGAGAAGGAAAATAAGTAGCCTAATGCTTGAATTCTCTAAATACTTATTTCAACAAAATTATTTTTGTCTATGAAATATCATGGCAACACAGTTCATCTTATTTTTGTAAAAAGAAGGATTCAAAGTTTGAGCTTATCATTTAATTCCATGTATAGTAGGTGCTCAAGTCTGTTAAATTAATGCATATCCCACACATGCAATTATTTTGAGTAAGACTCTCTTTTATTCTTCCAGGAAATTTCCCCGTTGGTTTTCAGTATCACCTGGAGCCTCCCTGGGGACTTGTAAAAGTTGTTGAAAGTACTAGAAACCAGAGATGAATTAATTTCACTTCTCACACAGAGAAAGAAAGTGGATTTTGCAAGCAATAGACAGGTTAGGATTAGATGAATTCTAAGCAGGATTCTGGGAAGGGTTGATTATGAGCATATAGATTTGATTTTAGTACTCATAATAAAACAGGATGGGAACATTTTTTTTAGAACTAAATAGAAGGCAAAGCTTTTTTTTTTCCTGCTGTGTAACCAGCACAAACTTTCTTTTCTTCAATTTTGATAAGAATTATGTAACGTACTGTTTCAAATTTTGCTATAAGCTGCTAGAAACAGCTTCAGGCTTGACTATATCAACTATGAAAACCTTTACAGTCTGGATAATTGGATCCTATTTTCTGCCCCTGGTTAGTTGTCCTGTTCTGATTTAAACTCATTGGTCCTGCTTAGTAGTGTTTATTTGTGGCTTACCATTATTTTGTATGATTTTTTTCCTATAAGACTTCTCAAATCCTTAGTAAAACAACATAAGGACAGCAGGAAGGGAAGGGGAAGGTGAGAAAAGAAGGCAAGAGATACAAATCTGACCGCAGTTTTTAGCATGGTTTCTTTAAGTAAAAACTCATGGTGGACAAATCTAACTTTTTCTTTAATAAAAGTAAGATTGGACCATAGATAAGGAAGATGGAGGCATAGGTCCCCCTGTTTGGGCAAGGTCCTACAATGAAGTCCCAGGATACCCTTCTGGTGAGCATGGAGAAATCTATACTAATAGCAAAGCACCAGGAGATTCAGACTATGTGCCCTTAAGCCAAGAAGGTGACCAGAGGCAGCTTCTGAGTGGCAGGACTAGTGCCTGGGTCCAGGCCCTGGTATCAGGCTTAGTATTTTTATCAGTGACTGGGTGAAGACCTAGAGACCATCCTCATCAAAGCTGCTAATGCAGTATATAATAATCTGACCAAGTCTTGGGCTTGGGAATGAAAAAACAATGCTGGGTTCAAATCCTACTTCTTCCCATATATTAGCATGTTACTTCGGGCAAGTTATTGATGAGCCTTAACCCTGCAACCTATAAATTGGAGATAATAATAATACTTACTTCTATGGTTTCAATGTCCCCTCCAAAACTCATGTTGAAATTTGACAGATGATGTAATGGTATTGGGAGGTGGGGCTAAGGTCATGAGGGCTCCACCCTCATGAATGCATTAATGGCATGATTCAGGGAATGGGGTAGTTATCATAGGAGTGGCATCCTGATAAAAGGGTAAGTTCAGCCCCCATTCCCTCTCTATCTCATGTGTTTACTTGCCACGGGATGCCTTTTTCCATGAGGTGACCCTCTTCAGATGCCAGTGCCATGCTCTAGGACATCCCAGCCTCTGGAACTGTGAGCCAAATGGACTTCTGTTCTTTATAAATTATCCAGTCTGTGGTATTCTGTTATAGCTGTAGAAAACAGACTAAGACACTTACCCTCAGGCTTATTATGCAAATTAGAGGCAATATACAAAGCACCTGGCATGGAGTAGATACTCCATAAATGTTGAATATATTTGACTGCATAATTAGGATCTGAAAAGATTAGGCAGCCTCAAGAGAGGAATCAAATCTAATAAAATAACATGTAGTAGTTTTATCTTATAATTTTGAATTTGGTTCAAAACAAAAAATAATAAAACAAAATAAATTGCGAAAGTCCAGGGAAGAGAAGCTAAAGGAATAAGCTCTTTCTACAAACCTGTCTGCCCTGGACTCTGACAGGTTCACTCTCTGTATTGGACTCTGTAAACCTTTTAGCCAAAATAAACCCTGTGAGAATTGATTTTAGTCAAAAGCAAACTCTCCTTCGTCAATCATGAGACTTTGCACTGACCAACAATGTGAGCTTGTGGTTTTTCTCTCCTAGCAGTCTCTGCGTGGCAATTCTCCAGCAGTGAAGCCTGTAGATCCTACCCCAGTAGTTTTCAGCCCACAGTGCAGAAACTGGAAAGCATTTGCTAAGTTGCATCTTTAACCCTGTGTTTCCCTGAACCCACCACTTCACTCCCTAGAGCACATCCTAGGAAAGCTCTGGTCCTCTTTAGAATTCAGAGGTAGAATTACTGTTGGCAAGGCCCAGAGATATTCTGGATTAATATTTTATCTGGCCTATAGTTAATAACAATATATTGTTTACTGAAAAATTGCTAAGAGGGTAGAATTTTAAGTGTTCTCACAACAAAACATAAGTGTGTGGGGTAATGCATATGTTAATTAACTTGATTAGCTATTTCACCATGTATACATATTATCAAGACATCATGTACACCATAAATATATACAATTTATATTTGTCAATTAAAAAAATTTAAAAATAATCTCTGGAAAGTTTAATAAAAGCTCCCAATTCACAGAGAAAAAATAACATTAATCCCTTAAATTTCTTTCTTTATGCTTGAATGGGCTAGGAGGGACAAGGGTTTTTCTATAGCAGTCCTGTTCACCAGGTCTGAGGAAAAGGGTAAAGCTGACTTTTATGCTTTGGCTCCACTAAACTTATCCATTCATCCAATAGAAATATTTGATGAGTGGCTATCCTGTGTCAAGCACTGCATTAGGAACATTAAAATGAATAATGCTCTCTTCTTGGCCCTCTTCACTGGTCATGGCTCAAACACACCAGTGGCTACAGACATCCCTTAAAAAGTTACTGCTCTTCCCTGAATGGTGGCTCAATCCCTCCAAGCTCATCTTCCCTCCATCTGCTGAGCTGTCATCACACATCACTTCTCCAGAATCCCTGATCTGCTTGCTTTGTAAGTCATCTTTTCTGGTTTGATTTATATCTTAGACTGTTATCTTCGCTCTGTCCCAGAACCCCACAGAAGGCTGCATCTGGTGACCATCCCCCAACTCCATGCCCCATTGCCACAGGCAAGTTGGACTCAAACCTGGGTCATGGCAGGTTTAGTTAGCAGCCTCCTCCAGGCCTTCACCACTTGGGGAGTGAGAAAGGGCAAACCTCAGTGGATCTGTCAACTTGCAGGGCCATCTTTCACACTAGCCCATTCCACAGCCAGCACAGCTCAAAGGTCTTCTCACACACCCCAAGAGACCCTCAAGAGTAGAGCTGGTGGGCTCTCTGAATTTTCCTTGTGAAATAATCTACACAAATGCACAGTGATTTAATGCTGGCATGAATGGTATTCCAGGACCTGAATGGGATAGAAAGCCTGTGGCATCCTGCTTGCCTTCAGCCAGGTCGTCTGATGGATGACAAGCCTATGCCTGCTTCAAAGCCAACCTGGCCTGTGCTCTCCACATCCCACAGCTTGGCAGCTTAACTAACTAATGCTTCAAACAGCTGGGCCCCTGGCTTCCGGGTGACTTCTGCTGTGAGAAAGTTGAAGCAGCATATGTTCATGTCAGAATGCAGGAGCCCCTCACAGGAGCTCAAATTGTGACTGTGTAGCACAGCAATGAACTTTTCTTTTCTGTCATTTGCCCACCTCATCAAAAATCAGAGTGTATTCCTTGCCCTATCTTCCTTTTAGAAAAAAAAAATGAGAGTGTTATTCCCCACACTTGAGGAGACCTGGGTGTTTGTATTAAGAGAAAATATATAATGTAGCCAGAAGACCTCTGGACTGCAAGATGAAAACTAAAATATATTGAGCACCAACTATTTTCCAGTACTTTGCTCTTCATCATAACCCCAAAAGTGACTTTTATCTCCATTTTACCAATAAAGAAACTGAGACTCAGAGAAATTAAGTAACTTGGCCACTGCCGTATGGTTAATAAGCAGCAAGGTCAGGATTTGCACCCAGGTCTACCTTCTCCAGGCCAGGTTGGCTTTGAAGCAGACATAGGCTTGTCATCCATCAGATGACCTGGCTGAAGGCAAGCAGGGTGCCACAGGCTTTCTATCCCATTCATGTCCTGGGATACCATCCACACCAGCATTAAATCACTGTGCATTTGTATAGATTATTTCACAAGGAAAATTCAGAGAGCCTACCAGCTCTACTCTTGAGGGTCTCTTGGGGTGTGTGAGAAGGCCTTTGAGCTGTGCTGGCTGTGGAATGAGCCAGTGTGAGAGATGGCCTTGCATGTTGGCAGATCCACTGAGGTTTGCCCTTTCTCACTCCCTAGTCCTTGAGAAGGCTACCATCTGCCTTCTACTCCAGCAGCCTCTTTAGAGCAGTCCCATTCCCACCCTTTCCATGCTGACCCCAGGAACATCAGTCTCAAATGGGAATACCTGACCTCACGGAACTTGTGATAATCACATGTGAAGGTGTATGGGAAGGCATTTTGAAAACTCCTAATCCCTCAGGCCGCAACTGCACACATGTGGTGAGAGTGGTTGACTTCAGGGAATTTGCAAGTGCCCTGAGTAACTGGAACCTCACGTCACAATTTGGAATAGAAAGGCAAGCTCCCCCGTGGAGTCGACTGTGAATTAGTCGAAGTGAGGAATGCTTTGGTTTCTGAGAACCTGAGGGTTTAGATGTTCCCCACTCCCGCCCACCCTGGTATAGCTCTGTATGGGAACAGGAAGTTGTGACTCAGAGTCCTTCTTTTCTAAGCTCCTGAGCTAAGAAGTTGGGAAATTGCTGGTGAGATCCAGGTATGAGTAGGAGCCTTGCGGGCAGTGTGGGCTTTTTCTCCTTTTTGCGAAAGACAGAAAGGGGGAAGAGAGGGCCCTGTCATCTTTGGGAAAGAGAGTAGCAGTAGCAGCAGTGAGAGCCAGTGGTACTGACAAAAGCAGTGGGCAAAACCAGGAGGAGCCCCTAGCAATTACAGTGGTCCCAGTGAGGGGACGCCAGAATTAGGGCAGCCAGTACTGCCTTCCTGGAGCAGCTACAGAGAGTGTGAGAGTGGGGTGGACCGATGAGCCAATGGGGACTCACAGAAGGAGGCCTCTGAGACACAGCAGCATCGGGGCAGTAGTTCAGGGCAAGGGGAGACGAATGACTGATGGTTCAGATTGGACCATCCAAATTAACCGCAGAGAAGACACTCTGTTCATCAGGGTTGGTTAGGAGTCACTTGTACGTTAACTTGGGGAAACGGGATCGTTTTAACTTCACCAAGATTCACTTTATCTCTATAATTCATGTCTTCCACATGAAAGAAGTTAACCTAATTCTGGGGATAGGTAGGGTAACAGTCAATTTGGATACAAGCATATGTCATTAAAACAAAACAGCATCCCCATATTTTAAAAACAAGAATAACCTTTTAAAAAAATTTACTTATAGCAAGTTTACTGTATATTCATTGAAGATAATTTAAAGATGCAGACAAGTAAAAAGAAGGTGAAAGTACCCATTTTCCTTTGACCCAGAGATAGTCAATCCCTTGGTGGAAACTTTGGTGGAATTACCCTTCCAGATGTTTTTATACCCATATATTTTCTACAAATAAGATCATACTATTCCTGATGAACTGTTATGTCTTTTATTCACTTGAAATAGGTTTTTAAAAATCTCAATAACAACTCATCTTCAATATAATTTTCAATGCTAGAATCATTACTATTATACAATATTGATGTAACTTAATGATTCTTCTATTGGTTGAATATTTATATAGCTGACAATTGAATTTTTTTAAAGTTTGGGGCATATTTAAAATAGACCTAAAATATAAAGAATAGTTCGAAAATATCCATGTGAAAGTTGCATTTTGACTACTATTAAAATATGATAAGTCTTGTATTTAAATCTTTGTGCTTACCTTTAATTATATCACTAAGATAAATTCTTCTAATTCTTCTAAGAATTTATCCTAGCCATCCACAGTCAATTCTGAAATACCCTGTTATTTACATGGGTCAGCCCTATTCAGTGTGTGAAGGGACTGCCTGAGAGCATGAATACTAGGAGGCTAGTATCACCAGGGGCCATCTTGGTAGGTGGCTACCACATATGACAGGGACATTTTTTAAGTCGGGGTCAGTTGTCTTGTAGAGTACCACATGTTCTGGATTTCTGTGATTATTTTCTCCTAACTAGATTCAGTGAATGTTGTGTATTTCCCATTGTATTACATCAAGATGTGCATAATTTCAGTTCATTCTGTTTCTGGTCATGCTAAGATTGGATACTTAGTTGAGGGGGCATTGTAAGCACACTAGGTCTTTGGTTCACCATAACTTTCTTGACTGTTTCTTTGGCTGAAGCATCAAATTCACATGCCAATGCCAGGCCTGATTTGTCCACAGAAATATAAAAAGTGTCCTAATGCATTTTTCACATTACCAACCTTTTGGCAACAACCTGCTCTGTGTGTGCATGTGTCTGTGTGTTTGATGTTGATATTCACAGGCATTATGAATTGAAGAAGGCAAATTTAATAGAGAAGAGGTAAAGGGGTACACCATGGAATGAACTCTCTGATAACAGAAACTGTCTTATTTTTCTTTGCCTTCCGACTGTGTTATATAATGTTAGACAAATAATAGGCACTTAGCAAATGTGTGTTGAATAAATACAAGAACAAACAAAACAGGGAAGAATCTGGGAGAAGTAGAAAGACACTTTCCCGTTTATAGAAATCTAGAAACCAGAATATTACCTTTCACCAAAATAAATAGTCCCTGGAAACCTCATCCACTTCCATTCCCGTATTAGGATGGTTTTAGGGGCTCTCATCCCTATTCTCTTCAGGTCCTGTCACCACAAAGGGTGTGGGTCCTGAGAATACAAATGTCCAGTCTCCAGGGTTCCTTAGGCAGCACATTGCATTCTAAACGCACCTTTTACTTTCTCTATCATGCTTATAAATAGCTCATGTGACGTCTTGAGCCTTATTCAACCACTCAGTCACTCCAGGAAGAAAGTAAACTACAGAGTAATGATATTTTCCTAATGGCAAGAGCACATTAAATGGAATTGCCTGAGCTAATTTGAGTACACTTCTGTGTTCAGAATTATGCTTTCACATTCAATTTCATTTTCAATTTGTTTTCTTCGTGCTGTCCTGATTCATCAGACCGCCCTCTGAGTTGCATGGAACTGTGGTAATGTGTCCCTTGGTGAATAAAATAATTAAGACAAGGAGACTTATTTTATAACTGCCTTTTTATTATAAAAAAGAGGACATGCGAAAGCATGGGTACCAAACAATTAGATGCCCCCCTCTTCTAGCCTTAGTGAACTCCCTGTTACCCAGGTGAACTGGGTCAGTGGAGAATGACCTGCTCAGACATTTTCTTTCTCTGATTCATATATATAAATGCAAGAACTGAGCAGCCCAGAGCATAGGAGAATAAAGAAAGGAAAAGAAAGGAGGGTGGTAGAGAGATTAAACTGAGAGCCTACTATGCCTTGAAACAAGGCCAGGCATTGTCCCACAAGCTACCTCACCTGAGAGGCAGATTTGGACTGAAGAACATCAGTGGCTTTCCCAAGGCCACAGGCAATCAGGACACGGCGGAGGTGGAAGTCTAGAGCAACATCTTTTCACCACCGAAGACAGTGCTCGGAACACCACACTACCATAACAGTGGGCCTCTCATCTTAAGCTGGGATAAAAAGCCCTTCACCTCCAACCGTTTGAGGCTTATCTTCCACAGCTCCACTTGCCAATACATTCATACACATCCTTAATTGCAGTCACAGTAGACTATTCTCCAAACAAACCACACATTTTAAAAAGGCATCTAATTATGTTTGACAGGTAATATGGTATATTAGTCTGTTCTCCCATTGCTATAAACAGCTACCTGAGACTGGGAAATTTATGAAGAAAAGAGATTTCATTGACTCACAGTTCCACAGGCTTAACAGGAAGCATGACTGGGAGACCTCAGGAAACTTACAATTGTGATGGACAGTAAGCACCTTCTTCACATGGTAGCAGGAGAGAGATGGGGGAAGTGCCACACACTTTTAAACCATCAGATCTTGTGAGAACTCACTCACTATCATGAGAACAGAAAGGGGGAAATCCACCCACATGATCCAATCACCTCCGATCAGGCCCCTTCTCCAATTCAACGTGAGATTTGGGCAGGGGCACAATCCAAACCACATTATATGGCTACATTCAAGAGGCATATAGTGCACATTCTCCTGTCCACTCTTGTACCCCACCTCCCAGATGTCTTCTTCTTCTGAGGAAACACATTTATAAGTTTCTTGTGTCTTTTCAGCAACATTTTGTGCATACATTACTTATTAGTCAGGGTTCTTCAGAGAAACATAACCAATAGGATGGATGGGTGGATGGACAGATAGATACAGAGATAAAGAGGACCTTCATTATGGGAATTGGCTCATGCAATTATGGAGCCAAGAAGTCCTGCCATATGACATCTGCAAGATGGAAAACCAGGATGTATCTTGGAGACCATTTGTCCCAAGTGTCAAGAGATGAGGGCTGCCTGACTCACATCAGATGAGTGACGAATATGTCTTGTCTTTATTTTTCTCTTGACTTACCTTTATTTTATTTGAGATGAGGTCTTGGTATGTTTTCCAGGCTGGAGTGCAGCAGTTATTTTCATAGGCGCAATCATGTGCATTACAGCTTCAAACTTCTGGTCTCAAGCGATCCTCCCACTTCAGTCTCCTGAGTAGCTGGGACTACAGGTGCCCACAACTGCACCTGGCCATCTTTTCTTTATAAGCCACTGTAATTTGGGGATAAGCTTATTGCCACACCATGGCCTATTCTATCCTGACTATTACAGAAATCACTATGTTCAATTTGGTGAGCATTATTTGGCTAAATAATAGTTTCTTATTTACTATTTTAATAATATTGTTGCATGTATATAACTGATGGAATATACAGGTTACTATGATGTTTTAAAACATGATATAAGCAGTATTATACTTTAATATAATTGTACAAGTTCCTCCATTAACATGAGTTTTGGGGGACTTGTCCATGTTGATACATGTAGGCTTAAGTTGACTTATTTAAAATATACTACAATTGATTCAACAAAAAAGACAAAAGAAAGAAAAGATGGAAAACCAGGGAAACTGGTGTCATTCATCCTGAGTGCAAAGGCCTAAGAACCAGGGGAGCTGATGGGGCAACTCAGTCTGAGGTCAAAAGCCTGAGAAATCAGAGAGACACTGGTGTAAGCTGCAGAGTCTAAAGGCCCAAGAACCTGGAGTTCTGATGTCTGAGGACAGGAGAATATGGATGCCTCAGCAGCAGAAGAGAGAGCAAATTTTCCCTTCCTCTGCCTTTTTGTTCTATTCAAGCCCTCAACAGATTGGATGATACCCTGCACTGGTGAGGGCAGATCTTCCTTAATCTGTTGATTCACATGCTTAATTCTCCAGGAACACCATCACAGACACACTCAAAATAATGCTTTGCCGGCTATCTGGGTACCCCTTAACCCAGACAAGTTGACATCTAAAATTAACCATCACAGTTACAAAATATTTATGTTTGTTCTATTTTGTTCACTTTATTTACACAAATAGTATCTTCCATACTGTCGTTCTGTACCTTCTGCTTTTCCTGAATCATATATCTTAGAGATAATTTCATATCCAATCATAAGGTGGCTTCTCATTCTTTCGTGGTGCCATTTATTCTGGTGCAGGACTGCATCAAAGTCTATTTTTCCAGTTCCCTGTGACATACACTTAAGTTATTTCCAGTATTTTGCTCTCAAAAACAGTGCCGTCATCATTAACTTAGCACAATTTGCGCCAGGGTGAGTGTACCTCTAGGACAACTTCCTAAAAGAGGAATTGCTAGAGTAAATGTAGGTGCCTTTGTAATCATGAGAAATTTGCCAAATTATCCTGAGTAAGGGTTCATACCAATTTACACTCCAATCAGCAGCACAGGAAAGGGTTTGTTTTCAACATGAGTGTCCATACAATATTATTTACATTTTAAAATTATTGACAATCAGATAGGTAAAAATTCTGACCATATATTTCAGGCTACTATGCCTTTGCTTTTGCAGTTCCCTCTGTCTCATACACCCTTCCCCCTCTGAAGGGTGACCTTTTCTCTACTCTGAGACCTAGCCCAGGGTCATGTCATGATGAGGACATCGCAATTCCTGCAAGCACTCCCATAATATTTTGTCCTTTCTCTATTGTTGTACCTTCCACATTATTTGTTTATGTGTCTATCTCTCCAACTAATTTCTCCAGGGAAGGGTTCTTGACATTCACCTGGTGTCCTTAGCATTTAACCCCAAGCCTAGCATATATGTGTTCGTTTAATAAATTTAAAAAGTGCTTTCATTACATTTAGGTGGGTGGTAAAATTAGCAAACTAGATTTTTGCAGTTTCTCCTTTCCCAATCCCTCTCCTGCACTTTGTCCTCTTTGACACACTTGAGTGGTGCTCTGCCAGATTGGAACCTCTGTAGGTCAGGACCATTCTCTGCTTTGTCACTGAGTCCTCATTCCTTGCAGAGAACAGGGACGTGGTGACTCAGAAAAGATTTTGGAGTTGATCATCAGATCTGACTCTGTACATCCTGGGGATAGCCTGGCTTTGACTTCTGAATGCATATGAGCAAAGTCAAAAAGAACACTGACTCCTCCCTCCTGTCATGTGTGCCAGGCTCTGAGGAAGCTCATCTCACTCAAAACTTAGCTAGAAAGGTGTTATCACTTTAATATTTCAATCGTTGAAAATTTCCCAATTTTCCTTGCAAGTTTGCATTGCTAAAATAAAGGGTTATATTATTGCTAAATAGAACAAACCAGATAATGCTTTTCAATGAAAGCATAGAGCTGATTTATACAGTGAATATGAATTTTGGATTCCTGAGAGCATCTCCTGAACATTCTGAAAAGGAAATGAATGTAAATCTATCACCAACGCTGCCATTTTTCTTGCATATGCAGTGCGTTTTCCTCCTGTCCCACCTCGCAGCTGGGTTAAATGAAGAGGAATGGTAATGTATCACATCTACTTACCTTGATTTCACTGTTACTTAGCATAAGCAATTTATATGAGACTGACACTAATTAATTCCAGCTTCATCTATCATGTACTTCAACATTTAATCTAGTCCCAGGCATGAGATAAAAATATAGTATTCTGAATTCTGGAATCTCCTTACCTTGAGTGATAAAGGAGTTCATAAATCTAAGACAGCACTTTGTTTTGCCTGATACTCCATCAACTACAAGTAGATATTGCCTTCACGAGAGTTCAGGAGAGAGAACCATCAAGACTGATGAGCTCAGACCTAATGTGGAGTGTGTGCAACCATGGCTAGTCTCTCAATTCTTTATGACCCTCAAAATAAGAAGTCTATTCCAAGGAATATATATCAGAAATTCTAGAAGCCCTCACTTTGAGGCACTGCTATTTCTAGTACTTCTTTAGAATGTGTTGTGGATTTTTTTTAAATCCACAGTCTAGACCAAACATATTCTGAGCTATACAGCTTTGGAGAGCCAGCCAAGAGGCCAAGGCCTGTAGTTTCTTCAGTTGCCCTGAATGACACCAATGCCTGCCAGCCTGCCTGCTTTTCCTCCTTCTTGACCCAGAGTCAAGAATTCCTGACCCTCAAATGTAGACTTGGCCCTGCTCCACACACTGGCTAGTAGTCATGTTATGCATGAATGGATGTCTCACCACTGTTCTAAAACTGGAGTCTGCCTTGTTCTTTATGGGCCTATAGCTGTGGACCTGTCATTCTCCCTGACTCGAGGTTATGTGTCCTCAGAAGGTTCTCTTTGTCAGTGCCATCTCCCTCTGCTCCACCTTATGCACTGAGGCTCATCCCCTGCACTTGAAGCTTTTGGATGGGCTTCTGATTCTTGCTGCCATCAACCATATTTCAGCCAACTTTCCTCATCAGCCACTTGGGAGTGAAGATGTCCTGTAAATCTCTGGGACCATGGACACTGGCAGCTTGTCTTGACCTGTCACTTCTCACCATTGTCCCTGAACACCTGGTTCTAGGTGCTGGACGTCCTTCTTCCCTGTCTCATTAATGTAACATCTTCTGCCTCCCTCTGCCCCTCTTTTAGCACTTGTAGACCCAGAGAGTTCATCTGGACCCTGCTCTGTCCCCTTTTCCTGTGGTTAAGCCATTCTTCTCTGGTGATATCATAATAGACAATAGGCCTAGCTAAATGTATACATTTTTTAAAAAGTATCTTATTTACAAAAATAAGAAGATATGCTCAACTTAAAAAAAAAAGAAAAAGAAGTATATCAAGTAAAAAATGAAGACTTCTCCCTCCAAGCACAGTCCATCCCTTTTTCCAAAGGTAAAAATTTAGTAATATACCTTCAGACTTTTTATTATGTATACACATATTATAAATAAATGAACATATATAGGAGATACAATTTTTAGGGGGAAAATAGTACCATTTACTGTATATGATCTTCAAACTGTTTTTGTTTTCATTTAACTCTATATAGTGGACAAAATTCCATGTTAGTATATCAACTTGTGTTATGCTTTTGAACACCTGAGTAGTATTCCATTGCATTTATATACTGTTTTCTATTTACCTTCACTCTGTTAATATGTTCTTAAATTGAATCCAGTTTTTCAGCACTTCACATAATGAGGGGATATAAATTCTTGTACTAAATGGTACAAATATTTCCACAAGTTAAATTTCTAGGTATATACATTTAAAATTTTGATAAATGCTAAGCAAATTATTGTCCAAACACTTTATGAAATTTGCATTTCTACAATAGCAAATGACAATGCTCATATCCTTGCCAACATTGAATGTGATTAATCTTGTATTAGCTTGCCAATTCTGGTGAATGAAAAATAATATCACATTAAGTAGCATTTCTTTGATTTTTAGTTGAGTAGCTTTTCAATGTTTAATAGTCACTTATTTTTTTCTCTGTACATTTTCTGTTTAACTTTTTAAAATGTTTTTATATTATAAAAACTTTTCATAAACTGTAATTTAGATATTATTACTTTTTTGTTATATGTGTTGCAAACATTTTCTCCTAATCTGTTATTCATTTTTTAAAAATTTATTCATAACACATTTTGCTACGTAATGGTTTTAAATTTTTACATAGTCAAATCTGTCAATTTTTTCCTTTAAGGCCTCTCGATGTCATGCCCCACTTAGAAAGGCCTTCCCCACCCTAGGAGTACACAAATGTTCTGTATTTTTTTCTAATACTCTCATAGTTTCATTTTATATGTTTAGTTCTGTAATTCATATTTATGTATGTTATTAGTAAATTATCTTTCACTTTTTCCAAAATAGAGAGACAGATATCCAAGGATTATTTATTGAACACTCTTTTCTTTCCTCACTGATTTGTAATAACAGTTTTTAAATACTAAATTTCCATTGTATATGGAATTGTCCCAATATGTATGGAATATACTGTCTTTGGGCTTGTTTCTGTTCCACTGATCTGCTTGTGTATTACTGCAGTGTGCTTTATGTGAGCCTGGGATTAAATAGCTCATTCTATGTTAAGAAAGCATGGTTAACCTTTATTTTTATTTGTATTGTAAAATAAAATTTAAAGGCTGTCGATTTGGACCGAATTCCTGCACTAGGTCCAACAGACCAAACCAAAATGGAGTCACATATGCTGAAGTTCCATGCCACCAACACTCAGCTGGTTTATCTGAACTTCTGAGAAAATGAGATAGTGCACGATAATACCCAAATCCCCAAACAAGCCAGATTTAGCTGGCATGATAAGGAAGTCCCTTCTGCTTTAACCTTTACAAGGAAAACAACTTTGAAATGATCAATCCGCGTTTTGTTCTCTGTTTCTGCTTTCCTGAGCCTTCTTCTGTCTATAAAGCCAAGCTCCTCTGCTCAGTTCATCAGAAGACCCATTCTATTTTATGGAACGAGATGTTGCCTGATTCTAGAATTGCAAATAAAAGCTAATTAAGATCTTTAAGCTAAATGTGTTGTAACCTTGTTTTTTAACAGTATCATACTGATGAATACAAGTTTAGTACTCTGTGAACATTTTTAAAAGAGAATTTTGGACATTAGTCCATTTGGATATACACTAGCTTTAGTAGAAGCATAAGGAAAAGAGATTATGTGAATCTGAAAATTGAGAACAATTTAAGAGATCCATTCTCCTGATTCCATTCTCTACAGCCCATCAAACGACCCACAAGGGTTGTCTGTTCATCATTCCTTCAGTTTACATTTATTTCATACTTCCTTACTATCTGTTGTATAGACAGTTGTCCCTCAATATACAGAGACGACCGGTATCAGGACCCTGTGTATATCAAAATCCATGCATACTCAAGTCCTGCAGTCGGCCCTGCAGAACCGAGTATAGGAAAAGTGGGCCCTTTGTATGCTTGAGTTTCGCATCCCAAGAATGCTGTATTTTTGATCCACATTTAGTTGAAAAAAATGTATGTATAAGTGGACCCATGCAGTTCAAACCTGTGTTGTTCAAGAGTCAACTGTACTGTATTAAGCACGGGAAAGAAAAAAATAATTAAGACTCAGATGTTGCCCCAGACAACTTGTATCCTCATTATGGGACACAGAAATATAAACAAGCATCAGTTTAAAAAGGTATGGTGAAAGTAAGAACAAGACAGAGTGGTGACCCAAAGTGGGGATAGATAGTCAGGGAAAGAGAGCAGATACATAGCAGGGTCCTAAAGGACAAATACTGGGCTCACCCCATGAAGGAAGGCAGGCTAGGGGATCCAGCAGAGCCAATGCTGACAGAGGCACAGGCTGGGAGTCAGCCTGAAGCTCAGAGGCTCCAGGCAGCAGGGGTAGTGGCTGATGATGCAGGTGGAGAGACAAGCAAAGATGAAATTATGAAGGGCTTTTGAACTTCATAAATGTGAAGAGACAACAGAATGATTTTCACAGGAGGGTGAAATTACCATTTTTACATTTAATAGATTAAATAGCTGTATCGTTTTCCCTTCAAGCTGCATTAATGATTTATCATTTAATGAGCAAGATAATTGATTCACACATACACTGATAGCCTATTACCAGATTTTTACTGGCAATAGGGAAACCAGGTAACAGAGTAAGTATGAACAGAACATTGGGTAATAAAATTTGCTTACAAATAAAACCCCTAGAAAGATTTTCTAAGTTATTAAAATAAAAGAGACTTAATTTCAGGCTACATTTTAAATTCCTTCCAACTTAATCTTTTCCCTGACTGAAATTTAGAGCGGGGGCATCTCTAAATCTTGCCTTTTCAGGGTCTAAAAAAAGGCTTTAGGTCCAGCCAGTTCACAATGACTCACACTTGGTATGGGGATAATTGGCATGCGAAGCAGACCAGGGGCGGCAGTACTGTTTCCTTTTTTTCTTTCTTTTTCTTTTTTGTGGAACAGACAGGGTTTCATTATGTTGCCCAGGCTGTTCTTGAACTCCAGGGTTCGTGATCCTTCTAGAGATGGCAGTACTCTTGAAAAGTGTCTCCAGTCAGAAGGAGAGTGGGGAGAGGGTCCCCACCTAAGCAGCAAGGGTCTGGAGGCCAATGCACTTAGAAAACTATTTTCTTCTCACTGTGCCTCCCAGGATACAACCCACTGCCCTTCTGCATTTCCTTATGGACTAAAAAAGAACATGTGCCTTTCCTTTTGTCTTAAAAATTTTCACCATTTTTAGCCAAGTTTATACTTGAAAGGAGTCCAAGAAACACTCCTGATCTTGTCCTAACATGTAGAACAAAACCCAAATCCAGCTGGAAACCTTCCAGTGATTCATAGGCAGGTGTCATCCATCTCAAGATACTGAAAGCTCATGGGGAGAATGAGAACAAGAAATCTGAGGCTAAATTGAATGGGCAAGTCATTGGGCAGGCTTGCTTTTTCTATTTTTCCTGATAATGGCTCTGCCACTTGTTACAGGACGTGGTTGTTATGGTGACAGGGAGAGGAAGAGCAGGGAGTAGAGAGGGTGAACTATGATGAAAGAGTGAAATGCAGCAAGGTAAAAGAGTTTTGGGTATGTTTGTTTGTACTTATTTAGCTCTGCTTCAGTCTTAAGGCATCCATAGCCTGCTGCCGTAATGAGGCCAAGAAGATCTAGGATTGTTTCCTGTCCTCCTGTGCCTCAGTATCCCTCCAGTGTCCTCAGGCATTGTTGCTAAGTCCATCTCATTGTGTCTGACCAATTTTGTTCGTGTTTAATAATTTTTCTCTCAAAATTTCTGTTATCCTCTGATGCAATTTTGCTTCTCTCATACCACTCTGGTAATCCATCAATCTTTGTCTATTTATGTCTGCTGTGGTTTGAATGTGTCCCCTGAATTTCATGTGCTGGCAATTTAACCCCCAAATTGATATGTTGATAGGAGGTGGGGCCTTTGGGAGGTAATTAGAATTAAAGTTATTAGGATGCCCCCCTCCATGATGGGACTGTTGTCTTTATAAGAGGAAGAGAGACCTGAGCTGGCATGCTGTTACCCTTTCACCATGTGATGCCTTCTGCCACGTTTTGATGCAGCAATAAGGCCCTCATCAGATGCAGTCCTTTGACCATGGACTCTCTAGCCTTCAGAACTGTAGGAAATAAATTTAACTTCTTTATGAATTACCCAGTTTGTGGTATTGTGTTATAGCAATGCAAAACGGACTAAGAAAATTGGTACCAAGAAATGAGATCATTGCTATGACATTGCTATAAAGATACCTGAAAATGTGAAAATGTATAAGCAGTTTCGGAGGTGATAGGTAGAGGCTGGAATAATTTGGAAAGGCAGGCTAGAAAAAGCCTATATTGGCCAGGCATGGTGGCTCACGCCTGTAATCCCAACACTTTGGGAGGCTGAGGCAGGCTGAACTCCTGACACTTGAGGTCAGGAGTTCAAGACCAGCCTGGCCAACATGGTAAATCCCTGTCTCTACTAAAAATACAAAAATTAGCTGGGTATGGTGGCGCATGCCTGTAATCCCAGCTACTCAGGAGGCTGAGGCTGGAGAATCGCTTGAGCCCAGGGGTGGCGGAGGTTGTAGTGAGCCGAGATTGCACCATTGCACTCCAGGCTGGGTGACAGAGGGAGACTCCGTCTCAAAAAAAAAAAAAAAGGAAAAAGCCTATATTGCCATAAACAGGTCATTAAGGGCACTTCTAGTGAGAGCTCAGAAGATGAGAAGACTGACAAAGTCTGGAACTTCTTAAATGTTGGTTAAGTGGTCATAACCAGGATGCTGATAAAAATGCAGACAGTAAAGACCACTTTGATGATGTCTCAGAAATGAAGGCTATCTTACTGGGAACTGGAGTAAATTCATCTTTGTTACACAGTAGCAAAGAACATGGCTGCATCATGTTCATATCCTAGGACTTTGTGAAAGGCTAAACTTATGAGTGACAGAATAACATATCTTGTGGAAGAAATTTCTAAGCAGCAAAGCACTCAGGCTTCTGCATGCTTACTTTTAACTGCTTACAGTGAGCTGCTAGAGAAAAGGGAAACAGAGCAAAAAGATTTAGAAAATTTCCTGGCCATGTGGTGGAGAATGTAAGAGCGTTTTCTGGAGAAGGTATAACCCACAGACAATTTGTTAAGAAACTAGCATGGCTAAAAGGAAGCCAGGTGCTAATCCTAGGACAATGACGGAATGGCCCCAAAGGCATTTCAGATCTTTGAGGTTGGCCCTCTCATCATAGGCTGAGAATGTGAGGGCCTGGAGGGCAGAAAGAGCTCCCTGCTTGCTGTCCTATACTGCCTCAAGTGTCTGCTCCTTGTATGTCTGCTCCCCAAATTCCAGTACAGCACTCAGTCACCTCATCTGTTGCTCAAATGGCCCCAGGTGCAACTCAGCCTGTTCATCAAAAAGGTATAAACTGTAAACCTTGGCAGCGACAAACCATGGCTCAAGCAGGTCCAGAGGTTGCTCATGACACTGCTCCAGAAGGCACCAGACATATGCCTTGGCAGTGGTCCACGTGGTGCTGACTCTGAAGGTATAGAGAGTGCGTGGGCTTTGGGGTCATGGCAACTTTCATTTAGATTTCAAAAGATGTATCAAACAGCTTGCAGGCCCGTGGAAAAACCTGCCACAGGGGTGAAGCCGCCACAGACAGTCCCTACCAGAGCAATGCCTAATGGAGCCAAAAGAGTGGGGCTACTGCCAGAACTCCAGAAGGACAGAGCCACCGGAAGCATGAAACACTCATCTGAGAGAGCTACAGGCACTGGACTCCCAACTGGGAGAACAGCCAAGTGAGCTGCACCCAGCAAAACCATGGGGGCAGTGCTGCCTGAAGCCTTGAGAGCCCAGTCCCTGCCCCAGTTTATCCACGAGATGGCTCATGAAGTAGATTATCCTGGAGCTTTAAGATTTATTATCTGCCTTGCTGGGTTTTAGACTTTGGGCAGATTACAACTTTTTATTTTTATTTTTTCGTATCTCTCCCTTTTGGAATGAAAATGTGTACCCTATGTCTGTCCCACCATTGTTTGTATCTTGGAAGTAGATAACTTTTTAAAATTTACAGGCTCACAGCTAGAAGGAGTTTACCTTGAGTCACAAATGAGACTATGAACTTTGGACTTTTGAGTTGGTTCTGAAACAAGTTAAGACTTTGAGACTATTGGGATGAGATGAATGTATTTTGCATTGGGAGAACATGAGGTTTGGAGGGTCAGGGGCAATACCATGGCTCAATTTGGCTCTGCTAAAACTCATGTTGAAATTTAATTGCCAATGTAATAATACTGACAGGCCAGGCTCACTGGCTTGTACCTGTAATCTCAGCATTTTGTGAGGCCAAGGTGGGAGAATTGCTTGAGGCCAGGAGTTGGAAGGACAGTGAGCTATGATTGTGCCATTGCACTCCAGCCAGGCAACAGAGCAAGACCCTATCTCTAAAAAATATAGAAAAATAACACAGACTGGGCATGGTGGCTCACACCTATAATCCCAACACTTTGGGAGGCAGATGCAGGAGGATCACTTGAGCCTAGGAGTTTGAGACCAGCCTGGGCAACATAGTGAGACCCCATCTCCACAAAACAAAAAGCCTGGGTGTGGTAGCATATGCCTGTGTTCCTAGCTTCTCAAGAGGCTGAGGTGGGAGGATCACTTGAGTCCAGGAGGTCAAAGCTTCAGTGAACCATAATTATGCCACTGTACTCCAGCTCAGGTGACAGAGTGAGACCCTGTCTCAAAAAAAAGTTTTTTAAAAGAATGGTATTGATGGGTGGTGGAGCCTCTAAGAAGTGTTTGGGTCATGGAGGCTCTGCTGTTGTAAATGGATTAATAAAGTTCTCACTCTTGCAGTATTGGATTAATTACTGTGAGAGTGAGTTGGTATAAAGTGAGGCTGCTCCTTGTGTTTCATCCCTTTTTCTCACATACCCACTTCCCCTTCTGCTTTTCTGCCACATTGTGAAGCAGCAGGAGGCCCTCACCAGAAGCAGAGCAGATGCTGGTGCCATGCTTCTCGGACTGCCCAGCCTCTAGAATCATGAGCCAAATAAACCTCTTTTTTTTCTTTTTTACTTTTCTCTTTTGCATTTTATGCTTATGTAAAAACCTCTTTTCTTTATAAATGACTCAGCCTCAGGTATTTTGGTATAGCAACCAAAAACAGACTAAGACCATGCCTATGCTTTAATTACAAATAGAGCCCCTGTGTAGTAGAGTATCTGTCACCTGTTTTCCCTCAGCAGCATACCCAAACCTGAGCTCCATGCAGGCATGATTCCCACTGCATGCTTAGAACACCGAGCACAGTGCCCAGGACGCAGTGGATGGTAATGAATCTTCAGGTTTTTTTCTCCTTTTCTTTCCTCTTCCTGGACTTAATGGATTCCCTTTCTGAGGATATTCGAAAGTACAAGTTATCTCTCAATGTAGAATTTCCTCTGCAACAATATACTAATTTGGAAATTTTGATTGAGGTGCCACAACAAATGTTTATCAAATACATTATAAACTTTCAGTAGACTATCAAGATGCATATTTTCACAAGAAATAATTTGAAAATCTGTAGCATGACCTTGAAGACCTCTTAACTACAAGAAGGATACAAAGGGTCTAGAGGAAGGAGTGAAGAGAATTTGGTGAGGAAGAATTTTGGAGTGAACACTGCTTTGAGAACCAGAAAAACTCTTCTCCCACCTCCAAGAAAGAGACAAGATTGGGAAAGTGACTCCTAGAACAATCTCTGGAGAGGTTAACATATGACCTCACAGTTAGAGGGTCACAGTGGACTACTTCCAATCTGGGAATTCCAGAAGGCAAAAGAGAAGAAATGGAGATTTTGGCAGAGCAAAGGAGAGTTGCTACTGCATCTGGGGAACAATTGTCCTCCCCTTTGATGATGGGCAATGGTACATGATCTCAAGGAAAAGATGAAGAACCTATGATAAGGATATTGTCTCTGAGTTATTTTTTTTTTTAATTTTTTTTTGAGAGAGAGTCTTCTTCTGTTGCCCAGGCTGGAGTTCAGTGGCACGATCTTGGCTCACTGCAACCTCTGCCTACTGGGCACAAGCGATTCTTCTGCCTCAGCCTCCTGAATAGCTGGGATTAAAGCTGTGTGCAGCCACACCTGGATAATTGTTGTATTTTTAGTAGTGACAGGGTTTCACCATGTCAGCCAGGCTGCTCTCAAACTTCTGGCTTCAAGTAATCTGCCTGCCTCAGCCTCCTGAAGTGCTGGGATTACAGGTGGGAGCCACCACTCTAGGCCACTCTGCGTTATTTTTTTAGAGATCCTGCTTAAGATGGCAACCTTTGGAGTGGGGGTTAAGAGGACAGTGAAAGACAACAATAAAAGTGACTTTATGTTTGTACCCCATAACTCCTGCTACATACCAGTGACATTATTATTATTTTATTTGCTTACTCAGAAATACATCTTGAGTACTTACAGTGCACCAGACACAGTGGGCAATGGTAATACAAAGATTAATAAAATGTGGCCTCTGCCCTGGAATTGACAATTTTTTAATAGAGATGGACAAGCAGACACAAAATATGAAACTGTAAAAGGAGGATCAATAGAGGCATTCTATCCAGGAAGAAAGAAAGAGCAAATGTGTCACAGAAATGCAGACATCCATACTCACTCATAAAGGCAGGGAAAGACAGGCTATGCAAGGGGGCAAAATAAATATCATGGAGGCATGAGAGAAGATGGCACAAGTCCAGGCACAGTGGATAACACCTGTAATCTCAGCACTTTGGGAGGCTGAAGTGGGAGGATTGCCTGAGCCCAGGAGTTTGAGACCAGCCTGGGCACATGGTGAGACCCTGTCACTACAAAAAATAAAAAAAGAGAAGATGACACGTGTTCAGAAAATGATATGAAATAAAAATATTTGAGCATGGACTACATTAAAGAAGTCAAAAGAATATTCTTTGATGGTTTGGTAGTTCTTAAAAAAGTTAAACATAGAATTACTATAGGAGCATTTCCACTCCGAAGTATATACCCAAAAGAACTGAAAAACTTGTCCTCAAATACATGTACATGTATGTTCATAGCAGCACTATTCACAATAGCCAAAATGTGAAAACAATGAAAATGTTCATCAATGGCTGAATGGAAAAACAAATTTTGGTACATATGTGCAATGGAATATTATGCAACCATAAAAATAATACATGCTGGCCTGGCGCAGTGGCTCACGACTGTAATCCCAGCACTTTGGGAGGCTGAGGCGGGTGGATCACGAGGTCAGGAGATCGAGACCATCCTGGCTAACATGGTGAAACCCTGTCTCTACTAAAAAATACAAAAAATTAGCCAGGCATGGTGGCGGGCACCTGTAGTCCCAGATACTCGGGAGGCTGAGGCAGGAGAATGGCGTGAACCCGGGAGGCGGAGCTTGCAGTGAGCCGAGATCGCACCACCGCACTCCAGCCTGGGTAACACAGCGAGACTCCGTCTCAAAAAAAAAAAACAAAAAAAACAAAAACAAACAAAAAAAAAACCACATGGATGGCCCTGAAAAATATTATGCTGAGTGAGAAAAGCTGGACACAAAAGGTGATATATTATATTATTACATATATATAAAATAGAATAGGTAAATTTGCAGAGATAGAACACAGATTTTTGGTTGCCAGAGGCTGGAAAAGGGGAGAATGGAAAAAACTGCTTAATGGATAGCTGGGTTTTATTTTGAAGTGACGGCAATGTTTTGGAAATAGATAGAGGTGGTGGTTGTACAACATTGGGAATGTACTCAATGTCACTGAATTTTTCACTTTAAATTTTATTTTGTTATGTGAATTTCACCTCAATGAGTTTTTTTAAAAAGAAACATTCTTAAGCATGACACAATCAGTTTGTTTATTTCAGATAGTAAGTACTTTGGTAATACTTGGAAGATGAATTTTGTGGGACCAGTCTGGAGGCAGGCAGACTGGCCTGGTGATTATTGAAGAGACTGGGTGAAACATAGAAGCCCTATTGAGAGGGTGGAAGGGCAAGGGGGACGGAGAGAAGGAGAACAGAGACCTCTAGGAGGTAGAACATATAGGATCATGTGGCCACATAGACAGGGAAGTCTGGGGAAAGGAGTGGAGGGGAGGGAGAACAAGCATAAGGAGTAGAGGATGAAGTTTCTTGAGTGACGTGATGAATGATGTCAAATACCAAGAGAAGGAATAGAGACAATAATGGAGGAGAGGCTAAATAAGATGGAGGATAAACGATTTAGTTTGGGGCATTTGATTTTTAGATATCTATAGGTCATCTAAGTAGAGACCTTTTGGCCCTAAAATCCTGAAAGACACAGCAATTAGCAAGTTTCCAATGTTTTAAAAGTTGAATCTGTGTTTATAATAATTGTGACATATTTGTTGCTTCTGTCAGATTTGATATAAATGCTTATAACATGGATCTTTGTGGCTGAAACATTCAAAGCTAAACATTCAACTTTTCAAGAATGGTAACTGATGGTACAAAGTTACAGTTGGGAAGAATAACTTTGGTGTGCACAGTAGAGGGAGTACAGTTAGTAATAATGTGTATTTCAAAATAGCTAGAAGATTTTGAAGTTTTTATCATGAAAGACAAATGTTTGAGGTGACAAATATGCTAATTACCCTGATATGATTGTTACAAAATGCATACATGTATGGAAACGTCACACTGTACTCCATAAATAGGTTCAATTATTCCGTATCAATTAAAAATTTAAAAAAGAGTGGTAACTGATGGTTGAAAGGAAGTCAAAAATTGGAATTTCAAACAAGCAATGTGTCTCAGGAATATTTAGCCTTCTGAAGTTTACCCAGCTAATTGGAAGTGTATCAGTTGGTATTGTGATCCAGCTGTAACAGATGGGAGGAGGGAGAAGATCAGGAAAAATAACTAATGGGTACTAGGCTTAATACCTGAGTGAGGAAAGAAAACCCCAGCGACTCAAGTTTAGCTATGTAACAAATCTGCATTTGTACCTCGGAACTTAAAAGTTTTAAAAAAGCCCAATGTCATCATTAATATCAACATCTAGGGAGACCAAGAGTTCCCGTTTGTTTTCTGGACTTTCCCAGTTTTAACACTGAAAGTCCTGAGTCCCCAGAAACACTTGAGTCCTAGGCAGACTGGGAGGGTTGATCACTCTAATTACAGCCACAAAATTCAGTTAACATTGGTTTAAGTAAGGGTTTATTTTCCTCAGCTAATGTGAAGTCCACATGAAGGCAGTTTCGGCAGGCCAGCTCTCAAAGATGTCCTCAAGAATGTCCTTCTATTTTTCTCTCTGCCGTTCTTAGCACTTTTCACCTCAGGGATGCAAGATGGTTTCTCTACTTCCGGCCTCACAAACATGTTCCAGACAAAGAGGAAATAGACAAGGAAGAGCAACTAGTAAAAGCAAAGCAGCACATACCAGCCAACTGGGCTACCTTCAAAAATTTTTCTGGAAACCCTACCCAGCCACTTTCGCTTACTTATTTTTGGGCAGAATTGAGTTCATGTCCACCCCCAGTGACAAGGGAGCCTGGCAGGTTAGCTCTTACTTAATATAGAACCTATCCTGATATTGGGAAATTGTTTCCTAAGTTGTAGCAGATTGGAAACAGCAATGTGGAAGAGAAGGGGCTTTTTGAATCTTACGTACTAATACCAGAATGAAATGAGATTTGAAACCTAAAAGCAAAGGAAGAGAGAAGTACACACCATGTCAATTTTTTTCTCATCAAGAAAAATGTTTTCCTAGGTTAGTCATCACTTTAGTTATTGGGAACATAAACTTCTGTAGCATTTCCGCCAGCCTCTTCTGATGGTCTTTACCAAATTTTAAATTTCTACCACAGTGCTAAGCAAGTTCCTATATTTTACAGAATCCACAGAGAGGGAGAGGAGTAGGTAGATATTTCAGAACACCAAACCAAAGGTACAAAAGACAGAACTGAGAAAGAAGTCAGGTGTAACACTAGGGAAGGACTATCCCCGGATTCCTAAACTGGTGTGCATGGACGTGTGGAACTCACGTGTGCATGTTTGTAAAGAGACAAAAATGATCATCAAGCACTTTAAAGGAAGATCCTTTTTGGAAAGAGCCTATTTTGAAAAGCCAAATACAATTCTTGATTATAACAGAGAGATCTTATTTTTAAAATTTTGCCTTAAAGAGAAAAAAATAAGAATTTAACATTTCCTTGCAATAGTTTGCTGAGAATGATGGTTTCCAGCTTCATCCATGTCCCTACAAAGGACAAAACTATCACAAGGACAAAAAACCAAATACCGCATGTTCTCACTCATAGGTGGGAATTGAACAATGAGAACACATGGACACAGGAAGGGGAACATCACACACCGGGGCCTGTTGTGGGGTGGGGGGCAGGGGGAGGGGTAGCATTAGGAGATATGCCTAATGTTAAATGACGAGTTAATGGGTGCAGCACACCAACATGGCACATGTATACATATGTAACAAACCTGCACATTGTGCAAATGTACCCTAAAACTTAAATTATAATAATAATAATAATAAAACATTTCCTTTGATTTGTTCTCCTTAAATGCTTTGGGAATCTTTAAGAGCATCTTTAGAGTAAGCTTGTTATGCCCCAGTGATGGGCAAGGCACAGTGTTGGGATCGTCACATGAAATACAATTGACCACCGCAATCTCTACCCCTGGGAGCTCATAGTCCAGAAACAACAATAATACAAATGCATAGAGAGCTCTAATATGAAGCAAAAAAAAAGGAAACAACACCAAGAGTGTGTATGGTGAGTTCAGAGAAGGAAGAGGCCCCACAGAGTGAGGGAAACAAAAAATGTTCCCAGAGGAAGGTGTTGTGTCAGTCATCATGGTCTCTCAGAACATCAGGGTTCAAGCAAGAATGGGCTTCCTGTGCATGGGCAAAACTGTTGGAATAGTTCATGTTTGTACATTCAGTTGTCAGGTTTGCACTGATGCTTGTCAACTCTGCAGAAATTCACCAGAAAGCCTTCTGATCAAAGTTAAGTTTATTAAACCTCTGCAGTAAGGGATGACACCACATATCTTGGAAGGGGTGTGGATATTTGGGGTCTGGGCTCAAATGGTTTAAGGCAGGTCTTCCACTATGGGTAACTAATTGGTATTGGGCAAGGT
The DNA here is from genome assembly GCF_000001405.40 of Homo sapiens. Taxonomy (NCBI): domain Eukaryota; kingdom Metazoa; phylum Chordata; class Mammalia; order Primates; family Hominidae; genus Homo; species Homo sapiens. The sequence goes on along the minus strand of NC_000011.10, from coordinate 93,010,622 downwards.
TTGTGACATAATAATCTAGCATTAGTGAGTCTTGATAAATAAACTTGTCTACTAAGAAGCTGTTTTCCCAGGTGAACAATATCTATTATTCTAATAGCAGAGCTGTTTGCCTAGATGAACAAACTCTTTGTCAGAACCTATTGGTTTATAAAGATTTCCTGAAACAAAAAGTGAAATTAGTTATTGGCATAAAACCTTAACTTCTTCGGCAAAAATTTTCATGGAACAAATAACTAAGTCATATTGATACAAGTGGTCTCATTTCTGTTTTGATAGTTAAGCAGTGAGGGTGCTGGAGTTCTCAGTTCTCAGGTTGGCACTTAGGATAGGTTGGGAGGTGAGGAGAGATGAAGCCTGAGGGTGGGTTGTTCTAAGCCACAGTGACTGAAGTGCCAGGTAACGGAATGAATCAATAGCTTGCTATAACCTATTTGAAATCTGTAGATTTTATCACTGCAGTGTTACTAGCTTTGCCACCTGCTTTCTATTCACAGAGCTACCACTCCAGGTAGATTTTTCTCTGTACTTTTACTGGAATTGGAATCTCCTATGTGTCTCCCTACCCTCTGGTCTCTCTCCCTTCCACCCATCCTACCTGCTGCTCTCAGATTAATCTTGCCAGCATCTAACTTGGGTCCCCAAACATTGTTGATCAGTAAGCCTTCTACTAGATTCTAGCTCTCCCCACCCATTTCCAGCCCCCATACTATCCTGTGTGTCCATGAGAACCAGCTGTGCCTTGTACCCTGAGGTCTGATCAGGCCTTAACACATGGGGAGCGTGCAGAGCTGAGAGGATGCTATGGGCAGGGTTTGGCCTCCAAGTGAGGAGGAAGTGTTGGATTTACAAAGGCAAACCCTACCAAAGCCTTTGATTAAGACTAAAGTAGAAATTAATGTATGATGTCTATGGTTTAATGTACTTTAGATTTTGTTTTCTTTAAAAGTGGCTTTCTAAGCTGTGTGCTCAGTGTAGTTAAAAAAAATACCATGGTTTCAAAAAAGAGTGCACAGTACATGAGTTTTCTCTCAATTGTGCCTCCCACAGTTTTCTCCTCGTTATATATAAAATTCCAGGGATGGGACAGTACTTTGCTGAACAATTCCTTTGTGCCAGGCACTTGACTACATGCAGTCATTTAATCCTCTCTGCAACCATAGGAAGTGCCCATTATCCTTCACATTTCATGGATGAGGAGCCCAGGGGTCAGGGAATTCAGATAACAAGGCCAAGTTCTCACTGCTAGTTGGTGACAGGTCAGTCTTTAATTCCAGATCTGTTGGATGCCCATTTCATGTTGCCTCTTGAAGGCTAAGTTTGCAAACCCAAACTGCAAAGGATCCCCCACTGCATCCCACCTCCACTCTGTTGCAGCCTGCTCCCGCCCTCGCATTCCTGCTCCTTCCCCAGGTGACTGGGTTGCTCATGTTGACCAGCTGTGATCTCTCGGAAAGGCCTTCCGCTTATACCCCTCTCCCACAGTGTGATGCCACTATGACTACTGCTATTATTCTTGCCATGACTTATGCTACTACTGATACTGTTCTCACTCCTCCCTCTAATAATATTTTTGGCTAATGTTAATGAGTACACTCTCTGGTCGGGCACATCTCAGTGCTCTATAAACATTATTACAGGTCCTCTCAGCATGCCTTGTGAGGGTGGAGGGTGGAGGCATTTAGAAAAGTATTTTAGTTTAAACTGTTAGTTGAATTCTTCCATTTTTTTTTTTTTTGCAAGAATTTGTCTTCATATAAACAGAAGCTAGCATATTTGTTCCTGGTTCTGCCAGATCTGCCATCTCAACATTTTCTTGCAGCCTTCTCTTGTGTCTTAGTCAGCTAAAACAAAAGACCATGAAGTAGGTGGCTTAAACAACGTAAATCTCGCAGGGTTCTGCAAGATAGGATGTTCAAGATCAAGGTGCTGGCAGATACAGTGTCTGGTGAGGGCCCAATTCCTGGTTTCCATATGGCTGTCTTCTCACTATACCCTCCATATGGCCAATGGAGAGCTAGTTCACTCTCTGATCTCTTTTTAAAAGGGCACTAATTCCATTAATGAGGACCCTAACTTCATGAACTAATTACTTCCCAAAAACTCTACCTTCGCATATGATCACATTGGGATTAGGGTTTCAACATATGAATTTTGAGTTGATGCAAAATTTCAGTCCATTGCACCTTGTATCAGTGGTATTTTCCTAAACCTAAGGAGACCACATGTCCAGTTTATCTGGGTATATTAATCTGTTTTCACGCTGCTGATAAAGACATACCTGAGACTGGGAAGAAAAAGAGGTTTAATTGGACTTATAGTCCAATTCCTCCCACAGCATGTGGGAATTCTGGGAGATATAATTCAAGTTGAGATTTGGGTGGGGACACAGAAAAATTATGGCACTGGGACAGTCTAGTTTGCACCTATTGTTCTTTTTTTTTTTTTTTTTTGAGACGGAGTCTCGCTCTGTCGCCCAGGCTGGAGTGCAGTGGCGCGATCTCGGCTCACTGCAAGCTCCGCCTCCTGGGTTCACGCCATTCTCCTGCCTCAGCCTCCCGAGTAGCTGGGACTACAGGCGCCCGCCACCACGCCCGGCTAATTTTTTGTATTTTTAGTAGAGACGGGGTTTCACCGTGTTAGCCAGGATGGTCTCGATCTCCTGACCTCGTGATCCGCCCGCCTCGGCCTCCCAAAGTGCTGGGATTACAGGCGTGAGCCACCGCGCCCGGCCACCTATTGTTCTTACATGACTAACAGAGCCATCTTTCATTCCCAAAAGTATCTGGTTACCTTAGTAAATCTGCCATTTTAGCTGAGGGAAAACAGCAAGTGTTTTGCAAGGATGCATGGCTCACTGAAGCCTTTAATCCCAAACTGCTGTCAGAAAGCCCTGCCTGCCAGGCATCTTTGCAGTGGTCATGGATCTCATCTGTTTCCTTCTCCTGGCCCAGGTGGGGAGCTTTGTTCACATGAACATGCTTGGTGCATACGTACTGTGGCTACTTCCATACTTACTGGGTTGCACTAGCCCAGAATTGGGCTATAATTTTTCTTCACAGGATGGAGAAGAAAATGATGCAATTTGAAATTTATACTAAGGGAAATAAATAGCCAAAGAAACACAAGGGTTGGGGAATTTTTATGTCCATATTAAGATCAATTTTCCTGGCCTGATAAGGGTATAGTACAAAAAAAGATTAATTTTCCTTCTGTATTGTAAAGCCTTTAGAATGTATTCATCATCAACAAGTGTGGAGGCTCAGTTGATGGGGTGATGGCTGCTCAGAACTTGATTTGGTGATTGCAACTTGGTCAAACATTAAGAAGGTTCTGGGTTTTTTTTTTTTTTTTAACTTCGATGTGCAGTTAGAAAAACATTGAGCAACTTCAGCTGTTAAAGAGCAATTAACCCCTGATTAGGGGGTTCCTGGGAGTATAGAGCCCCCCTGAGATACTCTTATTCAATAATATAGCAAAGTTAAGGGTATCTTGAAGCCTCATACCAATTTTGCAGTGGTGGGCAGATGTGATTTTTGTTTTATAGATGTTGATATGATTTGGCTGTGTCCCCACCCAAATCTCACCTTGAATTTTAGCTCCCAGAGTTCCCACATGTTGTGGGAGGGACCCAGTGGGAGATAATTGAATCATGGGGATGGTTTCCTCCATGCTGTTCTTATGGTAGTAAATAAGTCTTATGAGATCTGATGTTTTTTTAAGAGGAAACCCCTTTCACTTGGTTCTCATTCTCTCGTCCACCATGTAAGACGTGCCCTTCACCTTCCACCATGATTGTGAGACCTCCCCAGCCATGTGGAACTGTGAGTCCGTTAAACCTCTTTTTCTTTATAAATTACCCAGTCTCAGGTATGTCTTTATCAGCAGCTTGACAACGGACTAATAGAGATGTGAAAACTGAGACTTGGAGTTAGCCCTAGATTCTCCCATGTGAACTCAGGTTGGATCCATGTATAAATGTAGCCAAGTTACTTAACTTGAGCTTCTGTTTCTTCATGTGTAAAATGGTGGTACTAATAACTAACCCATGGAAACAATAAAGGTAGTAATGGCTTTGTCAAGAAAAGAGTCGAACTCTGTAAAATAATTAAAGAGATTTATTCTGAGCCAAATATGGGTGACCATAGCCTGCGACACAGCACTCAGGAGGTCCTGAGAGCATGTGCCCAAGGTGGTCGGGGTGCAGCTTGGTTTTATACATTTTAGGGAGCCATGAGATATCAACTACATTTAAGAAATACATTGGTTTGGTCCAGAAAGGCAGGACAACTCAAAGTGGGGACTTCCAGGCTATAGGTAAATTTAAACATTTTCTGATTGACAATTGGTTGAGTTCATCTAAAGACCTGGGATCAATAGAAAAGAAATGATTAGGTTAAGATAAAAGATTGTGGAGACCAAGGCTCTTTTGAAGTCTTGTAGTGGCTGCCCTTAGAGACAATAGATGACAAATATTTCCTCTTTAGACCTTTAAAAGGCGCTAGACTCTTACTTAATCTCTTCTTCGTGATTGGGAGAGCCTGGAAGCAAAAGATCTAGCTATGTTAATAGAGATTCTTTACAGATGCACATTTTCCCCCACAAAGGACAGCTTTGCAGGACCATTTCAAAATATGGCAAAGAAACATGTATTTAGGGTAAAGTATTTTGATTTTCTTTTTTGTCATGTACTGTTATGCCAGAGTCAGATTGGAAAGTAAGTCACAATACATATGGTTAAATAAAAACCATCTGATGAGAACTTACAGTTTGTGGGGCATGACTCCCCAGACCACTTAGATAGAAATTTGGGCAAGATAAAAAAAAAATCAGAGCTTAGTCCTCAGCTTTAAAGCACTTTACAGGGCCCAACCCACACCAGGCACTCAATCAATGATAAATAACCTTGTGGCTATCATGTGGTCCTCCTCCTCTTCTTCCTCATGATCACTGCCATCATTACTGCCTCTGTCTCCCATGGACGTGGCTGGAGACCAAAATAGTCAGGGATCTAGTAAGAAAGCCTCAAAAAGGAAGGTTTTCTCCCTGCTTTTCAAGTCCCTTCCCAGAGGACTGGGAGCAGCTTGGAGGGCAGAAACATATGTGACTCATCCTTCTCCATGCCAAATACCATGCATGGTACTGAGCACAGGTGAGGCAGATGTGGCAGCTGACTTGGCGTGGGCAGATCAGCACTGCATTCCTGCAGCAGCTGTTGAAAATTGATCTCTCAAATCTGGCCTGTTGTTTGGCTCTGCACACTGGCTGCCTGAAGTAGGTCATCAAAGACTGCTTCATTTCCCCAGGCCCTTTTTTGACCTAGCTTCAGGGGGGTCAGCCAGCATGCACATTTTGGCCTGACCCAAGGGCATTTCAAGTAGCTCATCAATTTCCAAGCTTGCAACTTATTATCATGAAAGAAATTGTACTGATGCACTATGAAAGTGCTTCAGATCTGACTGCAATTTGTCAGTATGGAATTTTCTAAAGAGACAAAACAGATAATTGTATTATTATTATTATTTTATGATTAATAATGTGATTTTTATTTTTATTAAAAAAATTTTTTATTATACTTTAAGTTCAGGGATACATGTGCAGAACATGCAGGTTTGTTACATAGGTATACACGTGCCATGGTGGTTTGCTGCACCCATCAACCTGTCATCTACATTAGGTATTTCTCCTAATGCTATCCATCCCCTTGCCCCCCAATCCCCAACAGGCCCTGGTGTGTGATGTTCCCCTCCCTGTGTCCACGTGTTCTCTTTGGTCAACTCCCACTTATGAGTGAGCAAATGCGGTGTTTGGTTTTCTGTTCTTGCAATAGTTTGCTCAGAATGATGGTTTCCAGCTTCATCCATGTCCATGCAAAGGACATGAACTGATCCTTTTTTATGGCTGCATAGTATTCCATGGTGTATATGTACCACATTTTCTTTAATCAGTCTATCATCGATGGGCATTTGGGTTGGTTCCAAGTCTTTGCTATTGTGAACAGTACCACAATAAACATATTTGTGCATGTGTCTTTATAGTAGAATGATTTATAATCCTTTGGGTATATACCCAGTATTGGGATTGCTGGCTCAAATGGTATTTGTGGTTCTAGATCCTTGAGGAGTTGCCACACTGTCTTCCACAATGGTTGAACTAGTTTATACCCCCACCAACAGTGTGAAAGTGTTCCCATTTCTCCACATCCTCTCCAGCATCTGTTGTTTCCTGACTTTTTAATGATCACCATTCTAACTGGCATGAGATGGTATCTCATTGCGGTTTTGATTTGCATTTCCCTAATGACCAGTGATGATGAGCTTTCTTTCATATCTTTGTTGGCTGCATAAATGTCTTCTTTTGAGAAGTGTCTGTTTATATCCTTTGCCCACTTTTTGATGGGGTTGTTTTTTTCTTGTAAATTTGTTTAAGCTCTTTGTAGATTGTGGATATTAGCCCTTTGTCAGATGGATAGATTGCAAAAATTTTCTCCCATTCTGTAGGTTGCCTGTTCACTCTAATGATAGTTTCTTTTGCTGTGCAGAAGCGCTGCAGTTTAATTAGAACCCATTTGTCAATTTTGACTTTTACCACTGTTCAGGGAAATAAGAGAGGACACAAACAAATGGAAAAACATTCCATGCTCATGGATAGGAAGAATCAATATCGTGAAAATGGCCATTCTGCCCATAGTAATTTATAGATTCAGTGCTATCCCCATGAAGCTACTATTGACTTTCTTCTCAGAATTAGAAAAAACGACTTTAAATTTCATATGGAACAAAAAAAGAGCCCGCATTACCAAGACAATCCTAAGCAAAAAGAACAAAGCTGGAGGCATCATGCTACCTGACTTCAAACTATACTACAAGGCTACAGTAACCAAAACAACATGGTCCTGGTACCAAAACAGATATATAGACCAAGAGAACAGAACAGATGCATCAGAAATAACACCACACATCTACAACCATTTGGTCTTTGACAAACCTGACAAAAACAAGCAATGGGGAAAGAATTCCCTATTTAATAAGTGGTATTGGGAAAACTGGCTAGCCATATGCAGAAAACTAAAACTGCACCACTTCCTTACACCATACACAAAAATTAACTCAAGATGGATTAAAGACTTAAATGTAAGACCTAAAACCATAAAAACCCTAGAAGAAAACCTAGGCAATACCATTCAGGACATAGGCATGGGCAAAGACTTCATGACTAAATTGTGTTATTATTAATAGTTATTCTTTACAACTTTATCTTTTACACATATATACATATTTTTTCTTTATAACTACATCTTATATATATGTTCTTCATAACTATACCTTTTAATCTGTATATCTATATCTGTCTTTTATATTTTTTCATTAGCAAACTATACCTTTAATATGTATATCCTTTATAACTATTTAATATATATATCTTTGTACCTTATTCATCACCACAAACTGAAATAATAAAGAATAATTTTAGTAAGTTTGCCTTAGAAAGATATAAATGTATTTTTGAAAATTATATATTTAATCATCTGAATGTATTTGAAGGGAAGTAGGAGAGTCAACTAGATCTTTTACATTTATTGTCCCTTTAGCACATCTGTAAGATAAAGAGGCAAACGTTTGTTTGAAAACACACTAGAATTTATACATCCAAATGGGAATTGTTCTTCAAAACAGCTGTCTTGGGAGACTGTACATTTGTTCCTACAATGCCGTAGTCTCAGAGAATGTGAGGAGACCCCTTTTTAGGACCTGCCTTTAGAAGTCAGTTTATAAACCATAGAAGAAAATTAACGTCAGCTCCCAGCCATGGTTTTCAACCTTGGCTGCATATTAGCAATACTGAACCAGGCTTGTTCTGCCTGTGGTGCCGAAGCCAATCACTGAGGTGATGAGTTTTGCAGTAGAGAAAGATTTTTTCACAGGGCAGCCCAGTGAGGAGATGGGAGAACAGTTCTCCAATCTACTGCCAGAAAGTTAGGGCTCAGTGATATTTATGGGGTAAAGAAGTGGGGTGATCTAAGGCATGGGGAAAGGTGATTGGCAGTGGGGAAAAATGACGTAATTGATGATTTGCACAAGCATAGTCAGGGTTCATGGCTTTTCATAGGATATGTATTCAGGAAATAATGGCATTAGCATGATCTGAGAGAGGAGTTTATGGTCCTCTGATGCCAAAAGGTCACCTCTTCGGCATCTGCACAGGCTCAGTTTAAGGGTCAGTGATCTCAACTGCACTCAAACTGGACAAGGGCTGACCCCAAGATCCTGAAAAACAACTTAGGCATTTATTACCACGGTAATATATACATCAGAGGTGTTAGCTATAAGGAAGCTAGTGAAGGCTAAGTTACAGTACATGGTAGTGTAGTATCGCTTTCAGCTGTGTGGGTTAAAAAAAATTAACAAGAAGTGAGCAACTAAAAAGATTAGGACTTGGTTTTATTGGAATCATTTGGGGAGCTTTAACAAAATACCAACAACTGGCCCACCCTAAACCAGTTAAGTCACAATACCTGGGCATTCTAATTTTTCAGGTTTTTCAGGTCATACTAATGTGTGGCAAAGATTGAGAACCACACCTCTTTCTTTAACCAATAGATACACCCAATTTCTCATTGAATATTTTTTTTTTTTTGAGACAAAGTCTTGCTCTTCACCAAGGCTGGAGTATAGTTGTGCAATCATAGCTCACTGCAGTCTCCAACTCCTGGGCTCAAGATATCCTCCCATTTCAGCATCTTGAGTAGCTGGGACTACAGGTGCACTCCACCACATCTGACTAACTTTTAAAAATTTTTTGTAGAGACAAGGTCTTGCTATGTTGCTCAAGCTAGTCTCAAACTCCTGATCTCAGGTGATCCTCCTGCCTTGGCCTCCTAAATTACTGGGATTACAAGTGTGAGCCACTGAGCCTGGTCCTCTTTGAATAATTTTGGCCTGTTTCCAAAATTTAAACCTATTATCAAAAGGCGGAAATTTAATACCTTTGAAAATGTACATCAAGAAAATATGCTACAGGTTCCAAAATCAGCTCCAAAATTTTTCTGAACCAGGAGATCTTATTGTTAGAATAAGTATGTACCTTCCCAGGGAAACCATTTAGAAAAGTACAAAGCCTTTTTAAAAATACAAAGTTGTTCATTTATTCTCTTATTAATGAACATCTGGGTTGTTAAGTTTTTGGTAATTATGAAAAAAGCTGCTATGTACATTTGTGTGCAAGTCTTTCATGAAAATATTTTTTTTTATTTCTCTTGCATGAATATCTAGGAGGGAAAGAGCTGAGCCATGACTCAGCTGTTTATAAGAATGTATGTTTCAGGCTGAGTGTGGTGTTTTATGCCTGTAATGCCAGCACTTTGGGAGGCCAAGATGGGAGGATTGCTTGAGGACAGGAGTTGGACACTGCAGAGAGATGTGATTGAGTCATTGCACTCCAGCCTGGGTGACAGAGTGAGACACTATCTCTTAAAAAGAATTTTTTTTAAGAATGTGTATTTATAACAGACTGTCAAATAGTTCTCTAAAATGATTACAGTACAGTATCCAAGGGGGGACACATGTTTTAAGAGCCCCAGGAGATAGCTGAAACCAAGGATAGTACCAGGCCCTATATATACTACGCATGAATTTCTTTTTCCTTCTTCACAATTTACAGGCAGAACATTCGTTTTCATCATAGATCTTAGCAACCTTATTTCTTTCCTTATTAACTTAAGAACTTTCATCTTTTCACTTAAAGGAAGAATTTTATGGCTTCTCTGTGTCATACCCAAATTGCCAGCATCTCTACTCTTGCACTCTGGGGCCATTATTTACTAATGTAAGGATGACTTGAACACAAGCACTGAGATACTGCAACAGTCTGATAACCCTGAGGGCTACTAAGTGATTAACAGGCAAGAAGCATCTACAGCATGGACATGCTGGACAAAGGAATGAGTCACATCCTGGGCAGGGTGGCAGGAGATTTCACCACATTACTCAGAATGGTGTACAATTTAAAACTTACAAATTGTTTATATCTGAAATTTTCCATTTAATATTTTTAGACCAAGGTTGACCATGGGTAACTGAAACTGTGAATAAGAGGAGAACTACTTCAGAAATGTGAAATGGTTTAGAAAAAAATTAAAACGAAAATAAAGAGAAAAAAGAAGGGACTATTATCTGTAATTTTATGCTCTAACAGTGTCCTCTTTATCAGTGATATCAGGACATTTAATTTTAGCCAGTCTAAAAGAGTGGGTAAAATGAAATATTGGGCATGTTTTCTTGTTTTATAGCCCATTTATAAAATTAAATATTTGGCATCTTTTCTCATTTTTATAGCCAATTTAGATATCTTCTTTGGTGAAGTGCCTGTCCAAGCCTATTGCCTATAAACTTTAAAAAATGTTTCAGATAGGCTGGGTGCGGTGGCTCATGCCTGTAATCCCAGCACTTTTGGAGGCCGAGGCGGGCAGATCACAAGGTCAGGAGATCGAGACCATCCTGGCTAACATGGTGAAACCCTGTCTCTACTAAAAAAAAACAAAAAATTAGCCAGGCATGGTGGTGGGCGCCTGTAGTCCCAGCTACTCGGGAGGCTGAGGCAGGAGAATGGCGTGAATCCGGGAGGCAGAGCTTGCAGTGAGCCAAGATCGCGCCACTGCACTCCAGCCTGGGCGACAGAGCAAGACTCCTTCTCAAAAAAAAAAAAAAAAAAAATTTCAGATAATTGTAGATTCTAATGTAATTGTAAGAAAATTTTTTAAAAAGACATCTATGAACACTTAGTTTACCTTGACAATAACATCTTGCAAAACTATGTAGTACAATATCACAACCAGGATGTTGACCATGATACAGTCCACAACTCATTTAGATTTTCTTCGTTTATGTAAACTCGTGTTTAGTTTTATACAATTTTATAACACATGCAGGTTTCCGTATCCATCACCACAGTCAAAATACAGGACAGTTCCATCACCACGAGGACCCCTCATGTTGCTCTTTTATTACCATATCTACTACCTTCTGACCCTTCTCATAAACTCTTCAACCACAAATCTATTCTCCATTTCTAAAATTTTGTCATTTAAAAAAGGCTATTAAAGTAGATGAGTGGATACAAAAATGTGGCATATACATACAATGACATATTTTTCAGCCTTAAAAGGGAAGAACATGCTGTCATTTGTGACAACATGGATGCAACTTGAGGCTACTATGCTGAGCGAAATAAGCCAGTCACAAAAATATAAACACTGTATGATTTCATTTATGTGAAGTATCTAGAATAGAAAATTCATAGAACAGAAAATAGGATGGTGGTTGCCAGAGGCTGGGGAAAAATGATGAGTTGTTTAATGGATGTGGAATGTCGATTTTGCAAGAAAAAGTTCTGGAGATTGGTCGTATAAAAATGTGAATATAGGGGCAGGGCATGGTGGCTTATGCCTGTAATCCCAGCACTGTGGGAGGCTGAGGTGGGTGGATCAGTTGAGGCCAGGAGTTTGAGACCAGTCTGGGCAACATGGTGAAACCCTGTCTCTACAAAAAATACAAAAATTAGGCCAGGCTCAGTGGCTCATGCCTGTAATCCTAGCACTTTGGGAGGCCGAGGAGGGTGGATCACCTGAGGTTGGGAGTTCGAGACCAGCCTGACCAACATGGAGAAACCCTGTCTCTACTAAAAATACATCAGCTGGGTGTGGTGGCACATGCCTGTAATCCCAGCTACTCGGGAGGCTGAGGCAGGAGAATCGCTTGAACCTGGGAGGCGGAGGTTGTGGTGAGCCCAGATAGTGCCATTGCACTCCAGCCTGGGCAACAAGAGCGAAACTCTGTCTCAAAACAAACAAACAAAAAAACCCCCAAAATTAGTCAGGCATAGTGGCATGTGCCTGTGGTCCCAGCAACTTGGGAGGCTGAAGTAGGAGAATCACTTGAACTCAGGAGGCGGAGGTTGCAGTGAGCTGAGATTGCACCACTGCACTCCAGCCTGGGTGACAGAGCAAGAATTTGTCTCAATAAATAAATAAATAAATAAATAAATAAATAAAATAAAAATAAAAAATAAAAAAATTAGTATATGTAACAGTATGGAATTGTACATTTAGAAATAATTAAGATGTTAAATTTTATGTTACACATTTTTAAACCACAATTTTTAAATAGTTACATAAATGGAATCATAAACTATGTCACCTTTTGGGATTGGCTATTTTTCCTCAGCATAATTCCCTGGAGATTCATTCAAATAGTTGCGTGTATCAGTAGTTTGTTCCTTCTTATTGCTGAGCAGCATTCCGTGGTGTGGATGTACCTTAGTTTGTTTAACCATTCATCCACTGAAGAACATCTGGATTGTTTCCAGTTTTTCACTATTATGAATAAAAGTACTATGATCATTTGGGTTTTGTGTGAACATTGGTTTCTCATTTCTTTGGGATAAAATGCCCAAGAGTGCAATTGCTGAGTCATAAGAAACTGCCAAACTGTTTTCCAGAGTAGGTGTACCATTTTACATTTCTACCAGCAATATATGAGTGATCCAGTTTCTCTGCATACTCACCAACATTTGGTGTTACCGTTTTAGTTATTCTGATAGATATGCATTGATATCTCATTGGAGTTTTAATTTCCATTTCCCAAATGGGTAATAATGTTGACTGTCTTTTAATGTTTTTATTTGCCTTTTGTACATCTCTTTGGTAAAATCTCTGTTTCTTTTGCCCATATTCTAATTAGGGGTCGAATTTGCTCCTGTTCTAATTGGAGGTATTAATTGGCTTTTTGCTGTAAGATTTGGAAGTTCTTTATTATTTTATTTTTAAAATTGTTTTCAGCTGAAGGCAATGGCTCAGTCCTATAATACCAGTGCTTTGGGAGGCTGAGCTGGGAGGATTACTTGAGGCCAGGAGAATGAGAGCACAGTGAACTATGATTGCACCACCTCCCTCCAGCCTGGGTGACAGAGTGAGACCCTGTCTTCAAAAAAAATAAAAAATGACTCTTTAATAATCGCCATTCTGACTGGTGAGATATGGTATCTCATTGTGGTTTTGATTTGCATTTCTCTAATGATCAGTGATGTTGAGCTTTGTTTCATGTTTCTTGGCCACATGTATGTCTTTTTTTGAGAAATGTCTGTTCATATTCTTTGTCTACTTCTTAATGGGTTTTTTTTTCTTGTAAATTTGCTTAAGTTCCTTGTAGATTCTGGATATTAGACCTTTGTCAGAAGGATAGATTGCAAAAATTTTCTCCCTTTCTATAGGTTGTCTGTTTACTCTGATGATAGTTTCTTTTGCTGTGCAGAAGCTCTTTAGTTTAATTAGATCCCATTTGTCAATTTTTGCTTTTGTTGCAATTGATTTTGGCATCTTCATCATAAAATCTTTGCCTGTGCCTATTTCCTAATTGGTATTGCCTAGATTTTCTTCTGAGGTTTTTACAATTTTGAGTTTTACATTTTAGTCTTTAATCCATCTTGAGTTAATTTTTGTATATGGTGTAAGGAAGGGGTCCAGTTTCAATTTTGTGCATATGGCTAGCCAGTTTTCCCAGCACCATTTATTAAATAGGGAATCCTTTCCCCATTGCTTGGTTTTTTCAGGTTTGTCAAAGAACAGATTGTTGTGGATGCACGGTTTTATTTCTGAGTTCTCTATTCTGGCGAGGTTGCAGAGAAATAGGAACGATTTTACACTGTTGGTGGGAAAGCAAACTAGATCAACCATGGGGAAGACAGTATGGAGATTCCTCAAAGATTTAGAACTGGAAATACCATTTGACCCAGCAATTCCATTACTGAGTATATACCCAAAGGAATATAAATCATACTATTATAAAGATACATGCACTCATATGTTCATTGCAGCACTATTCACAATAGCAAAGAAGTGGAATCAACTCAAATGCCCATCAATGATAGACTGGATAAAGAAAATGTGATACATATACACCATGGAATGGTATGCAGCCATAAAAACTAATGAAATCATGTCCTTTGCAGGAACATGGATGAAGTTGGAAGCCATTATCCTCAGCAAACTAATGCAGGAACAGAAAACCAAATACCGCATATTATCACTTATAAGTGGGAGCTGAACAATGAGAATGCATAAACACAGGGAGGGGAACAACACTCACTGGGGCCTGTTGGGGGAGTATGGGGAGGTAGGAGAGCATTAGGGAAAAGAGCTAATGCATGCTAGGCTTAATACCTACATGATGGGTTGATAGGTGCAACAAACCACCAAGACACACATTTACCTATGTAACAAACCTGCACATCCTGCACATGTACCCTGGAACTTAACATAAATAATACATTTTTAAAACAAGATCATATCAACCCTCTGTCAGAAAACATCATGAAAATAAACCAGTAAAAAATTAAAATAAAAAATAAAAAATGGCCAGGAGCCATGGCTCATGCCTGTAGTCCCAGCACTTTGGGAGGCCAAGCGGGGATGGATTGCTTGAGAGACCAGGAGTTTGAGACCAGCCTGGCTAACATGGTGAAATCCCATCCCTACTAAAAATACAAAGTTAACTGGCTCACTTGGGAGACCAAGGCATGAGAATTGCTTGAACCCAGGAGGCGGAGGTTGCAATGAGCCAAGATGGTGCCACTGCACTCCAGCCTGGGCGACAGAGTGAGAGTCTGTCTCAAAAAATAAATAAATAAATAAATAGTAAATAAATAATTTTTATTGTGGTAAAAACACATAATATAAAATTTAACATGTTAACCATTTCTAAGTGTAAAGTTCAGTAGTGTTAAGTATATTCACATTGTTATGTAACCAATCTCCAGAATTTTTTCTTCTTGCAAAACTGAAATTCTATATACATTAAACAATTCTTCATTTGCTCCTTCCCCCAGTCCCTGACAACCAACATTCTACTTGCTGTTTCTATGAATCTAACTATTCTAGATATTTCACATTAGTGGACTCATACAGTATTTCCTTTTTTGTGACTGACTTATTTCACTTAACATAATGTCCTCAAGGTTCCTCAAGGGTCATCCACGTTGTATGAAAACTCTTTAGTATGTTCTAGTTATTTGTCTTTTGTTGGGTATGTGGGTCTTCAGATATTTTCTTTCAGTTCATAGCATGTCTTTTCTTCCTCTTAAAAAGGTCTTTCATAGAGCAAAACTTTTTAATTTTGATGAGATCTAGTTTATCAGTTTTTCTTTTTGGGGATTGCACTTTTGGTGTGAAGCCTAAGAACTCTTTGCACAGCCTTGTATCTTAAATATTTTCTTCTATATTTTTCTAAAAGTTTTGTACTTTTACATTTTACATTTAGGTTTGTGACCCATTTTGACTTAACTTTTATATAAGGAGTGATATTTAGGTCAAAAATCATTATTTTTTGCCCTTTTTTTATTGGGTTGTTTGTCTTTTTATTGTTAAACTGTAGGTGTTCTTTATATGTTCTGGATACAAGTGGTTTGTGTACTTTCTTTTTTTAAAAAATTTCCAATGCCATTAGTTGCCTTTATCTTCTTAATAGTCTCTTTTAATGAGCAGATTTTTTTTAATTTAAAAAAATTTTATGGATACATAGTAGGTGTATATATTTATGGGGTACATGAGATTTTTTTTGCACAGGCATGCAATGTGAAATAAGCACATCATGGGGAATGGGGTATTCATCCCCTCAGCATTTATCCTTTGAGTTACAAATAATCCAATTACACTCTTTAAATTATTTTAAAATGCACAATTAAGTTATTATTGACTGTAGTCTGACTATTGTACTATTAAATAATAGGTCTTATTCATTCTTTCTATTTTTTTGTACCCATTAATTATCCTTACCTCCCCTCTCACCCCCCACTACCCTTCCCAGCCTCTGGTAACCATCCATCTACTCAATGAACATACATTTTTAATTTTGATGAAGTCTAATGTATCATGATGAAGCTTACAATTAGTTCTTTTGTGTCCCAGCTAAGAAATCTTTTTCTATCCAAAAGGCATGAAGATATTCTCCTAAGTAGTCTTGAATTTTTATGATTCTGTCTATTACATTTAGGGCCATGCCCTATCTTATATTATTTTTATGTATGAGGTAAGGAGGGAATTGAAGTTTTGGTTTTTATTTTGGATTTGCTTTTTTCCACACAGATTCCAGTTTTTCCAGCACCATTTATTAAAAAGGATTTACTTTCCTATTGAGTTGACTTAGTGATTTGGTTCAAAATTAGTTGACCATGGGTTTATTTCATGACTCTATTCTGTTCGGTTGACCTATGTGCTTATCCCTATGCCAAAACTACACTACCTTTATTCCTGTAAGTTTACAATACATCTTGAAATCAGTTTATTATGTTAGTCCTCCAACTTTATTCTTCTTTTTCAAAATTGTTTCAATTATTCCACATCCTCTGCATTTCTATATAAATTATAGAATCAAATTGTCAATTTCTTCTTAAAATCTTGTTAGGATATTGATTGGGATTTCATTGAATCTGTCAGCAAATTTAGGAGAATAGATATTTTAACAATATTGTTCTAATCCATGAATATGGTGTATTTTTTCTTTTATTCAGGTCTTCCTTAATTTCTCTCAGCAGTGTTTTATAGTGTTAAGGGTAGAGATTTTATACATCTCTCATTCGATTAATTCTGTATTTGCTTGTTTTATTGTACTGCAGATGGTATTGTTGGTAAATTTTATTTTCAATTAATCATCGTGAGTATATAGAAACACTATAGATTTTTGTAAATTTACCCTGTACTCTGTGACCTCACTAAATTCACTTACTAGGTCTAGCAGTTGTTTTTTGATATTCCATTCACAATAGCAAAGACATGGAATCAACCTAAATGCCCATCAGTGATAGACTGGATAAGAGAAAATGTGATAGATATACAACACAGAATACTATGCAGCTATAAAAACGAACGTGGTCATGTTCTTTGCAGGGACATGGATGGAGTTGGAAGCCATTATCTTCAGCAAACTAATGCAGGAACAGAAAACCAAACACCACATGTTCTTGCTTGTAAGTGGGAGCTGAAAGATGAGAACACATGGACACATGGAGGGAAACAACACACACTGGGGCCTATTAGGGGGCTGTGGGGAGAGGGAGAGCATCATGAAGAATAGCTAATGGATGCTGGGCTTAATACCTAGGTGATGGGATGATCTGTGCAGCAAATCACCATGGCACACATTTACCTATGTAACAAAACTGCACATGTACCCCTGAACTTAAAATAAAAGTTGAAGGAAAAAAAAAGATTCCATGGAGTTTTCTACACACACAATCAGGTAATCTGAGAATAAAAAACTGTTCTGCATTTCCTTTATAATATGCATGCCTTTTATTTCTTTTTCTTGCCTTATTGAAATACTTTCATATTGAATTAAAGTGAGAGTGGACATGCTTGTTCCCTGTCTTAAGGAGAAAACATTTGTGGTTTCACCATTAAGTATGGTATTAATTATAGATCTTTTGAAGATATCTTTTATCAAATTGAGGAAATTCCTTCTATTATAGTTTTCCAAAAGTTTTGTCATGAATCAATGTTGAGTTGTGTAAAATAACTTATTTTGAATCTAATGAGATAAGATTTCTCTTTTTTTCTGCTAATATGATAAATTACATTAATTAATTTTCAAATACAAAACAAACCTCACATTCCTGGAAAAATCTCTTTTTTGGTCATGATATATTGTCCTTTTTATATATTGCTGGGACCAATTTATTAATATACTATTATGGGTTTTTGCATCTTTGTTCATGAGAAATATTGGCTTGTAATTTTTATTGTCCTGTTATTATAATACCGTGTTACGCTAATTACACAAAATGTATTGGGAAGTGCTTTCTCTATTTTCTGACTGTATGCATAAGGTTAGTATTATTCTTTCTTAAATGCTTGATAGAATTCACAAGTGAAACAATGTGGACTGATAATTTTTTTGTGGAAAGATTTTTTTATTAGAAATTCAACTTTTTAATGAGATCGTGTCCTTTGCAGGGACACGGGTGGAGCTGGAGGCCATTATCCTTAGCAAACTAACACAGGAACAGAAAATCAAATACTCCATGTTCTCACTTATAAGGGAGAGCTAAACGATGAGAACATGTGGACACATAGAGGGGAACAACACACAATGGAGCCCCGGGAGGGTGAAGGATGAGAGGAGGGAGAGAAGCAGGAAAAATAACTAATGGGTACTAGGCTTAATACCTGGGTGAGGAAATAATCTGTACAACAAACCCCCATGACACAACTTTACCCACGTAACAACACTGCACATGTACCCCTGAACTTAAAATAAAGGTTAAAATAAAATTCAACTTTTAAAATAAATATGGGAAAATTCATATTTTTTTCTATTTTACTTTTTGTCAGTTTTGTTAATCCATGGCTTTCATGAATTTTTTCCTTTTTGTCTAAGTTATTAAATTCATTGGCATAAAGTTGTTCATGATATTCTCTTATGTTGTAATGTCTTTAGGGTTTCCAGTGATACTCTCTTTATTCCTGATATTTGTATCTTGTAACATGGCAGGCTTGAGACTGCTATCTCTAGAAAGGTCTGCTTACAAGATTGGCCCTTGGCTGTTATCTGGGAACTTAGTTTTCAGGAGGGTTCCACCATTCTGTAACTGATAAGAGTGGCTCACTATATCTCTATACAGATAAGTGCTTTGTGATAAGTACCTGCTTTCTTTCTGGGTTCTGTCTCTCTTTCACTCATTCTTAGTCTTTCTTGGAGTGGAAACTTAGATTATTAATTTTACATCTTTTTTATTTTATAATATAGGCATTGAAAGTCATGAATTTCACTCTAAGTGTTGCTTTAGCTGCATCCCACAAATTTTAATACACTATTTTTACATTATGATCCAGTTCAAAATATTTTATTTTCCTTATCATTTTTCTTTGACATATGAAGAAGTGTATACTTAATTTGCAATTAGGGGTTGTGCAGAAATAGTTAACATGGCAGGCTTGAGACTGCTGTCTCTGGAAAGGTCTGCTTACAAGACTGGCCCTTGACTGTTATCTGGGAACTTAGTTTTCAGGAGGGTTCCACCATTCTGTAACTGATAAGAGTGGCTCACTATATCTCTAAACAGATAAGTGCTTTGTGATAAGTACCTGCTTTCTTTCTGGGTTCTGTCTCTCTTTCATTCGTTCTTAGTCTTTCTTGGAGTGGAAACTTAGATTATTAATTTTACATCTTTTTTATTTTATAATATAGGCATTGAAAGTCATGAATTTCCCTCTAAGTGTTGCTTTAGCTGCCTCCCACAAATTTTAATACACTATTTTTACATTATGATCCAGTTCAAAATATTTTATTTTCCTTATCATTTTTCTTTGACATATGAAGAAGTGTATACTTAATTTGCAATTAGGGGTTGTGCAGAAATAGTTAACATGGCAGGCTTGAGACTGCTATCTCTAGAAAGGTCTGCTTACAAGATTGGCCCTTGGCTGTTATCTGGGAACTTAGTTTTCAGGAGGGTTCCACCATTCTGTAACTGATAAGAGTGGCTCACTATATCTATACTTTATACAAATAAGTGCTTTGTGATAAGTATCTGCTTTCTTTCTGGGTTCTGGAATTTGGGTCCGTGGTAGGTAGAGGATGCCTATGTGAGTGATCTCCCAATAAAAACCCTGGACATCTAGGCCCAGGCCAGCTTCCCTGGTAGACAACATTTCACACAAGTGTTGTCACAATTCATTGCTGAAGTAATTATTTCCTGTATGACTCTATGACTCCACTAGGAAAGGACTCTTGGAAACTTATGACTGTTTTCTCCAGGTTTTGCTCCATGCTCCTTTTCCCCTTCCTGATTTTGTTTTGTGCCATTTCCTTTGCTGTGCCCAATTTTCTGTTGTCTTTCAAATAAACTTTTCACCTCTCATATAATATTTTTTTCACTTTAACATTCCATTTTTAAATATAGTTTTCATTTATATGCTAAAATTCTCTATCACACTCATTGTTCACCTTTCCCACTGTCTTTGTTTTTTTTTTTTTTTTTTTGAGATAGAGTCTTGCTCTGTGCCCAGGCTGGAGTGCAGTGTTGCAATCTCAGCTCACTGCAACATCTGCCTCCGGGGTTCAAGGGATTCTCCTGCCTCAGCCTCCTGAGCAGCTGGGATTATAGGTGCCTGCCACCACGCCTGGCTAATTTTTGTACTTTTAGTAGAGATGGGGTTTCACCATGTTGGCCAGGCTGATCTTGAACTCCTTACCTCAAATGATCCACCTGCTTTGGCCTCCCAAAGTGCTAGGATTACAGATGTGAGCCACCATGCCCACTGCACCAGCCCTACTGTCTTTTTTTAAGAGATGAGGACATGTTTTGCTTTGTCTAGGTAAACGTTTGTATTTTCTCTTTTACATTTATTTATGAATAAGGAGGAGGAAAGTAAAGTAATATAAAGCAGACTGGACCTAGGGCACACTCAGTCTCCTGTTAGGCCTCAAGTGTGGGGATCTGAGTTAATATAATCTGTAGTTACCAGGGTCTAGGCTTTGTTGCAGCTTTAGTTAGGGTCTATTTAATGCTAGCCACTGATGCAGTGGCTCACCCCTATAATCCCAGCACTATGGCAGGTGGAGGCAAGAGGATAGCTTGAGACCAGGAATTGGAGAACAGCTTGGGCAGCATAGCGAGACCCTATCTCTATAAAAAATATAAAAAATAAAATTAAAATTAAAAATGTTAGCTTCAAACATATTGAAGGTGGGAACATAACTTTCTCTTGATGAGAGAACATTGATGAGACTGGAGATTGCTTTATACTTTATATCCTAGCCACCAGCTTTCTCAACCATGAGAAATCTGTATCTGCTTCATAGCTCAGCTGCCAGGTTCTGGGTAGCTGTCAAGTTCTCTTTTTTTCGCAGTGCCACTGTTGCTTTCCATGCTTCAGTAATCTCTCTCTTTTCTGCTGCCCTGTCCCATTTCTTGGAGTGTAGCTGCAGAACTTTCCATGAAGGAGTGCCATGGTAGGACTTATCCTAGTGTTCTATTACTCTTCCCTCAGTCATCATCTGGTTATGGGAAGGCTATGCCTCAGGGGTCCTCTCTCAGCTGTCTTATCTTAGTCTCAGCCTTTGGTGTACTACACTCATGCATTAGTAAGTGCCCACAGGAAGGGACTGGCAGGTAAGCACTAACTCACCCTATGGCTGAGGTTTGTTTAGATTCTAATTTCTCATGTAATACGCGGTCACTAAAAGTTCCATTTCCATTGTGTATTCTTGATACCCTTGTCAAAGATCCATTGACTGTATATGTGTAGGTTTATTTCTGGGTGTTCTAATCTTTTCTATTGGTCTATATGTCCCTTTATGTCAGTATCATACTGTTTTGATTACTGTCATTTTGTAATATGTTTTGAAAGGAAGTGTGAGGCCTCGAGCTTTGTTCTTTCTCAAGATTGCTTTGAGTATTCAGGGTCCTGTGGGTTCTATACACACTTTAGGATTGTTTTTTCTATTTCTATAAAAAATGTCATTGGGATTTACACAGGGATTAGATTGAATCTGTATATTCCTTTGGGTAGTATGGACATTTTAACAATATTAAGTCTTCCAATACATGAACATGGAATGTCTATCTATTTAATTGTGACTTTTTATGTTTATTTCAGCAATGTTTTGTAGTTTTCAGTGTACAAGTCTTTCATCTCCTTAGTTATGTTTACTCCTATTCTTTTTGATGCTATTATAAATATAATTATTTTCTTAATTTCATTTTCATATTATTTGTTGTTAGTGTATGAAAATGCAATTGACTTTTGTATATTGATTTTTTTTGTATCCTGAAACTTACTGGATTTACTTATTAATTCTAACAAGTTTTGTTAAAGAATCTTTAGAATTTTCTAAGACATAAGTAAGATCATGTCATCTGTGAACAGACAATTTTACTCCTTCCTTTCTAATTTGGATGCCTTTTATTTCTTTATCTTACAGATTGCTCTGTCTAGGACTTCCAGTATTATCTTGGGTAGAAGTGGCCAGAGTGGTCACCATTGTCTTGGTCCTAATCTTAGAGAAAAAGCTTTCAGTTTTTCACCATTGAGTGTGATGCTGTTAGATGTGAGCTTTTCATATATGGGCTTTATTAAGTTGAAGCAATTTCCTTCTATTAGTTTATTTCTAATTTGATAAGAGTGCCAAGAATACATAATGGGGAAAGGACAATGTCTTCAGTGGTTTTGGGAAAACCAAGTAGGCATATGCAAAAAAGATAAAATTGGAGCCCATTTTACACCATATAGAAAACCAACTCAAAATGGGTTAAGGACTTAAACATAAGACTTGACACTGTAAAACTCTTAGAAGAAAACTTGGGGAGAAAGCTTCATGACATTGATCTTAGCAATCATTTCTTGGATATGACATCAGAAAGCACAGAAAACAAAAGCAAAAATAGAGAAGAAGGATTACATCAAATTTAAATACACCCAGCGAAGGAAATGCACAGCAAAGGAAAAAACTCATCAGAGGGAAAAGGCAACCTACGGGATGGGAGAAAATATTAATATTTTTAAACCACATATCTGATAAGAGGTTAATTGCTATAATGTATAAATAACTTTTACAACTTAACAGCAAAAAAAACACAAATAACTCAATTTTAAAAAATAGACAGAGGACTTTGTCTTAGTTCATTTTGGCTGATATAACAAAATACCTTAGACTGAGTGGCTTTTAAACAACAAAATTTTATTTTTCATATCCTCAAGCCTGGGAAGTTCAAGATCAAGGCGCCAGCAGATTAGATGTCTGGTAAGGGCACACTTCCTGGTTCATAAATGGCAATCTTCTCATTGTAATCTCACATGGTGAAAGGGACAGTGAGCTCTGCAGGGCCCCTTTTATTAAAGCACTAATCCCATTCATGAGGACTGTATCCTTATGATCCAATCTCCTCCCAAAGTTCCCATTTCTAAACACCATCACATTGGGGATTAAGGTTTATGATGGTTAATATAGAATGTCAACTTGATTGAATTGAAGGATACAAAGTATTGATCCTGAGTGTGTCTGTGCAGGTGTGTTGCCAAAGGAGATTAACATTTGAGTCAGTGGGCCAGGAAAGGCAGACCCTCCCTTAATCTGGGTGGGCATAATCTAATAAGCTGCCCACCTGGCCAGAATATAAGCAGGCAGAAAAATGTAAAAAGAGAGACTGGCCTAGCCTCCCAGGCTACATCTTTCTCCTATGCTGAATGCTTCCTGCCCTTGAACATCAGACTCCAAGTTCTTCAGTTTTGGAACTTGGACTGGCTCTCCTTGCTCCTTAGCCTGCAGATGGCCTATTGTGGGACCTTGTCATCATGTGACATCATGTGGGACCTTGTCAATTCATGTGAGTTAATACTTAATAAACACACACACACACACACATACACACACACACACACACACATATATATATACATATTCCATTAGTTCTGTCCCTCTAGAGAACCCTGACTAATACAGATTTTGGTACCAAGAGTCGTTCTAGAGGAACAGAATATTAAGGATGGAGTTCTTTAATTGGTTTTAGGGTTTTTGCAGTTGGCTGTTTACTATGATTAGGACTTCAAAATGCTAAGGACTCTACTTCTAATAGTATGGAGAACACTGATAGTCCTTGGTGTGAATTGTTTAGAGAGTTATGCAAAATAAATGCATTTGACACGCCTGATTCATTACTCATGAGAGGCAAGAAGTTTAGTGACTCTATACATAATACCTTTGACCATATGTGGAGAACCAAGGAACATAATGAAGCTGGTTGGTTGCTGCTAAGTTCCATGGACAAAGTGATGAAAGAAAATGATGAACTCAGCAATTCTATCTCCCAGCTTCAGAAGCAGATACTGAATCTCAAATCTGCTAAGATTGCCCAGAGTGACAGTCTTATCTCCTGTAGAGGAAGAGTTGAAATTGTGGAAAAATAGACACGAGTTCTTATCATGCAAGTGGCTGACATGCAATCAAAGGTGCATGCACAGCCTCGCCAGGTGTCTACTGTTAAAGTGAGGGTATTGCTTAGAAAAGAATAGGACCCTGCAACTTGGAATGGGGATGTGTGGGATGACCCTGATGAAGCTCGGGACACGGAGTTTGTAAACTCTGATGAACCTTTTTTGCCAGAAGAAACAGCTTCCCCTTCCACATCCCCAGTAGTGGCAACATCCCCTCCCCAACCCATGCTGCTATCAGCCCTTCCACCTTTGTCTGAGGAAATAAACCCTGTGCTGCCTAAGGCAACAGTGATGGCCTCTCCTGAGGCAGTTGCCAGGCAAGATAATGTTGATTCTCCTCAGGAGCCACCCCCAGCACCTCTGTTTGCTTCTAGACCTATAACTATATATATTTTCCTTAGCTCTGTCGCTCTAGAGAACCCTGACTAATACAGGTTTCAACATATGAATTTTAGGGAGACAAAAACATTCAATCTATAGGAGATGTAAATAAACATTTCTCCAAAGAAGACATACATATAGACAACAGGTATATGAAAAGACATTCAACGTCAATAATCACCAGGGAAATGCAAATCAAAACCACAATGAGATATCACCGAATACCTGTTACAATGGCCATTACAAAAACAAATCCTATAACAAGCGTTGGCTAGGATGTGGAGAAATTGGAACACTTGCGCTCTATTGGTGGGCATGTAAACACTGCAGCCATTATGGAAAACAGTATGGAAGGTCCTCAAAATACTAAAAATGGAACTACCATAGGACCCAGAAATCCCGTTTGTGAATATGTGAGTTTGAAGGAGGTAATATAGCCAGTGGCTAAGGATACAGGCTCTATAGTCAAATTATCTGGTTTCAGAACCTGGTTTAACAACTTACTAGCTATGTGACCTTCAGCAAAGTACATAACTTCCCTGTGCCTCAATTTCCTCATCTATAAATTGAAGAAAATAATAGTACCTCCCTCTCAGGATTGTTTTGGGGCTTAAATATGATAATTAATCCACATAAAGTCCTTAGAACAGTGCCTGGCATATAGTGAGCACTTAGTCCATGCTAGGTGGAGATGTGTGGCAGGCAGTTGGAGATCCACAGGTAGAGACAGCCGTTGTCACCATGGGGATGAAGGTGAGCATCCGAGAAGCATTCACAGAGCAGGGTCCTCAACCAGGTCTACAGATGAGAAGCACCTGAGGAGCATTTTCAAAGTACATGGGGTTCGCAACCCCGGCCCTCATAGGCTGTGATTCTGTAGTGTTTATTCTCTAAAATCTTATCTTGATATATATCCCTAGGGGAAAGCCACTCATATGGAGCAAAAAGTGACCCTAGAAGAAGTTTCACAAACAAGTACAGCATTTCAGAAGTGGACAAAGGGGACTGGGAAGAAATGAGTGGATGGTAAAAAGATGATAGAGGACGGCACAAATAGTGTGTGTGTCTGCGTTGTCTTTGGGCTTGATCCAGTGTGGCTGATGTGTGAGTCCAGGTGTTGGTTCACCCCAGATGTCAACCCAGGCAGAAATCTGGACCCGATTCGAGTCCCCTTGATGGCTGAGGGTTTCATGGAGGGCTCAGAACTGAGGGGTCCAGAGGAAGGTCCTAGAAGGATGAGGAGGAAGTAGCCAGGTGGCACCTCTGACCAGACTTTTCAGTCAAGGAGGTGGAAGACAGGCTTCCCCAAATTTTGCTGTTTCCGCAAAAGCATTTTTATTTACAATCAGGGCCCACAGCATGAGGTCATTCCAAATATGTACATTGCTTGATGTCCTGGGCCTGGGCTTTACCATTCTTTTTGATTCTCTCAGCTCCTGGTTTATCACCAAAAACCTATGGATCCAAGAAAAAATTCCAATTAGTGGATTGTCAGTGCCGAACCCTGGCAAACCAGGTAACAGCTATGGGCCCAGGAAACTGAAGACAGCCTTCAATCCATATTTACTGAGCACGTGCCATGCATTCAACTCAGCACTGAAAGATAGGGATAAGGAGAGGAAGTGTGGACATGCTGTTGCCAAGAAATTGATGCCTCCTTCTCCTCCAAATTAGGAATAAAGGGCAAATCTCTGTAGTTTGTGTCTAGGGGGAGGGGAAGCAGCAAGAACAGAAAACAATACATGCCTGACCAGGTCGCTGCAAACTTTGCCCAGAGCCAGGAAAAGTGGCTGAGAATCCTTAGGACTCTTCTGCACCTCTCTGGGACTGAGGTGTGGACTGAGAGGTCTCCCTGGGTGGAGCACACTACCATTGCCATCATCAGGACTAAGACATCTTCATTCCCAACAGTTAGGTCAAGGACCTCAAGTATTGGAATCAGATTCCTAGACCTGCCCCACAAAACCTTGTTGTCAGAGCCCAGAAGATTTGCATTTTTAAGCAAGCTCC
Source organism: Homo sapiens (assembly GCF_000001405.40). Taxonomy (NCBI): domain Eukaryota; kingdom Metazoa; phylum Chordata; class Mammalia; order Primates; family Hominidae; genus Homo; species Homo sapiens. The sequence continues at coordinate 92,984,251 of NC_000011.10, read as the reverse complement.
CAGGTGGCTAGGGGACTAAGCACAGCACCCAGCCTAGATTCCTCACATTGCAAGGCCAGAAAGAGGATCCAGCATAATGCTAAGAGGTCAGCACACCAAGAAAATCCTGGGTTCTTCATTCAGGAAAGCCGCTGGGTGGCTGAGGACCCCAGGCACATTGTGGACATGCAGTACTTAGCCCACTGCACTTTGTCCCTGCCACATATTCCGAGGTGGGATGATGGGGGATAGAAGTAGGGTGCTGTCATCAGACAGACTTGAGCTCCACATCTAGCTCTGAACATAGCTATCTGAATTCTGGCAATCATTCCACATTTTTGAGTTTCAGTTTCTTACTATGAAAATTGATCATAGTATCTTTTTCCAAGAGTTTTGTGGGGATTAAATGACATAATGCATATCAAGCCCTTACCACAATGCCTGGTACATAGAAAGCACCAATGGATATTACTTGATACTAATTTATCAACAGACTGTGACCTTGCAGAGGGCAGGCAACAAACCAGTCCTGGCCCACAGAGGGCACTCAGTGTTTGTGGAACTGAAGAAAGCTATTAATTCTGTTGGCGCTAAACAAAGATCTGAGATTTCTACGAATATAAAGTCCACAAATACATAACCATAGAAATGAATTGGGGTGCAGCTGCCCTTTCCCCACTTCCATGTCCCCTACCCCATTTTCTCCCCTTCCCTTCCTGTCCTTCTACTTCTTCTTCTTTTTTTTTTTTTTTCTGAGACAGGGTCTTGCTCTCACTTTGTCACCCAGTCTGGGGTACAGTGGCACAATCTCAGCTCACTGTAGCCTCAACCTGCTGAGCTGAAGTGATCCTCCCACCTCAGCCTCCTGAGTAGTTAGGACCACAGGAATGGGCCACCATGCCCAGCTAATTTTTGTAGAGACAGGGTTTTGCCATGTTGCTTAGGCTGGTCTTGAACTCCTGGGTTCAAGCTGAGGCAGGGGTGAGGCACCGCATCCGGTGATAGCCCTTCCTTTCTTTGTATATGACTTTTCTCCTTCATTTTATGTAGTTATAATAATAACAAAAGCTAATGATTACTGCCTGCTAGCCACATGTCAGGCACTGTCCTCAGCTCTGCAGATGTGTTATCCCAGAGAATCCTCACAACAACCTGGGAGGCTGACTACGGCATGATCTTCACTTTAAGATGAGTAAACTGAGGAACAGGGAGGTTAGGAGACTTTCCCCAAGTCACACAACCTGAACATGATGGAACCAGAAAAGGAGGCCAAGCGGACTTTGTGCTCCAGATGCTGGAGCAGTGTGACTGTGTGTGTGTGTGTGGGGGGGGGGGGTGCAGTGTGTTTGTGATGTGGTGGCTATGTGTGTGTAACATATGTATGTGTACACAGTGTATGTGTGCATAGTGTGGTGTGTCTGTGGTGTGATGCATGTGTGGTTGTGATTGTGTGTGTGTAGGGAAGGTCAATGGCGGAGTGTGGAATGCTTGCCCTCTGCACCTGCCCCACCTGAGGCCCTTGCAGTTACCAAGTTCCAGTCCTACTGACCTCTCTCTTTCATCCTTGCTAACAGGAAGAGATCCTGCCACGCTGGGGGGAAGGGGAGAAAGCAGCCAGGAGGCCAAGGCAGGAGGATGAGGGTCAGCTATGAGAAGGAGTTGGGCTCTTCTGCCCCAGGCCTTTCCTCATTCTGTCCTTTCCTTGGTCTTGTGTGCACCAAATCCCCAAGACACCACCAAGAGTGTTTTCCAGGTCCTGTGGCCTGTGAGCATCTCCTGGATCAGCCTGAACCCATGGCGTTGATGGGCTGCTTGTCCCAGCATGAAGTTCCCCCAGCCTTGGGGCTGTGATGCCAACAGGACAGTGTGGCCCAGCAGGCTGCCTGGTCTCACCCTTGCAGCAGACTCTCTCCCACCATTTCATGAGTTTGTCATGCTGCTGGTGTGCCTCAGATCCAGGCTAGAGAGCATCTGCCTGGTGCTGCACACCAATGATGGGTGGAGCTGGGCTCTGCAGCCCCTCCGCGTGGCTGCCCTTGGAAGCATCTTGAATGCAGTGCCGTGGGTTCCAAAGGGCCAAGAGGATCCTCTTGTATTCCCTGCGGAAGTTTTGGTTCAAGAGCCCATAGACAATGGCATTCAGGCAGCTGTTGAAATAAGCCAGTAAGTAGCTAGTGACAAATAGCCCCTCAGGGATCTGGGGAGCCATTTCTTGGGGGTTGATGGCCACAGCGAGGCCGATGCAGTTAAGTGGAGCCCAGCAGATGGCAAAGATCACAAACACCACAAACATGGTTAGAAAGCTCCGCAAGTCGCTGGGCTTCAGGCACAGCCTGCTCTCTGGCTTGGCTTTCCTGCGGGCCTGAAGCACCAGCACCCAGATGCGCAGGTAGCAGAAGGACACGACAGCGATAGGGAGGAGGAAGTGGATGACCACCACTGCCGCCGTGTACTGGGTGCTGGCGGTCTGGATGAAGGTGCAGGAATAGATGCGTGGGTCGTACTCCAGGGACCCCACAAAGAAGTTGGGCAGCAAGGCCACCACGGTGAGGAGCCAGATGAGGCAGATGTGCAGAGGGGTGTGCCAGCGCCGGTAGATTCGGTGGTAGGCCATGCTGTGGCAGATGTAGCAGTAGCGGTTAATGGCGATGGCAGTGATATTGAAGACAGAGCCGATGACGCTCAGGCCCATCACAAAGGCGCTGGCCTTGCAGTGCTCCTCCCCCAGGGCCCAGCCGTCATAGAAGATGGCCACGAGGATTAGCGGGTAGGGGTAGAAGGCCACCACCAGGTCAGCCAATGCCAGACTCACCAAGAACAAATTACCTGAAGCAGCAAACAGAGCAACAGTCAGCACGAGACCCCACGACTTAGATTCTGTAGAACATCCTACCCTCCACGAAGTTACTTTTGGCAATGTGAGTGGAAACCAAGTGGCTCTTAGAGGCACAGAACTGAAGACTCAGATTGCATTTCTGCCACTCACTAGCTATATGACTGAGGCAAGCTGTTTAGGCTCTCAGAGCCCCATTTTCCTCATTTGTGAACTAGGGGCAGTGATACCTACCTCATAGTATAGCTGTAAGAATTAATGATACAAAGTGCTCAGGGATTTAACAGGTGCTGACACATGCTAACTGTTTCCATGATAGGCACAGATGCTCACGGGCTTTGCACCATTTAAGCTCCAGCAAAGATTTCGGAGGAGGAGAGTCTGAAAGTCAGGAGTGTGGATTTCTCATCACTATCATCGCTCCCTCACATTCCCTCACCTCCTCGCACATCTCTCTGGTTGTCTCCTTTTGCATTTTCTCCCCACTGGTTAACAGGCTACTTTCTAAGTGTCTTTACATGGGTTTTGTAAATGTGAATTGCATTTTGCAGCTGGACTAGAAGAAAGGTGTTGAGAGTGGGAACCATGTGTTTCTGGTATTCCCATTTGTGCCCTGTCTGGGTCCAGTACTCCCAGCCTTGTGGCCATGTTGACAGACACTTGCAGTAGCGGCACAGAGCCCCAGCCCTGTGGGGTGAGAAAGGGCTGTCAGCACTCCTAAGCTCACAGCCTCTGGGGGGCCTCCCTGCTTTGCCTGCACCATGGTGGCCTTCCTGGACTATCTAGGCATTTATCCTTTGAATGGAGCCTTATCCAACATCACCAAGCTTGGTCAACCAGAGAGAGCCTCAGGAAATGATACACCCATCAATTAATATGCTTCAGGCATGTTCTAAGCTGGAGTCCCAGGGCAGAGGCAGGGCTTACTCTAAAAGAACACAATCTCTGCTCCTCAAGTGTTTGCGTTCTAAAACCAACACTGACTCACGAATAGAGCACCAAGAACCTAAACGTTTGGGCAATACAAAGCTCATAGTGTGAGCAGTTCCATCACTAATGCCAATCTTCTCATTCACCAAGTGTTGTACTTTTTGAATACCTACTGTATGCTCAAAAGATAACAGACTCTCCCTCCAGCAGGGTCCCTGAGTGATGCAATGTGCACTGGGCATGGTATTTTAAATTTTCTGGTCTCTTGCCACATGGTGAAGCCTCCAGCCTTAGGGTGGCGGAATGCAGAGGGCGGCTGGGATGGTGTGCAGGAGGAACTCCCAAGTCAGCAAAGACACAGACATGGAAACTCCACAGCCACCATGTGTCTGTCCCATTGCCACAGAGGCTGTGGTGGCTTTGGGGGTCTAGAGGGTCAGGCAGGTGGAAAGAGCCCCCAAAGCACAGCAATTGGAGAGGCCAGGCTCTGTGTGGATTCCACGGGGTACAGAAAAAGGGAGGCTGAGAGCCGCCCAGCTGGGATTTCACCTGAGTCAGCCCTTCAAGTGAAGTAGATGGCACACCTGGACTTATTCACCCACAAGGGTAGGAAAAGGACTGCCTCCAGCCTTCCCACATTCACCCCATCTCAAAGAAGATTCCCCATAGCATGGTCCGAATGGGGATGGGAACTTGAAAGACCCTCAGGAAGCCTTCATGAAGGGCCTATTTTGACCTCAGAGGAATGGGGTCAACCCCACTGAGAACCCACACAAGTCTACTGGAGTCCTGGGAGTTCTCAAGACCTAACTATAATACTACTGTGTCCACAGCTAGGTTAGGAAACCAGGGAGACAGGATGTAACTGAATAGAAAGGAGATTGTCTGGACAATTAGAGCGCTTGTGAGGTAGTGAGTTTCCCTGTCTCAAGATTGTCCAGCAAGTTGGATGGCAAAGGAGAATCATGACTCAACTGAACTGCTGGATTCCTACCTACTCTACTATTCACAGATTTATTTACTTCATGGGTTAAAAATGACCTCATTTCCTTTCTGGTTGGTACAGCAAGGCAAAAAATGTGCAACAAGGACCTGCTTGGGATGTGGAGGGGTTTTGTGCCTTTTAATTTAATTCTCAGCCCGCTGGCTGTCTCCACTGCTGGATCTCCATCTCTGACTCATCTACACAGACCTCACTTGGTTCCAAGAACATGAGGGATTCCCTCTCTCACATTGCTTGTCTTCAGCTGAATCAGGAACCCTTGTCTCCTGAGAATTTTATGTGTCCTTTTGAAATCTGGAGGGTTGTGCTGAAGTCAGAGAAATCTGGGATAATCTGAGTCCTGCCACTTTATGGTTGAATGAATTTGGGCGAGTTCCCGAGTTCCTTTCTTGGTGACTATTCCTACATGAGCTCCTTTCTTTTCTTTCAGAGCTCTGCCATCACTTCCCCCTGCACACTCATAGGGTTGGTTCTGTGAAGAGAATCACTTCTCTCCAGCACAGGAAGATGAGTCTCCATAGGACCCGCTGGGCACCTGGCCCAGCAACACACAAGCTCTTGGCACTTGCAAGCTGAGCAGAGAAAGTCAAGAGCTGCTGGGAGCCGGTGCCAGCTCTGCCAGCTGTTTCCCTGTGAAGGCAGAGTCAAGTTCTGCTGTGTTAATGTGGCTTATCCCCTAATAATGCCCCAGAGGCTGGCAAACAGCTTGTAAATAGTAAGAAGAACACATTCAACTCCATGTGGAAAGTGATTCAATTACTATCCCCTATTACTCTGGCTGTTCCTAAAAGGCTGAAATCAACCACTTCCTGCTATAGATTCATCTGCCCAGACATCCCACTGTCTCCAGGCTTTCTTGGCACAATTCCAAATTAGATGAATAAAATTTGTGTTTTGTCTTCCATCTGTAAGAAGCCAGGTCCTATGTGGATGATAGTCAAGGGGAGATCCAGTTCTCCATCCATTTCTTCCCCAGACAGGTGAGAAATCACTCAGTATGCACACAGCACTGCAGTCACCGTGTGCATAATGAATATTTATGTCATGGGTCCTGGCGTGACTCGTTTCCATCTGCCTCCAGCAGATAGGGTGTATTAGTGGAGAGAGGCTTTGACAAGAGGGCTTTGTTTACTAACATGGAATCCCCTTCAGGATTCATACGCAGAGCGCATCCTTTCACACACACAACCATCACAGTCTCCTCCCTCTTCTCTTCCTCTCTCTTTCTTTCTGGAAAATGTATTTCTTAATGGAGATCTGGTAATCTAGGAAAGAGCCAGCCAGTGCTGAGCTATCTAATATTCGTCAGATAGGAGAATTCTGGAAGGTAAAGCTCCCTGTAACCCTTGCCCCCCTCCTCTGTGCTCACCCTCCATGCTCAGAAGAAAAATTTGGTTAGACATAAATTCTCCTTGGTCATTGAGCTAAAAGACAAGATAGAAAGAGAGAATCATCAAGTCATTTATGTGACAAATATTGCTGAGTATATACTAGGTTCTGCCTTTGACTATGCCAGATGGACAGGCTACCTCCCCTTATAAAGTTTATGGTCTCTTAGGGAAGACCATTAAACAAATAAAAACAAGGTGCCAAGAGGGATATGTTGGGGAAGTCAACAAATGATCTATGTTTTCTAACAGTGTTAAACTTTCTGTGCCTTGAGGTCTTCTTCCACTCTTCCATCTGTTTAAATGTGTAATATATTTATTGAGTGCCTACCACATTCAAGTAAGACGCAGTGATGGATGAAAGACATGGCCCCTGCCATTGAGATGCCCATGGAACTGTTAGGGAAACAAAAGAAAACAGTAGCCATTCAATTAGGTGAGAGCTGGAAGAAAGGCCAGAACAAGGTGGTGGGAACAGTGGGGAATTTGTGAGTCAACTTGGGACTGGGGACAATGGCAGGATATGGGGTTGGTCAGGCACGACAATTCACCAAGGAGCTACACAAAATTACCAAGACTTTTGCAACAGAACTCCTAACTCCCAGAATGGCTGTTTACCTCAAATAAGATGTTGTATGGGAAAGGTCATGAGAAATAACAATAATCACCAAATTAATGTGAGATATTCTTATTATGTTCTGGGGATGGGCATTTGAAATAATTGACCATATAATTTATTCACAACTTGATTTTCAAACAAACACTAAAACAATGCATTTATTGTAAGCTTGTAATTAGATTCCCAAATCTCTTGAGAGCAGATATTTTTTTCTTCCAAAGTCACATATTTATGAAAATCTTAGGATGTGTGGATGAATCATACAAGAGCTGAGTTGAAATCTAACTTTGATTTAATTAGAAAACAAAAACTGGCTAATCAATAGTGTACACAGATATATATGGGGGTATTTCAACCACTTAAAAGAAGAAAATATATTTAAGAACATAAGCATCCATTTAAAAACATAACTAAGATGCTTTACAAAATATTCTTCAATAACCATCAAAAGAGATCATTTTGAAATTCTGATAGGTAACATTTTATTACTTTACACTTAATAGCAACAAAACAACCATTGATATAACATGGTGAAGTTGATAGTATAGTTTTACATAAATGGACTCCATTGTTTTTCACAAGAATTCCTTAAGGTTGACAGCATGATTTCTGTTTTATAGATAAAGAAACAGACACCCAGTTTGTGTGAATTGCTCATAGCCATAACACAGAAGGATTGAGAAAGAACAAGAAGAGGAGAAAACCAAAGAAAAGAAATATCAAGGGAATTAAGAGAAAGGGTGTAGAGAGTTTCTTGGTCATCTACAAAAGTGAGAAAGGACAGAAAAGTGCTCATTGGACTTGGTAGTTAGGAAGGCAGTAGTGACATTAACAAGAACAAATTCTGTTGAGAGCTTGGGGATCCAGTTTTGCCCTGGAGATTGCTCTATCAGTGTTGCCTTCAAAAGAAGGAGATAGAGAGTGGCGCTTAGGAAGGAATATCCCTTTGATAGGGGACAGTGGAGGGCTTTTTTTGCCTTTTCTTTCTCTCTTAAAGGAAAGAGACTTGAATCTGGCATATAACAAGCACTAGTAATATTAGCTATTATTTGTTATTACTGTTTTATATTATTAGCTGTACTGACAGATCAAGAAAGAGGCTCATAAGGTTGGACTGGGATCCCTGTGAGATAAGATGTGAGAAGTAGTAAGGACATGAAGATGAAGAAAGTAGGACATTCCTTCTAGATGGCAAACTCCCTAAGAACTGGGGCTTTACTTCCCAATTCTCTATCTCTACTCCTCCAGCAGTAAGTATTTTAAATTGAAAGAGCCAGTAGGAGCTTTCAGTATTCTCTGAATTTTGTGGTATATCATATCCGAATGCAGAATCCAGCTTTCTGGAGATAAAGACAGGCAAACATTAAAGTCTTTATACCCTTGAGCTACTGAAAGTTACATGGGAGGAATTAAAGAGGATTATTAGCTTTCCTGATTATTCAGCTAAAGACATAATTATGGGATTTAAAAACTGTTCATTTTTGCTCAGTGAAGAGGCAATAAGGTATTCACAGCTGAAATGCAAAGTTGGACAGCTTAAGAAACATTCAGGAAGGAGTCCAAGGTTACCCAGTTTGGTCTTGGGCTGATAATGGCACTCTAAACATTGCAGGCTGAGCAAGTCAAAAGACACCTGATGCCAAGTGACATCTCAATGAGTGGTCGGTGGTAGGATAGAAGCCTTGATGGAGTGGGCTCCACTTCATTCTATAACTTGGAGGGTAGGGGCTGTGGGCCTATTAAGCATTTCACTCTAGGCCTTCCAGAGCCTTTGTTCAGAACCATGCTGCTTATTAAGCATCATTTGCTGTCTCAGTCAACAAGTTGGAAGAGAGGAGGCAAGGAACAGGGGCCACAGTGCAGACTGTTTTCTAATCTAACCGGGGAAGCAAAGCACCTGCATAGGCAGAATATTCCCATCAGGAACCTCCCAGGCAGTTACTGGTTCTGGATAGGAGATGGTGTGAATTCTTAGCATCACTGGGGGCCTGGAGGAGGGGCAGCTTTGCCAGCATAGACAGAGTGACCTTGGACAAAGATCTGTGTGTTCAGCAAGCAAATCCTCCATGTTTTCCTAGGCAATCTTAACATCAAATAGTTCATATATTTCTGCTTTACCAATCATCAACGTACCCCAGAAATGCCAATTCGTGCACTCACTAAACCTCCCAGACAGCCTCTTTAACCCATTTGCAGCACAAAAATCCATTGTCAGACCACAGCTTCTGACTGCTACTTGGAAAATTAAGGTGGCTGTGCCTATGGAGCCAGGAATAACTGGTGTTGTTATGACTTCCTCTCTGATAGTGGAGAGTACTTGGGTGTTACAGTGAGGACATGGTTCTCTCAGCTCTCTTATATGGCCAGCATATTACAGGCAGCTTAAAAGTGGCCACCTCGGGCCAGACCAAGAAAGGGGCTGTATTAGTCTGTTTTCACGCTGCTGATAAAGACATACCCAAGGCCGGGCACAGTGGCTCACACCTGTCATCCCAGCACTTTGGGAGGCTGAGGTGGGTGGATCACCTGAGGTCAGGAGTTTGAGACCAGCCTGACCAACATGGAGAAACACCATCTCTACTAAAAAATACAAAATTAGGCCGGGCGCGGTGGCTCACGCCTGTAATCCCAGCACTTTGGGAGGCCAAGGCGGGCGGATCACGAGGTCAGGAGATCGAGACCATCCTGGCTAACACGGTGAAACCCTGTCTCTACTAAAAATACAAAAAATTAGCCGGGCGAGGTGGCGGTCGCCTGTAGTCCCAGCTACTCGGGAGGCTGAGGCAAGAGAATGGCATGAACCCCAGGGGGCGGAGCTTGCAGTGAGCCGAGATTGCGCTACTGCACTCCAGCCTGGGCGACAGCAAGACTCTGTCTCAGAAAAAAAAAAAATTAGCCAGGTGTGGTGGCTCATGCCTGTAATCCCAGCTACTCAGGAGGCTGAGGCAGGAGAGGTTGCAGTAAGCCGAGATCATGCCATTGCACTCCAGCCTGGGCAACAAGAGTGAAACTCTGTCTCACAAAAAACAACAACAACAAAAGACATACCCAAGGCTGTACAACTTACAAAAGAAAGGTTTCATTGGGCTTACAGTTCTACATGGCTGGGGAAGCCTCCCAATCATGGTGGAAGGCAAGGAAGAGCAAGTCATGTCTTATGTGGCTGGCAGCAGGCAAAGAGAGAGAGCTTGTGCAGGGGAGTTTCTCTTTTTCCATCAGATCTCATGAGACTTATTCACTATTGTGAGAACAGCATGGGAAAGACTTGCTCTCATGATTCAATTACCTCCCACCAGGTCCCTCCCACAACATGTGGGAATTCAAGATGAGACATGGGTAGGGACACAGCCAAAGCATATCAGGGGCAAACTCCCCAAGAGGAATCAGTAGGGTACAACCATGGCATGGCTGGAAACTGCTGAGCAACTTTACTCACACAGGAGAATCACAGAACAAGCATGCCTTCATGCAGAAGGTGCCAATAGTCAGCTTAACATGAGATATACTTTGGGCTGTTCTCAAAGCAGTTCAGTTTCATGAAAACCTGTATTGATTACTTATGCAGTGCTGAGTACTGTAACTGAGGTCTATCCCAGCTCATGGAGCAAAATCAATTAATTTTCCCCCACTACCTGGTGTCTTATCCATTTCCAATTTAATCAGAGATGTGTTCTGTTCTTACTATGTGTCTGGCTCTGTGGACAGAAACTGAATGAAAGTGTCTGCTCTCAGCAGGTACACGGTCCAGCGGGGAGAGACAAAGAACAATAGTACAGTGAGGGGGATGCTGTACTGGGGAGGGCACAGGTATCTTAGAAGCCCAACAAGGGAGACACTTACTATCCCCTTCATGGTATTAATAATCAACATTGATAATCCTTCAGGGGAGTTGGGGAAGGAGTTGAAGGAGGAGCAGCTGTTGACTGGGCAGAAGAGGTAGAGAAAGTACATCAGGGAGTGCAGACCCTTTGGGAAGTAGCAGCAGCTCACTGTGACACTGGTGAGAGGAGGGCAATGAGGCTGTAAGTTAGGTGGGCTAGGCCAGCCGCAAATGGCCGTGGGAGCTGTGCTCTGGAGTTGGACACTGTTCTGGAGATGGAGGGCAGCCACTGAAGACAGGGAAACTCTTGGCAGTGGTAACAGTGGCTGGGGGAGGGAGCAGGAAAAGCTCTCAAGCACTATGGATAGTGTTTGCTCAAGAGATGATGAAGGCATGAAGTGGGGCAGTAAGAATAAGGAGGCAGGAAAGGGAGAAATTGAGAAATAGTGGAAGGTAAAATCATTAGGACATGTGGAATGAAAGAGTAGGAGGAACCAAAGATGACTTTCAGGGCACAGGTATCCGGGAGATGAAGAGAAAAAGGAGATCCAAAAACTAGCACCAGGTTAGCCGAGGGAATGAAAGGTCCCACAGAGGGAGTGGCCCTCAGTGTCACACACAGCACAGAGGAACATTTCCAGAGAATGGCGCCCAGAGGACTGAGGAAGGACGGGAAGCAATGGGGTAGAACCAGTAGATGTCCACAACTACATTAAAATGTCTGGCTGAAAAGGGAGGGAGAGAGGTAGTGATGAAGTTAGGAGGACATGAAGTCAAGAAAAGAGTCTTTTGTTCTTTTAAAACAGGAGACTTTGTGTATCGTGTGTGTGTGTAACATGGAGGAAGTTTCCAGAAGAGAGAAAGGAAGAGCTCAAAAATGCAAGAGATAAATATTAGCGAGGTGTAGCTCAAGGGTCAGGGCAGCAGTGGTGAGCCCAGGAGGGAAAGTTCTCAACGGCTCTCAGTAGAGTCAAAAGTGTGGCAAGTCCCTGGGAAGCACAATCTGACAGGCGTGAGGTGCCAACCCAGTGCCATGGGCTGTGCAAGACTCTGAGAATGTAGCAAAGAGTGAACACACTTGGCCTTACCTTTTAAGTTGGGTCGGTGCCCTGACCCTACCTCCCACCTTGCCTCCACTCCTCCCTGTCTGCCTTTCTCTGGTGCTATCTCTGAAGTCAACCCACCACATGCAGCAACAGACACTACAGATAGGATATCCCTGAAAAAAAAAAGACAATTAATCTAACCACTCACCCTGCCATCAGGAGCGGCACTGTTAGGAATGATACAGATCTGCTCCATAGAGGAACTGGGTTTGTGATAGGCAAGTAAAGGATACTGGTGTCTCCTGGGAAACATGCTGTGACCTCAATATGGGCTATGTATCTTGGTTATTGGAAATATATGTATTCTCATTGTTACAGACTTAATTTTTTAATACCAATGATTTAAGGAGCCAGACTTAAGTACAGAAAGGTCTGAAGAAGCGTTTCTTAAATTAAATCCAAACTCTTCAGTAAGACAAGGCCTGATTAAGAGTAGAATGTGTGCTAACTATTCAAAGAGCTGTAGGTTTTAAGCGCCTTTTGAAATCTCACTCTGCTGAGATCATTTAGTTCAAGTCAGTACTACAATTGTTTGTGACTGTCACCAATAAAGCCAGAGGTCACATAAGAACTGGTTAAATTGCAAGACTGCAGCAGTGGCAGGAATTGATGTCATTTAGATATAGTGTTATTATTATTTTTTTTTGTTCGGGTGCTGGGCTGTAGCGGACACATCAGGAGGTAGGAAAGATAGAACAGAGGATATGCCAGCAATTTAACATGCTCATGACCCTCCCCAGTGATGCTCTTAAACTGGTTAGGTTTCTGCAGACCCTGCCAGGATCACAGAAAAGGCCAGCCCTCTGTAGGATGCAGGAGGGGAGGGGTGCTTTTCTCCTTCCAGCAAAAGGAAGCAACTCCTACTTCCCTCAACCACCTTTCTCATGGTGGGCAATCCAAATTACTGAGCAGGGAGCCATGGCCTGACAGACCTGCTCTAAATACTCAATAAGTCAGGGACAGAAGGGGCCAATGTCAGAACCAGGAGGACCCATTTCTCCCCCATAGAGCCAGGAGTTGTCTCCCTTTTGCTTCCCTGTGCTGGAAATGAATGTTTATGATGGCTGCAAGGGACAATGTGTCAAAAATATTAAATGCAGTTTTCTAATCATAACCTGTTTTTCCCTAATATATAAGCTTTTCTTCAAAGGACACAATATTTTGAACAATGTATTCCAGAAAACAGCCACCACTACTGAAGTGAGTTAGAAAGTTTACTTCTTCTTAATAATGTTATGTTTCCCATATGATGGCTGGATACTCACAGTTGGAGGAGTTTCTTGTTTGTTTTTTTAGCTAAAAATCCTAGAGTTGGCCGGGCGCAGTGGCTCATGCCTGTAATTCCAGCACTTTGGGAGGCCGAGGCGGGTGGATCACTTGAGGTCAGGAGTTCGAGACCAGCCTGGCCAACATGGTGAAATACTGTGTCTACCAAAAATATAAAAAATTACCTGGGTGTAGTGGCGAGCGCCTGTAATCCCAGCTACTCGGGAGGCTGAGGCAAGAGAATCCCTTGAACCTGGGAGGCAGAGGTTGCAGTGAGCCTAGACCATGCCACTGCACTCCAGCCTGGGTGACAGAGTGAGAGACTCCATCTCAAAAAAAAAAAATTTCTAGAGTCACAGGCCACACCAAATACATATTACTATTTGCTAAAAATGGTCTGACTCCTTAGAAAAGCATTTTTAAGCTATATGGTTGTTTTACTGCTGCTATCTTTCCATTTTAATTCACTCTAATATTTGAATTTGCTCCCAAGGCCCAACTTGAAGAAACTGCAAAATTAACAAACAGGTGACTGAGCTCCTTCCTAAGCTGAAGTGGTCATCATGCCCCATGACCTGTGAGGGCTAGAGTTCAGATACTGCCCCCCACTCTGGTTTTGTTTCTTTGAAGACCTGACTAGGGGAATATTGAAATGAGAGTGGATTGAAATAGGAAAAATATTTTCAGGATTACAACACGATTTAGCCAAATCATTGCTTTAATTTTCACAGTTAATCCCAGGAATTCCCAGTCTTCGGAAAAGACCACAATATTTCAAAGCAATTTAGTTCAGTCCAAGCAGAATCTGCAATTTCTGCATTTACTCTCCGTCAACTGGAATTGGGTCTTCAGATGACCTGGAGATAAGTTTTTGACACAAAACCTACTGAAATGCTTCCATTGATTAACTCATTTTTTCAGCAAGGATTTTCTAAGCGACTACTACATAAAGCTACAGTGCTTGGCAAGGAAGGAAGTGGGATGTCAAGTACAGGTGGTGAGATTTCTGTGGCCTGATGTGGGCACCTCTGGAAAGACACGCATTGGAGCGCGACGGGGTAGCGATGGCATCCAGCAGCGTGGGTTCCCACAGCGCCGGCGCCCGGCCAAAAAGCGCGCCAGTAAAACTTTCCGCAATTCCCTCTGTGCCAAGCGCGTCCTGGGCAGCCGCACTTCGGAGGGGCAAAACTCACCCTAACTTTTGAGTGCAGAGTCAAACTTAAGGAATAGGTTAGAGTGAAGGGAAAGGGGAGCCCGGGCTGAGGAGGGAAAAGGCAGCGCATATCCCGGGGTCAGGGACAAGATCAGAAGACAAGGAAGGGCCCGATGCCAGCACCCAGCATCAGGAATGGTGCTCACCTGCGTTCCGGAGCTTGCGGTTCCTGAGCACGGAGAGGATCACCAGGAGGTTGCCCACGACGTCCACGGCGGTGGTGACGATGAGCACCGCGGACAGCGCTGGAGCCACCCAGGGAGGTCGAGGGGTCCTGGAGGGCCGCGCGCTGCCAGCCCCCGACCAGCCCGGGCGCACTGCCCACCCGCCCGCCTCGCAGCAGTTGGCGAAGGAGCCGTTCTCTGACATCGCAGACTCTCCCGCGCTGTGCTTTGGCCACCGCGCGGCCCCGGACAGCCGCAGGGCGCGCGCAGTACTGAGCCGGGCGCTCTCTTCCCTGCCCAGCTCGCGTGTGCAAGGGAGGAGGCCAGTGGGGAGGGGTCTGGAGGAGATAACTAATTAAGCGTGGGCAGGGGATGGAGAAAAATATAGGAATGGGAGGAGGACTTGGGGTGCAGCCGTTGTAGAAGGGAGTGCGTCCCTCAGCGGTGCGCTCAGGAACAGCTGGGACCGCACAGCTGTCTCTGCCACCCCGAGCCCAGCAGGTGCCTGGCCCACCTCAGGCTGCGGAGCGCGTCTAGCTTCTGTCCCTGAGTATATAGCCACACCCGAGACCCCGATTTCCTCCACAGCGTCCCCAAGAGAAGCTGTGTCTAGGTAGGGACGTCCAACCCAGGTTGATAGACTGGAGAAGGTGCTGATGGTAGGGACCTCCCATCAGTTGTCAAGAAAGGCAAGGTTTGACGTCCCATAGGGCTGTGCAGCCCGAAAGAGAATGCAACTCCTAAGATGTGGGGACAGAGCCCAGAACAAAGTAGGGTAGACTGTTATATTCTAGGGAGCTGCAGAAAAATACGAACCTAGCCATTTTCCAAGCACTCGCTGGGTATTGTGGGGGGCATTGATGATGTCTCTACTGGGTCCTCTTTATAAAGCCAATACTTTAACATATTTACCAACATATATTTACACATAATACTTAAATAGATGTATGGCCAATATTGGGGGTTATGATGTGGTTTTTGGAGGGGTTAGGACAAGAAGAAGATTGAGGCATGATTACAATAAAGAAGGAACTCAGGTGCCCTTTATTAAAAATGTTTGAGTCGTGATCTGGTGATAATAATAATAGATAACTTCTAATGGGGGCTAATCTTATGACCCCAAAGCACTTTTCACACCCATTAGAATCACTAAAATCAAAATGACTGATTATCCTATATTTGTGGAGGAAGTTAAGCAACCAGAACCCTCATACACTGCTTTTATGAGAATGCAAAATGGTATAGCCACTTTGAAGAGCTGTCTGTTAGCTCCTAATAAAGTTAAATATACACCTATTCTATGACCAGAAGTTCCAAATGAAAAGGAAAGTATATTTCCACCAAAAGACCTGTACAAGAATGTCCAGAGCAGCCTTGTTTATAGGAGCTCAAATCTGGTAACACCTGCAATTTCCACCAACAGAAGAATGGATAAGCAAATTATGGTATGACCTTGCAATGGAATACTACTCAGCAATAAAGATGATTGACCTACACAACAGCATGGATTAATCACAAATATGTTGTATTGAACAAAAGAAGCCAGATACCAAAAAATATATACCATATTATTCCAGTTATAGGAAGTCCAAAATCAGGGAAAATTAATCTATTTTCTAATAGAAATCAGAAAAGTGGTTACATTTGAGGGTGGGTATTGAGAAACAAACACCAAAAAATTTCTGGATTGTTATTTTTACATATGTTATTTTACGTAAGTTATATTGCCCCTCTCCTTTAAAGGGGGGAAAAAAAGAAGGAAGGATGCAGTGGAGACGGAGGGGCTGATGATGCAGAGGCATGAGTGGATGTTGAAGGGAAGGGAGAGGGAAGGGAGAGGTGAAGTGAGCTCATCCTTGAAGTGAGCTAATCCAGAACTCCTTAAAGTGAGCTCATCCAAAACCCAAGGAAGAAATATTATTTGTTAGGAGAGGGAGGCTTTCTTTCTTGTAGTAGAAAGGAATCAGAAGCCAGATGCAAATTCAGATGCACTTCTAAACTGGTGTGAGGAAAGAAGAGAACTCTTGTCTGGCTTCTGTATTCTCAGGGAGATAGAGGCTACCCATTAGCCAGGATTCAGGGGAACAGTGTAGGAGATTTGAAGACAAAAAAAAGATATGAAGGAGCACTTCAGAAAGTGGAAACATTAACTAGTAAAGTATAACAGGCGTGTCAGGAGCATGAATGTCCCCCTGCAGCTTGAGATGATGGCTTCAAATGATGCCACTCAGCCTGGCCAGTGGTTGTTAATCAGCAACTTGGAGCTACTCAGGACAGGCATGGAGAAGGCAGAGTGAATTTCAGTCAGGATTGGGGTCTGCTGGGTAGGAGCAAATAACAGAAGAAAGTTCAGGGGCCTGGTGAGAAGATGGATCCTGGGGTTTACATTAATGAGGGGTGATGAGAAAACAGAGGGGCTGATGGGCTGTGAGACAAAGGAAAAGTCAAGAGATTGCAGGCCCTGTGACTTCAAGGAATTGTGGTGAGTGAATCAGAAAATGTAAGTTGTGGTGCTGAAAGGGTGAGTTGTTTGAAACTGAGATGTCTGAGGCATGTAGATTCTGTTGCTGTGAAGGCTCTGAGGGTGATTATGGGTAGTGGGTTGCTGGTGGAAGGTGAGAAAAATGTTGTTAGAGATGAGAAGGTAAAGGAACTGAGAAGTCGGGGGTGGATATTATGGTGGGGTAAGAAAAGGAAAACTATGAGTCAGGAGGCGAATCCCCAGTGAATGAGGAGGAATGACCAACATGTCCTCAGGAGAGCAACAGCAAAGGGGAAAGAGACACCAATGGGCAGTGTCAAAGCCAAGAGGCTTTTTCAGGAAGAAGAGACAGCCACGCCTTCCCTGTCTTACAGGTGCAAACACATCGTGGCACTTCTCAACTTTCACACGCCAACATAGCAATAGGTGAGTTGGACACAGTATAAGTTACCTCCATCCAGACACACCCTCTAATAACACACATTTGTTAAACTGAGCATGAAACATAGGAATTTGCCCTATGCTGCCTTGGAATGTGATTGTCCATAATAGCATATCTCAAGATAGGCACAAAGAATTGGGATGTTCACCTATCTAAGAAGTCAATGCTACATCCTGGCATGGCTGGCCAGGCTGTGCCTTAAAATGGTGGGGGAATGATACAGCCACTTTGGAAGGCAGTTTGGTGATGCACTGCAAAACAACACATACCCTTACCATCGCATCGAGCAATTGTATTCCTTAGTACTTACCCAAGTGAGTTGAAAATATATGTCCACAGAAAGACCTGCACACCGATGTTTACAGCAATTTTACTTATAATTCCCAAACTTGGAAGCAACCAAGATGTCTTTCAATAGGTGAATAAATAAACAAACTGTGTGGCACATCCAGACAATGGAATATTATTCTGTGTTAAAAAGAAATGAGCCATGATGCCATGAACACTCATGGAGGAACTGTAAATGCATATTACTAAGTGAAATAAGCCAGTCTGAAAGGGCTACATACTGTTTCTTGATTCCAATTATATGACATTCTGGAAAAGGCAAAATTATGGATACAGTAAAAAGATTAGTGGTTGCCAAGAGTTTGGGGTGAGGGAAAGATGAATAGGTTGAGCACGGAGGATTTTTAAGGCAGAGGAACTGTTTCATATGATACTATAATGGGTAATACATGTCATTATACATTTGTCAAAACCCAAAGAATGTACAACACCAAGAGTGAACTGTAATGTAAACTATAGCATCGCAGATACTGCTGTGCCTGAATATAAACTAAAAAGATTATTTGTACAAAAGGCAAAAATAATAGTTGCTGCCAACAGTATAATGAAATTTTATGGGAAGAAAATCAAACTCTGGAGAAGGAGAGGGAAAAAAGACAAGAGAGTTTCAAGATTACTAGATGTTTTCTCAAAGAAATAAATCAACATTTTGAATGCTTACCGAGTGTCCTAGGATTTAAAAATTGAGCAGAACTGGTTTTCTCAACACGTATCCCAAGTTCAAACTCAAATGAATATCTGACCGTAGAAGCTCATTGTCATGTATCCCAACAGTAACACCTTTTACTCCAGATAGTACTTGAAACCTTTCCCAAACATCTTTCAACCAGGGTATCTTGGGAGATAGCAGTGATTGGCCCAGCTAGAAAAGAAGGAAACAGACTGTCAGAGAAGTGAATTGCCAAGGTTGGTGGCTGATGAGTGACCAGTGGCATTATGCAATCTATTTATTTTATTAAGTGTGTAATGAGGTCCAGGTACAGTGGCTCACACCTGTAATCCCAACACTTTGGGAGGCTGAGGCCAGAGGATCACTTGAGGCCAGGAGTTGAGGCTAGGCAACAAAGTGAAACCTTGTCTGTACAAAAAATAAAATAATTAGCAGGCACGATGGCATGCACCTGTGGTCCTAGCTACCCAGAAGGCTGAGGCAGGAGGGTTGCTTGAGCCTGGGAGGTCTAGGCTGAACGAGCTGTGATCATGCCAGGGCACTCTAGTCTGGGCAACTCAGTGAAACCCTGTCACTAAATAAATAAATAAATAAATAAATAAATAAATAAATAAAGTGTGACAGCTTTTACTCCTTCAGTATGAAATATACAAAGAAAATAAGCAAAATTTTCTTTTGGTAATCAGCTTGTAGCATGGCTGACAAGCACTTTTAATAATGCTATAAAGAGTAACTAGCACACAGCTAATATCTAGTAATTGCTCTGCATTACACATAGGGGACATCTGCATTCTTTTGTTTAATCCTCTCATCTCTATGTAACATATTACTGTGTACTGTGAAGAAACTGAGATTTACACAGGTTAAGAAACCTACCCAAGGTTGCTGAGCTAGTGGTTTCAGAGCTAGGATTGCAACCTAGGCTGCCCGATCCTAGAACCTGGGGCCATTTTACTCTTGCAGTGGGATATATTAAAATATACAGACCCTTGTTACCTCACAAGAAAGATAGGGAAACTCAACAATGTTGAGTAGATTGAACCCTGAGAGAAAATAGAGTAAGACTCCAGATGTTCTTGCTGTCAGCTTTGAAAAAAAAATGGTTTATACAGATCACTAAAAAAATATACCACTGCCTAGCATCGTGAAGCTGCCCTAATCTTTCCCTCAGGTGAAGAATGGCCTGGAAAGAAGGATGCTCTACAATAAAAGAGTTTAAACAAGACACAACTACAAAGCCACCACCTTCTGGGCAGCCTCCCTCATATTTCCCAGCACATGCCTGTGGCAGAAACCAGTCGGACGATCCTGTAGTTGAGCCAGGCTGGGCGGGGTCAGAGCAGGCATGTTCTCTCTGCTGCTGGTTGCATGATCTTTACCTTTCCTGACTTTTTCGTTCCCTTCAGAGGAATCAGAATGGGAGTTGCTGTGCCGGTTATTTCAGATTTGAATCTAATCTAACAGCTCAATGTTCAAGCGGAAGGGTCTGACCCTTCCCTCGGGATACAGAGACCCTAAGTAAGCTCGGTCAGTGTTTCTCTATTATCACCCACTGCCCAGAATCGATTGTTTAGCAAATAAATACATACATATTTAAATATATAAATATATCTACATATGAATTATGTATAATTCAATGTTTGCCAGTTTATTCTAGAGTCTACAACTCAGGAACAGCCAAAAGGAATAGCTACACAGGGCAAGGTGTGTGTGTGTGTGTGTGTGTGTGTGTGTGTGTGTGGTGTGCAGAGCTTCTTTAGAGGCACACCATTACCTGGCACCTTGATCTGTTCACCAACATGGAAGCTCTCCAGGTATCCTGGTTCAAGAGTTTTTATGGAGCTCAATCTCCAGTGCTCCCCAACATCCCCGTACCACCCAATGCAAACACATCCTGGAGGTCTGTGGACAGAGCTGAAAGTTCCAATCCTCTAATGACTTGTTATTTCTAGTGAATAGCCCCATCCTAAGCTGTCTAGGGGCCATACCCTAAGTCACTTCATTAGGATAAACTCAGGGGTGATCAAAAGAATCTCCTCCTTATGAATAACAAAAGACATACCTATTACTCGGGAAATTCCAAGGGTTTTAGGAGCTCTGGGTCAGGAACCTGGGACAAAGACCAAATATATTTTTGTATTATACCAAAGGAAGTTAAGTCCAGATCTAGCTGTGACCCTGGATGAGCTGTATAACCTCTCTGTACCTCAGTTTGGACATCTGTAAAAATTGGGATAAGTATACCTACATCACAAGGATGTTATGAGGAATAAATGAGATGCCTGGCTCATAATTAGCACTGGTAAACATTAGCTATTACTGTTACATTTTCCAGAACTTTCAGATTTGTGTCTTATTTAATCCTCAAGTGCAGAACCAGAATGTTTTCATTAAAAATTTTTTGGTTCACAAATATTTGAACATATTTACACAGTACATGGTACATGTGATAGTTTGTTACATGCATAGAATGTGTAATGATCAAGTCAGGATATTCAAGATATGCATCACCTCTAGTATTTATCATTTCTATATGCTGAGAACATTTCAAATCTTCTATTGTAGCTGATTTTGAAATACACTACACGTTGTTGATAAACTATAGTCACTCTACTTTGCTATTAAACATTAGAAGTTACACCTTCTATCCAACTGTATATTTGTACCCATTAACCAACCTCTATACCACCACCCGCCACACACACACACAAACACACACACCCTTCCCAGAGTCTAGCCTCTGGTATCTATCATCCTATTTTCTAGCTGCATGAAATCAACTCTTTTAGCTCCCACATATGAGTAAGAACATGCAATATTTGTCTTTCTGTCCCTGGTTTATTTCACTTAGCATAATAACCTCCAGTGCCATCCATGTTGCTGCAAATGACAGGATTTTATTCTTTTATATGGATGAATAATATTCCATTGTGTGTATATACCACATTTTCTTTATCCATTCATCCAGTGATGAACACTTAGGTTGAGTCCATATCTTTGCAATTGTGAATACAGCTGCAATAAACATGAGCATGCAGGTATCCCTTTGATATATTGATTTCCTTTCTTTTGGATAAATACCAGTAGTGAGATTTCTGAATCATACATAGATATTTCTCAAAAAAAAAAAAAAAACATACCAATGGCCAACAAGTAAAGTATATGAAAAAATGTTCTGACATAACAAAGTACCACAAAAATAAAAGAAAAAGTGTTCAACATCACTTATCATCAGGGAAATGCAAATCAAAACCACAATGAGATATCATCTTACCCCAGTTACGGTAACTATTATTTAAAAGACTAAAAAAAAAAAATGTTGGTGAGGACTCAGAAAAAACAGAATTCACACACTGTTGATAGGTATATTCATTAGTACAGTCACTATGGAAAATAGCATAGAGATTTCTCACAGTCACTATGGAAAATAGTATAGAGATTTCTCAAAGAGCTAATATAGAAATGTTCTCATTTTACACTGAGGTCCCTGGAGGTTAATTGCCCTGCCAAGGGCTCTATAGCCTCTGTGGAAGCCAGAGCTGGAACCAGGCTTGCCAACCCCTCTAATCCACCTCTGTTCTCTCTTACTCTTGCGAACACACTGAGCTAAGTGGCCCACCCTTCGTTAGAACATATCTCCATCGGCCAGGCACAGTGACTCACACTTGTAATCCCAGCACTTTGAGAGGCTGAGGCAGGTGGATCATTTGAGGCCAGGAGTTCGAGACGAGCCTGGACAATGTGGCAAAACCCTTTCTCTACAAAAAAATTGTATTTTTTGGATGTGGTGGTGCACGCCTGTAATCCTAGTTACTTGGGAGGCTGAGTCAGGAGAATCACTTGAACCTGGGAGGCGGAGGTTGCAGTGAGCCTAGATTGTGCCATTGCACTGCAGTCTAGGCAACAGAGCAAGACTGTCTCAGAAAAATAAAAGAACAAATCTCCTTCAGATCAACCTCAACTGACAGTTTGCTGTGTGTCCAGCTCACACATGAAACTGCCTCGGCAGTACTAGCTAGCTCCTGAATTCAGTGTCTTGGACCCACGTTCCACAGGCCTGAAAAAGCCCATGCATAGCCAGTGTAACTACAAATGCCCATCACACACATAAAAATTATTTCTAAAATTCAAAACCTGGTGCTGCTATGTCTGACAGTCTGGTCTCTAAGAACATGATGTTGTGGGTCTTCCCTGCAGGGCTTTGACACACTGAGGGTGGAGAAGCAAGCTTATATATTTGACCAGAACTGAAAGCTAAGCTACAGTTGAGGATATCAGAGGATCCCCCTTCTAACATGAAAAGGAGCCATATTCTGAACATAAAACCTCTGCTCACCACAGTGGCTCCATATACCTGCCAGGCTAGGATACACCAAGCACACCCTCACCTCTGCCCATGCTCCGCCCTCGCCTCTCAATGAGCTTTCTCTTCTTGCTACAATATCCAGCTCTAGGACCAGGATTTTGCATGGAATCTCTTTATGGTCAGATGTCTTATTCTGTTGTCAGACCTTGGGTTCCTTGGTTTTCAGTTGGTTAAGTGCAGTCAGCACTCCTTTATCCTCCTTAGCCATGACCACTCACTGGGGCACAGTCTCAGGTAGCCCACCTGGCTGTCTCATTCTCACCTTAAAGCAAATGCAAATATGACTATGGATGCATTAAAGAGCACTGTGGATTTTATTTTAAATGTCTTGGGTATACAGGGCAGAGTGTCATGTATATATCACATGGCAAAATATTTTAAGGACCCCCCCTTTAAACTTTCCTCTCTCTTTTCCTAAAGTTCCTAGCCCATCAGCACCTGCCCTGAATCTCTATCTTCTGCTTTTTCTCCCCTTTGCCCCAGTCTTTCTCTTCCTCTCCAGACTGTTTGTCTGTGAGTCCATCTTTGAGTAGAGAAATGTAGCCCTCTACTGACCTCCTTACCCATCAACCTTGTTGGCAAAACGAATGCTTGATGCTGATTTTCTTGGTCTCTCTTCTTCCCCAACTGGAGGAAGGAAATTGACCCTTCTTAGAAAGAAGTAGGAAAGATATGAAATGCCTATTGCTGACTTTTGTTTTCTATCACACAAATACTGTTTTATAATGGGAAAAAGAGGAAGAGGTTGAACATATATTAAGTACATGCCAGATATATTTTCATTTTGTACTCAAGTTAGTATGTATGTCTTATACATTCAGGCAGATGGCAACTTACATAAGGTCAGTGTCCATTTCTTCAGGGAATTATGCCAATTCTGTTTGACCACAGAATTATGGCTGCTATGGTAATGTCTAAATATTTTCATTAGATGCCAACAATTGGAAATATAAAGATCTCATAAAAATAAAAATATTGATGTCTGGCTTCTCTTGAAAAATTGAAGATCTGGTATGCCTATCCTGACTATAGCCAGAACCTAATAAAGGATGCCAGTCCCACCCACCTTAGATGGGGTCCTGGTTCTGCAGGACATCGTAGTACCCACCACTCCCCACTGTGTTCTTGATAACGAAGTAGAATCAATTGCTATCTATCATCATGCTTACATTATTTCCTTACAGTAAATAGAAAAGTTTAAATATTTTAAACATAGGTAAATAAGAGACCTAGAGTGTTCCATGCTTCTTGTTCCTACCCACTGGTTCGTTGGTCTTACCCGCCAGGTCCCTGTACGCATTGGCATGCGAGAGCCCATTTTACTGAGTGCTTCTTTTGTACTTCCCATGGTGCTGGTGCTGCTGGATATTTGGCAGGTATCCTACAATTCCTGATGAACTGGAATGAATGGAAAAAAAAAAAATCAGAAAGCTTCACTGTTTGTTTGCTCTACTGCTTGCCTCTCCTCTCCTTTCCTCTTCCTTGCTGTGGCCTGGGGAAAAGTAGCCCTTTCTCAATGCCTGGAAAACCTCAGTGTCCTTTTGCCCTACTTAGTCCCAAATCTTTTGAAACATCAGTGACCATGAAAACAAGGGAAATATTTCAAAATTATCTATCTTAGCAGGGCTCTATCAATAAATCATGGCAGAAGACTCTCAGTAGCTAGTTTGTTATATGCCAAGTCTGTGTTAGAAATGAATAATTCACAGTTCTGTAGCCCCAAATTGATTTATAATCTATTAAATCACTGAGTTTGGGTCTCCTTTCTCAAAGAGAAGAGGTCAGGTTTTGGCAATCA
This sequence comes from Homo sapiens, assembly GCF_000001405.40. Taxonomy (NCBI): domain Eukaryota; kingdom Metazoa; phylum Chordata; class Mammalia; order Primates; family Hominidae; genus Homo; species Homo sapiens. The sequence continues at coordinate 92,959,824 of NC_000011.10, read as the reverse complement.
GGTCCAGGAAAAGGAACAGCATTGACAGAGCAGTGAATTCACTGCTCTGTGAGAACAGTGAATAGAGAACATCTGCGGCAGATTTTCCAGTATTCCTAACAGCACCTTTTTCAATGGAGACAATTGGATGACCAGGCACAGTGACTCACACCTGTAATCCCAGCATTTTGAGAGACCGAGGCAGGAGATCACTTGAGGCCAGGAATTTGAGACCAGCCTGGGCAACATGGTGAAATCCTGTCTCTACAAAAATTGTTAAAAAATAACACACAATAGGCTAATTGGATAATCAAATGTGATCTAACTCTTATGTCTTTGTCAGTCTTTTCATATAAATAATTTTAAGAATGAGGGAGAAGGGAATTCATTGTCACACCATCTGTCTAGACGTTTTGCTGTAGAAAATGTGGGAGTTAAAACTATATAGCTGCACGTGTATCCCAGGACTTACATTAAAATAAAAAGAAAAGGAAATTGTCACTAGTCCAAAAAAAAAAAAAAAAACAAACAAACAAAAAAAAACAACTATATAGCTTCTTTCCCAGCAAAACTGATGCTTCCTGGAGAAAGATAATTCTGAGGCTAAGATGAAGGGGTAAAGTTAGGGTCGATGAAACTTCATTTCTTATTTATACCTGCCTCTTTCTATAGGCTACTTCACCTTTATTCTCTACCATTGTTGGCTCCCTCCTGGCCTCTAATTAATGTATATTCTCTTCCTCAATTAGACCAAAACAGTTTGAAGATGGGCTGTACCTTCTTTTGACTTTTCTAATCTCATTAGCACCTGCCGTAGTACCACACATGCACCAAGTGCTTAAAAATGCTTTTTGAATGAATGAAAATGTTTTCCCACTGAGTGAAAACTCTCTGAATCACCTTCCATCACTCTGTCCCCTCTCACAGCTCTTTCTCCTTGCTTGCCTCCTCAGCACCGAGGGAGACTCTGAGTGAATCGGGACTTTGGAAGGAAGAAGCTGGGGCGAAATCTGCCTCCAGGTTTCCCACTTCAAGTCCTGCCCATTTAATCCTAAATCTGGAAGACTCATAAAGAAGACTTATTTCCCAGCTGGGCACAGTGGCTCACGCTTGTAAATCCCAAGTCTTTGGGAGGCCAAGACAGAAGTATCACTTGAAGCTAGGAGTTTGAGACCAGCCTGGACAACACAGGGAGACCCTGTCTCTACAGAAAATTTTAAAAAGATTTATTTCCCCCAGTTGAACACTCACAAGGAGGATTTGTTTCCCCCCGGCAGTATCTATGGCATATTTTTCTTGGCAGGCAGGGCTCTCCCCTCTATGAAAACAGTGGGGCATGGATAGGCATCATTGCAGCATTATTGCCTGGCATGTGCTATTGGTGTGGGCTCACAGAAGTGGCAGCCTGCTGCAGATCAGGCCCCTGAATGTACAGCATGCTGCTCACAGAGCAGGACCAACCTAGCTTTTTTTGTGGACACTGTCAAATGGCCTCACACCACACCTCAAACCAGTCCACCAGTACCTCATTCTTATGCTATAAAAATGAATTTACCATAGCCATCCCCAAACCTGCAGGTGCTCTTTCATTTCCTTCTAAATATTCCCATATTCATCAACTTCTTCCCATTTTGCTGCAACTCTCCTATAGGGTGTAAGATGACAACTGCAAGAGCCTCTGATTAGTCTCCTTCCTCCTGCCTTGCCTGCCTCCAACCTCTTTTTCATGCAGAACACAGGGCTTTTTTTTTTTTTTTGATGGAGTCTTGCTCTGTTGCCCAGTCTGGAGTGTAGTGGTGCAACCTCTGCTCACTGCAGCCTCCGCCTTCCAAGTTCAAGCGATTTTCCTGCCTCAGCCTCCTGAGTAGCTGGGATTACAGGTAAACGCCACCACACCAGGCTAATTTTTGTAGTTTTAGTAGAGACAGGGTTCCACTATGCTGGCCAGGCTGGTCTCAAACTCCTGACCTCAGGTGATCTGCCCCTCGGCCTCCCAAAGTGCTGGGATTACAGGTGTGAGCCACTGCACCAGGCCAACAGGGATATTTTTTAAAAGTATAAGCCAGACAACTCCTTTGCTCAGAATCCTCCAGTGGTTTCCTTCACACTTAGAAGAAAAACTCCAGGCTCCTTCCCATGGCTGCACGATCTGCCCTTCTCTTCTGCCAGTGTTCCGTCTTCTCCCTTTATTCCAGCTCACCGGCCTCCTGAAACAGGATCTTTGTTTCTGTTGCCTCTCCTCTCTGAAATGATCCACTTCCCTGCTCAGCCCTGACTGTCTCCTTCCTAAGAAATGAAGTTACGGCCAGAGGAATTATAATACCCCCACCACCCTAAGCATTGTCATGCCACCCTGCTTCATTTTCCTTCTGGCAGTTAGTATTAACTGCATTTATCTACTTCACTTATTTCTTTACTTGTTTTTTGTTTGTTCCCCCTTATAACAAGGTACAAACAGCACACATACTTGCAGATACATTGTTCTGGGTTGATCCTCTCCTTTGTTGAGAGGATTCCTATAAGCTATAGTTGTATACCTAAACTCTTTAAAGATTAATACCAGAAACCTCAGAGTAGTTAGGTTTGGTCAACAAAAAGATGAAAGAATTATTATTGGCCAGGCATGGTGGCTCACACCTGTAATCTCAGCACTTTGGGAGGCTGACGGGAGGATCACTTGAGGACAGGAGTTCAAGACCAGCCTGGGCAATATAGCAAGACCCCATCTCTACAAAAAAAACATAAAAAAAATAGCCAGGTGGTGGTGCACACCTGTAATTTTAGTTACTCAGGAGGCTGAGGCAGGAGGACCACTTGAACCCAGGAGTTTGATAATGCAGTGAGCTATGATTGAGCCACTATATTCCAGTCTGGGTGACAGAGCAAGACCTGGTCTCTACCAAAAAAAAAAAAAAAGAAAAGAAAAAGAAAAGTATTGTTAATTTTTTAGGTGTGACCAATGGTATGGCGGTTATGTATCTAAAAAGTCTTGATCTTTCAGAGATACATGCTAAGATATTTAATACTTATAGATAAAATGATATGATGTCTGAGATCGGCTTCAGAATAAATCAGGGCAGGGCAATGGGGAATGAAAATGGGTAGGCGTGTTGGTGAATTGGCTATAAGTTAGTAATTACTAAAGGTGGGTGATTCATGCGTGGGCATTCATTTTACTAATCGTTCCACTTTTGCATGTGTTTGAAATTTTTCATAATAAAAAAGTAAGAAAGAAAAATATCCTTACAACATTTCCAGATGCCTATCCTAGACATATCAAGGCTCTGACACACATTTTAGATCATGCAGACTCAACTCATCCTTGTATTGGACTGTAAACATCTCATTTTAGCAGCAGGCAAAGATCCACAATGCCCCTCCAGAATGTAACCCCATGAGAACAGGGAACTTAATGTGTAGTGGTCATTGAGTGCCTGATTATTCCCAGTCCCCAAACCAGCTACTAGGAATAATCAGTACTCCATAAACATTATAAAATAGCTAAATTGCCCATTTTGGTTAATGGCCTTGTTATCATCCCGGTCATTCGAACTACACCTTCAGAGCCATAACTGCTGCCCCCTTCTCCACATCCTCTCTCACAGTGGTACCTCTAGCCCTCCCCAATATCAATGCCTTTTATCACCTCTCACCTCTACTGTTGCAACAGTCCCTGACTGCTTTCTCTGCTGCCAGCCTTCTCCTCCCAACAGCATACTGTAAATTCTACCAGGGACTTTCCAAAGCATGCTGAAACCTGCTTGAAAACTTTTACTGGTTCCTCAGTCTGACCCCATGTGAGTAATAGGCATATTTTATAATTTCATAATGTCTTATAGATGGCAAAGCTCTCTCACATATGTCATTTGATATAATCTCTATGGCCCTTTGAGGCAGAGGTTTATTTCCCCATTTTATGCCAAAGAAACTGAAACTCAAAAACTCCAAATTAAAAAGCTGGTAAGTGATAGAGCTTAGGCCAGAATTCAGTGCTCTTAAGACAAGAAGTTATATACAAATTTTCTTTATTCATTCATCTGTTGATGGACACTTAGGTTGATTCCATATCTTGGCTATTGTAAATAGTGCTGCAACCAATATAGGAGGGCAGATCTCTCTTCCATATACTGATTTCCTTTTTTTTTAGATAGATACCCAGCAATCAAATTGCTGCATCATATGGTAGCTCTATTTGCAGTTTTTTGAGGAACTTCCATACTGTTTTCCATAGTGGCTATACTACTTCACATTCTCACCAACAGTATATAAGCATTCCCCTTTCTCCATATCCATGTTAACATTTGTTATTTTTGGTCTTTTTTTATAATAGCCATTCTAACTGGGGTGAGATGATATCTCATTGTGGTTTTGATTTGCATTTCCCTGATGCTCAACAATGCCCAACACCACTGATTACTAATGTCGAGCATTGTTTCATATACTTCTTGGACATTTCTAGGTCTTCTTTTGAGAAATGTCTACTCAAATCTTTTGCCCATTTTAAAATTGGGCTTGTTTCAGTTTTTGTTCATTTTGTTTTGTTCTTGTTTTTGAGTTTTTGCTATTGAGGTGTTTGAGCTCCTTGTAAATTCTGGTAATTAATCCCTTGCCAGATGAAGAGTTTGCAAATATTTTCTTCCATTCTGTAGGCTGTCTCTTCACTTATTGTTTCCTTTGCTGTACATAAGTTTTTCAGCTTGATACAATCCTCTTCAGCCATAAAAAAGAATGAAATCCTTTCATTTGCAGCAACATGGATGGAACTGGAGGACATCATGTTAAGTGAAGTAATTCAAGCATAGAAAGACAAATATTGCATTTTCTCACTCATATGTTGGAACTAAAAGTGTGGACTCCTGGAGGTAGAGAGTAGAATGGTGATTACCAGAGGCCGGAAAGAAAGAAGGAAGAATGAAAAGAAACTGGTTAAGGGGTATAAAAGTACAGTCAGATAGAAGGAATAAGTTCTAGCATTTGATAAGGAAATGATGGTTAACAATAATTTATTGTATATTTCAAAATAACTAGAAGAGAAGAATTATAATGTTCCCAACACAAAGAAAAGATAAATGTTTCAGGCATAGTGACTGTGCCTGTAGTTCTTACTTTGGAGGCTGAGGCAGAAGGATCACTTGAAATTAGGAGTTTGAGGCTATAATGCACCATGATCACGCCTGTGAATAGTCACTGCACTTCAGCCTGGGCAACATAGTGAGACCTTGTCTAAAAAATAAATAAATAAATAAGAAAGGAAGAAAAAGTAAAAGGAAATGAAAAGGAGAAGATAATTATTTGAGGTGACGGATATCCCAATTACTCTGATTTAATCATTACACATTGTATACCGGTATTAAAATATCATGTGTATCCCCCAAAATATGTACAACTATTATATATCAATTAAAAATATATTTTTAAGAATGAGGAGTTAATGAAAGGGAAAGGGACTTGGTTGGAGGTGGGTGGGGTGGGAGCAAACAGAGTGAATTAGATTATTCGCATCTTTTCTGGATTCTTCTGTATTATTTAAAAACTATGAGGTAGAGAATTTCACTTGAGAATTCACTTGACTCCCAGGAGGGCTGTTTCTTTCAGCAAAGCTGCCAGGGTAGGTGGTAAAGTATACTTCCCTGCGGGTGGTCTGGCAGGGCCAGGAGACTGGGAGGGAGAGATTTTAGCAGTGGTCGGGTGTGCACCGCTCAGCCGGGAGCCACTTCTGGAGGCCTGTAGGAAAGCTTGCTGTGTTCATTCCCTCAGGGCTCTTTTTATCTGCAGTAAAGACTAATGGGTCACAAACTGGAGGCCTGTGGGCCAGGTGCTGCTGGCACCTGTGATCTTTGGATCCACATAGCATGAAACAAAGTTTTGAGGCAACATTTACAAATGTCCACAGTCTATGTGGCTCCTCTTTAAACATCAGAAGCTCTGATAGCCATGGCCTCTCTCCCAGCATGGCCACCATTGGCTGGGCGGCATGGCAGCTGCCCTCTGAGGAAGGCCTATGCCTGCAGCCCTGCCTAAGCTGATTCACTTGTGCATCATTCCCGCCTGGCTCCAGGAAGCATCTAAGTTCGGGGCCCCAAAGATTCATTATTCTTCAAGACATTTGGAGCACATGCCACCCTAACATAAGATGGGGCTGTGAGGTTGTAGAGTTCTTTGTGGATTATTGGATCTTTTCAATGATAACATAGTATTTGTACAATGGATCTTTGAGCAACACAGGTTTGAACTGCACAGGTCCACTTATATGTGGATTTTTTCAATAAAAGTTATGGTGAGTGTGTCTGCCTCTCCTGTCTCTCCCTCCACCTCCACTCCTTTCTGCCTCTGCCACTCCTGAGACGGCAAGACCAACTGCTCCTCTTCCTCCTCCTCCTCAGCTACTCAAGCTGAAGGCAATGAGGATGAAGACCTTTATGATGATCCATATCCACTTAATGAATAGTAAATATATTTTCTCTCTTTGGTAGATATGGGGTCTCCCTGTGTTGCCCAGGCTGGTCTCTAACTCCTGGCTTTAAGTGATCCTCCCACCTTGGTTTCCCAAAGTGCTGCAATTAGAGACGTGAGCCAGTGCCCCCAGCTTCTCTTCTTTATGATTTTCTTAATAACATTTTATTTTCTCTAGCTCACTTTATTGTAAGAATATAGCATGTAATACATATAGCATACAACATATGTGTTCATCAGCTGTTTTTGGTATCAGCGAGGCTTCCAGTCAACAGTAGGCTACTAGTCATTAAATTTTTGAAAAGTCAAAAGTTACACACACATTTTCAACTGTATAGGGGTCAGTACCCGACTCCCATATTATTCACGGGTCACCCGTATATAAAGAGAAAGCTAATCATCCAATACTCTTTCTACCAGTCCATAGCTGCCTGATCCACACTTTTACCATATTTCCCTGTGATCTGGTCACACAGGCTGTGCCCGTCTACCCCCATGTCCCTGTCTCTGAGCTCATGCTTTTGCTCTCACAAAGAGCATCCTTCCTTCTCACTGAAAGCCCAGAAAAAACAGGGACTCCTAGTTGGATTCATCCTTATATCATTCAAATCATTTCCTATACATTTATAAATATATATGTATATTGTTCTTTTTAACCTCAATGATTTATACTTTAAACATTAATCTTCAATTAGAATGCAGGGCATTCTAGAATAAGGGCAGGAATTTTGCCTGAATTGTTCACTGCTATATTCCTTGCACCTGTGCCAGTGCTTGATATATCATAAACCAATAAATATTGACTTCTATGTTCAGTGAGTAAAATGAGTGAGTAAGCTTGTTTTCTGGCTTATAATGTCTTAGACTTCTTCCCATGCCAGTATATATATATATACTGAATTCTTTTGAAGGCTGCATAGTATTAGTGTACCATAATAAACACCCCATGGTATTTATATTCTTTGCTATTTTGCAATATTTCAAACAGCATTGTGTTGATCATCTATCTTTATGTATAATACACATATATGTTAGTAATTTCTGTAGAAATAATTCCTGGAAGTGGACTTTGCTCATGGGGTGGGTTGGTCAAAGAATATAAACATTTAAATTTTGATACATACAGCCATTTGGTGCTCTTAAAGGACTATATCAATTTTTAGTTTAAACAACATAGTATGGCAGTGTCTTTTTTTGCTATTTCCTTTCTATCTTTAAGCATTATCTGTTTTATAACGAATTATACTTCCCCTCTTCTTCAGGCGAAGAAGGGGAGGAGGACAGAGGAAAAGTTGGAAATGGGGAGAGGAGGAAGGACCTGTGAGAAGAGAGAAATGGCTCAGAGAAATCTGAGCTATGTGAGGTTTGCAAAATTTTTCAGGTGCAGACAGGCATGAGTATGGGACTTCAGTCATGCCCCCAGCACATATACCTGGGGACAATTGTTTCAACTCATTTTGTTCCTGACTAGCTGTCTTACCCATTATCTTCATATTCTTGGAATTTGTGATACAAAGAACAATGTATAGACAATTAACAGCTTATCCACATGTAACTGCTGCTGATTGAAGTGTATTTCAGAGCAACTTGAATCTATGTTCCTGAGCTGCAATCCTCAAGCTTGGCTCAAATACGCTCTCTACTTATATTAAATTTGCTTCAGCTTATTCCTTTCAATTTGACACCTGTAAAGCAAGTGAGCATGCTGTGCCCTGCATGACTCTACAGTGAAGAGATGGACAAGAGGCATTTCATTTACTTTTATCAATGTTATAAGCTTATTGCTCAATCTGGAACATTTTATTGGCTGCTGGTGCTTTTCTGTAAAATACCCATGGGAAGGTTTTCAGAACACAGGAAACTGTTGCCAGCATAAAAGAAGATAAATTATAATTTGTTCTCCATAAATATTGCAAGATCACCACCATGTATATGAGGAAGAAATTTTTTTTCAAAGCATTTTCACCTGTATTATCGTATGTAATATTCACAAAAACCATGTTGGCATGTTTCTCCATTTATATATTTTATTTTATCTATTCCTGAGACAGGATCTCCCTATGTTTCCCAGGCTGGTCTTGAGCTCCTGGCCTCAAGCAATACTTCCACACTGGCCATGCAAAGTGCTGGGATTACAGGCATGAGCCACCATGCCCAGCCTGTCTCTCCATTTTTATTGATCCTCCTGAAGGACAGAAAATCCAAGTGATTAGCCCAAATCATTCAGTCAAAGGCACAGACAAGTCTTAAACATCTGTCTCCTGACTCTCATCCCAGTTCTCTTTCCTCCAGATTCTGCACATTTTAATAAATTGCCCTTGAGTCAAATGAAGTTCATGAAACACATCTGAGATTTTTCAGTGAATCTGTTCCATTATGATGCCTTCAACATATTGTTTAGAACTCACCATGCTGACATTACATTATGGCACCAAGAGGGAGGCAATGATTACTACGAAAAGAGCTCCTCAGCCTGGGCAACATAGCAAGACCTCCATCTCTACAACAACAACAACAATAATAATACAATTAGCTGGGCATAGTGGTGTGCCCCAATAGTCTCAGCTACTTGGGAAGCTGAGGTAGGGGGAACACCTGAGCCCAAGAGTTTGAGGTTACAGTGAGCTATGATCATGCCACTGCACTCCAGCTTGGGTGACAGAGCAAGACCCTGTTCTGAAAGAAAGAAAGAGAGAAAGAAAGAAAGGAAGGAAGGAAGGAAGGAAGGAAGTAAGGAAGGAAGGAAAGAAGGAAAAGAAAGAAAGAAAGAAAGAAAGAAAGAAAGAAAGAAAGAGAAAGAAAGAAAGAGAAAGAAAGAAAGAAAAGAAAGAAAGAAGAGAGAGAAAGTGAGAGAGAGGGAGGGAGGAAGGAAGGGAGGGAGGGAGGAAAGAAGGAAGGAAGGAAGGGAGGGAGGGAGAAAGAAACAAAAAAAGAGCTTTTGTGTGTACAAACTTGGCTCGAATCAGATAACATCCTGAATTTAGAGCAGCTGAAATGATCATTGCTGTCAATAAAATGAATACCTACAACTCTAAGATGCAAGAACTTCTCAACGCAGGGTCCAGTTTTAAAACAAAAATAAAAACAAACAAAAAACATTTACCTATATTCTCAAGGGCAAATATTATTTATACACCTTTGTCTTGCCAGCGCCTGGCATGGTGCCTGGCACGTATCTAGCACTATCTGCTAGATAATAACAGTGATAGCACACTCATGTTTAAAAATATAAAAAGTAGTAAATTCTCTCATGTTGCTAAATGTAGGGAGACCCCCTGAAACTACTTCTATGGAATAAAAGATGAAATGCTCCTGATTATTGTAAATAAAAAATTGCATGCAGGATTGTGTAAAGACAATGCCAGGTTGGACTGCCAGAACGAGCCAACAGCACGTGATGTGCTTCCCCCTGCAGAGAGCCTATGAATGGACGTGCAATCAGGGAGGTTTCACATCACCAAGATTCCTATCCCAGAAAAGCAGATGTTCATAGCTCTAGGAATGGAATGCGACCTTTGTGGAGAGCCTATAAACGGACGCATGGTGGGGTGCCTGTCCATAGGGATAAGATAGGGCTATAAATGCCCTCATCTTGCCACGGCTCTTCTAGGCCTCTTGAGGGTTAAGGCATACTCCCTTCTGAGAATTTCTGGTCTAACCGGTTGTCTAGCTTCACGTCCTGTTTCCATGGATTGTTTGTAACCAGCTTTTGTTGCAACTGTTACTGCTGATTAATATCTTGCTAATCATAGGTTATGGAAAGATTGTGTTTCTGTTTTAAGCCTCTGTTAGAAATTACTGATGCACACACTATATCGTAAATTCTTATCTCTGTATACTGTACTTCTACATACTAATGTACTGTACTTCTACATACAAATGTTATGTTAAAGAATTACTTCATCCCCATGTGACCATCTCACCTCATAATCAAATGACCCTAAATCCCTCACTAACCTACCCCCTCCTCACTAAACTTAATAATACATGCTGGACATAACCAGTGCATTGTTGGCACTGCGGGACCAGAAGGCGGTGACCCCCTGGACCCAGCTTTCACTATCTTGTGTGTGTCTATTATTTCTCAACCTGCTGATCTGCCTGGGAACAAAGAGAGAGCCCCATTGCATTGCGGGCTGCTGGCCAGATCCCGCAATATCTGGCACCCAACATGGCCTTCTTTGTTCCTCGGCGCAGTGCACTCTGAGTGCAGTTTGTGATGACTAGTCTTCAGTCTCAACGGTAAGGTCTCCGGGTATGGTTTTTCCGACTCTCCCCTCTTCTCAGGTTTGTTGACCAGTAATATTCCAGGCTTATTATGGGACAATCACAGTTTAAACACCAGCCTTATCTGTCTTTTATTAAACTTCTTCTTAAACAGGGTGGAATCAAGGCTGATTCCAATAACTTTATTCTCTTATTTCAGACTATTGAAAAACATTGTCCTTGGTTTCCTGACAAAGGTTCTATGGACCTGTTAGACTGGGATCGAGTTGGTGCCACACTCTGCCAACTCAAGAGAGAATGGTGTTTTACTTCCTATTTCTGTTTGTACTGACTGGGCTCTCATTTGTGTTGCTTTACTTCCTTTTCAGTCTGGTGGTCCTCTTCAACTGCCAGAAGTTAATGCAGATGGTGAACTGCTCCCTTTACCTCGGGTAGCTGACCCCCCTACTAGTCCTCTTTCTGATGATGAAGAAGAATTCGATCTCTCCTTGTTTTCTCCCCAAGAGGAGGAACCTGGTGATGATCCCCTCCCTCCGCCTCCTATCATGGAAACTGTATATGTTAACTCTTCTTCTACTAAGCTGTTGCCCCCTCTGCCAGAGGAGGACATGCGGCATTCTTCTGAATGGTCTGTTTCTCGTTCCTCTTGTCCTTTTGGACCTCTCCCCTTTTCTAAGCCCACTGTTTCTTTTGATGCTCCGGGACCCCTTCTTTCAGAGGCTTGGAACCCTGCTTCCCCTCAGTCCGCATCCCAGCGCCCTCACTCTCCTTCTCTTCCTCTGTCCCTGCACAATGGATGCGTGAGTCACCTGTTTAGGTAGAGCAGTGGCCACTGTCCAAACACAAGTTGGAGGCTTTAATTGAAATTGTTAATGATTTACTACAAGCAAACACTACTGAGCCCTCATTGTCTTCATGGAACTCTCCTGTGTTTGTTGTACAAAAAAAGTCAGGAAAATGGAGGATGGTAACAGACTTAAGAGCTGCTAATGCAGTTATTAAACCTATGGGGGTGTTACAACCCGGTATGCCCTCCCCCTCCATGATTCCTAAGGAATGGCCTTTAATTATCATTGACCTTAAAGACTGCTTTTTCCATATTCCTTTAGACAAGTCAGACTGTGAAAAATTTGCTTTCACTATACCTTCCATTAACAATTCAGCTCCCGCAGCTAGATATCAATGGAAAGTTTTACCTCAAGGAATGATTAACAGTCCTACTATTTGTCAGTTGTTTGTCGGTACTGTGTTACAACCTATCCAACAGACTTTTAAAAATAATTACATTCTTCATTATATGGATGATATACTAATTGCTGCCTCCACTAAAGATGAATTAATTCAATGTTTTACCTCTTTAAAATTAGCTGATGCCAATGCAGGACTCCACATTGCTCCTGATAAAATTCAACAAGCCACTCCTTTTCTGTACTTAGGAATGCAGCTAGAAGCTCACTCCATTAAGCCCCAAAAAGTCCAACTTCATACTGACAATTTAAACACCTTAAATGATTTTCAAACATTACGAGGTGACATCAATTATCTCAGACCAACCCTAGGCATCCCTACTTATGCATTATTTCATCTATTTGCCACTTTATCAGGAGATACAGATTTAAACAGTCCTTGCTCTCTATCTGAGCCAGCAAAACAAGAGTTGTCTTTTGTAAAACAAAGAGTGAGAGAGGCACAAGTCTCTCATATTGACCCAAATTTGACTTTACAATTTTTAGTTTTTCCTTCCATCCACTCTCCTACGGGACTTATAGTACAAAATGATTCTCTAGTTGAATGGGTATTTCTTCCTAATTCAGCCTTTAAAACTCTTTCAATATATCTTGATCAAATAGCCACTTTGATTGGGTTAGGATGTCAACATATCACTAAAGTTTCCAGCTTTGATCCAAACATTATTGTAGTCCCTTTGTCAAAAAATGAAGTTAAAAATGCCTTTTCTACATCCTTGTGCTGGCAGACTAATCTGGCTGACTTCATTGGCACTATTGATGATCATTTGCCTAAGTCAAAATTCTTTCAATTTCTAAGAAATACTTCCTGGATTCTACCAAAACTTACTCGTTCATCACCACTAGAGACAGCCATTACCATTTTTAGTGATGGATCCAGTAATGGAAAGGCAGGGTATGTAGGACCAAAAGATAAAGTCATTTCTACTCCATACAATTCTGCTCAAAAAGCTGAGTTGTTTGCTGTTATCTCTGCATTACAGGATTTTGATCAGTCTCTTAATATTTTCTCTGACTCAGCATATGTAGTGCATGCCACTAAGGCAATAGAAACAGCTACCATCAAAAATATTACTGACACTAATCTGTTTTCCTTTTTCTCTTTGTTACAAAAAACTGTCTTTGTTACAAAAAACCGAAACCACTCTTTTTTCTTCACTCACATTCGTTCTCATACTAATTTGCCTGGACCTTTATCCAGTGGTAATCATAAAGTTGATACTCTAGTTTCTCTAGCCATTACAGATGCAGAACAATTTCATCAACTCACTTATACTAATGCCAGAAAAACATTTCTCTGGTAACCGTCCTACAGTAAACCAAGGAAGAGAAGTATGGTGGAAAGATGTTCAATCTAATATATGGTCAAAAAATTCTATTTTAACGTGGGGAAGAGGTTATGCTTGTGTTTCCCCAGGTGAACATCAATCTCCTGTTTGGATTCCTGCTAGACACATGAAATTGTGTCCTGAAAATGCATACAACAACGAGACAGAGAAATTTGCTGAAAAAGCACCACAGCAAGAAACAACTAACACATCCAATCGTCAAAAAGAAGAAAATGACCACGCTAACTCCTTTACAACAGACAATCCAGTCAGCCTTCCTGAACAACTTGTCTCCAGAGATCCAGGTCTGGCTCAACCTCTGCCTCCTCCTGATGACACTGATCCTTCTACCCTCTGTTGCCCCACAGACTGTTAAAAACTATACACATTGGGCCTATATTCCTTTTCCTCCTCTTATTCGAGCCATGACATAGATGGACGCTCCTATCGAGGTCTATGTTAATGATAGTATTTGGATGCCTGGTTCTGTAGATGATCGTTGTCCTGCCCAACCTTCAGAAGAAGGAATCCCTTTCAATATCACTTTAGGTTTTAGGTGTCCACCTTTGTGCCTGGGACCCACTAATGGATGTCTCTCATTAGATATTCAAACTTGGGCGGTCACACTACCATCTGGTCACTCTGTCCCTCCTTTGGGACACTTGGTATCAGGGCTCTCATTAAAACCTCTAAGGCAGATCAAAACAGAAATCACTGAATATATTCACACAACCCAATATAAGCCTTTAGGACCTGCATGATCTCTCAACTTGTCTTCAAATGCTGACAAATTAATATGGAAAGATTGTGTTAGCTCAGAAGGAACTGTGTTATTTAATTCTTCTCAGTACACCATTGTTGACTGGGCTCCCAAAGGTCATATTACTAATGATTGCTCTCAAGGTCACAAAGATTGTCAACATTTTCTCTATGATATTACTTATCAAAAAAGTAGTGACAACCCTCCCCTGTTATATCGTAGATTTAACTCCTTTTTTCCTCTTAAGTGGAAAGGGGCAGGGGTTGCCCCTCCAAAGCCAAGGCTCATTGTTCTGCACTTAGAACCTGAACATTCAGAATTATGGAGATTAACAATAGCTATGACTGGTATGAGAGTTTGGGCTGGAGAAAGTGTTATAAGTAAATCCACCTTGTCACCTCAAAATATATATACTATCTATATGGAGTCCAACAAAACTATATCACTTAAAAGTTGTGTTAAACTACCATATACGTTATTAGTAGGAAAGATGCATGATAGTTCAGAAACCAACATAATTACCTGTGTTAATTGTTACTTGTGTATTTGTATTGACTCATCCTTTAATCAATATCATAGTATTTTAATAGTCAGAGCCAGAGAAGGTATTTGGCTCCCTGTAGCCTTACATGGGCCTTGGGAATCTTCCCCCTCTATCCATGTTATTAACAATATTCTACAGAAAATTCTTAAAAGGAGTAAATGATTTATTTTTACATTAATTGCAATAATAATGGGCTTGATTGCTGTAACTGCGACTGCTGCTACTGCTGGAGTTGCATTACATCAATCTATTCAAACTGTTCATTTTGTGGATAAATGGCAAAAAAATTCTACTCAGATATGGAATTCTCAGTCAGGTATTGATAAAAAATTGGCTAACCAAATTAATGACCTAAGACAAACTGTTACATGGATGGGAGATAAAATTATGAGTTTAGAACATAGATTACAAATGCAATGTGATTGGAATACTTCTAATTTTTGTACAACTCCGTTTCAATAAAATGAGTCTGTTTACAATAGGGAATCAGTAAACTGTCATTTACAAGGAAGTGAAGATAATTTAAGTTTAGACATAAGCAAGCTAAAAGAACAGATTTTTGAGGCCTCACAAGCACACTTAACTGCTTTACCTGGTGCTGAAGTTTTAGGTGGTATCTCTGAGGGATTATCTAATCTCAACCCCATTCAATAGGTAAAATCTTTGGGAGGATCCACTATCGTTAATTTTGTTTTGTATATAATTTGTGCTATTGGTTTATTGTTCATGTGTAAAATTGGAAAAAATATTCTTCAATCCAATTGTGATCAGCACCAAGCTATGATTGCTATGGTTCATTTAAATCAGAGAAAAGGGGGAGATGTAGGGAGACCCCCTGAAACTATTGCTATGGAATAAAAGATGAAATGCTCCTGATTATTGTAAATAAAAAATTGCATGCAGGATTGTGTAAAGACAATGCCAGGTTGGACTGCCAGAATGAGCCAACAGCATGTGATGTGCTTCCCCCTGCAGAGAGCCTATGAATGGACGTGCAGTCAGGGAGGTTTCACATCATCAAGATTCCTATCCCAGAAAAGCAGATGTTCATAGCTCTAGGAATGGAATGCGACCTTTGTGGAGAGCCTATAAACGGATGCATGGGGGGTGCCTGTCCATATGGATAAGATAGGGCTATAAATGCCCTCATCTTGCCACGGCTCTTCTAGGCCTCTTGAGGGTTAAGGCATACTCCCTTCTGAGAATTTCTGGTCTAACCGGTTGTCTAGCTTCATGTCCTGTTTCTATGGATTGTTTGTAACCAGCTTTTGTTGCAACTGTTACTGCTGATTAATATCTTGCTAATCATAGGTTATGGAAAGATTGTGTTTCTGTTTTAAGCCTCTGTTAGAAATTACTGATGCACACACTATA
This sequence comes from Homo sapiens, assembly GCF_000001405.40. Lineage (NCBI taxonomy): Eukaryota > Metazoa > Chordata > Mammalia > Primates > Hominidae > Homo > Homo sapiens. The sequence continues at coordinate 92,943,912 of NC_000011.10, read as the reverse complement.
TTGTAAATTCTTATCTCTGTATACTGTACTTCTACATACAAATGTACTGTACTTCTACATACAAATGTTATGTTAAAGAATTACTTCATCCCCATGTGACCATCTCACCTCATAATCAAATGACCCTAAATCCCTCACTAACCTACCCCCTCCTCACTAAACTTAATAATAAATGCTGGCATATCCAGTGCATCGTTGGCACCGTGGGACCAGAAGGCAGTGACCCCCCCTGGACCCAGCTTTCACTATCTTGTGTGTGTCTATTATTTCTCAACCTGCTGATCTGCCTGGGAACAAAGAGAGAGCCCCATTGCATTGCGGGCTGCTGGCCAGATCCCGCAATAGCTAAAGAGGAACACAAGTATTTGCCTAAAGTTTTTTCTCTATGTGCAGAGTATCTGCATTTTTTGAGATGCATGGAAGTTATAATAATTAAGAGCAGTGATTTCAAAACCCAGATTTCTATAAAAAGTCTGTGGCAATTTAGGCTTTCTCTAACCCTCTCTTCAAAACCCTTCCAGGTTCCATCCACTGCCTACACTCCTACATTTCTAGATATCACTTCTAGGTACCAAAATCTGTATTAGGTACCTATTGCTGCCTAAGACTGTCATCATAAAATTAGCATCTGAAAAGAAGAAACACTTACTATCTCACAGTTTCTGTGGGGCCAGAATCTGAGTGTGGTTAGCTGATGTCTCTGGCTCAGGGTTTCTCACAAGGCTGTAATCAAGATGTTGGATGGGGCTGCGGCCATCCCAAGACACATGGGGGAAAACCCTCTTCCAAGCTTCCAAGCTCACTCACCTGGTTGTTGGCAGCTCACAACTTGACAGCTGGCTTTCTTCAAAACAAAAGAGTAAGAGAGTGAGAAAGGTGCTGAAGACAGAAGTGACAGCCTTTTTGCAAGCTGGTAAGTAAGATACCATCACTATTGAAGTAGTCTCTATTGGGCGGCAGTCACTAGGTCCAGCCCATACCTCCCGGCGGAGGGATCACGCAAAGGCATGAACACCAGAGGGCAGGAGTCATTGGGGCCATCTGCCACATTTACCTTCTTACTACGCACACCTTCCATTCTTTCCTTCCTTACCTCTTCCCTTCCTTCCTCATTCTCTCTTCTTCCTTCCAGGGCTTACTGTAAGTCTACAGTGGCCCGGGAGCTACACCAGGCATTGGGAATGCAAAGCTTATGAACACTGAGGTTTGCAGCCCAGTGGAGAAGAAAGGTCCAGTAAAATAACGTTTTCCAAGCTTCAGCCACTCGCTGTTTTGGCCATGTACATGGGCTTCTTAAATCTTTTCTAACTCAATGTTTTTCTTTAAAGTGATGGACCTTTAAAATATGGCCTCATCCTAAACTCATGGTTTTTGACTTTGACTGCCTGATGGCGTCACCTTGGGAGACTATTTAACCTGGAGATGTAGGGGATGTGGTTGACACCGGGCATCCCGTTCTCCCACCCCACACTTGCTTTACCATGTACTTATGCCCACCACAGTTGGGAGGTGACAGCTTACCTGGGGAGGAGATCCGTTCTTTTGCTCTTTGGAAACAGACTCCAAGCTTTGCCCCGTATTATTCCTCTGTTCTACCCTTCACAATATCCCCTGCCCTTACCCCTTTTCTGAATATTCATCAACCAAAGGGCAGTGCATCAGTGAAGGACAAATCTTCACAAAAAAGATACTTCCCGTTTGTTTTATTAAAAAGAAACGGAGCATTATTGTGGGCACTTGCGACTCCCAGTGGTAGAGAAGGGAAAATACATTCAGTGATGTCGGGGTAGGAGAGAAGGGAAGGAAGCATCTTTCACCAGCTCTCCGGAGCCTTTGCTTACACTACAAATGCAAAACAATGTCTCTAGGGGGCTAAAACAACACACACAAATAAGAAAACACTTCCACCTCTCATCCCTTATCCTCCGCAGTTTTATTCACATCTAAGTCAGGTAGCAATAGTCACCTCCACCAGTACAAACACAGCCAGAAGCTATAAGTGTCATGTTGTTCCCTCATCTTGCCCTTGGCCTCTTGGAGCTTAAGGACTGTTAATGACCACAATCCACTGAGACCACCCCTACTCCTGCCTGCCGAACACCCTCAGTGCTGTTTAAAAGCTCAATCCATGAGCAGCCACCTATGCCAGGCTCTGGGCTAGCATTGAGTGGAGTGGAGCAAAGGTGAGCCAGCTGCCCACTCTGTTCAGGTCATCTGTCTGGATGTCCCCTCCTTTGTATTTACTGATTCTGCCAGGCAAGAAGTTGAGGAGATTTATTCATTTCATTTAACAAATAGTAACTCACTGTCTACTGTATGTCCTGCATTGTTTCAGGCAATGAACAAAAAAGGCCTTGCTCTCAGGGAACTTACATTCCCAGCTACTGAACCTCATGTTCTTGTCTTTACTTAACCCCTGGGTCCCAAAACCTGCCCAAATGGAAAGAAATCTTAGTGATTCTCCAACTCCTGTCCCCTGTAAGTGAGGTTACTGAAGCCCACTGAGGTAATGTGCCCGGCCTGAGGTCACAGAAGAAGACACAACAGACTCTAGACTAGATCCCAGCGTCCCAGCTAGAGATAAATGTCAAGACACTCACAGCTGTGGGCACAAAGCTGTCTGTCTGGAAGCATTTTGGGAAAGTTAGAAACCTAGTGAGCGAACATATTTTAATACATCAATTTCATCAACTGGCGAATGAATCAGGTAAAGAGAAGTAATTATATCTTTTGGTTAAAAAGCAAAGTACTCTCAGGGACTCACAGACTTCTTATGAGACTGTCTTTTCTGCCTCCCTGAGTTCAGGCAGGATTCATCTAGAAGCATCCTCTGTGGGTGAGGGGAGCAGAGGCACATGGCACAGCGAGAGGCTGCCCAGTGTAGCAGAAGCTTCTCCAACATCCGCCCAAGTACCCCTCCTGACCAAAGGGGCTAATCCATATCTCAGGGACCTGAGGAGATAGTCCTATGCTGCAGGAGGAAAAGCAGAATTGAAGTCTCATATTTTACTATAAAAACCAATATGAGTGTTGCATTCTGAGGCACTAATATATCACTATGCTTAACATAAAAATGATATTTTTACCCAAATATCTGAATAAAATAAATTCTGTAGAAGGATACACCACCTTTATGCAGAACACCTTATCCATTACCCCTGGGCCTAAGAGCCTCCATTTTGAGAAGCACAGACCTGGTTCCAAACCCAACTCTGTCTGTGGAATGCTAGCAAATTAACTTACTGCCCTGGAACTCAATTTTCTTATCTGTAAAAGCAACACAAAGTTGTGAGCTCTAGAGAGAGTAAGGACCACTGAGAATGGTAATACCATTGTCAATACAGAGTTTTACAAGTTACCAAGCATTTTCCATGTGTTACCTTATTTTCATAGGAAGAGAGCAGATCTGGAAGCCAGTTAATCTTGGCTTTGCCAGAGTGGCTCTGTTGGTCTTGGGCAAATGGAGTAACTTTTGTGAGCTTCCACAGCCTTATTCATGAAAGAGGTGTCATAATGACGCTGTGGGTTATTGTGATAACTAAACACACATAAGGTGTGCAGGCTTCAGTAAGTGGCACATCTCACTAGTGCCTGGAGCAGCTGCTGTGAGTGGGTGAGAACACCAACCCAAGTCAGACAGGCTTGACTCTCACTAACTGGGTGTCCTTGGGCAAATCACTTAACATCTTTGTGTCTCAGTTTCTTTTACCTGTTAAATAAGGATGAAAATAGTACCTTCTTAGAAAGTTGCGAAGATAAAATGAGTTACTATAAGACACACTCACAATAGCTGCTGGCTCAGAATGTTGAGTATTCCAGTAAGTACCTGTGCACAGTTGGCTGGCCTTATCATTGGCCTCTTTGGTTAGGAAACCAGAGGCTTAGAGAGGTTCTCCTCCATCAACATGACTTCTCTTCCCCAAGTGGAAGATCTAGTATTTGAACCCAGATTCCCTGATTCCAGAACCAGTGGTCTTTTTCACCATGCCCCACACAGGAGTGGGGGTTGCACGTCCTATAGTAGTTTATCTTCCACTGCAAGCCTTGAATCACTCGGGCACACACATAGAGGTCAATGCCCACACAGTGATGCCAAATATGAATAGCAGAGATTCTCAGGTTACTTACTTCTAGTTCATGAAATAATGCATTATTGCTTCCTGGAGAGGTCGGAGAATAGAAAAAAACCTCTGTGCCCCGTGACTCTAATGGAATTTCTGTCGGAGATGAAGCAACCTTCTCAGTTACCTTAAGATGTTAGAAGAAGCCAACATTATCCTGATACTATATGGGCCCAGCAGAGTTGTAAAATGTAAAAACTGTGAGAGATCACAGATTGTGTCAATGAAAGAGAAACCTAGGCTTTTACAGAATTAAAGTTAGTTTCACTGAGTCTTCCCTCAGATGGCAATCCAGGTGAATCTTTCAGTTTTGGTTAGACTGCTCCAAAGCAGTGTATGAACCCATAACTTACGTATTAGATGGTGGAGGTTCTACATGTGCTCAGAAGTTACATTAAAGCAAAATCTCATCAAAGCCTGGGTGTGAGAGCACATCTGATTATAGATTGCAGAGGGAAAATCATTAATACTGTCAGACGTTACGTACAAGAAAAGGCAAGGGCTGAGATCATTGAGCTTATCTTTTCTAAAAAACACAGTGATTCAGGTAAGAGACATGAAAACCTGAGGCATGGCTTCTTCACTGCAAGGGCTGGCTGTGAGACTGGCCAGAGGCAGATGTTTGCTACTTCGTCTCATAATTATTTTCTCCAAATAATAAGGAAATTGAGGTCTATGGCTCTTAGACCCCTTGACCTACAAGCTATATTTGTTTGATCTATTCTATTTAATAACCAGAGGCTTCCTCATTTGGGCCCCACCATGCATCCTCCCCCACTCAAAAGGGAAAAACAAACTGTTTTTCTTTACTCAGTTACTTCACTTTTGACACCAGATGTGTGGGTTTTTCACATCAACAATTCTCCAATCCTCTGTAGGCATTAACTGGGTGTCTTACAATTTAATTCTGAGAGTTAGCACAGACCCCACCACTAACGGGCTCAGCCCCACGAGATGGCCCCCAACTTCAGATACCAATTGCAAGCACAAGGTTGTTACCTGTACTTCTGAGCAACTAGCCATAAATCAACGGTTCCCATGACCTCCTCCTTGGGTTTAACCATTTGCTAGAATAGCTCACAGAACTCAGAGAAATACTTATGTTTACCAGTTTGTTACAAAGTTATGGAGCATGGGCAAGACATGGTGGCTCACGCCTGTAATCCCAGCACTTTGGGAGGCCGAGGCAGGTGGATCACGAGGTCAGGAGATGGAGACCATCCTGGCTAATACGGCGAAACCCCGTCTCTACTAAAAATACAAAAAAATTAGCCGGGCGTGGTGGCGGGCACCTGTAGTCCAGCTACTCCGGGGGCTGAGGCAGGAGAATGGCGTGAACCTGGGAGGCAGAGCCTGCTGTGAGTCAAGATCGCGCCACTGCACTCCAGCCAGGGCGACAGGGTCAGACTCCGTCTCAAAAATAAATAAATAAAAATAAATAAACAAATAAATAAATAAATAAATAAATAAAGTTATGGAGGATGTAGATGAACTGCCAGATGAAGAGGTACATAAGAGGTATGTGGGAAGGCTACAGATCTTCCATACCCTCCCAGGATGCACCATGCTCCAGGTATCTCCATGTGTTCAGCAACCTGGAAGCTCTCAGAATCTGTCCTTCTGAGTTTTTATGGAGGCTTCATTTATGTAGTGCCGATTGATTAAATAATTGGCCACTGGTGATCAACTCAACCTTCAGTTTTTTTACCCTCCCTGGAGACAGGGGGCTGAAAGTTCCAACCTTCTAATCACATGGTTGGTTTCCCTGCCAACCAACCCCCACTCGCAGACACTATAGGACACCGTAGCCAAAAATAATTTTATTTGCATGCAAAGAGACATTTATCCCTTTGGAGACTCCAAGGATTTTAGGAATGATTCCAAGGGTTTTAGGGGAGGATGAAAATAAAATTGTATATTTCTTAGTACATAGCAATATCACACCCACCTATTTAACACTACCACCTACCCTCTGTCATTCTGTGTCCAACTTTTTTGACTATTACAAAAGTTTATTTAATAAAAAGTTTAATATGAAAATGTACACGATCTAATTTTTACATCATAGAGAACAGACCCTTTGGAGAGGGGACATGAATTCCTCTGCTGGATAGCCATTATTTAGACTTGTTCCAAGGCTTTTAACGTGATGATACTGTTTCCTCCTATTTCCACTGTTCTAATATTGTTCTGTTGCCCACTAATTGCCATCTTCACACATTCATCTATCATAAGATTCATAAAATGACTGAATCCCCACAGTATTCCTTGGACACATCTACCACCATTTAATTTCAGTGACAACTTGTCCATAAGTTTTTTCAACTTGAGAGAGTGAGCTTTGTTCATGGTGTCTACTGAGCAGGCTCAGAGATGCACTGAAATGGAATTTATGGCCTCCATCACACTTCACAGATAGGCCCAGTGTTTAGTGTCTGATGTCACTCATTCTATTAGCCAATTGATCGTGGGCCTGTGTCCAAAATTTCAAGTCTTCTCCTTTGCCTGCAAACCTCCAAGCTTCCCTCCTCCCTTGCTTTCTCCAAGCCCATGACCCCCTTCCTACTACACAGAGAAAACAGAAGCTATCATAGGAAATGCTCATTGCTTCCACAGACTCACCTTCTACTGTGTCAACCCCTCAATCTGTCCTGTTCCTGGAGAAGAGAGGCTCTCTTCCTAGGCAATGTCTGGGTCTCAGCCTGCCTTCTTGAGGAGCTTACACTATATTAATTTTATCTGTTCTCTCGTAAATCTGTATCTCAGACTCTCCTGGCTCCTTCCAATAAGCATTTGGGCAAGTTTCCACCTCTCCCTCTTAAAAACCTAATAAAAACCCTCCTTGATCTCATATCCCCCTTTAGCTACTTCTTTACCTCTTTTGTTAGTGACCAGGTTCATTCTGCCATCACACAGCAATCCAATCACTGTGATGATGGATTTCTGCCTAAGAGGAAAAATTGTATTCACAACACTGTAATGCAAGGAAGCAGAAGAACAAATCTCCAGCAGGCCTCCCCAAAAATAGAGCTTGGAGATGCTTATGAGAAAGAAAGCAGGATGGTCTAAAGAGTTGGAAAAGATGATTGGCGGGTAGGAAAGGTGAGGTTGTTGGGATTTCTGCAAGCATAATTGAGCTACACAGTTCATCACATGACATGTGTGCAGAAAATGGCAGTGTTAGCATGATCTGAGGGTGGAGTTTTTGGCTCTCTGACATTGAAAGGTCATTCTTTGGTCACCTGCACAGGCCCAGTTGAAGGATCAGTGGTCTCAACCAGCTTGAACTGGAGAAGAGCTTCCCCCCTATAGTAACAGTTGCAGCTTTTTTTTTTTTTTTTTTTTTTTTGAGACGGAGTCTCGCTCTGTTGCCCAGGCTGGAGTGCAGTGGTGCGATCTCAGCTCACTGCAAGCTCCGCCTCCTGAGTTCACACCATTGTCCTGCCTCAGCCTCCTGAGTAGCTGGGACTGCAGGCACCCGCCACCAAGCCCGGCTAATTTTTTTTTATTTTTAGTAGAGACGGGGTTTCACCGTGTTAGCCAGGTTGATCTCGATCTCCTGACCTCGTGATCCACCCTCCTCAGGCTCCCAAAGTGCTGGGATTACAGGCGTGAGCCACCGCGCCCAGCCTTTTTTTTTTTTTTTTTCTTAACAGAGTCTCACTCTCTGGCCCAGGCTGGAATGCAGTGGCACCATCTCGGCTCATTGCAACCTCCTCCTCCCGGGTTCAAGCGATTCTCCTGCCTGAGCCTCCTGAGTAGCTGGGATTACAAACACACACCACCACACCCAGCTAATTTTTGTATTTTTAGTAGAGACAGGGTTTCACTATGTTGGCCAGGCTGGTCTCGAACTCCTGACTTAAGGTGATCCGCCTGCCTTGGACTCCCAAAGTGCTGGGATTACAGGCATGAGCCACCACGCCTGGCAAAACTTTTAAATAATTAAAGTTAGTTTTATTCAGAAGGCTTCCTGAGGATTATAGACAGAGGCCGACAGCCCAGGAACAGCCCTTCTGCTCTGTCAGAGGTTCTGTCAGACCGCTGTGACACAGGGCTTCAGCCCACTGTTTAGATACAGGTGGTGGAGGTTCAGTACATGCAAAATCACATCAAACTGGCTCAGAAGTTGTATTATAGCAGAATCAAATCAAGGCTTCAGTGTAAGAGTACATCTGGTCATAGATTACTAAAGTACTTTTGGTTATAGATTGTAAAAGTATGATCACTAACCCGGTCAGACATCTTATGTGTAAGAAAAGCCAAGGGCCAGGATCATTTATCCTTTTAAGGAATTATGTTGACTCAGGCAAGAGACATGGGGGCCATGTGCTATCTCCTGTTTTGTCCTCAAACTATCTTTCAGAGAGCTGCATGGTGTCACAGAGTCAGAAGTTTAAGCAGAAATGAGCAAATTTGGCTTCTTAAGTTTGCTACTTTGTCTCACACAGACTTTTTAAAATTTTTTCATTCATTTTTTTCATCCAACAAATTTTTGTTGAAGACAGAGTATGTGTTAGTCACTTTTCTAGGTGCTAGAAAATAGCAATGAAGGGAGAGAGAAAAACTCTTGTCCTCATGAAGCTCACTGTTTAGCAGGAACCTGAAAAGGTCACATGGAGCTAAGGAAGTGAGCCATGTAACACGAGAGGGAAAAGCATTTCAGGCAGAGGGAACATCAGTGCAAACGCCCTGGTGCAGGGATGAGAGGGTGAGCACTTGACAATCATGTCAGAGAGTTAACGGGGGAAGTAGTGTATGTGCTGAATTCTGCAAGGCCTTATGCTCCTCTGTGAGGTTTCTGGCTTTTCTCCTGAGTGACTGGGGGCTGCTGGAGGGTTTTAGGCTGAGGAGAAGGTTTTAAGCTCATCTGACATGTTTTCTATAAGGATCAGTCTGACTGCCACGTGGGAACAGGGAGGACTGCGGCTTGGACCAGGATGATGGAAGTCATTGAGTCCAACAGGAAATTGTGGAACTCCTGAGGGCTCAGCCGCCCCTGGTCTCTTCTCCCTGAGGTGAGAGTCCTGCAGTGAGACGTTGCTTATGTGACCCCATCTCCTCCCGTGATGCCAGTCGCCTTCTACTCATTGCCAAGTCCAACCCAGGCATCTTCTCCGAGCTCCCTGTCATTGTTTCCATTTGGCTTTCTCACCATCACCTCAAACACAGCCTATCTTGTCCCCACCAAACATGCCCCACAAGCCACCCAGTGCTAAGCCAGACACTTGGAAGTTTATCTGCGATACTTCCCCGCACTTCACCTCCACATTCATTTAGCTCTGCACTAAATGAATGGTTTTATTCATCCACCATTTCTCTCCACATCCTTTCTAAGCCACCACTGTGTTTGCATTAGTCTCCCAACTGGACTCATGATGTCCACTCCTGTGCCCTTTCTCCCCAGTCCCTTCTCTAAGCTGCAGGCAAAGAGAACCTTTAAAAATTCAGATCTCATCAGATTACACCCCTGATTAAAATCTTTAAATGCCTTCCCATTGCTCCTAGATAAATACCAAAGTCCTTACAAAACAAAATCCCCATCCCACCCTGAAGTATCTTACCCTTTCCTTCATCCCTAGTCATATTCTATACCCTGTCAGTCTTTCTTTCTTTTTTTTGAGACGAGTCTCTCTCCGTCGCCCAGGCTGGGGTGCAGTAGCGTGATCTCGGCTCACTGCAAGCTACGCCTCCCAGGTTCACGCCGTTCTCCTGCCTCAGCCTCCCCAGTAGCTGGGACTACAGGTGCCTGCCACCACGCCTGGCTATTTTTTTTGTATTTTTTAGTGGAGACGGGGTTTCACCGTGTTTGCCAGGATGGTCTCAATCTCCTGACCTTGTGATCCGCCCGCCTTGGCCTCCCAAAGTGCTGGGATTACAGGCGTGAGCCACCGCGCCCAGCCCAGTCTTTCTATTCACTCCAGAAGTATTAACTTTCTTTGGGTCCTTTCCACTGCAGTACCTTTGCACGTGATGCTCCCTGTGCTTAGAAGGCTCCCTCACACCCTCTTTACCTTCTGTCTCCTCCAGGTCTCAGCTTATGTAGCTTTCCCAGGAAAGCATGTGCAACCCCAGATGAGATTAGAGCTGTCTCTCTCCACAAGCTCACACCACCTTGGATTTCTTTTTCATGGTGTCATCACAATTAGAATGTATTGTTTATATCAAGGGTTGGTGAATGTTTTTCCATCTTATAAGCTCTATACCACGTCTATCTTCTCACCATGGTATCTCCAGTTTTGAGGACAGTGCGTGCACACAGAGGGGCTTACTAAATGATGATGCCCTTAGATCCAAACAAGGAGGCCTTTGCCTGAATCCTGCTCCTGCCCTCCTCCAGCTGTGTGAGGTAAAAAGTCTATAGGTCCAAGGGGAATTGTCCACCCAAGGCTACATCCTCCTTCTAAGTGCCCAGGACTCTAAAATTTCTACCCCAAAGGCCCAGGACCCACGTCCATGGTCTCTATGTGCCTCTTACCTGGGCCTATTCTCAGGAAGGTGGATGATGCCATTAGAATGAGTGCCTTTAGGCCTGAGGCATGTCCATGGAGTGGTGGGTGAAGCTGTGTGTGCAGCTTGGACATGCAAGGTAGAGCATCCACACACCTGTGTGCAAGGATACATGGTACAGAACTCAGCTTGGGTGGGAAAAAAGTTGTCAGGCCATGGTTGGAGGGCTAGGGCCAGCAATCCTCGCACTGTCACATTTGAGCACAGAACTGTGAGCGTTCCAAGAATTCTATATTCAAACCTAGTTTTTCAGGTCATCTTGAAAGTGAATGGGTCAAAGTAGTATAAAACATTTTATATAATGATTTGTTACCTAGATTTGTAATTGTGAAATATCTATACACTTGCTATGTGGACATCAAAACCTGATAATGAGTATTTATTGAATGAATAAATAAATGAATAGGTTTATTCCTGGATCTCACCATTTGCCATTTGTAGTGACTGGATGAAAAAAATGAATGAATGCTTCATGCAAATAAATCCCCACAAAGGCAAATGCAGCTGCCAAGAGAATTAATCTGTCTACCTAGGTTGAAATATTTTTTCTCAGGGCAGCTCTGACTTGGATGCTTCCATTTTATAAGCCAGTGACAAGTATAAGTAATAATAGTGAACATTTAGTGGGCTCTATGTTCAGGACGGTTTTAAGCCCACCATATAGATTAACTAAATACTCACAATTCTATGAGGCAGGTGCTATTATCATTCCCATTTGACAGATGAGGAAACTGAGGCTCATAAAGCCAGATGAGGACCAGAGATGGAGAGAACAAGGATGAGGGAGAAAGAAGGGAGGAAGGACTGAGCATAGATTCAAGGTTATGAAGACCCGAGAGTAACTTACTCTAGGTCACACAGCTAGTAAATTACAAAGCTAGAGCTAAGTTCCCAGGCAGCCTGTGCTGCATACATTATGCTACGGTATTTGCAGAAGTTAAAGTCCTCCTGTGTCTCCCCCTTGTTATCAATACCCAGGGTCTCTTGGAGTCTGAGCCAGGATCTATGGGTGTCAGGGCCATACTCTCTAATGGCCGAGTTGCCTTTGTAATGGGTGAGAAATGATAAGGGATTAAATCTGGAGTTCAGTCAGCAGGATGACTAATACCCCCACAGGGAAGCAGTTCATCCAATTTTTACTTCAATTTCCTCCTACAGCTTTAGAAGAAAACAAAGAAAAGACAAAGAGCATCTCATGATAAAGAAAGTTATTAGATTTTCATTTACTGGTCATGATACCAAGGGTTGTGAATGGGAAAATAAATTGTAACTCCTTAAAGGTGAATTTCTCACATGCTGTAAACTTTAATTAGTAAGAACATTAACAGCCTGCAAATGCTCTCGTTCCACCTGAGTGGATTACTGTTGTTAAAATAGGAAAGCTAAGTATCCCCTTCCTGCTCTCCAGCTGTAGGATCACCAGCAGCAGCTCTAAGAAGGACCCCCAGAGATAGTCTAAGCCAGATGAGGACCAGAGATGGAGAGAACAAGGATGAGGGAGAAAGATGGGAGGAAGGACTGAGCATAGATTCAAGATTATGGAGCCCCGAGAGTCCTTACATCCCCAACTGCACATTTTCAGCAGATACTCAGGGTCTCCTCTGTGTGAGGGGAAAGTTCAATATCACATTAACAAATGTCCATCTCCAGGGGTAATCAGTAGCCACTGGAGTATCAGGCAGCATCAATGTTAATTAAAAATTTGGATATAATTTTTTGCATAATAAAAAGTTTTTTCTTTATTTCAGTGTTATTCTCTGCTGCCTTATTTATGATAGCAAAAAAAAAATGACATGCCTTTTGAATTTTGTCACTGGCACTGAAATAACGTCAGTTTGTTTTTCCTTTTTCACTCATTCTGATCTTCCACTTCCAAATTTACAAACCTGTATTTCATAGGACTGTTTTGATAATACAATAAAATAAAATAAAACATTTATATGTTCAGCACAATTGCCATTTACTAGTAACCATAATTTATTGAAATGACATAATGTAAAAATTCCTAACACATGGTAGGCATTTAACACATTTGCTGAAAGAAAACAAAACAAAGCAAATTTAAAAAAAAGGTTGGAAAATGGCTAAATTTAAAAGGATAATCCTCTCCTCTTCTAGGCTTCCATGGATGTGTCCCAAACCAGAGCAATAGAAACAAATCAGACTTCAAACTTGGGATATTCCCAATGATTCCAAAGAAGGTAACAAAATGCAGGCTTTGGCATCAGTTCTCCTAAAACACAAACAGCATAAAGTACTCAGAATAGTAACTTACAGTCCATAAAGCAATTGCTCATGTTCTCAGGTGGTCATTTGGAAGGTCCACTTGTCCTGCACCAGCATGCACTTTGAGCTTCCACTGCCAGTGGTTGTATCTGTTATAGTACGTAGCTAGTTAGGGATGAGTAGGGGAGAAGAGAGATACCTTCAACACCCCCCCACACAAACCAGGAATGTCAGCTGACCATCAGGTGATGGTCAGGTGGTTGTTAACTGTCTCTTTCAAATAATAATTGGTTACAGTTGGGGCTAGGGAAAGGCAGTTTCCCAATAGATAGAAAAACCTGAAACTGGTGATCAACAGCTTCCTGATAAGATCTCAGGAGTTGAGCAAGTGGGCTTAAGCGCATGCATCAGGAGGCAAAATGGCAAAGTTTAACTGGCATATGACCTTCCTCTAGGAAAACTAGACTGGTGGGGGAAGAAGCCTCAGGTGAGCATGCATACAACTCCAATATACACCCTGCATGTGCTCCCCTCCCAAGTGCTAGCAGGCCACTGCACATGTGGAGAGCCCACCCCAAGGGAAGAATCAGGGGAGAGGTAACAGGAGACCCCAGAAGTATGCCAACATATAAAACCCCAAGTCAAATGGCCAGAATGCACACTTGATCTTTCAAGTTGCCTGCTTGGCCTTCTTCCAAGTGTACTTTACTTCTTTTCATTTCTGCTCTAAAGCTTTTTAATAAACTTTCTAAAACTTGCCTTGGTTTCTCCTTCTGCCTTACGACCTTCCAGTTGAATTCTTTTTTTTTTTTTTTTTTTTTTGAGACGGAGTCTTGCTCTAGCCCAGGCTGGAGTGCAATGGCGCAATCTCGGCTCACTGCAAGCTCCGCCTCCTGGGTTCACGCCATTCTCCTGCCTCAGCCTCCCAAGTAGCTGGGACTACAGGCACCCGCTACCATGCCCGGCTGATTTTTTTTGTATTTTTAGTAGAGACGGGGTTTCACCATGTTAGCCAGGATGGTCTCGATCTCCTGACCCCGAGATCCGCCCGCCTCGGCCTCCCAAAGTGCTAGGATTACAGGCGTGAGCCACCGCGCCCGGCTTTTGAATTCTTTTTTCTAAGGAGGCAAGAATTGTGGTGTCTGCAGACTCATACCCATATGAATTTGCTGCTGGTAACAGTCTCCGTGACCAAATCTGATCTATGCCTTGTGTTAGTCATCTTGTCTTTCCCCTCTGCTGGCTTCCCACCCTTGCATAGAGGGTTCTTCCCTGGTTGTCACACAGCCTGCTTCTGGAGTGCACAAGGGCCTGGAGTGGGAAGGCTGGAGGTTCTGACCTTGCCCTGATCCTGCTTTACCAGTTAACCTTAAGGATGCCATTGGCCTTTCTGCGCTCCTGTATTCTCATCTGCAAAATTGGGACAGCAGACTGTCTGGCTACTGCCCATTGTGTGTTGTATGTTTGAGAACCCGGTGAACTGTTATTTCATTTCTGAAACCTTGACTAAACCCTTGCAACCCTCCCCATCAGCTAGCCACTCCCTCATGGCACTGCTGTCTTTGGCATGTATTTATCTCTGTTGAAGCACTATGGATGCTATAACTCAGTTTCATTTCTCTTCCCTGCCTCTTTGGATCTCAGTCTCCTTGGTGCCTGGACAAAATATTTGTTAAATGAGTGAATGAATGAGAAGACACCGAATTGCACAATGCCCTAGATCAGGGTAAACTTCTTCTGTAAAGGTACAGATGATTAATAGAGTTAGTGTTTCAGGATTTGCGGGGCTGTTGTAACTACTCAACTCTGCTGGTGTAGCCCCAAATCAGCCATCCACATACATAAATGAATGAGTGTGGCTGTATTCCAATGAAATTTTATTTATGGACACTTAAATTTGAATATCATTTGATTTTCACACATCATAAACTATCATTCCTCCTTTGATTTTTTTCAACCACATCAAAATATAAAAACCATTCTTTGCACATGGGCTGTACAAAAGCTAGAGGAGAGCCAGATTTTGGCCTTCAGGCCATAGTTTGCCAATTCCTGCACCAAAGTAATAGTAAATATTGATTTTTTAAAAAACAAATATATATATATATATGATAGACATTACACATTATTTACTTATTTATTTTGTAGAGACAGGGTCTCACTATGTTGCCCAGGCTGGCCTCAAATTCCTGGCCTCAAGCGATCCTCCTGCCTCAGCCTCCCAAAGTGCTAGGATTATAGGCATGAGCCACCATGCCCAGCCTAGATATTGGTTTTATTACAGATATTATTGAGATTGCCCATGATCTCTTTACTTTCACATTTTAGATAATGATATGTGTCAAGTGTGTGACATCATGCCTATGTCTCTCACAGTCACAGAGAATCTCCACTTTTCACCTGCCGCTCTGTCCTTCTGAGAATGTGATCCACTGCCTTCCCCTCACTCTGTCCCAACAAAGGCTCTGTGGCCTTCCTACCCCTGGGGTGCCTGGGCTGGCCCTCACCACACTGGTCATCTTCCCAACAGGGGGTCACATGTGAGCTGTCCATGCTTTCACAGAATAAGGGTTACAAAGGTTCTGACATTCTTTGGACATGCAATTTGGTTTAGAATTGGGGTAAGAGCTGGTGTAGCCCCAAATCAGCCATCCACATACATAAATATCCATTGTGCAATCATAAATAATAATTCATATTATAATATCTGCCATTTATGGAGCACTTACTATGTGTTCAACATTATTCTAAGAAATTTTTCATATCTTATCTCATTTATGAAATGATTTTGAAGTAGAATTGAGGTATCCATCACTAAGATTGGCTTCTTCCTTTTTCAAGACCTATTTAACATAGGAAGGTTTGTAAAGACCATTTTTCATCCAAATCTGTATGAATAGATTTTTTTGAGATGGAGACTATAATAAACTATCATTTATTGAGAGTTTAACATATATAAGGCACCATTTTATGAATTCTTCCATTGGAGTAGATAATATTATTACTTCAATTTTTGGTGCAAACCAAGGCTTATGAAAGCCAACTAACTTGGCTGGGCATGGTGGCTCACACCTATAATCAAAGCGCTATAATCCCAGCACTTTGGGAGGCAGGCATATCATTTGAGGTCAGGAGTTCAAGACCAGCCTGGTCAACATGGTGAAACCTCGTCTCTACTAAAAATACAAAAATTAGCTGGGTGTGGTGGTGTGTGCCTATAATCCTAGCTATGCTGGAAGCTGAGGCAGGAGAATGCTTGAACCCAGGAAGCGGAGGTTGCAGTGAGCAGAGATAGTGCCTCTGCACTCCAGCTCCAGCCTTAGTGACAGAGTGAGACTCCGTCTCAAAAAATATAAATAAATAAATAAAAGGAAAGAAAGAAAGAAAGAAAGAAAGAAAGCTAACTAACTGTTTCAGTAATTTAGCTAGAAAATAGTAGAGTGAAGTTTTGACCTAGGCAGTCTGATTCTGAGCCTCCTCCTAACTTCTAATAATTCTGCCCCAAAATTTTAAAGCCATGAGTGCATTTTGACATTTTACTATCACCATTCTGAAGTACTTGCTGGGTCTTCTCACCACCTTCCTTTATGTTATTTATTTTTGGAGACGGGGCCTCGCTCTGTCACCCAGGCTGGAGTGTAGTGTCATGATCATAGCTCATTGCAGCCTCAAACTCCTGGGCTCAGACAATCATCTCACTGCATCCTCCTGAGTAGCCAGTACTACAGGCACGTGCCATCATGCCCAGCTAATTGTTTAATTTTTTTGGTAGAGGTGGAGTCTCACTGTGTTTCTCAGGCTGCTCTCAAACTCTTGGCTTCAAACAATGCTCCCACGTCAGGCTCAGCCTCCCAAAGTGCTGGGATTCCAGGCATCAAGCCCTTTATGTTATTTTTCTATTTCTGTAGTCTTCCCTATTCATTGAAAAGTCTGTATTTCTCCCACCATCACCATGGCATCTTCCCCATCTCCTTTATTACCTTGAACTTGAAAGCTGCAGTAATTTTATCTATCCTGTGGCACCAGTTGATAAAATTATTGGAGGGGAAAGGACTATTAAGGTTTCAACAGTTGACCTGGTGACCTTCATTTCAAGTTCAGAGGATCTTTTAAAGCTCTTTGCTTAGGATCTCAGCCTATTTCTTACATTTAAAAATATCCAATGTTCTCTCCTGAGGCTAGGTTAAATGCCACTTATGCCATGAAGACCTGGGGATAATGAAATGCATTTGCGTTGTATCAGGAAAGCAATATTCAAATGAGGTTTCTGTATCTCAGCAGCCACAGTTGTGAAAGAGGGATTGCAACAGTGCCCAGCTCATAGGGCTATAGTGAGGGCGAAATAAAGCAGTACATGAAAAGTGCCCCCAAATATGTCAGGCATGGGGAAAGTCAACATGCTCTTAATAATTGTTGCTGTTTTACAAGTAACCAAATCTTAGAAGTGGCAACTGCAGTAATGATCTTTGCAATTTTACAAAGTCCATCATCAAAATTGGTGTATTAGTCCATTTTTGCACTGCTATAAAGAACTACCTGAGACTGGGTAATTTATAAAGAAAAAAGGTTTAATTGACTCACAGCTCTGCAGGCTGCACAGGAAGCATGGCTGGGGAGGCCTCAGGAAACTTTCAATCATGGCAGAGGGCTAAGGGGAAGTAGGCAACCCTTACACAGTAAGAGCAGAAGAAAAGAGAGAGAGAGGAGGGATGTGCCACACACTTTTAAACAACCAAGTCTCATGAAAACTCACTCACTATCATGAGAACAGTAAGGGGGAAGTCCATCCCCATGATCCAGTCACCTGCTATCAGGACCCTCCTCCAACAATGGGTATACAATCCAACATGAGATTTGGGCAAGCGCACAAATGCAAATCATATCATTCTGCCCCTGGCACCTCCAAAATTTTATGTCCTTCTCTCATTGCAAAATACAATCATCACTTTTCCACAGTTCCCCGAGTCTTAACTCATTTCAGCATTAACTCAAAAGTCCACAGTCCAAAGTCTCATCTGAGACAAGTCAAGTCCCTGCTGCCTATGAGCCTGTGAAATAAAAAATAATTTAGTTACTTGCAAGATATAATGGGGGTACAGGCATTGGGTAAATGCCCAATTCCCAAAAGGAGAAATCAGCCAAAACAAAGGGGCTACAGGCCCCATGCAAGTTCAAAACCCAGCAGGGCAGTCATTAAATCTTAAAGCTCCAAAATAATCTCCTTTGACTCCATGTCTCACATCCAGGCCACACTGATGCAAAAGGTGGGCTCCCAAGGCCCTAGGCATCTCCGCCCTTGTGGCTATGCAGGGTACAATGCCCCCTCAGCTGCTTTCATGGGCAAATGTTGAGTGCCGTGGCTTTTCCAGGTACATGGTGCAAGCTGTTGGTGGATCTACCATTCTGGGGTCTGGAGGATGGTGGCAATCTTCTCACAGCTCCACTAGGCAGTGCCCCAGTGGGGACTCTGTGTTTCCCCTCTGCATTGCCCTGGTAGAGGTTCTTCATGAGGGCTCCATCCCTGCAGCAGACTTCTTCCTGGACATCCAGGCATTTCTGTACTGCCTCTGAAATCTATGCAGAGGCTCCCAAACCTCAACTCTTGCCTTCTGTGCACATACATGCTTATTACCATGTGGAAGCTGCCAAGGCTTAAGGCTTGTACCCTCTGGAGCAGCAGCCTGTGACATATCTGGGGCCCTTTTAGCCATAACTGGAGCTAGGGTGGCTGGGATGCAGGGATCAGTGTCCCAAGGTTGCACAGGGCAGCAGGACCCTGGGCCTGACATATGAAAGCATTTTTCCCTCCTAGGCCTCTGGGCCTGTATGGGAGGGGATGCCATGAAGGTCTCTGAAATGCCTTTGAGGCATTTTTCCCATTGTCTTGGCTATTAACATTTGGCTCCTCTTTACTTATGCAGTAAATTTCTGCAGCTGACTTTAATTCTTTCCAAGAAAATGGGTTTTACTTTTTTACCACATTATCAGGCTACAAATTTTCCAAACTTTTTTGCTCTGCTTCCCTTTTAAATGTAAGTTCCAGTTGTAGATAATATCTTTGCTCATCCATATGAGCATATGCTGTTAGAAGCCGCCAAGCCATGTCTTCAATGCTTTGCTGCTTAGAAACTTTTTCTGCTAGATAGCCTAATCTCTGTCAAGTTTAGCGTTCCACAGATCTCTAGGGCAGGGACATAATGCTGCCAGTCACTTTGCTAAAGCATAGTAAGAGTGACCTTTATTTCATTTCCCAATAAGTTCCTCATCTCCATCTGAGACCACCTCAGCCTGGACTTCATTGTCCATGTCACTATCAGCATTTTGGTCACAACAATTTAACAAGTCTCTAGAAAGTTCCAAACTTTCCCTCATCTTCCTGTCTTCTGAGCTTTCCAAACTGTTCCAACTTCTACCTCTTACTCAGTTCCAAAGTTGCTTCCACATTTTCAGGTATCTTTACAGCAGTGCCCCACTCCTAGGTACTAATTTTCTGTATTAGTCCATTCTCACATTGCTATAAAGAACTACCTGAGACTGGGTAATTTATAAAGAAAGCAGGTTTAATTGGCTTACAGTTCCACAGGCTATACAGGAACCATGGCTGAGGAGGTCTCAGGAAACTTACAGTCATGGTGGAAAGCAAAGAGGAAGTAGACACATCTTACATGGCCAGAGCAGAAGGAAAGAGAGTTGGGGGGGTGTGTGTCATACACTTTTAAAGAACAAGATCTCATGAGAACTCATGCACTATCACGGGAACACACTCACTATCATGAGTGCAGCAAAGGGGAAGTCTGCCCCCATGATCCAATCACCTCTCACCAGGCTCCTCCTCCAACATTGGGGATTACAATTAGACATGAGATTTGGGCAGGAGCACAAGTTTAAACCATATCAATTAATCAGAAGCATGAGCCATTTATTTTCCCAGTCCAGGCCCAAGATGGCTACATGGTGTGTGGGCCTCACAGATCTGCCCAGATATAGCCTACTTGTTTCCAGTGGTTGCAGGCAGAGGACAATTTTGTGTTTTAATGATATGAAAAAATGACATCAGTAAATTTAATGAAAAGATTATTCCCATGTTTATAGAATCAACAATGGCTAATGCAATCATTTAAACATCTCAGTTATATTCCCAGTACAATTTACACAGAAGTTGATATGCTGTAGGTGGTATTCAGAAATCTGGGGATTTGAGAAGGTTTGGGGGCATCACTTGTGATTAGTGCCAAAGATAAACAGGATGTGATTTTTTTTTTACAAGAAATATGACCATTATCTAATTCTTCTAAGGGTTGGTAGAAGGGCAAGAGGGCTGCTCTTCTGTCCTATTTTTCTTTCCTTCTTTTTTTTTTTGACATGGAGTCTTGCTCTGTCGCCAGGCTGGAGTGTAGTGGTGCAATCTTGGCTCACTGCAACCTCCGCCTCCTGGGTTCAAGCAATTCTCCTGCCTCAGACTCCCGAGTAGCTGGGACTACAGGCACACACCACCATGCCCAGCTATCTTCTGTCCTATTTTTCTGTGCTATAAACCAGTATTTTCCAAAACTATTCCTCAGTACATTATTTCCATGAGTGCTTAATAATGTGACTCTAAAAAAGCATTCCCCAGTCAAATCCATGTGGTGAACTCTGACTTTTCTTTCTATGAACCAGGGTTCCTGTGAAATACAAAGTGTGGATTGCTCTGCTGATACCACTGATGAGGCTGCTGCTTTATCCATGCTAATGAAGACACAGCTCTCTTGAGATTACATTTTTATTGGCTTCTCAGGCACTTAAAATGTACAGATTATGGCTCCGTTGGGGTTATTTCTCCAGAACATTAACCTCACCAATTACAAGTAAATTTTCCCATCATTTCTTCTTTTTCACAGTTTTATTTTCTGAGAGGTAGAAAACTAGATGTCTTCCACATACTGATGATAGCCTCAGTTCACCTGTCCAACCTTATCCCTTGTTGCTTCCATTCTTTCCCTTCTACTTTGGTTGAGTCTTTTGAATTCCTCAGTACTTCCCTAAATGTTTCCACCATTTCTATTGACCATACCCTGCTCCACCACACCCCTCATTCTCTGCACGAAGGCTACTGATGTGTATGTGCTGTGTTAAATGCCACCTCATTCATTCAGCTGTCAAACATTGAGTACCTATTTTAAGTTGTGCATTGTTGTAGTATCTTAGTGAAAGGATTAGTGAATGAATGGTTTTACTCATCCCTCAGAGTTGGAAATATCTGTTAAATAATACATGGCTAGGCATGTTTATCTTTTAGGAAGAAAAGTGCTCTATAAATCAGAGGAGTATTATAATATTTACATGTTGGTCTCATGAAAAATGATACCAGCAGTTTTCACTATAATATGAATCCTGATAATTTGCATTTATATAGCACATTATTGGCACAACAACTTTGTCCCTTTGAGCAGCTTCATTTAAAGTGGTTTTGCTTTAATTATCTCTCACAGAGCAGCTATAAAAATGATTGTGAAATAATTTGCAAGTGTATATGTTATTCATAAATGGTAAATAACAGTTAAATTGCAAAGACAATGCAATAGAATCTGACATTTCTCAGGATAATATTTTAGTTGCTCACCTGATTGATGTAGTCAACTCTGAATCATTAACATCTGGATTAGGACAGATGTGTGTCTGGGGAGGGAAGAGGGAGTGTGCACTTACGTTAGAAGCATCTCCTGTTTTACCCTTTGATTTTTTTCTGTGTCTGACAAGATAGTCACAAAGCATGTATGTGTTCACAGGCTAACAATGTGAGTTCAAATGTACAAGGTGTTTTAAATACTAATAAATGAACACTCCATAGATATCTGAGCATTTCATTCTATCCTTCACCAATAGAATTGGTCTACTCTTTGCAAAGCACTGTGAATGGCACCTTGGAAACAGCAATCAATGAGTCAGTCATGATCTTTCAGCATCAATGCAACAAAGTTAGTCCCTGGTAATATTTACATAATCTCTTTTCTCCTCCAGTGCTCTGGAAGTAACATCTATATTCACCATCACTGCAGAGTGAAATTTAGGGCTCCCAACCTCTACTCACTTTGAGTGTAGTTGCTCTGTGGTTTCCTCACGGAGTCTGTGGTTTTATTTCCAACCCATTATTGATTGTTCTAAAGACTGGTACAGGAGCAAGGCAGGAGTGGTTATCAGTCCTACAGGTGAAGAGCTTAAAAGTTACGGTATCAATGGCTTATTCAAAGTCACACAAAATAAACAGGAGATAGAACCTGAACTCAGATTTCTAGAAATGAGGGAGGGAAGGGTGCTTACAAATATGGGATATATCTATAATATGATTTCCTCTACATTACAGACTTTGCAACTAAAAAAATTAAAACTGGAAATACAGATGGTCCTCAACTTAAGATGACTCAACTTTATGATGTTCCAAAAGTCCCATGCATTCAGTAGAAACCTAATTCAAGTACCCATACAACAATTCTGTTTTTCACTTCTAGTACAATATTCAATAAATCACATGAAATATTCAACACTTTATTATAAAATAGGCTTTGTGTTTGTATTAGTCCATTCTCATGCTGCTATCAGGACATACCCAAGACTGCATAATTTATAAAAGAAAGAGGTTTAATTGACTCACAGTTCCTCAGGGCTTCGGAGTACTCAGAAAACTTACAATCATGGCAGAAGGGGAGCAAACATGTCTTTATTCACAAGGTGGCAGAAAAGAGAAGAATGAGTGCCCAGGGAAGGGGGAAGCCCCTATAAAACCATCAGATCTCATGAGAACTAACACACTATCATGAGAACAGGATGGGGAAACCACCCCCATGATTCAATTATCTCCACCTGGTCCCTCCCATTACACATGGGGATTATGGGAACTACAATTCAAGATAAAACTTGAGTTGGGACACAGCCAAACCATATCAGTGTTACATGATTTTGCCCATCTATAGGCTAATGTAAGTGTCCTGGGCATGTTTGAGGCAGACTAGGTAAGCTATGAAGTTAGATAAGTTAAGTATATTAAATGCACTTTCCACTTATGATATTTCAACTTACAATAGGTTTATTGGGATGTAACACCATGGTTAGTCAAGGAACATCTGCGTATATTTTTCCCATTGCTCCATGAATGAATTAATGAATAGAAAGTTCTTTGATGACATTCTCCACTGACTTATCAGACTCCTCCCTCACCCAAAAAAAGCCCTGGGACATTCAACTTTAACTGTGCCTTTATCATCCTCACCACCTCCTCATCCTGCTTCTTTATTCTCCTTCTCTTCAAACCAGAGGAAAGGAGTCCTGGTTCTTCCTTCAGACACTTCCTTGAACAAACCCTGGCATTGAGAGAGGGGCAGCCTTTACACTCTCAGTCTCCATCTGCTGCCTTGTCCTGGCTCTGGGCTGAGGTTCAGAATCCAATTATTTTTAGATTTATATCCCTATCTGGCTCGTGATCCAAAGTGAGTGGAGATTAGGACCCTTAAAATTAACTCTGCAGTCCTGGCAGAAAAGATGTTGCCTCCAAAGCATTAGAGGAGAAAAATGATTATGTAAATATTACTGGGGGCTTCCTTCATTGGATGACTGCTTAGTAGAGGGCACTTGGTCAAATCAATCTTTAGGATCTGTTGTGGGCCTGTGCTCTCACCACGTGTGTGCAGACCTCTGGGTTATAATAGCCTACTGTATGTGGGTGTGAGTGTGCAACCCAGCTGGCTTGGCAGGGATTCTTTTGGCATTGTTCTTGGCATATAAATATTTTTGGACTCAAATCAGACATAATCTGACTTGCCTGGGTCTCAGTTTCCACATCTAAGATGAAGATGCTTTACTAGAATGATGCCTAGGGGACTTCTAAAGAGGCAGCATGTCTAGGCTGGAGTAAGAATGTTGTCTTTAGAAGGGGTTTAGAAAAAAACACATCTTGTTAAATTTCTTGCTTTAAAATTTAAAATTAAAATTCCACCTCCATTGCCTACATTTTACTTCTCCAACCCATCTGCAAAATGGAGCTCAGGGGAAAACGCCCGTCTATAGCATTGGGGTGGAGATTCAGTAACACAGAGAAAGTGCTCAGGAAATATTTGCTGATGAATGATACTTGGATGGCTCAGAAGAAAAGCTTTCCATTCTAAAAGGGCTTTACCAGAACTCCCCACACTGCCATGGCTCCTGAAGGTTGTCAAGCTGTGGAACATAAACGAAAAGGCTCTCTCTGCCTCCATTCCCCAAGCAAGAGTTATTTGAGCAGAAAATCATTACTATAAAATCACCAAATTATTAAGTCCTTTGTCTCCTCCAATGCTATGACTAGCTTCTGAGGTGCGGTGCGGGTGAATCTGCCCTTATTTTCCCCCATAGGCTATTTACTCAGGGAGGGCAGATATTATGGTCTGTTTTTGTGCTCCAAGACTGCCACATGAAAGATGCTTCATAAGTATTTGTTGCAAGGAAACATCTCCTTCCTACTTAGGACTTGATTTCTTATTTCTGCAGGTCTGCAAACTGAGTATCTCCTTATTCAGGCAGCAGATTCTGGGAAAATTGCCTGTCCCTGCATGTTCCCACACTTGAAACTGGAGCAAACTAAGTCAAATAATTCTTTAACTGTAAACATTCTATTTTCCAAATTGGATAGGTGACACCTGGTTAGTAGAGGAATCAGAGAAAAGGCCCTCCACATATCCACCTCCATCACTTCCCTCCCAGGAGACAACCAGAATCCAAACTTTCCCCAAATGGAAAGATTTTATCCCTACCAAGGACACAAAAGTCATGTGTACCATGCAGTAATTTCATCACTTTGTGTAAATTAGTTCTATTTGCATAGCTTAACAAAAACAAATTTTTGTGCTTGTCCTAACAAAGGGCTGTGGCTCTTCTTAATATTGTGTTAAAACTTCACCTTTAAAATTCCCCATCACCATCTTCACTTTGTTATGTTTTGCTATTTCTAAAATACACTGGTGCTATTATGCAGACTCAATCTATGTCTGCAATGGGTTCTCTGTGTCTAGAAACTTGGATAATGCGAGGAATCCAGTAGCTACACTGCTGCTCACTAACTATAACTGACAAAGGGCTTTGGTTAGTAGTTCTCCAGATCGATAAATTAATTAATAGGTGTGTTTAGTCCCTATGCCAATAGTGGCTACATCATCTAGTCATTTAGGAATTAACCCTCCCTCCTTGGTTTTCACTGGAAAATGACCTTTTCTTGTATTTATGCAGTTTCCCAATGAGCACATCTTAATCATGTAACTTGTTTTATCTCGGTGACTCCTCAGTGCATTGTGCTTTTCATTCCAAATGATTTTATTTCATCGTAACCATCTGAAGCCTGCATTACAGTCACTATAGATTCATTTCTAACTCTTAACCATCCCATTCCAGAAACTCTGATGACTTTACATTTATGAATTGTGAATATTATTTCTAATAAAATGATAAAGAATTGACCCTTCAAATTTGTAAATAATGGGGATATTTCCCTAGCAACAGCCAATTGCACTAGACAGAGAATGTCATTCTATCGGGAACAGTTACCCTTTAGCTTATTTCAATGTCAGGAAACCTCTAATTCTGATTATTCCTTCAGTTCTGAGTCAGCCAACACCACAGAGATACTACATACTATAACTTAAATAGAATAAGTATAATAATAATTCTTAATGAGGAGACAGCCTGGCTCAGAAGGCTGGAAACCTATGTACTGAGAGGTATCATATTATTTCTTCATTAACTTATTCTATAACCTTGAGCAAATCATTTTGTCTATGTGTGAGTACTTTACGTCCCAGTGAGTGCAATCCAGCAATACAAGACAGTAGAGAAAATAGTAGTATCTACAATAGTAGATACCAGTTATTGATCATTACCATGTGCTAAGCCCTGTGCCTGCATGACCTCATCTAATTCTTATGCTAAGCAGGAAGTCAGTTTCATTCCTAGTTTGCAGAGGAAGTTCAGAGTTACTAAGTTCACACAGTTAGTAAGTAGAGAAAGCAAGATTTAGACCTAGGTCTATCTGACTTGAAAGTGAACTTGTCTTATATACTGTATTTAATTTGCCTTTCTGCTGTTTCAGGGGCTGAAACTCTGCATGGTATTCCAGTAGTTCCCCCTTATACGTGGGGGATATGTCCAAGACCTCCAGTGGATGTCTGAAACCTTGGATGGCACAGTTACCAACCCTATGCATTATATGTACTGTATTGTTCTCTACATATGTACCTATGATAGAGTTTAATTTATAAATTAGGTACAGTAATATTAATAACAACAATTAACAAAATAGAACAATTTAAACAATATGCTATAATAAAAGTTATATAAATATGTTCTCTCTGTCTCTTTCAAAATATCCTATTGTATTATGCTGCAGGTAACTGAAATCAGAGAAAACAAAATCTCAGATAAATGGGGATTACTGTATAATGTCATGGTAAAACTGGGGAATTTTAGTCCCAGAGAGGACAGTGACCAGCTAATTTCTACCATGCAGATAGGCTGCAGAATAAGGAAGGAACCTAGATTTGAACAACGAAGTCTTCTGGGAGCTGCAGGGAGGGGCTCAAGCCTGGCTTTGGGAGAAGGGAGAATATCTTGACAGAGGAGTGTTCCCCATCCTCATGGCTATGTGCTCTAGTTAGCACCGTGGCCTTGCCTCCCTCTCTTCCCATCGCCCTTTCTAAATATGTCCAATGCACTCAACTGTTCTGCCTGGCTCAGGCTCCATCACCTCCCTCCAGGACTCCTGCATGGGCCCCTAAAGGGATCCCTGCCTCCAGTCTCAGTTGCCACTGAGCTCCTTACCATACAGCCAAGAGATTACAATTTACCCCTGTGGGCAGTACTAGTAATCAAGAGGCCTGGAGAGGTGGCTCATGCCTATAATCCTAGCGATTTGGGAGGCCAAGGCTACAGTGAGCTATGATCATGCCACTGCATTTTGGCAACAAAGCGAGACCCTATCTCCAAATAAATGAATAAATAAATAAAAAGAGTAATCAGAAAATTTAAGCAAAGGGATTATATAATTAGATTTACAGTGTAGGAAAATTAAACCTGAGGAGTTCATGCATTATGATCCTCCCTTTTCCCCTCACCTCTTTAGCCAATACTTTCTCCCACCATTTCCTGCCCTCCAGGCAAAAAGAGCACAGGACTCCACCTCCGATTCTTCTGCCTGGCAAGCACCTCCTCCCATGTGGGCCCTGAGGTGCTGTCTCATCTTGAAGACCAGATACAGCTTCTCCTCTCTGAAGGTGTCCTCACCTCCCCATACACATGGGAATCTCCCCAGTGTGCCCCCTTTGCAGCCCTCGTTCATTACACGGAAATAGCTCCTTTGTAGTCATCTGTTTCCCCTACCAGAGTGGGAGCCCCCTCAAAGACAGGCGCTGTGTCACTCATATTTGCATCCACAGTTCCCAGGGCAGAGCCAAGCAGTGGTTGCATTCTTCACATGGAATCCTACATTGTTAACCACAGGGCTTCCGCCAGGACCTCATGGTGCATCTCCACAGATTTAACCTTAGTGGTGACATTGCTGGGGGCAAATGTGACCACTATCCCGAATTTGAAAAAGCCACCCTCCACACGGCCCACTGGCACACTGCCAATGCCTGTTCAACCCAGGAAGGGAAGTCAGTCCCAGACACACCCAGTGAGAACTGGCTTCCTGGGAGGCCCCTTGGCTTTTGAGTTCAAGGACAAAGGACCACCTGTGGAATTGGTAGAAAGCACTAGATGGATCTCTG
Source organism: Homo sapiens (assembly GCF_000001405.40). Classification (NCBI taxonomy): domain Eukaryota; kingdom Metazoa; phylum Chordata; class Mammalia; order Primates; family Hominidae; genus Homo; species Homo sapiens. The sequence goes on along the minus strand of NC_000011.10, from coordinate 92,916,290 downwards.
ACTGTTTAAAACTGTGTAGTGGATAGCTTGGAAATGCTAGGTGCTTTTCCACTTTATCCTTGCTCAGGGAAGAGGTGGAGTCAGGATTTGAACCCTGGCAATCATACACCTGTGGACTCCCTCGGGGATTCAATTAAGGATCAACTCCAGAATCCCTAACAGAGTAGTCTACCCTCAGCTCCACTCAGGCCTGGGTCACCTCCCATCTTGTACACATCTTGCAGGGGCAGCCTCAGGGGATTGTCGACCCTGCGCGTTGTTGGGAGGATGGAGTTCAAAGCTTCCAGCAGAGTCACCCCCATGGCGTTCCCCTCCTTCCACTCTACCTTCCAGCACTTGAACCAGGGCATCTTCGGGATGTCGAGGGGAGGTGAGTCCGGGGTGTGGTCCGCTCGCCTCCACCCCGGCTGTCCCTGCCGACCCGCGCCACACTCGCGTCAGTGCTGGGCTCCAGCATGCTGTCGCCGTGCCAGCTCGAGATGGACTGAAGGCCAGGCAGCCAGTTGTAGCCGATCTTCTTGATGCAGGCGCTTACTTCCTTGGTGATCACCTGGAGGCGCGAGCCGCTGTAGGCGGGCTCGGTGGAGTCAATTTCGTTGAAGATCACGATGAGCTGCGTGACGTCCCGCCAGTTGGCCAGCAGCGCGAGCTCGTGGGTCTGCGGGTTCTTGAAGATGCCGGCCTCCGCCCAGCCGCCTGCCACGAAGAGCACCGCGCAGTCGGCCTGCACCGCGGGGATACACAAACACACCGGGTTGCGGGAGGGGGCATCGGACTGACTTTGGGAGGTTCCGAATCCCATTGTAAAGCTGGGGAATGCCCTCCAGAACTCAGATGGCCAAATGGGATTCATGGACCACCCTAGATGCGGTGCATGGGGGTCCTGCTTCCCAGTTCCTCTCATTTAATCTCATCTAAATCAGCTTTTAGTCCCTTCTTTCTGGACCAACTGATCTACTAGTCTGAGTGTAAGAAAACCTGGTCCCTCTAGGCCCCCCCAGGACAACAGGATCTGAGCTTCATGAGAGTGATGGGACTTTCAGTCCTGTCCTCCCTAATTCTTTCAGGATTGATGGATGATGGCCATAGGTGAGGAAAAGGCTTACAAGCCTTATGATACCTTCCTTCTCCAAGCTTCAGAAATAAATCTTGAGTTTCCCCCTCTATAGGAATGTTTCTGAAGGCATGGACTGCTTTACCTGGGAAGTGCCCCTGATCATGGTCATGATGAAGTCTCTGTGGCCTGGAGCATCGATGATAATGCTGTAGTATGTGCTAGTCTTGAACTTCCACAGGGAGATATCAATGGTGATCCTGCGTTCTCTTTCTGCCCTCAGCTTGTCCAACACCCAGGCATACTTGAAGGAGCCCTCGCCCACCTGGGAAGGGGTGGGAGAATAAATGCACTGATGGACAGCAGATAAATCTACCTCAAACAGCAGCATTTTAGGCTTGCAGAGTGCATGGTTTTCTGTACTCTGTAGCTAGAACTACCCACAAGAAAGAGGCTTCCCCTCCACACACTTCCAGACACAGAGGGAGCCTTACCTCTGCCGGCTCCTTTTCAAACTTCTCAATGATTCTCTTGTCAATGCCCTCACATTTGTGAGAGGCCCAGTGGTGGTGGACTTGCCAGAGTCCACATGGCCAATGATGATGATATTGATAAAGGCCTTCTCTTTGCTCATGGCAGTAGGTTTACTAGAATAACTGCTGGTCAAGACAGCCAGGTGGTGAGACTAGATTATTCCAGGCCTGTCTTCTTCTATTCCCTCTTACTGAATAATTAATTTATGTTTTTTATCTTATTTTCAGATCCTTTTCCTTCCCGTCTCCACATGTCCAGAAGTTTGGTCCCCATAAAATTACAGTGGGCTGGGCACAGTTGCTCACGCCTGTAATCTCAGCACTTTGGGAGCCTGAAGCAGGAGGATCACTTGAACTTAGGAAAAGAAGGCCAGCCTGGGCAATATGATTTAACCCATCTCTACAAAAAATTAAAAATAGAGAAAAGAAAAATTAGCCAGGCACAGTAGTGTGCACCTGAGGGGGCTGAAGTGGGAGAATCACTTGAGCCTGGGAAGCAGAGGTTGCAGTGTGCCAAGATCACATGACTGCACTCCATTCTGGGTGACAGAGTGAAACACTGTATCAAAAAAGTAAAAAAAAAAAAAAAAAAAAAAAAAAAAGGGGGTTCTGCTTAATTCTGCAAGATTTGGGCAAAAAAAGTATATTCAGCCTCACCCACCCTCCCTTTATCCAATCACCCAGTCAAGGAAGAAGTCTCTGACATTGGGCCTAAGGGTAAGGAGTGGCATTTTTTAAGCTGAACAGGTTCTCATTTCAGATTTGGTGAGAACCAGAAGGAGGGGCAGTGCAGGTAGGGCTGGGCTCATAAAAGCAGGAGGCAAAGAGTTCACTCTGTTGACAGTTGTTGTGGTTCTTGTTGATCTCTGGATCAGTTCTGCTGCTTCTTTTTTAGAAGTAGGACTTAAAGGAGCAAGCTGCAGACTACAGAGGGTCAGGATCTCTTGTACTAGAAATGGGTCAGAGGTGGGGGGATAGAAGTTGATTGGATGAACAGGGGCTGTCTAAGCTCCCAGTGGTCAGGGGATGGCCAATGCAGGAGAAAGGTCAGGGTCAGGACTGCTTGGAAGTACCCGATATAGCCAAGGAATTAGTCCAGGAGATGTGAGCCTGGGCAAATCAGTTTTACTTTTCAGTTTAACCTTTCATGTCCCTGGCTCTGAGCTAGGCACCGAAGTGGGAAGAGGCAATGCAGGAGCGGTGGTAGGAGGCTGCCCCTACAAGATGTGTGCAAGATGGGAGGTGACCCAGGCCTGAGTGGGGCTGAGGGTAGACTACTCTGTTAGGGATTCTGGAATTGATCCTTAATTGAATCCCCAAGAAGTCCTCCACTGCTGGCAAGGTCACCAAGTTTGCAGCAAAAGCCAGCAAGAAATGAAGCCCACCCTCCTCTCTGCAGTGTCCTCAGCTCCTCCTTCCCCCCCAATAACTAAACATTCAATGAATGTATGTATTTCCTAAATAAAGTGGATAAAACTTGACTAGCTGCCCTGGTTTCTTTCAAAGAAGAAAGCATGGGTAGATGGAGAACTTCTAGGCAGGATAATTATTATTTAAAGCCCATAGGCTTCCCAGGGTCATAAAACAATTCAGGGTTGTCTACCTTATTCTCATACCCAGGGTATCATTCCAACCTCTCTCCCATTTCGTTCCCTCTGTGGTGTCTCCTCCCTATAAAGTAGGTGGATGGTTTTGAGGTGTGAAAAGCATACTCATAACAACACTGGGGTAGGATCTTAGTGCCAATAGATTGGTCCAACTCTATTGTATGATTTTTGGTATAACCATCATTCAGTGCTGAAGGTTATTCAGCTAATGCAGTGAGGTGGAGACTCTAACTAGCTCATTTAGAACTTGGGCTCAGAAGCTGGTGCCCAACATGTTAAATTTAAGTTAGGTTAATATGCCTAGAGGGTAAGGAATGAACAGTTGCAGTTCTTACAATCTTTGATCTTGTTGTTGTCAATTAATGGGTGCAACAGGATAACTTTTCATGGAGCTTACTAAGCTAAATTATGTGCTCATTCAGCATATCCTGGGAGACAGGACCCAGGGTCTGCCAGCAATGTGTTCTTAACCCATTCGTCCATCAAATATTGGCACTTACCATGCACCAGATGCTGTTCTGATCCCATGTACTTATTGAGTGGGTGGAGACAGAAGGCAAATATCAGGTGATAGTGCATGAAGAAAATAAGCAAAGAAAATAGTAGAGATGGGGAGCAGACCATGAAGAATGGAAATTATGGAGACAAATGGAGTCTACAACAATAATCCAAGCAAGATGATGACTTGGACCAGAGGAGTAGTCATGGAGTTAAATGGTGAGAGGTGGTTCTGAATATATTTTTTAGGTGGAGCTGACAGAAATCTCTAAAGATTGGATGTGGGGTATGAGGAAGGGAAGTCCAGAGTGACATCCAGGTCTTTGGCCTGAGGAATTAGAAGAATGGAGTTTGCCCGATGAGATGTGGGGATGCATTGCCTGTTATTAGAGATGCTGGGGTGGTTAGAAATGGTCTGGAATAAAGGGATGACATAATCAGGGGAGCAATTCTACATGGAAAGAGTATCTTTTGTTCCTAAGCATCTGCTAGGAGGTGCTAGGATGTGCACATAGATTCTGTTCCACCTGGAAAGGGAAATTAATCAACTGCATGATTGTGATCTGTTTTATGATTGGGAAAACAATTAAGCTTCAAACATTGAGAATGCTGACTATGAAAATGGTTTTATTCCCAGGAGGACTGTTGGAGTCCTTTCTGGGTCAGATTGGGAATGCCATCATTTCCTGCCCATTCCTGAGATTCTGGTGTCCCAGGGTTAGACTAGGAGTGCAGTGGGCTATTTCTCTCACTGATCAATAACTATAACCTTACCTGTTCCTGTCTGTCATGTTGCTTCCCTCTCAAGTGCAAATCTCTTGGGAAACCTGAGACCCAGCACAAACCTGGAAATAATAGCAGGATGACATATCAGAGCTGTCACTAGGCCAGGCATTAAGAAGCTCACCTGTCTTCAGTGCTGGGAAGCCTGTCAAAATTCCAGCTGTTATCAGCATGAATCAGTGCCTAATGGGAGCTGGACCAAGCTTTGGAACACCTCAAGCCTGTCAATGTCATCAAAGGCCATTCAGCCTGCACGGGAGAGCCAGGCAGGTGCAGGAGCTGTGCAGGGACAGAATGCAGAATGCTCACCTGTTGTATTCCTCACTTCCTTCCCGGGCCTGTTCAATACAGTCTTTTTTGTCCAGAACACTTTATTTTGTCTTCTACAAATCACAACTACAGCTTTGCTAAAAATGACTGGGGAGCTAAACATATAACCTATCAGTGTCTGGGTCTCTAATATGTACTCAATGAACATTTGCTCAGTAGGGAATGAATGTCACTATATATGTGCTAAAGCAAGTGAATGACTGAATGTCAATTTACTCTTAGTTCTCAAGAATAATCATGGTTTTAGTGCTTGTTTCTTAAGGATATCATAACAATTTAATTTAAAAAGAAAACTAAAACTATCAGGGTTAATCCTCCAAGTGCCATATTATTTTTAACATTATTTTAATTTAATTACTTTTTTATTTATCGATAGGGGGTCTCATTTTGTTGCCCAGGGGCTGGTCTTGAACTCCTGGATTCAAGGGATTCTCCCGCCTCAGCCTCCCAAAGTGCTGGGATTACAAGCATGAGACACTATACCTAGCCCAAGTGTCATATTCTCTACTCTGTCATTTCTCACTGCTCAGGAAGAAGGGGGAGCCTCAAAACACCTAGTAGAATGAACATAACAGAAAATACTGGTAAGTGGGGAATGTCATCTCATTAGAAACTCCAAGAACACTTCTGTGCAGCACTGCAAGCATAGCGCCGCAGAACTGGCCAAAGTTTTGTACCAAACTGTAGCTACAGCAATGTACACTAGGACGTAAGAGTTCTGACTTTTTATCTGAGAAAAAACTTTGTAGTCATCTTAGGCCACAACTCCAGTGCCTGCTGGTCCAGGGCCTCTTTGTAATGTGGGAAATGGATACAAGCCATATTGGCCAGTTACAATTATTAGGTTCTTTTCTGACAGATATTGGAGGCCATCGCTTGCTAGATCCTCCTCACCCCACCCCTGCCACCAGGTAGCACAATGAAACACGTCTCAGACTGAATTAGCAGGTACAAAACAATCACATGTCTGTTGTGTGGTTTGAAGTCTCGGCATCCTACCCTTTCAGTCTCTGATGAGCATTTTGCATGCAGGTGTGACCGGATCCTGGCAGCAGGCTTCAGCTGGCCTTCGGGTGGGGACAATCCTCTGGAAATGGCTCTCAGCAGGATGGAGTCCTTAGGTCTTGGCTGCCAGTTCAAAGGGTCAGGGCTACTGGGCTCACCTGTTTATCCACAGAGACACCTGTACAATAGTTCTAGTTAATCTACAGGTCTTGAACTCCGCTCATTTCACCAACACAAAATCTTTTCTAATATCCAATATGACAAACAACAAACCATCTGGTGCTGACTGGAGATAAATAAGGTTGAGCTTGTCTGAGGCTTGCGGTAATAAAGCTCCTGGAGTGGGGGCTTCTGATTACTCTGTCACATGCTACATAACCACCTCTAGAGTGTGTGTTCCCAATTATGGTGCTTCAAATGTTAAACAACCACCCCTATGGTCTAGAATAAAACTATCTTGCAGACCACATATCTCATGGGGACACTGCATTCGAAGTCCTTGGATGCACTCTTCTCTGAGAGGTCATGCTGCCCCCAACATAGCCAGCCCACTTCCCAGAAGCCCAGATTTACTTTCCTGGCATGAGCTTTCCTGCCAGTCATGGGTCAGCAGTGGGGGAGCTCCCTGGCTCTCCTCCCATCACCTTCTCTGGTGACAGCCTGCTGCGCCCTATAGTTTCCTCTCTTCCCGGCAGCCCCTGGCTGCAGAGCTTACCTGAATTATCTCAGACCCAAGAGAAAATGCTCTGGCAATCAGATTTTTGTTTGTCCCTGTCAGACTCCAGAGCTCGAACAAAGTTTCTTTCTGGCTGACTCTAAACCCATCTCCTCAAGCCAGTTTGGGAGGCTGTGCAGCTCACACCTGACTCCCTGGGGTGGTCTATGCCTGTGGGAAGGGACCTTGCCCTGGGAAGACACACAGACCTCACCAGCACCAGCCACTTGGCACCCCAGGCTAGCACTTATGGCTCCTGATCCTTCAGACTCACAGCGGGCACCCGGCTTACTCCACCCAACTAAAGCAAGGAGGATGGGGTGTCACCTATCCATTCATTCATTCACTTCCTCTTTTACCAGATTTCATTGATGAAAACTGTGGTTGAGCTGCGTTGAACACTGTCTTGCCCACCTAGGTCTCACTGTCTGGCAAAGAAGACAAATAAGTATTCTGAAAATTATAATGTGATGTTAGAAATGCCGTGATAGGGCTAACTTCAGGAGGCTATGGAAGAACATAACAGGGGCCACAGTGAAGCTCGAGGAATCAGAGAAAACTGATTCTAGAGGTAAAAAAGTCAACCTCTAAAAAAACATGTAGAATGGCCCATACAGGACTCAGCAGGGAGGCCAGTATGGCTGGCTCTGACTGCAGGTTGGTAACATGAACAGAAGGCCAAGTTCCTTGTTTGTTTGTTCTTTGAAACAAAGTCTCACTTTGTCTCCAGGGCTGGAGTGCAGTGGCATGATCTCGGCTCACTGCAACCTCCACCTCCCAGGTTCAAGCGATTCTCCTGCCTTAGCCTCCCGAGTAGCTGGGATTACAGGTGCCCGCAACTGTGCCCAGCTAATTTTTGTATTTTTTTTGGTAGAGACAGGGTTTCTCTGTCTCTCGGTCCAGGCTGGTCTCAAATTCTTGACCTCGTGATTCTCCCACCTCGGCCTCCCAAAGGGGATTACAGGTGTGAGCTACTGTGCCCGGCCAAGTTCTTGAAGGCCCTTGATGCCAAGCTATGGCATCTAGGCTTAGTGCTGAGGGCAGAGAGGAGTCATAGGGTGCTCAGGTGGGTGCCTTTCCTTTAAATGAGAAGTGCAGGCTTTGAGCTTTCTCAGAAACTTAACTTGGGCCCTTATGCAAAAAGAACATCAAGACTAGACCTGACCTGAAAGCTCCATTGGCTGCCGGGGTACCTCTGTCCACTTTCATTAGGCCTCAGAAGGCCCAGTAATGATGGCATCAGTTTCACTGGCATAGAAATAACTAAGCAATACTCTACCACCTGAGGTTGTCCCTTTTCTGGGTAGAAGCTAAATTGAAATTTTAAAATGACTCTATTGCCATTCTTCTGAACGCAGTTGACTTCTTTTTGTCATATTAAACCAAGTTCCAGACACTGGAAACAGAAATCCCAGCTGCCATTGCCCATTCATTGAACAATTGGTATTTTGGCCTTGCAGGGAGACACACCAGCTTATGTTTACAGAGCTGTTTACATTTGATGATGACAACAGTATAACTGAGAAAATCGCCCTATGGAAAAATATGTTTTCCTTCTGTTCTAAGAAAAGTCCCACTGCATCAGCCAGAACAAGTGTGTCCAGCATACATAGACAGCAGCAGACTAAGACCCATGAAGAAAAACCTGCCCCTCTCCATCCTGTATACCTGTAGGGTCAACTGGGGTTTGGAAATATTTCCACAGAAAAACTTCACATCTTACTCACTCACATTCCCATTTTCCATAATCAGCCAAGTCCCAATTATTTCCTGTATTGTCTCTGCCGCATTTGTTTTGTGAGACAATGGTGAGTAGGATAATGGTGCATAACTCAAACACAGGGCCAATCTAAACGAGAAACTGGCAGAGGGCTCACGGGGTGATTGCATTATTCATGAAAAGACATCAGAACAATTGGAGGATAACATTAGATTTTAACTCACAGCAGCAATTACAAGGCAATTATCCAAAATGGTATAATTGCCACAGTTACAGGGTGTGTGGCAGAACCTACACCATGTTCTTGCCACCTTTTTCAGTGCCATGATGAAAACCGGTCTGTACATTGCAAGAGGAAATTCTGCAGAAGAAAACATGCATATTCCCTCCCCTCATGCCCCACACAGCAAGCAACCAGAGGCTCGGTGAAAAATGTAGCCCTAGGCCAGGCTTAAATCTTGCAGGAACCCTTGTCTTGCTTATGCCAAACTGTGCTGCTGTCAGTTATTTGACCCTGTCCTTGTGTGAATTTCAGCCTATGCCTGGAGCCTGAATCCTACTTCCAGATGCAGTCTCTTAGCCAAGGGCACTACAAATGTGGCAGTGGGAAGAAGGTACGTGCTTTGCAGGCAGCAAGCTGGGATTTACTCACTGTTCTAATACTGATGGTGCAATTCAGCATCTGCTAGTATAAGGGTAGGTACCATGATACCCTTATAATTAGAAGATGCACTCAGTGCATATGACATGCAAGATAGTTTGCATATCCTCTTTAAGTTAACCTCCAAGGTTCCTGGTTTTCATGCATTTATTTATTTAACAAATATTTATCTAACATCTTTGTATTAGGTTCTGTTCTAGGAGATTGAGTTACATTAATGACAAAATGGAGCTCTGCCTTTATGAAGCTTCCCTAATTGGAGTAATTTTGCACAACCATCAGAGGCCTGAAAGGTACAATGTACTGTCTATAGCATCAGCAGAGCAAGATGCAAATTGGGATCGAAATATTCTCAACTTTCTGGATTCTTTCCTTCCCTTTCCATGTCACTATCCTTTCCCCCTCTTCTATCGTGGCTTTAGAACTATGTGTCTTTTCAAATCAATTCAACACGCATTTCTTAAGCACCTATTAACTTGACAATATCTAGCAACATTTAAAATAGTTATACTCATTGATATAACAAGTTTATTATTAGATCTTCATTGTACAACATACTGGAATAGGATTGCTAAAATATGTTGAATGATATTCATTGCAGTATTGTTTGTGATTGTCCCAAACTGAAAATAATGAAAAATGTATATAAATAAGTGGGGGCTATTAAATAAATTAGGGTGCATTCATCTGGTGGGATATTATGCAGCTGCTAAAAGAATGTGATAAGAATGGAATGATGTCCAGAGACTCCCACCAGGTTAAAAAGGCAAGTTTCAGAATAATGTGTACAGTTGGATCCCATATTTGTAAAACAAATTTCACACATACAGAAGAAAAATGACAGGAAGGATATGCATCAAAGCAGTATCTGGGGTGCCTCTTGGGAGTAAGTTGGGGATAGCAAAGACTTTTGTTTTCTTCTTTATTTGTCTTCTGATTTAAAATTTGTATAGATTACTTTTATAGTTAAATAAAAATACATTTGACTCTTGAACAATATGGGTTTGAAGTGCTTGGGTTCATCTTTAGTGGATTTTAATCAATAAAAGTTACACCAAATGTACCTGCCTCCCCTTCCACCTCCTCTACTTCTTTCACCTCTCCACCCATGAGACAGCAAGACCAACCCCTCCTCCTCTTCCTTTTCCTCCTCAGCCTACTCAATGTGAAGGCAACGAGGATGAAGACCTTTATAATGACCCACTTCTACTTAATAAATAGTAAGTATATTTTCTCTTCCTTATAATTTTCTTAATAACATTTTTCACTAGTTTATTGTAAGAATACACTATAATTTATATATATGTGTGTATATATATATTTTATATATGTACACAAAATATGTGTTAATAGACTGTTTATGCTATTGGTAAGGCTTGTGGTCAACAATAGGCTATTAGTAATTAATTTTGGGGAGAGTCAGAAGTCATGTGTGAATTTTTGACTTTGAGGAAATGTGTGTCCCTAAACTCGACCTTGTTCGAGGGTCAACTGTATAGAAAGAATATGGATCATCCCCCCAGCCTCAGGCTACTAGGAGAGTGGGGTTTCCTGCTTTTGAGGAGTGTGATGATTAACTTTTTGTACCAGCTTGGCAGATATTTGGTGAAACATTATTCTGTGAAAATGTTTTTAGATGAGGCTCACATTTAAATTGGTGGGCTTTGAGTAAAGCAAATTATCCTTCATAATATGGGTGGGTCTCATCCAGTCAAATGAAGGCCTTAGTAAGACAAAGACTGAGGAGCTCCCCTGAGCAAGAAGGAATTCTGCCGACAGACTGCATCACAACTCTTGCTGGAGTCTCCAGCCTGTGGGCCTACCCCACTGGATTTTGGACTCACCAAACTTCCCCACAATCACTTGTGCAAATTCCTTAGACTAAATCTCTCTCTGTCTCTCTCTGTCTCTCTCTCTCTCCGTCTCTCTCTCTCTCCCTCTCTCTACATATATATATGTATATATACATTGGTTCTGTTTCTTTGGAGAACCCTGACTAATATAAGAAGCTTGGGGTTTAGTTGTGTAGTGACACATCAGGGAGAGGAGAGGAGTGGTTCTTCTGAGTGTCCCCTGAGACTAAGCATGTTATTAGTGGGCACGCCAACGGGTGACTTGGTTGGGGGAGGGGCTAGAGCTCCATGATCTCCTTCAGCCACCCCAAACAAACATGAACCCCGAGAAGGTGTTGGCCCTACCAAAGCGGCTTCAAGAAAGCCCTCATAGAAATTCGAGGAAGTTGCCTCTGAACAAAGTATGAAGTTTTGGGAAGTTCCCATTCCTTGTGACCAGTAAGGTGCTAGGCCCTGGCCTGAAGGTCTCCCATGGCCCCTTGGCAGCATCCACATCTCCAAAGGCTCTCATTCTTGAGCACAAGCCCCTACCCCAGTGGACAGGCCAATGATCCAGGGATGTCCCAGGTAAAGGGACAGAAGTCCTCCTTGATGCCAGTTTTAGAAGGTTAAGGATTCTCCTTACCACCACTTCCCCTCAGCTCTCCATCTTGAAAGCTTCAACTTCCATAAACTTATCCATGGCTTTCAAATATAAAGAAGCCAAATCATTAAAACTTGGTTATGATGACTTTGTAAGCTCAAGAAAATTATTTAAAATATACACAATAAAAAATAGAATATATTCCTTGTGAGGAATAATAATGAGTTCTCACTCTGTTAGTTTACAAGAGAGCTGGTTGTTTAAAGGAGCCTGGCTCCTCTGCGTCTCTCTCTTGCTTCTTCTCTCACCATGTGACTCATTGACTCTCCTCTACCTTTTGCCATGATTGTAGGATTCCTGAGGCCCTCATCAGGAGCAGATGCTGGTGCCCTGCTTCCTTTATAGCCTGCAGAACCATGAGTCTTAATAAACCTCTTTTCTTTACGAATTACCCAGTGTCAGGTATTCCTTTATAGCGATGCAGAATGGACTGACCGAGCTGGCTCACTATTGGGCTGTATTTCTTATCTCCAGGCTTCTTGAACTGAGGAGAAACTAGAATCACAGCACAGCATGTGCCAGGCACAGTGCTAAGCACTCATATAAACCTCATCTAATTTAACCACCATTCTGATTCTGTAAGGTAGATATAGTTTTGGTTGTCAAACTCAGTATTCTGAAGAGAAATTCAACAATAACAATGAAAAAAAGAGAAAGAAAAAAAAAGAAATCAGAAATCCAGAGAAGTTAAAAATACTCTTGCGGCCGGGCGTGGTGGTTCATGCCTGCAATCCCAGCAATTTGGGAGGCCAAGGCGGGTGGATCACGAGGTCAGGAGATCGAGACCACCCTGGCTAACATGGTGAAACCCTGTCTCTACTAAAAATACAAAAAAAAATTAGCCGGGCATGGTGGCGGGCACCTGTAGTCCCAGGTACTCAGGAGGCTGAGGCAGGAGAATGGCATGAACCCGGGAGGCAGAGCTTGCAGTGAGCTGAGATAGCGCCACTGCACTCCAGCCTGGGTGACAGAGCGAGACTCTGTCTCAAAAAAAAAAAAAAAAAAAAACTCTTGCAAGGTCTCAGACCTGGCCAGAAGGTGTATCCATTTTCTAGAGCTGCCATTACAAAATACCACAAACTGGGTGGTTTTAAAACAATGTAAATTGATTCTTTCACAGTTCTGGAGGCTAGAATTCCAAAATCAAGATGTCAGCACGGTTGGTTCCTTCTGGAGGGTCTGAGGGAGAAACTGTTCTGTGCTTCTCTCCTAGAGTCTGGAGTCTTTGGTATTCCTTGTCCTGCAGACACATCTGTTCGATCTCTGTCTCCATCTTCACATGGCATTGCCCCCATCTCCATCTGTGTGTTTATGTCTCCTTCCTTCTTCTTATAATGATAATGGTCATTTTGGATTGGGAACTCCTTAATATAATATGATCTCATTTTTAACTATAATACATTTGCAAATACCCTCTTTCCAAATAAGATCACATCCACTGACACTGGGGGCTGGGACCTCAACATGTCTTTTTTGGAGAATACAATGTAACCCACAGCAGGGAGAGTCAAATCTAGGTCTCTCTGAAACCAAAGCTCTCAGTGGGGCACTGGGAAATCTTGATAGTGCAATTAAAATAGGAATTTACAGATACAAAATGAGGTTAGATGATTGTAAAATCATTCTAGCAGTCTTGAAAATGCATGCTAGACAACTAATTAATACAAAGCATCACAAAGATACTTGGAAATATTTCTATAAGCAATGCCTGAAATAATGTAAAAATGGGTAATTCAGTAATTACAGTAGATTGGAGCACATCTGTGAATATTGGGTTCATCAAAAAGTGAATTTAGTTTTTAATTTTTAACTCAATGAGCACTAATTGGAGATAAAAAAATGTACAACCTCTTCCTGTCTGGAGAAGCTGGCGTAATTCATCAGTAACTCAACATCACCTCCATTATATACAGAAATAGTTCATTCATTTTCCGTTGCCCCAGTGTATAACATCAGATAGTGAAATAGATTTACACACACACACGCACACATGTGCACAGTTATTACAAAGGGAGCAACACTGGCAGCTTTATGTTAAGGATGACATGAGATTCAATTGCAATTTCTACATTTTTCTCTCAAGTATTTTTTCAGTTCCACAATAATTTTCATGACTTAGATTTAATCATTTGATCCTGATTTTTGCTGGAAAGTCAAAATCAAAATAAATAATTTAATTTGCTGACTGCACTGTATGAACATTGCTCTTCACATTATCTAAATTTAAAATCTATGGCACATGACCAGAAAATTAGATTTTCTCATTGTTAAAAATGATCAGAATAATTCAGCAGTATGCCTCCAGGTTATGGTTTCTCTAATTACCTTGTATCCTGAATTCTTAATTAATTATATTCTGAGACATGTAAAAGTCCCTTTGTGTTTAGAGCCCATTCTAAGACTTTTCTGTGCTAGGTGAATTACGTACACAGTAAATCTTATCACTGAATTTCAGTTTTGTCCTTCAAGTTGCTGTCCTTTTTGGTCATTTAAATCCCATTCCTCTCAAAGTCAACTTCCTACAATTTACAACAAGCATCCAAACTGCTAGCTTTCTCATACACCAAGATCCCTTCACCTGTCACTGAATTCTCTTGTGACCTAGTTAAATGCTGTTTCTTTCTGGGTCACAGAAATGATACAGTCTTAAGTCTCCACTTTAAGAAGCAGCTCCTGAAATTGATCAGAGCCTTGGCTTCATCAGAAAATCACTGGGTGAGAGGGGTGATGAGCCTCAATACAGATACACAACTGCATCAAAGCCCTGGAACTCCTATCTGCATAAAACACTTTTATTTAAAGATGTTGGATAATGCTCCAAATAATTTTCTCAGAAATTATGGCTCCAGAGATTACCTGAGCTTTAAGTCAAAGGATTTTTCTTTTTTATAAATTTTTAAAATCATTATGAACTGAACTGTTTCTCCAGCAGCCAGGCTAGATGCGACGCCTGGAAATGATTAAAGCCCATTCTACACAGTGGAAGCTGAATGAAAATTAAGAAAAATAACATGTAGTAACTATTTACATGCTTATTACTGTCAGACACTGTACTAAGCTCTTTGTATGTGCTGCATCATTGTCTTCTTGTAATCATCCTGTCTTGCAGATGCAGCAAATGAGCAACAGAGTGATTAACTCATCCAAGTTCACACAACTATTCAGTGTCTGTTCCAAGTGAAAAATCTAAAGCAGTGCTTCCCAGATGTTAAAGTGCATACGGATCTCCTGGAGAACCTGTTGACATGCAGATTCTGATTCAGTGGGTCTGGCATTCTGTATTTCCAGCAAACCCCCTAGTAAGGCTAATGCTGCTGGTCTGTGGACCACAATTTGAGGAAATAGGTGGAGACCTTAACTCTACAGCCTAAGTAGTACAATTGCTCCTGATGAACCTCATAGGGAAAGTCATGCTTTAAGAATTCCTTTATGTTTTTCTACATGATAGAGATAAACAATCTCAAGGTTATAGAATTATGACCATCCATACATGGCCTGATGTTATGAGTAGAGCTCAGCATTTAGGCTCTGGAGAATTGCTTAAGTTTTTCTGGATAGCATCTATCTTTCCTGGACCTTCCTATCCAAATGCACGGCCTGGGAGCCTGGCATTTGGTGCTTCAGAGAAGGGGTTCTGCTATCTGGCTCTCCTCTGCGCACCTGTCCCTGGACAGGCAGAGAGGAGTAGCACAGGTGATAATGTTCATAGAAGTTGAGACAGAGAGCCAGTCCTCATGGTGGCATCAAGGTGCCATGGTAGTCCCAAGCCCAGGGTCACCTGGGAATCTACAGCAGCAGTGTGGCTTCCAGTCCACTGGGCCAGCTCCACACCCTTGGGAAGACAGTGAGCTACATAGATTGCTGCCTAGTGTGTGTAACTTGGTGGGATTATTATCTGGGAAAACCATTAAGGCTTTCCTCCATTTACAAAAATTAAAAACTCAACAAAATAAGAGGAAAAATGGGGAGAAACTCTCAGACTTAAAAACGGACATTCCCTTTGACCTAAAAATTCTGCTTCCAGAACTCTATCCTTCAAAAATCCTAACACTTGTGCACATCTGCACAAAGATGTTCATAGGAAGATCTGTAATAGCAAAACATAAAACAGTCCATCAATAAGAGTGTGATTCAATAAATTATGGAATGACCATTACATGGTAAGAAATATAGCCATTAAAAAGGATATGGCATTGATCCATGAAGATGTCCCAGACATACTACTAAGTAAACACAGCAAGTTTCAGAGCAACATATAAAATATAGCACATTTATATATATATAAAACATAGCATATTTTAATATAAAATATATATTATATAACTCTCATCTACCTATGTGTATTTGTACATTGTTTTAATAAGTTCGGGCTGCTATAACAATGTACCATAGACTAAGTTCTTTATAAACAGCAGAAATTTATTTTTCACAGTTCTAGAAGTTGGAAGTTTGGCTCCAGCATGGTGGGGCTCCGGTGAGGGCCCCCTAGCAGGTTGAAGACTGCCAACTTCTCGAGTAACAGTACAAAAAAATTAAAGGAACCTTTTTTTTTTTTTAAAGTTTAAGAATTTTTCATTTTTAAGCCGCTTGTTCCTGTTTGGCTTGTTAGGCTGTCTTAATTTAGTGACAGTTCCAAGTTATCACTTATTATTAGATAGTCACGTTGTTCCAAATTCTCTTTATCACAAACATTATACAGTAGGCATAACTGACTGAAAATTAATTAGAATTTTAAAAGCAAAAGAATGTAGACCAAAATGGAAGGATTTTGAGAAATAGACCAAACTGCTTCAAGCTGCATATGTAGGTTGGAAAACTGATCTGTTGTACACCCAAACTACCAGTTATTCAAAACTCATCACCAAAAATGATAATTTTCCCTTGACTCACTGATTTGACAGAGTCATTCTATCGACCAGCTTGCATTCACCCATGATAGTTTTGATAGAATTGTGTTGGCCAGATCCTTTGCTCCAGCAGAAAAGGACAGGTGAAGATTGGAAGAGCAGCCCCATGTGGGCTACATGGCCTCAACTTCTCAAAATAGATATTGTGGAAAATGGAGCTTGTTAATTGCCAAGAGTTTGGACAACAGAGGAGTGTCAATTTGGTAGACAAGTCAGAAGGACTGTACATGAAGGAGTTCACATAGCATGTCTGACTGCTATCCTTTGGAAGGCCTGCTTACAAGGTGGGCCTTTGGCTGGCATCTGGGAACTTGGACTTCAGGAGGGTTCCTGTTGTTTCTAGAATAACAAGAGGGGTTCACTATTCCTAAACTGTGCAAACAATATTGTTCATGCTGAACACCTAATTTCCTTCTAGGAGTCTAGAAATTTAGTACATCCCAGGCAGAGGCTGCCATGTGACCAGCCCCCAGTAAAAACCCTGAGTGCTGAGGGTTTTCTTTTTCTTTTTCTTTCTTTTTTGAGACAGAGTCTCACTCTGTCACCTAGGCTGCAGTGCAGTGGTGCCATCTTGGCTCACTGCAACCTCCACCTCCTGAGTTCAAGTGATTCTCGTGCCTCAGCCTCCCAAGTAGCTGAAATTACAGGCACCCGCCACCATGCTTGGCTGATTTTTGTATTTTTGGTAGAGATGGGGTTTCACCATGTTGGCCAGGCTGGTCTCGAACTCCTGACCTCAGGTGATTTGTCAGCCTCAGCCTCCTAAAGTGCTGGGATTACAGGCATGAGCCACTGTGCCCAGCCCTGGGTGTTGAGTTTCTAATGAGCTTCCCTGGTTGGCAACATTTCACATGTTGTCACAACTTGTTGCTGGGGGTGGATTAAGCATGTCCTGTGTGACTCCACTGAGACAGGACCCTTGGAAACTTGTTCCCCTTGGACTTCGCATAGTATGTGCCTTTCTTTTTGCTGATTTTCTTGGTTTCCTTTCATTTTACTAAATCATATCTGTGAGTACGACTATGTTCTGAGTCTTGTAAATCATCCTAGTGAATCACTAAAACTAGGAATAGTCTTGGGGACCCCGACCCAGGGACAGAAGAAAAAAGTGACCTTTCTTTAGATAATTATTTCCAAGCTAGGAGCCAGCCCTTTTAACCTAATGAACCAACAGAGAATGAAGATAGACATAAAATGTTTTTTTTTCCTCTCCCCACAAGAGATCAATACTATTTAATTTTTTTTTTTTTTTTTTTTTTTTTTAGACAGGGTCTTGCTCTGTCAACCAGGCTAGAATGCAGTGGCATGAACATGGCTAACTGCAGCCTTGAATTCCTGTGCTCAAGCAATCCTCCCACCTCAGCCTTCTGAGTAGCTAGGACTACAAGCATATGCCACCGTACCTGGCTAATTTTTTTTTAAAGTTTTTGCAGACATGGGGTCTTGCTGTGTTGCTCTGGCTGATTTAACTCCTGGCCTCAAGTGATCCTCCTGCCTTGGCCTCCCAAAGTGTTGGGATTACAGGCGTGAGCCACTGCACCCAGCCAATCAATGCTATTTCTTAACTGACACCTCTGAATTGCTCTATCAGTTCTGAGGCATGGATGGAGATTTACGATAATTCTCTTTCTGCTAAGGATGGCCACATGATAGACATAGTCATCAATATTTTCCTGATGCTTAATTTATGAACACATCACTGTGGTGTGAGGTTGAAAGGCAGGAGACTTCCACTTGCCCCTCTAAATCCTTCTCACTGAAGTTGCCAAATTTACTAAAATTAGGTAGGTTTTAAGAGGACAAGGAAATTTATCTGGAGACATCATTGATTAGTTTTTCAATTAAAAACGAAGACCACATAGGTAGTGGGAATCTGGCATAAAAAGAAAAGACATGACTCCATCTCAAACGGCTACTAGTGTATGGGGGAGCCTGGGTGTGCTGGAGTCAGCTCACACTGGCTTGTGAGAGCTGACTGTTAGACTGTCAGGAATTTTGTGAACTAGTTCCTATTACTTTGGTAGCCTGAAATCAGCCATGATCGGAGTATTTATACAATGGAAATTGGCAGAGGCAACAGATTGGTGCTCTTCCTCTTTCAGAAGTTTGTGAAACATTTACCTGGAGGAACAGACAAGCATCCAGAGAACTGCAGTGCGGTGAGTACTGCCAAAGATGAGCTCTGGAAATCAACATAGATTTCAAGCAAAGAGTAGGTGAATATGTAGCTAGGGGCCATTCCCCAGGGAGTGGCCTCACAGTTCCAGGATCCTGGTTGGGTGGGGCAGGTGAGCTCTGCTGCTGGCGCAGGTAGGGACACACTGTGGTGGCGGCCAGCGAGGTCCATAGAGGGGCCTTTCCTTGCTTGTGCGCAGACTGCAGAGGCAAGGCAGAGGGCATTCCTCCCTTTCTGGAGTTCTTCCTGGTCCCACGCTAACTCCTTGTGATGTCACTTCTGCAAATTACAATTAACTCTTGCACAGCATGGGTGTTAGGGGTGCCAACCCACTCATAGTAAAAACCCATGCATAACTTTTGACTCCAAAACTTAACTACTGATAGCCCACTGTTGATTAGAAGCCTGACCAGTACCATAAACAGTTGATTAACACATATTTTGTATGTTACATGTATTATTTTCCATATTCTTACAATGAAGTAAGCCAGAGAAAAGAAAATGTTATTAAGAAAATCATAAGAGAAAACATATTTACTATTTATTCAGTGGAAGTTGATCACTATAAAGTTCTTCATCATCGTCTTCACATTGAGTGGACAGAAGAGGAGGAGGAAAAGGAGTGGATGGTCTTGCTGTCTCGGGGGGGGGTGGGCAGAGGCAGAAGAAAATCTGCGCTTAAGTGTACCTGTGCAGTTCAAACCTCCCTTGCTCAAGGTCAGCTGTATCAATTTGAGCCCTACTCCCTGTCTGTAACCTCTTCTGTGTATATTTTAACAGACCTTCACTCCATATGGAACATTTTCGGGAGCTTTTTGGAGGAAAACTCAATTGTGCCCCAAACCTTTGGAAAACTTTTGGAAAAAACCTTATTTATTTATTTATTTATTTTTGAGGGAGAGGAGTGCTGGAGCTGCTGTCTAGAAGAGGTGGGGATGTGCTTAGATTTCCACAGATGTAGGACTCGATGATCTTTATTTGTTCAAGCCTCCAGCACTCTTTTCAATTTTCCCACCAGGGAAAAAATCTCACAAGGCGTGTGCTCAGTAAGAAGTTACATAAGATTTCAACATGTGTACCAGGACAGATAGAAGTTTTTCTGGAGGTAAAAAGTCTCAGGGGGTTGGGGAAGCCACACTAACACAACAAAACTAAAATGTCCCTGTCAGACCAGAGACCCCTCTCTTTGAGAGGTAGACTAGGGCTAAAGAGCTTTTTTGCTCTGTACCACGTCTTTCTACCATGCCCTGTGGAATACACCTCTAAATACCATGCGAGCAATGAACTAAAGACAAAGAAAAGGAAACACTTAAAAAGAGTCAACACAATTGCTAGTTTCATTTTTTTCTTTTTACTTGAAAACTTGTTTTAACCATCAAATTTTGGCAGTTACAAACCTGTACACTGTTGTGTTTTTTTTTGTTGTTGTTGTTTCTTTTTTTTGGCTGTCTTTTTTTTTGTTTGCTTTTGTTTTTTTTTTCTTTTCTTTTCTTTTTTTTTAGAAAAAGAACACAAGACTGAATACTGCCACCAGCAATATATGCAGGAACAATCCATTTCCTTAAGGGACAAAATCCACTCTAAGTGTTAGCTTTCCCCTTTGCATAAGGTTTGGTGTGTGATGTGTGTGCAAGTTGAGGTGAATGTGCATGTATATGAAGAAATGGCATACCTCATTGTGAT
The DNA here is from genome assembly GCF_000001405.40 of Homo sapiens. Lineage (NCBI taxonomy): Eukaryota > Metazoa > Chordata > Mammalia > Primates > Hominidae > Homo > Homo sapiens. The sequence goes on along the minus strand of NC_000011.10, from coordinate 92,896,122 downwards.
TCTGAAATTGCATAAAAATAAAATACTTAATAACTGGGCAAAACACATTCTTTTTTACAAATGTCAATAAAGACAATTTTTCTTGAAAACAGAGAAAGTTAAATGAAAACAGTAAGAACCAAAGAAAGGTTACAGTACATTTTGAAATGAGTAAAAAACATCATTTTCAAATCTAAAATCCTTGTGTGTGTGTGTGTGTGTGTAGTTACCTCAAAAGTTTGCAGACCAACAGCGTGGATGACTTACAATTATATTCGACCCCCCAAATTAAAGCATCCTGATAGGCATCAAATATAGTATCTACAAAAGCCTGGAAAATTGAAACCATTTATATACAATTTTATAAACATTTCAAACACCAAAACATACATCTTTTACAAACCAGCCTGTTTGCAACAGGCAAACGTACAAGACAATCTCTCTGATACAGTGCTTAAAAAGAACTGCTTCCATTTCCAAACACATTTGCCACTCCCAAAATGCAGTAGTGTGGGCTCATAAGATTGTTAAATAGTAGCAATTCAGTTATTTGTTTGCCAGAAGGGTACTACAGTACATACTAATTGGTCCAAACACGCTCCAAATGACTCTACGATTCTCAAGTGCATTCTAAACACTAGAAGAGACTAATTATGGCCTTTGTGTATTATTACCTACTTGTAATTATTGCTTTTCATTATTACATAAGGAAAGAAATATCATATTCTTTTCCTATCTCTTAGCCAGCTGGCTAAATATTAATTGATGCCAAACCCACAAATGGTGACTTTAAACCCCAGCATTACACAACCAGAAGCTCAAAGACATTGTGGATTTTCATCAGAATAATGTGCAGTTGAACACTGTGGGACACAAACCAGCAAAAACATATAACCACCTTCTCACAGAGCACACAAAATGATGACAAGGAATAAATGCCTCTTCAAATCTCCATTTCCCATAGTTTGAAACTAAAAACATAAAACATTAAAGCCTAACCACTTTAGCAATACCTGTGCACTGGGAAGGCAGCGGAGTGAAGAGCCAATTATCTGGACAATCCATGCAAAATGAACACTAGATCTTCCTGAATTACTTCACATAAAACTGTTTTCTGGATTTTAATAATTTATTTTGATAATCTCTTTTCTCAATTCCCCTGACTTTGATGATGCAAACATAGCATCAGTGGGGGTAGTGGATAGGGTGGGGTGGGAAGTAAGTAGGAGAGGACTGATGGTAGATATGTTCAACTTGCTTTTTTTCCAGAATGTGCTAGTAATGTCCAAGGGAAGTTCCAGGCAAATCCCAGAAACTAGTTCCCTTTCCAGCCTTTCACATTTATTCCCTAATTGGATGAACCTCAAAGCATGGACCACCTACTCATGTTCCTAAGTCTTTTATATGGCATTTCATGAATAGGCAGGCCAAGGGTACATGGAAAGCTGGCATAGACTAGAATGCAGCAGCAAAATATTCATAGAGGAAAGGGAATAAATGAAGCATGCATTTTATTCACCTTTTATTACTCCCAAGTTCTTGCTTACTATATGACGAGCACCAAGAGTCTAGCTATTCTCAACCTAACCAGAATGTGTGCAATACTAGTAAAGTGCCTACAACAGATTATGGGAAATGGCTTCCAGGAGGTGGCACATACATGTTCGAAAAATGAGAAAGACATTAATTGATTTAAATAGTTTCCACATGGTTCATCATGGTGGAGGGGGTAGGACAAAGAGTAGCCAGTGTTTGTGGGAAGAAAAAAATGCAAAACCAAAACCAAAAATGCAACCAGTAGGTAACAGTATAATCAAAGTTTCACTACAACTGATGACTGGTCTGAGCTGAACTCTGTAATTATCATTTCATCCCTATTATACAAACATTCATTTGGCAAAAGCAGCATTTCGATGAATGTCTACAGAAATGTATGAATTCTATAACCCCTCTCCCTAGGGGGACTGCAAGGAAACATAAGATCATGAGGCTTTCAGAAAAATATTCTCCATGAATTTTCTTTTATAGCATATTCCAAAGAAGGAATGGTGGAAGTCAGAGGGTCCATCAGAACCAGGTGACTCCCATGCTCAAGGCAGTGTAGGGGTGAACAATATGATGTAAAAAGAATATTGGCTAGATGGATGGGTTCTACTCCTTGTTAAGCGAATTAACTTCCTCTGTGGGCTTGGGCAAGTCTCTTTCCCACTCTGGGTATGTTTCCTCTTTGATAAAATAAGGAGTTTGGACTAGCAAATAGGATTCTTCCAGCTTTTTTGAATTAGTGATCATCCCCACCTAGTAGCATCTTGGCCTGACTGCAAAGCATTTCATAATCTACAGAGAAATCTAACTTTCCAAAAAGTGAAGAGATATCATGTGTTTAAAGATAATAAATCAAAACACAATACATGCTTGCCTGGTATATATTTAGCTGCAGAGCTATTCTGCAGAAAATCAGGGGATGATATCCCAAAGAAAGAGATATTTTATATAGGTCACAGCAAAGGGTGGGCACAATTTTCTTCAGTGGCTTCATGACTGCATTAGGATCTATTTATTCTTTCATTACTGTGTCAGTCAGGCATTCTCCCTCAAAGAGATGCTGTGTAAGCAGTAGGGACTCATCAGCATTAATCTCATTCTAATATTTCCTGGGGGCAGGAAATGACATGTTGGTTTTACTTTGATGGTTTTTATGTCATTGCATTACTTAAAGTGTAGCAGTCACTCTATTCTAGGCCATTAGTTTGTCATTTTTTTCCATGATTCTTGCAAATGTGCTTCTTACATAAGAAAAATACCAAAGACTTTGTTCTCGAAAGCAGCCTTAGTGAAATTCATTTATTTCAAGATCACAGTGTGGATAATACCTCCATGAGTAGGTCTGACCAAGAGACAGGAAGAGAAAGGCTGGAAAACTTGTGAAGTGTAGTGTATCCACTTACTTAGAAAGTTTGGGAATGAAAAAGGATTTTTTTTTTTGCATAAACATTCAGAAACACTGACTCATAAAAAAGAAGTGGATTAAACGCAATTGAAATAACTAAAAATATGTCTGAGTGAATAATGCACAGACTAGGGACAGTACAATTTACACACCAATGCCATATGTCATCAGAAACTGTGGACACAGATTTGCTCATTAAGCAGATAGTGCAAATATGCATATATTTACCATGGCCACTGCACAGGCGGCCGTAATCTGATTGAAGCAAAAAAGGAAAGTCCCTCAACCTGTCAACTTTCAGTTTTGAGGACTGGATTGTTATATTTCCAGTGGAATGATTCTCCTGTTAATTTTGGAAATCATGGCCAAAGCCCACAGATGAGAAGGGAATCCCAGGGTGTAATCAAACATTACACACTTTTAAAACAGAGGTAAGTTCTGGAAAATTATAACAAAATACTGTTTTTAAAAAGCACAGTTTTGGGCTGGGCACGGTGGCTCATGCCTGTAATCCCAGCACTTTGGGAGGCCACGGCAGGTGGATTACGAGGTCAGGAGTTTGAGACCAGCCTGGCCAACATGGTGAAACCCCATCTCTACTAAAAATACAAAAAATTAGCCAGGCGTGGTGGCACACACCTGTAACCCCAGCAACCTGGGAGGCTGAGGCAGGAGAATCGCTTGAACCCAGGAGGTGGAGATTGCAGTGAGCTGAGATCATGCCATTGCACTCTAGCCTGGGTGACAGAGCAAGACTCTGTCTTGAGAAAAAAAAAAAAAAGCACAATTTTGCTTTATTGGCAGTACCAAAATAAAGTTAACTGAACCAGAGTAAAATATGGCATTTGATGTTTCTCTAACACCATAGAGATCAGAGAAATTGAAAGGTATGCCATGCTCGCCGGCAGAATTTTCAACATGGTCCATTTCCCAAAACCTTCACATTAGCTTTCCTCAAGAGCAGCCTTACTGAGTGCAAGCACATATTTGTACATAGGCCCAGACACACACACACTATTATAATTTATACACAATAACTAGTCTACTTTCCTCTTTTCTTAACATAATTGTATTTATAATGGTGATGCTACCGATTTAGAATAACAGACACCTTTCCTCTGCATTATGAAGAATTGTGATTATCTAGGCCGCAAACTTTGAAGGTATCGTTTTTTCTTTTTTCCCCCCTGAATTTGTGAGTTTTGCTTAAACTTCTAAAAATATCTAATTGTAGAGAAGCTATATGAACAAAGCCAACTTCTGTAGCAATGTTAGATTTACCAACTGGAATATTTACCAGAAAACACAAAACCAACCAGATAATCACATTCTTTCTAATGTTCAAACAACTTTAACTTCCTCCCCCACCCACCAAATGGAACCCAAAAAGCCTCATGTTGCTCTTCATTGATACCTTTCTTGAAGATCATAAAACCCAACTATATTAGATTGGATGCTTAACACAAACAAACAGAAATAACTGAGCATACTAAACATGTTATTCAAGCCTAATTTTATAGCTGAAAATTGGGCAGCTTATCAAAAAAATAGAGTTGATTTAAAAGGCTTCAGCCCATTTTCTGGTTTGTTTAATAATATTTGTTTCTCTTCTCTTTCGCCTAAGAGACTAACTTTTCCAACAATCATTACTACTATTTTCATTTCATTGGCTCAAAATTACATGCAACAATGCCTCTTTGATTGTTGCCAGTTTTTAATACTGCAAGGACTGATGCTGTAACACTTTCCAGGGCACAATACTGCACAAAGCCATACAAGACTGGCTGTATAACTTAGTGGGTGAAATAATTTTTCCCTCTTTGCATTTTTAGCTGTGAACATAGGTACCTACATCAAGGATTACCAGTCACCTCTCAAAAACAATTTCTGAGCCTTTCATTTTCACCCAACTGGAATCAAGCTTGCTTGTTGGGACAGTATGACTTGTGAAGAAGTTTCTAGTGGAAAAATACAGTATTCCCTTCTCATTCCACAGACAATGCTCCACTGGGACAGAAGCCCAGCCAATCTGCTTCCACTTTTCTGTAACAAACAGGGTGAAGTACCCAAGATGTGATGTCTACACTTGAGTCTGATGCTGAGTCTCCACAAAGGGAATGTGAAGGCTGGCGAGGCTGAGCTCTCCCACGCTCTCGTAGTCACTCATGGCTACTTCGGAATCGTCAAAGCCGCAGTTGGCAGACACATCCGAGGATGAGGTGCCTCTGGAATTGTGCAAGGACAGAGACACGCTGTCTGCTGGGCCTGTGGGCTCTGTGCCCTGGTTCATGCTCACAGCAAAAGTACTAAATTCACAGCTGGCAGGCGGGCCCACCAAATCCGTTTCGTTGGGGAATGGGTGAGGAGGGAGATACTGGCTAGGATGAAACTGGGGCCTTCTCCTGCAGTCTGGGCTCAGTGTGCTGGCCAGGGAGACAGGCTGGGAGGGTGGCAGGGCCTCATATTGGTCTGGGAAGTCCTCCGGGAGAGGAGGAGGCAGCTGGTCCTGACTCAAGAACTCCTCTTCATGAGGGGGTGGGTATTCACTGTCAATGTCATAACCACCCAGGTAGTAATCGCTCTCCAGCTCCCGTGTGCTCCCCTGGTGTGCAGACCCTCCATCCTGGTTCTCATAGTTGGGCACTTCCTCTATGTCCGACAGGCGGGCCCCTGGCATCCAATCAGAGGTGTCCCAGTGATAGGCTGCAAGAGAAAAACCATGACAGTTAATTTCCTCTAGACTGGAGTTGGTGCTTTGCTGGGAAAGGAGCAGGGAAGGGACCTGACATGCAATTTTTAGCATCCAAGAAACCCTAAGAAGCTTATTACAAGGGTCTATGGGGCCAGCCATGCTTTGGCCTGCGGACAACAAGGTGATGGCAACTCTGACAGGTTGATGCCTGGTTGCTGCAGAGCCTCACACTCAGCCATGCCATGAGACGAAGAGCGAGGGCACGCCGAGGAGACAGTTCCAGGACCCCTGAGTACTGTCCCCACTCCCTCTTCCTAGACACATGCTATTGCAGAGCCAGACTGGCAACATGCTTGCAGAGAGGTCCATCAGCTGTGCTGTGGACCACAGGAGGCAGGAAGGCGTGCAGGCAAATGGGTGAAACACACGCACAGAGGATGAGGCTAGGAGGGGAATGCTGGTGGAGCTTTCACCTCCAATACTGAGCGCACGAGACACCTGAGACATGCAAAATTCAGATCAGGGCAGAGGCACAGGAACAGGGTAAGAATGAACTCAGCAATTCAAAACAAACACACAAAAAGTTATGCTAGGGTTGCGGCACAGTCACCTCGGTTGTAGTTCTGTCCTTGGTCCATGACAGACACTGTTTAAATACAAAGTGAAAAGTAAAACTGACAGTCCAAACCATGTGAAGAGGGATAAAACAGAACATTTGAGATGACTTTTAAAAACATACTCCTAAAGGCCTGTGGGCTACGACTAAGTTTAGCCTTTTTTATTTCTTCCCATTGTTATTTAGGGAAAAAACAAAGCAAAACAAAACAGATAAATCACATTTATGCCAGGCCCTAATTTTATTAAGTTACTAATAAAAGTTACGTGGTTGAAATAAGTATCCATAATATTGCAGCTGTGAATGATTTCTTAAGGATTCCCAGCTCATAATAGGTGCTCAATGAACACATGTTGAATATAAAGATAAATTTAGTATTAATCTGGATTGCAACTAATTGGGTGCTCTTTTCTTGAAAGGGATTTTATAAAGAGGGTACCTTATATATTTTTTACAAATTATGAACTGGGTTTTTTTTTTTTCAAAATTTTAAAACAGATCCATAAATATCCCACATCTCATCAGAAACCAGCTGTTTATTGCCCCCTCTGTGGCCAATCCATTAAAATCACTCCTAGTCCAAAGTAACAAGGAAGCAAAATTTCAAGAAATGCTATGGAAGAAAAAAAGTAAATACCTTCATTCTCTATAGTGTCAACTACATTGTTGACAAGCTGAATGACAGTCACTATGGAGGCTTGTGGTCAGGAAAAGAAGTCGGAGGTAGGGGAAGGACAGCTTCAGGTTAGTTGTATATTTTAAACACACCTTATTTTAACAACAACAACAACAGCAACAATGAAGGTGCGGCATGCAAACACCCAAAGCCTCCCCACAATCTGTTAGGAAGTGTATCAGTGGACACCTTTATCTAGAGGGTCCCGGGATTTGTGGAATGGAAGATAAATGGCAGCAAATCCAATGCCAGTCCTCCTGAAAGGCAGGATAGGTCATGATTGCTGAGTCATAAAGTCACCCCTCATGACTCAGCAAAATCAATTTAGGAAGGCAGTGGCTCATCAAGCTCTTGCTAATTTATCGTTAACAACTCCCAAAGGCTCTCAGAGGAAGACCTCACTATTTCCGGGGATAATTATTTGTTGGTCAGTCATGCTGCTCTGAACCAAATGCCAGTGATAGAGGATAACCTTTGCAGGGTTGATGGCTTCACGGTCACATAATGCCACTGACAGCCCAGAACGACCCAAGGCCTAGCTCCCACCAGTAAAGTGTGGACAGAAGTCAGCATTTGGCCTCTCGAATAATTAGAATAGAGAAGGAGATATCTGTGGTCTATATGGGTTGCCTTAATGCTCAGTACAAAGGCTTGTGGAGAGGTGATCAGGCTTAAAACCAATTTGATGAAAGTTCCTAACACCACCTGCCTCATTTGGGACCAACTTGGAAGGTTAACCCTAAAAGGGCAAGAGTGTGATCCTCAGGGTGCACACAGCAGAGCCCATGAGAACAGTTAACCAGGCATCATTGTTGGAGCTGCTGCCTGGACTCTGGACTCTATATTCTTAGGTATTTCTATATAAAGTGCAAACTAGCCACAGCTTTTCTTCTGGCTAGGGAGGAGGAAAAGAGGATACATCAAGGCAGACAGATCTGGGAGTGTGTCTTTGACCTTCCGATAATGGTCAGAAAAAGTCCACTGTTAGGTGATTTGTTGTCCCAGTAGATAGATACACTGAAGGCATCTGCACTTCTCAGAAGTGCCATCATTTGAAAGTGGTGATGAAAATAGGCTCTTTTACTTCCATGATTGCTTCTATGGTCTTGGAGCTCACCTGTTTCTGTATTTGCCTTGAAGACAAGGGCTATGCCTTTCTCATTTTGTACTCTGGGAAAAGGACTCAGCACATGCAAAAAATTCAGCAAGGATTTATAGATTGAATGATTACATAAATTAATAAGTATCCATTTGTTGCTAGTTGCTGACAAATGGGAAAATGACCTAAGGTAAGGCTGCTTGTCTCTGTGGATGACTGTTTGAAATTATTCTTAGTTTACCCAGCACGTTGAAAACACTCACTGTTTTATGACTGTTCCTGCTTCCCTCCCCTGCCCTGGGGAGAACAACCCATCCTCCGAAGCTGGTTCCTCAGCTCAGAAAACCCAGTCCAACATTAGCACCCTCTCCATAAGCATAAGTTCACAAGAGGTAGAGGTAGCAGCTTTGGAGTGTCAACAAAGTCTGTGAACCACGAGAAATTGCATGCAACATTTTGGGTGTATGTGCATTTTTCTAAGGAGCTGCTTCACAGTTTTTAATAAATTCTCCAACAGCCCATAACCCAAATGATTACAAGGGGGATTCAATTGAATGAAGATTCCACTGGTTCTATAAGAAGGTTTTTGTCTCTGAACTAATTTCTAATGACGGGGATGTTGGATGTACAGTGAAGAGGGAAGAGATCATTGGTAAAATAAAAAAAGAAAGAAATTACTCTGTCTGCTAGAGAATATCATTTGGGATGAAGTAGTTCCACCACAAACCAAATAAAAGAGGACTCACTACTGGAGGCCCAGGGTAACTACATCAACCCCTGATACAGATCTCTGGGCCTGCTCACAGCTACAGCTCAATGGGGGCTCCTTTGGCAATGACACCCAACAATGGAGTAAACCAGGGACCTGGTGAACACGCTCAAAAGCCCATGAACAGGTTGAGAAACAAAGCCAGTTGCACCACCCTCCTCCCAACCATGGTCTTCCAGAACAGGAAGCAGAACCCACCCGCTCCGAACAAATCTGATGACTTCTTACCATTGTCGTCACCAGAATCTGACTGGAAGGAGCTGAGGGACTGAACTTCAGAGTTGCTGCCTTTATTACTACCTGCAAAGCAGGTCACTTCTCCCGGGTCATCAACCCCTTTGTCTTCATGGACAGTGAAAGAGAAAGCAGAAATTACACTGGTTACCTTGTGCCTATTTCCAGTCCCACCCACCCCTCTCAGCTAGTTCACTTCTCGAGGCACTTTCATTTGCTTAGAGAAAATAATTTAGCTCCACAGTAGAAAATTGACTGTGCCACTGGGGGCAAAGTTCTGTCAATCAAGTGATTTACATTATGGATTCGAAACCCTTAGCCCATAGTAAATGAGCTTCCAAACAGCTGACAGCCAAAAGTGGCTGTTTCTTCCTCGAAGTGAAGCAACTGAGTGAAGAGTGAAATGAGGATGAAGTGGCTGCATTGCTCTTTGCCATTCAGAGTTAATTTACATCATTTACATGAACTGATGAGGTGTCAACACCAGGTTAAATGAGATAACTTTTAAAATGGGGTATAAATATTTTATAGGCAAGAATGCCTTTACATTTATCCTAACTTCCATCTCTGGACAGTAAGTGGAATTTTCAGCTTTGCCTCCTAGAGGGCAGCATTGTATCATTTTTGGGAGTGACCATGTTCTGCACCCTGTGTCAGGTAGGAGGGCTGGCAGTGGTGTGGATATGCCCTTAACCACATATGTCCTCCTTCTTTACCGTACAAAGACAGTCAGAAACACACAGATGCACATGCGTGCACACACACACACACACACACACCAGGGCTACTTTCTTATTTGATGGACTAAAGGAAGCAATAAAAACAGCCTATATCTTGAGGTTGCCAAGTGCAAAATGAATTAGTAGCCCAGAAATTGTCTCACCAGCTAACTCTGCCTTGCTTAACAAAGAAGGAAATGTATTCAATACAACCCAACAATACTTTGGGGGGAAATGTGAGTTTTGGCCTGAGGTGAATTCTGGAAATAAAGCTGTCACATCAGCAAGGAGTGAGGGCAGTGATCACCAGGAAGAGCTGCAAATCATCATGTAACGCAATGGTACAAAGAGATACAGACTTGTGATTAAAGGAACATTTGTTCCTCTCCGTGGCCACAGAAATCACGTTTCTTCCAAAAAGGGTGGTGTCAGGAACAGGCATGGTGGCTCTGCATCTGCTGTCAGAGGCTGAGGCCACAGGAGTTGGCTAAACGACCGATGTAAGTGGAGAGATATGCCAGGGAGACATTCACCTCCTAACAGCCATGTTGCAGAAAATATGACGATGAGCTTCAGAAAACCACAAGGTGTGCACAAGCTTAGCCCTGAACACAAGGAAGGAAATGACAAATAATCCACTCTGGTGAATGAAGTGCTGAGCATAAAACTCCTTTCTCCACTCCTTCATTTATTAACTCCCCCCTTTTTTATTGCTAAATAAAAAAGAGCCTATTAGCTAGTGGATTGGCAAGATTATAGTGGAGTCTAACTCAACAGATAATTTGAGAGGGAGTATATTTATGGCTGAAATTCAAGGGCAACTGCTTAAAATACATGTGTCTACAGAAAGACAATCAGCAGATAGCAAGTTGGGGCAGCACTAGAATAGAAAGAATTCATTCTTGGCCCTCTGTTATCACCAAGAAATCCTCTTCCTCTAATACCGCTCACCCTCCTTCCTGCCAAAGCTCCCAAGAACAGTGCTGGTAAGAGCACAGGTTTTAATCCTAACTTCTCCTTTTGCTAGTTAGGTGCCTTCAGGTGCGTATTTCACCCATTGAAGGGAGTTTTTTCCTCCGTGGAATGATGGCCTGGTAATGGTACCAACATGGGGGCACTATGATGGTTTAAGGAGATGATGCAACACACAGCAGTGTGCTTCACATTCACCTGCTGCCCTGACTTTCTCATCAAACCTCTTGGTTCTCAACCCTTGCATTCTGGCTTCTGCCTTGATGGCTCTACTGAGAAGCTCTTGAGATGCTGACTCCTCTCGTCATCAGGCTCACTATACATCTATTTTAGCCTGTGTCCTCCTTGGCGGTTTCACAGCATTCAACACTGATGACCTTACTGACATTCTCTTGGCTTCTGCACAAGGGTCCTCTCCTTTTCCCTCCTCTTTCTTTGTTGGCAAGTGTTTGTCTCCTTGCCTGGCTTCTCCCCTTCTGCCCAAAGCCCACATGTAGTCATCTCCAGGGTTCTTTTGGAGGCCTGGTTTGACCATCCTCTCTGTTCTTGTTCCCTTGGTGAGTTCACCCTCCTACAGAGTCCACCATCCTACATGCAGATGTTGTTCAAACTTTCACTTCTAACCTTGACCTCTCACCTGAACAACAGAGCCAGACATCTCTCGGGTAACCCTTTACTTGTCCTCTACACTGAGCTGCTTCCTGTTCCTGGGAGGGCATCTCCAAAGTGTCCTACTGAAATCTTACTCATGCTTAAAGATATCAGTAGGAATATCCCCTTCCTCCATGAAGAAAACCTTTATCTCCCTGGCTGCCCATGGTCTCTAGCTCCATCTGAAAACTTCCTGTTTCCTCCTTCTCCCTCAGCATATGCCACAGTGCTATAACCATAGCCTTCTAGGCTACCTAGGACACAGCTGCTACTGCGATACAAAGCCATTTGTCCTGATGAAGTTATAGGTTACAGCAAAGCTTCCTTTAGTCTCCTTGTGATGGACACTACAGCAGGGAAAACAATCTCTCACAGAGATGTTCACAGAGAGTACCTTACTGGCCCTCTGCTTTCTTCCCTTTTTGGGAAGAAAGCCTGTTCAATTTCTTCTCCTAGGATCAGCCAGAGCCAGCTTTAAAAAATGTAAATTATCATGCCAGTCACTTACTTAAAAACCTGCAATAGTGCTGCTGTTAAAATGTATCCGTTCTCTGGTGCTCAGCAAGCTCCAACTGCACCGACCTCCTCTGTGTTCTTCTACACACCAAGCTCCTTCCCACCCCAGGACTTTTGCACCTGTGGCTCTTCCCTGTGCCTAGAATGTTGCTGTGTGAGGCCAAGTGAAGAGGCAAACACCTCCATCTGGCCCAGACCACCTTTCTGCCTTGTGGATCCCCCTCTTGTTTCATGGTCTCTACATTCCAGCCAAGAAGAAATGACTTGCTTTTCTTCTGATCACATGGGTCCCCCTACGGTGGAATATCCTCCTTTCCCCAGACTCTTTAACTCATCATGGTCCAATTGAAGTGTCCCTCTGCTTCTCTCAAGTCTTCATTCTAAGACTGGAAATACTCTCTTCTTCCAGCCTTCCAGAGCACACTTCTGGACATCACTCAAGTGGCTTTTTGCACTTTGTACATAGGCCCAGACACACACACACTATTATAATTTATACACAATAACTAGTATACTTTCTTCTTTTCTTTTGCACTTTGACCAGTGGCCCGCTATTGTGAGAAGAGGATGGGTTTTGGAGCCTGGAAGACTTGAGTTGGGGTACTGACTGCCTCTTACTAGCTGCCTCACCTTGGGCTCATGATGTTACCCTCTCTGAGCTTCATTTCTCCCATCTGTAAATGGGAACCAGAACCAGGACAATTTTCCAGAGCTGGTGTGCACATTCGACATCAGCACATGTCATAGCGAATGCTCTGCATGCGGGGTCTCTCTCCCTTCCCGTAGCGTCCTCGCACAGCGCCCCTGCAGGTTCCCTGTAAGCACCGAGGGGTGAGCATTACCACTTCCTACTCACTCTCAGTTCCCGCGTCCCAGCCATTCTTCCGGATGGAGTCGCAGTCGGAGCGGCAGGGTGACACGGCGGGGAGGTTGGGGGCCACACTGCACACGACCACGCCCCGCCGGGCTGTCAGGATGCGGGGCGACTCAGGGTGAAACGTGGTCATTTCCTGGTGCTCGCCTCCCAGCCCGTCCACGATCTTATCCAGGTTGCTCCTGGAGTCACTCTGGAAGCAGGGTGTGTAGGCCATGGGGCGCACGGGGACCTGCGGGGGCCCCACCTCCTGGTAGACGTTGCGGCCGTCCCCACTGCCGCGCAGGTTCCGGAACGGGATGCCATTGCTCTTGTTAAGCAGGGCGGCGGTGGCCGGGTCCTGCACTAGCGTGATGTTGTTGCGGGAGTAGTTCTTGCGGAAGACCTTCTTGCGGAAGACTATGAAGAGAACCACCAGGATGAAGATGACGAAGAGGACCACGGCGATGCCGATGAGCTCCTCCTTCCCCACGTAGGAGTGGCCAGCCTGGATATTGGGTACCACCACGGGGCGCAGCCCGCAGTACTGGCCCACGTAGCCCGGCGTGCAGTTGCAGAGGAAGGAGCCGAACACGTTCACGCAGGAGCCTCCGTTCTCACACTCCTCTCGTTCGCACTCATTGATGTCCTCCTCACACCTGCGGCGACACAGAAGCCCCTCCCCACCGTCAGGACCAGTGCACACACGTTGGTATACGGGAACTCGAGAAAACACAGACATCTTTAAAAGAAAACGATGCACCTAAAGGGTACAGATGAAGCAGGACAAAGATGGTTGGTGGGGGGGGGGAGGGGGAGTTAATTTAGGCATTTCTGTGGCCACTGTGGTCCCCAAGTCATCACCTTGCCTTAAGGTGTTCCTCCCAACCCAATCTCTCCCAGGTCTTCCTTTCCTACCTGGGTTGGGGGAAAGGAAGAGACTGAGGTGGGAGAGGAGAGGAGGAGAAAGAGAAAGAATAACAGATGCTATTGAAAAGGTACTGGACTCCAAATCCGCGGGAGCAGATGCATCTCAGAATTTAAAATTGTGCAGTTTTAGCAAGGACATGCAGCACATATCTTTCACATTATGTAAAATACTCCTCCCCCTCACAGAAATTGGTGCTGGCCGTAGTATCCCATAATCAAAAATACCAGTGTTTCTGCAGTGAAACATATGGATATTCACACTAAATGAGAGAAATAAAGAGTAGAAAGAGCCTCAAAACAGTTTTGAACAGGTTTTGCCACCAAATTAGTTTGCCACTAACATACTCCAAACCCTTTAAGTTCTCAGAGCTTTTGGGATTGTAGAATTGCAGACAAAGAGCTGTGAATCTATATATCGGTTATAGGTTTTCCCCAGAGGAAAGTCTTTGGTTCTGACATTTTCCTCTAATGGCTACAGTAATTTTTGGTCCCTCTGGGAAGCTGGGGGCTGCAGGTGGGTGGGTGAAGGGCTACATGTCTTCAACATTCTGTGCTTATGTTAAAGGCTAATACTCATGTAGATTTTCAGGAAGAATGACTAAAGCATTCTAATGAAAAATAATTAAATCAATTTTATTCTCTTTAAAGCAATCCATGACTCACTTTGAGTATAATTATAAGGCAAGTGTTTCAGTCTTATTCTTTCTTAGCTTAGTATTATTTGAGAACATAGACCTTCTTTTTCACTTTTCTCTATTTCAGCAATTTTTCTGATATTTAAAAGGTCCAATCACCTATATTTTTGGTAATCTACCTTTTAAAATGTAGCCAAACGAAACCTAATTTGAACAGATAGAGGTGAGGACAGCCGGAAATTAGTCAGAATCACAGAGTATTTAAAAATAAATGCCGCTTTATTACTTTAAATTACATCCAACGATTCAAAATCAGTTAAGTATTTCCTGGTAAAGTCCTCGGGAGATTTGCTCTAATGAATAAGTAAGACTGATCTGTAATTAGAATATCACTTGCTTGAGATTACATACATATACTTCTAAAACGATCAAGGATGGCTGAAAGTGGCATTTTACTAGGAATTTAAAACGGTCTCTTTCCTTTTGGCAAATATTTAATTTTGTTTCTTTCTTATGAAAGAAAGGTTTGCAAAGGGAAGGTAAGTTTCAGTATCTCAGAATGATCAAAAAACAATAGGCCGTAGAGTCCAGTTAATGGATTCTGCGGAAATGGGTAGTATGTCTGCCTCCGAATTATAATAGAAATATTAGGTGGCCTAGATGACTTTCTTTTCTCCCTAGTTACAGACTACATAGTAATCATACACAATTTTGAAGGTATAGGGAAACATAAAGTAGAAAATATGAATTACTCATGACCCTACTACCCAGAGATAATTCCTATTAACATTTTAGTCACCTGTAAGCACTCCTTATACGTATCGTGCAGATGTTAACCCTTTGCCTGTACTATTAGTGGTAAATATTTTACCCTCATTAGTTGTTTACTGGTTTGTTGTAGCAATAAAGAACAGTGTAGAGAAAGACACTTATGTAATCTCACTTACGTGACTCCAGTGAGCCCAGCTTTACAATTGCAGATGAAAGTGTTTCCTATTGGATCGCAGGATCCTCCATTCCGGCAGGGGTTTGGGAAGCAGGCTGTAATCTCAGATTCACAGTTTCTCCCCGTAAACTGTGAGAGACAGGTACACTGATAGCCTGGGGAAACAGAGGACCTCATGAGCCATGGATGCCACTGCTAGGGCTGAGTGCTTGGACTCAGCTATAACATGTCCTCCTAATTCTTTGTTGAACCGTATAATAGGAAGGGCCCAAATTCCAAAGGTGGTTAGCAAATTGATTGCTTGAAACATCTTGCCACAAAAATGCCAAGTTACAGTTGGGATTTCCTGCTAGCCCACAAAAATTCACCTAATTAACCACATACATGAATGCTAGTGAGAACTGTAAGACCCACCCAAGGGACAGATTTCAAGAGCAGAACCCAAGATGGGGAGGAAGATGTTTTCTCCCCGGCACTATTACTGCACAAGGCAGATGCCTCCAGACAGGAGTGGTTTACTATTGATACCATGCTACCTCTTTTCCTGAGTCACTGTCCTATCTCGTGTGCCCCTTCTCCTTAGCCAAGTACTGAAATCCCACCCAGAGAGGGAATGAGGGGAGAGCAGGTAAAAGGATATTTGTCAACTCAAATGAACCCCAGATTGGCAAAGGCACAGGGAAATGGAAGGAATTCCAGCCTTTGCCCAGCTCCCCTGGTCCGATCCTGATTTTTGCATTTTTTTCACTTTCTCCCCTCATAAGCCCATCATGCAGAAATTGGTAGTAATATAATATCCTCACTACAGAGAATATGAAATATCAGATGTGGAAAGAGGCATTATCGACCTCTTGAGATGCATTATCTCTTGAGATGGAAGGGATGAATAACTAGTAAGGGTGTTCTTTCTTCCCTCCTTTAAAAAAAACCGTAAGATTTGTTTTTTTAAATTACAGATATACATGCACATAGTAAAGAGGAAGGCAGTTCTACAAGTTTTATTTTGTCCACTAGCAGTCTTCTCTCCCATTTACACTTCCTCCGAAGCAACCTGGGTATCCCTTTTGGTATTTCAATATTTCCTTCCATAGTATTTGACTATTTTTGTGATTATTTTAGTGTTAGGCATTTTCTATTAGCTTTCCACTATGCTTTTTTTTATTTCAAACCTTCAGCCTCACCACATAGGAACACCTCTTGTGATGCCCCTATCTCACAATATATTATAGTATTATAATTTTGGTTAAGTCAATGCAGTGTTTGCATTATGATGACAATGAAACGTTATTTGCAGCTAAGCCATGTAGTAAGCTCGATTGTATTTTTATATTCATGCATAACTGGTTTTCCCTGGAGTTAAAAAATGTCCAGTGTTTTTGCTTGCTTATTTCTGAATATTGATTGTTAATTTAACTAGAAACTCTTCACCAACCCGGTCTCTCCGAGTTTAGTTGCCTCTGCTTCCCTGTATTTTCATCCCCTGAATTAGTCTCTCCTGAGGCCCTCTGACTGGCTTCACCCTGAATGTTGTCCTCTGGCCCTGCTTTCCTGCTGTCCTGTGTTGGATCTGGTGATTCCTGTATCACCTGTCTGCCTATTTCTTGGTTTACTCTCTCATTTCACTAGAACGCATTCCACAGTTACTTCCTCCAAAAGGGTTTATAGGAAGGAAATCTTGTGAGACTTTGCATAGCTGAACATGTCTTTACTTCACCCTGATACCTCTTTGACAGGTTGTGTAAAAAATTATAAGCAATCCCTCCATGTCGCTTTTGAGAAATCCAAAGTCATTTTGGCTCTTGGAGTTTGTATGTAACTTGTTTTTTTTTTCCCCTCTCTTTAACATCTTGGAGGATCTTTTTGCCTCCAATTTTCTGAGATTTTGCAGTGATGTACTTTATATGGGTTTATTTTCAGCCAATACTGGATACTCAGTGGGCTCTTGCAATCTGGAAATTTTTGTGTTTTCACTTTAGGAAAATTTCTTTTATTATTTCTTTGGTAATTTATTTTCCTCTGTTTTCTCTATTCTATTTTTATGGAACTTCTATTTTTTGGATCTCAGATCTCCTGGACCTTCCTCTAACTTTATTTTTTCTCTCTTATGTTACATCTCTATGAGGTTTTGCTTTACTTTTTATGACAGTTTCTTATCTCCTTCACTTTTATTGAGATTTCATTAATTTGTCATTTTCCAAGAACTTTTTTTGTGCGGAGCTTTTTTTTTTTTTTTTTTTTTTTTTTTTTTTTTAACACATAACATCCTGCTCCTGTGTTGTGGTTATAGTATCTTCTCTTATCTGTCTGAGGATATTAATAATACTTTTATGAAGTTTTCTCCCTGCAGTTTTTTCCAAGTTGCTTTTCTCTGTTTCTTTGTTTTGGTCTCTGTGATATTTAACCTTATGTGTCAACTTGGGTAGCCTATTGGTAGCCAGATGTTGGGTCAAACACTAGTCTAGATGTTGCAGTGAAGGTATTTGGGTATTTGTGGATGTTATCAATTTATTTATTTATTTCTATTTTTAGCTGTGAGTCTCACTTGGGTATGACAAAATGTATAATCAGTTACCTTAAAATGAAACATATTACTCTCCATAATATGGGTGGGCCTCATTATTCAGTTCAAGGCCTTATGAAGAAAGAATCCTGCCTCAAGACTGTAACATAGAATAAATTTTACCCAAATTTCCAGCCTGCTGGCTTACTCTGCAGATTTTGAATTCAAGACTGCAAAATCAACTCTTACATGAATTTTCAACCAGCCAGCCTGCTCAGTCATAAGCCAATTCTTTGAAATCAGTCTCTCTCCACATACATGTATGTGCACATGCTCATGTATATACACAAATGGTCTCTGCCTTATGATTGTTCAACTTATGATTTTTTGACTTTATGAAGGTGTGAAAGCAATATATACTCAGTAGAAATGTGTTTCAGGTAGGCTAGGCTAAGCTATAATGTTTGGTAGGTTAGGTGTATTAGATGCATTTTTTACTTAAGGTATTTCCAACTTATGATGAGTTTATTGAGATGTAACCCCATCATAAGTTGAGGAGTAGCTGCATATATCTCCTATTGGTTCTGCTTCTCTGAAGAACTCTAATACATTTTCTATCTTCCAAATGAGATGATTTCTTTACTTGTAACCATTGCTTATTAGTTCACATTGAAGAGTATAGCAATAGAAAACTAGAAATCTGATGAGAAGCTCTGAGCACATTAATGGGGCTCAGCAACTGTAAAACTGAGTCAGTAGCTTTGTCATGGTCAGTTTCCCTAGCAACAGCTCATCTTATCGTCTGTTCAGAGGGAAGGTAAAGGCCTGGTTTCTAATACTGGGAGGTTGGGTGGTGGCAGAGGAGGGGTGGTTGTGAGTTTCAGCATCCAATAAGCACATCATATTTACTTTAACCCCTGTACAGCACAGTGTCTGGCATGCTCCAGTCCTGAGACCCTGCATTTCAACATCACCTGCAGGCCTCGTCACAGCATTGGGGGAACAATTGCCTGGTTGTGCAGAGGGAAGGTGGGAATCCAGATTGAATCCTGACTGCCTCTAAACCGTTTTGAGCAATTCTTATTTTAAGCTCTTTTCCCCATCTCTCCCCCTTCAGAAGTGACTGGTGCCTCCAGTTCCTGAGTTTTTGGGGATTCAGTCCCCCGAGTTTTTGGGAATTCGGTCCCTTCTACCAGCTGGAATTTAGGTCTCTAAGAGCTTCTTTTCTCTCTCTCTTCCTTACCACCTGTCTCTCTGCCTTCCACCTCCAAACCTGTGTTGGTGTTGTCTACTTCCCTATTCTCCTCACTTCTATGGGCTTATGACTCATTTAAAAATAACTTTAATTCCATAGCAGTGGGGTTGTAACAGCAAGCTGCCACCCTTACCCTGAAGTGGCCAAAAAGGCTTTCCCCATATCTAAGACCTTTTGTAACTACTGCAAGGAACCATTCTCACTCTTACTTGAAGGACTCTTGGGTTTCTCCTCTTCAAATTTGTCAGTGACTGATGTTGGGATTATAAAGCTTGATCTCTACAGATAAAAGATAGTTAAAAATGAATAGTTTGAAATGAACATATGCTCTTATGGATGTTTTGCTGAATACCCATTACAGATAACTCCCAGGTACAGAAGGAAGAATGATTGTGTGTTCATAGGTTCACAGAGAGAAAATCTTATCTTCAAGAGACAGATGCAGGAGCCAAGAGAGCAATCTATATATTTCCAAGTGGAGGAGACTATGCAGCCCCAGCCTTCCTGGCAGCAAGAAACACAGAGGGAAAGAGACTGAGACTCAGAGAGTGACACATAGATATTAGAAAAAGAATGCCCTTAAACGCAAAGCCAAGGAAAGACCAAGGAGCTCCTAAGGAAAGGCCATTGTTGATGCCAGCTATGTCTACAGAAGGCCAGCCTGAGGTCTCTGGGTAGAGGCAGAAGTCTGAGGTATGCTTGCTTGAAGTTATGTTGACTTGGGGTTATTTTTTTCATTTTGGGAAATTGCTCACTTTAATAGAGTTGAAAATTGTTGAAGGCAGCTGGGATTGGGAAAAACGCTTCTTTGTGTCACCTGGCTAGTTGTTGGCTATGATGGCATGTCTTTAGACAAACAGTAACTTGGGAGGAGGAATTAGATTCTTTTTTAGAATATAATCTTAGACAACCACAGTACAGGACTCTGAAAAGCACATCAATGATGGGGAGGGAAGTCAGGAATGGGGGGAGTCCAAGGCAAGGTAGGTAAACTTGGCGAAAACTCCCTCTCCAGCTCCTCTTTGGCAAGCCTCTGACAGTTTCTTAAATAAAACTACATCAGAAGCACCTGGGGGCAGGGGAGGGTCAAGGAGGGGCGGTCCAGATCTGAGGGACATTTAAATCACTATCATGGAAACTGGATTCTAACTCAGGTCATGGGACTGATTTTTGATCTGATGGCAGAGAAGCAATTTGATGTCTCTGTGCCTTGGAAAATCAGAATTTAAAATAAGACACTACCTCTAGAGCACAATTTTACTTATACACAGTTCCTTCTGAATTTTGCCGTTTTCATCATCTTTTGTGGAGTATCTAGCACTACTTGATGCAGCAGCTAGCTTGGCTGATTAACATATCCACATCGACTGAGTGCCTAAGTCATAGATGGTGGTGTGGCTGGTGCCAACTCATACAGGGTCCCAAGAGGTAACTGTTAAATATTCAGGAATTTGGCAGGTCAGTTGTTAAACCACGGGTAGCCTGACATCAGCCATGGTGGAAGTACTTACACTGCAGTCATCAGCAAATGCTACAAATCAGGGCTTTTATTTTTAGAGAACTGGTTTACCAGCACACCCCTGGAATAGGGACTGTGGCAAGCACTGGGGATACAAAGACAGAAAAACTCCATTTAGAAGCACGCTATAGAAGAGGCAGCTGAGGTACAGAGAAGCTGATTGCTTTGTCATGGTCACAAAGTGGGTGTGGATTTGAACCCAGGAAGTCTGGCTCCTGCAGTCCTGAACTGTATTTCTAACAACCACACTTCATTACCCATTCTGTTTATCAGAAAGAGCAGCAAACTGTCTAGGATCTTATGATTGCAAACCCTTGGGGCATAGGAGGCAGAGCCTTTTGGAAGAAGTCTTGCTTTTAGAACTTTAAATTCGGAGGAGTTTTATGTTAACACAATGAGAGGGAAAAGCAATTGGAATTTTTTAAAAGTGGTCAGATTTTTTTTTTAGTGAAAGAAGAGTGATATCTATTGTTCAGCCTCTGTGAAAAGGCTTGTTTATGAAAATTAACCTGTTCTCACAAAATATTATTTATAATCTCATTATCCTGGTATTAGCCCTATTATTAATACTTTCAAAAATATCAATAATGATTATTATCATTCATTAGTAGCCATAATGATACTAAGTAATCTAATGCTTTAGTGTTTTTAAATCACTTTCATTCTCTGAAGGATCACAGTGATCCTATGAAGGAAAAAGAAGAGGTCTCATTAACATCTCAACTCCTGGGGCTGCTGGAGAGGTTAAGCTGTTTGTTCAAGAGCGTATACTAGGCCGGGTGTGGTGGCTCATGCCTGTAATGCCAGCATTTTAGGAGGCCAAGGTGGGCGGATCACCTGAGTTCGGGGGTTTGAGACCAGCCTGACCAATATGGTGAAACCCCGTCTCTACTAAAAATACAAAATTAGCCGGGCATGGTGGTGCATGCCTATAATCCCAGCTACTTGGGAGGCTGAGGCAGGAGAATCACTTGAATCCAGGAGGCGGAGGTTGTGGTGAGCCGAGATCACGCCATTGCACTTCAGCCTAGGCAACAAGAGCGAAACTCCATCTCAACATACATTAGTAAGAGATTGAGTTTAAACTTGACTCTAGGCTTTCTGATTCTCAAATCTTTCTACAAGACTGTATTAGAACTTATCACTGAGCCCAAGCTCATTAGTTTCTAGGGATAAGAAAGAAGAGCTTGTTGTTACTTCCCATCAGTCTCTGGGAAGCAGATAAGATACAGTGAGATGGACAATTTTAGAAACTCCTTCTGGGAATCCAATCATCATTAAATAATAAAGATAATAGAATAAAAAGTTTCTACTCTTCCCAAGCATTACCATATGTTGTTATAAAACACAAATAAAGTGAACAAAATTCTAAGAGATATCTAGGGATTTTTTGATCACAAATAATATTTACCACTTTTGTAAATGTGAAAGAAAAATATCAATGGTTGATCTCAACGTATTCTTAAAAAATTGATTTTTTTTCTTGTTCAGAGGGGAGAATATCAAATAAGGAAATAATTAGCAAGAACAATAGCTTATGTGATGTGAAAAATTCTAAGAACTTTCTGTGCATTCTGTCTCATTTAATTCTTACAACAACCCTATGCCATAAGTATTGTTATTATAGTTATTTTACAAATGAGAAAACTGAAGCGTCAATAAGATGGGTTTCACGAGGTTACACAGTCAATGAGTGGCAGATGCACTTCATGCCAGTTCTCAGATTTTAGAAAGGAAATGGTCCTACTAGTGTGGAGATACATGTACCGAAAAGTCATAGCTTCTTTCCCCTCAAATCCTGGCAAAATGAGAAGTGTATTTTTAAGCCTTGCCTCAAAGCTGTGTTTCTGTTTACAATCCTTCTAGTTATAGCAGATGCAGATGGTTTTGAAATCTGCATCCAGACCAACTTAAAATGAATCCTCCTTTCCTTGCTCAAAGAAGAGCATTGCAAAACATATTAAATGCAAAAATGGAAATGGTATAAGCAATTATAGCATTAATTTGGGCTGTGTAGGCAAATAATCAAGATAATTCCTGTCTTATTCCTTTGACTTAGTAGTCATTTTCCAACCTGATTCATCCAGGTTATGGCTTAAACGCTCTACCCTGCTTGCCAGTGTAGGTAAACATCATTCTGATCAGGTTTGGCTGCCTTGATAAGGAAAGATCTGCCTGCTGCACAAAGGTGGAAATAATGACAAATGTGTAAGTAGCACCTGGGATCTGAAGTCAGCATCAGCCACTCTGCTTGCTGAGTTATGGATTTCATTTACAAACTCCAAGAACTTACATGGCTCGGGGAAGTGGCTGTGATGTGGTGGTGAGGCACTGGGTACAAGTTTAGATTCTGGCTGTTACCCACTACCTGGGTGTGACCATGGCCTGACCTCTAGGAACTTCCTTATTTTATCTGATAAATGAGACTCACTAATACTCACTTCATCGGGAACAATAAGGTTTCTGGATTCATAAACCACAATGCAGCACACAACATTAGGTGCTTTATTGTTGTAATTATTGTAATTACTATAGATCCTGAAATCAGCTTCCTCTCTATATTGCTCATAAACCAAACAACTGGAAATCATGGGAGTTTTTTTATTCTGATGTTTAGGCTGAAGACTGGGAAACATCCAAACCTCTAGTCCATGTGAGCCTCAATTAGTATGAGAAAACTGGTGGATAGGTTATCATGTGAGATTCTAATTATGAGTGAGGATGAGCTCTGTTACAGTTGAAGTTACTTTGCCATTTCAACTTTCAGTCATTCCGATTCTTCTCTTTCACCAAACAGGGTACATTCAAAACCTTTAGACCTTGTAAAATAAAAATTTGAAGGTGAGACTTTTTCCCTAGGAAAGCTGGCTCACATTTTATATATTGTATATTGGGCCAAGCCTCTAATATTTTCTTTGAGGATCTGGAAACCTTTAATGTGTTAACATTATCCACACAGTAAATTCTCACCTTCTAGTATGTATCTGCACATAACCTACTTTAGGGTTTGAGCTTTTCTATTAGTGTCTATAATTATTAATGCTGTTACCATGAGGTTTTTTTCCAAGGTACCAAAAATATAAGAGTAAGTCAGCATTTAGAAGACAGTCACCCAGAAAAATTTTTTTCCATAAGCTGAAAAGCTCAGCCAAATTATGTCCACAGCATATTTACTGGGAGTTTGACATCTCCCTTCTCGAAGCTCAGTAAGCCAGTGGGTGGAGCATGTAGGGGAACCCTGTTCAGTTCCCTTAAACCAGCTGTGAGGAGAGGGAGGCCACACCAGTGGCATCCATTGGTCACAGAGAAAGCAATGAGACCCAGAATTCAACACAGAGCTCAGCACCAAGGAGGTACTTAATTAAAGTTTGATGGACTAAATTTATCTCGATTCTTACAAGTTAGGAACACAAAGTATTCAGCAAAACATATCCAAAGTGGCCCCAAAGTGCTACTGAAAACAGTTTTATGCAAACTATTTGCAACATCCAAGAACTTGTTTCATCCAACTTGACAGGCAGAATACTCACAATTGCCTAGAGGGAGTGGCAGACACTATTACTCTTATCTTTGAAGGGGAGCTCAGAGTTACCAAAATCTCCTGACTGGGGTACAAAGCTCCACCTTTATACTAATTTTTTTTTTTAAGTGCAGGCTGCGCATCCGACTCTCAATTCCTGAATGTCCTATGTCTGTTTACCTTTCCTGGAATCCACTGACTTGCATTTCTTCAAATATAGAGTTTTCAGGATTCCCAAATGTCAGTGGTTCTTAAACAATGGGTGTGCATAGAAACTCCTTGGAGGCTTGTTAAAAATAGAGATGCTTGAATTCCACTCTTGCCAATTCAGATTCTGTATGTTTGTTTGTTTGTTTCCCCTTAACTTCCAACTGATAAATTTTCTCGGTAGGAAAGTTCAGAAATGTGCAAATATGATTCAGTGACCTAGCAGAAAGTTCCTGATGTGGACAGCAAATACTGGAGGCAAGTAAATAGCAATCAAATGGGTCTTCTATAACAAGGTGTCATTTAAACAAGGTCCTTAGGTGATGCTGATGCATCTTAGAGTTTGAGAACACTACATACAATGTAAGAAAAAAAGAGTCAAAGTTTCCCCAGGATTCAGGGCAGTTCAGAGACAGGGAGATAAATCACTATAGCACCTAGGGATCTTGTTAAAATACAGATTCCGATTCAGTGGATTTGGGGTGGGATCTGAGATACTGCCTTTCCAACATTCCCAGTGATGCCAATGCTGTTGGTCCCTGGAACACTTTGAGTAGCAAGGGTTAAGGGTACAGGCTGGTGGGGAAGGGGTCTACAAACCTGGGTCAAATCCCACCTTTCCCACTTTTTAAATATTTTTTGGTTTTCTTTTTAACCATTGCATTTTCAAGGAAAAAAATATAAACCAATACCACTACACACTGTTTTGGGAAACTAATTTTTGTTTTTTGTTTAGAGAAAAGGTCTTGCTCTGTCATTCAGGCTGAAGTGCAGTGGTATGGTCATAGCTCACTATAACCTTGAACTCCTGGCCTCCCAAATCTCTGGGATTACAGGTGTGAGCCACTGCACCCAGCCAGTGTGCTTTCACCACTTTACTAGCTATGTGATACTAGGCTACCGACTTAGCCCCTCTGGCCTATTTCTTTATCTGTAAAATGAGGGTGGGTAGGTGGGAGAGAAGAATAGTATTGACCTCAGAGTACTGTGGTGAGAATTAAATGTCCCAGGGCATAAGCACTTTCAAGGTAAGCACTTATCACAGTACCAAGCACATAGTAAGAGTCTAACAAGCGGTAGCTCTTACCATTAAGAATCTCCCCAAGTTTCCATCTCAGGAGCTCAGGAGTTAGGCTTCTGGTTTCATGCCATGCTGCCTGAATGACTATTTATGGCATGGTGACTGCCTGGCTTCAAATGTGTTTTCCATTAATGGGCTTGAGCTAAGCATGATAAGGCGTGGAGGACTGAGGACTCCTTATTCAGACTGTGGGTGTTGACATATTACATTCAGACATTGGGCTGATCCCTGCCCACTGCATCTGGAAATGCAGGGATCACAATGGGACCTAGTCATGGCTTCTCCACAGTGGTTGCTATTTCCAGTTCATGTTTATGAAATACATATAATTTTAAGGCTTTACCGAGAGAGAGCCTTCTCTCTGTGGTTGGTTTATAGAGTCATATTTATACTCTCATTACAAGTCAGTGTTCTGGAATCTGACTCCCCTGAGGTTCCTATGGCCTGCTCCTGGGACAGCAAGAGTTATAATGCTGATCAAACCTGCTGACTGTGTCATTCCAAGCTAGTAATTGTGGCTTCCCTGACTTTCACGCCAAGGGTTTGATTGGGCTTAGAGATGGTTGGGGCAGAATCCTGTATCCCTAAAAGAAAAATGCTTCTTGTTGTGTGTTGCCTGCTTTAACAATTCTGAATGTACTAAGATAGCCTCAGTTTGAGAGTGGAGTCTGCCGCCAGGAGAACCGATGACCAATACTCCAGAATTCTTCAGTGGTCAAGGGGATGCTTATGCTAAAATATGTGTCCTGAAATTTTAGAGCAACACATAGCAGAGGGTCCAAACAACAGAAAATGTTCAAACAATTAAGTTTTGTTATCAGCCTCATGTGCAAGCAGTCTCATTTCAAGCTCCTCCTTCTACTATCTCTAGCCCAAATTTCCCCTTTGAACACTTCACGCAGCCTAGTCTTTGATCTGGGGGCACAACACTGTCTCTTCCTGTGATTAGACTTCCCTGGCAGCCAGAGGGAATTCTTGAAGGCATAAATATTCTTTCATTAAAGACTCAGTCTTATTGTTCTTTTTAAACTATCACTCACAGCTCAGAGGATTTTTCTTTTAAGTAACCTTTTAATTAGCTACATAGTTTCATAGATATGAAGTAAAGGCCAAATTTTGATTCTTTCTTTTCTTCCCTTTTTTCTCTCCCCTGTTTGGCACGAATTTAAGGAATTTGCAGATAGGATATAGGCTCTAGCAAAACTTCCTCTATTGATATACTATTGGTATAGACAATAGGGGCAAGAAAATGGGTTCTCTTTCTGCTTTTCTTAGAAGCCAAGGCTTCATCCCTATAGCCAGGAAGAGGTAGATACCCCCTCACACATCAGAAGAGGAATCTCATGCCCTTGGCTCCCCAGGAAAGCAACAGAAGTCCTGGATTTCTTGGATCTCCTGGTGAGTGGCAAGGAGTTTGCTAGCCTTGGGCCCAGCACTGCTGTGCATGAGAGTCCCAAATTTCCCCACCTGGGACACGTCCGGGTGTCTACTGAGATAAGAACCCATTGGCTAGGCTTGGGAGTAGCCTTGGTGCGGGATGCTCCTGCAGGGCTCCCTCAACGGAACAGAGAACAGAGGTAGTAGGCCTGTGAGAAGGGAACTGTGTAGATGAAGGTGAGGAAAGATACCATCTTCATTTTAGGAAAACGTAAGTCCCCCCAGACAAAAGAGAAACTTGAACTGATAAGAGGCTATTTCTCCTTGGAAGAAAGAATACCTGTTGTAGAATCCTGATCCAATGCCCAATCACAGAAGGAAGAAGGGAACAGGAAGACAAAGAGGTAGATTGGAGAGTGTGCTCTATAGGCAAGGCTGGGGCCCTAGGGAGGGCAAGACAAGTTCTCTAGGTTATATGAAAAGTATATGGCAAGTGGGTCATCAGTGCTGAAATATGGTTAAATGAAGAGATTTAAAAATAGAGAAAATTGCTATTCCCCATGTGGGTCGTAGCCATTTAATTAACATAGTTCCACTGAATACTTAGCTTAAGGATTTCATGAAATTTTTTTAAAAATTAAAATGCACACTGCAAAGCAAGATTCCCTAGTCTCTTTCCCTCATACAGTGATTATTATTATTATTTTAAAGATAATCCATTGTGGAAGCCCATAGCCCTGCCAGCAAAAACAACGTCCTGCCATCGTTAAAAGTATGTTACAATTTGTGGCTATGTACCCAGCATTTGACATGGAGTGGTGTTCTATTTCAACCCAATTTAATTATATGCTCCTTTTATATATCGTAGATGGCTCACACTAGCAGAATTGTTTTGCCTGGTGAAAAACTAGCCATGACTTGTCATAATGGGCTGGTTTATAGAACCACTGAAGTATAGTTACTGCCCATCATTTGGGAATTATGGCACCATAACAACCCTTTATTTACATACACTGCTGAGACAGTAAAAACAGCAAATAGATTTCTTAAATCGAGACGACAGAAATTTCCCCCCAGGGTACTTGGCCCTCATTGTGGTAGTAACATATGCAAGTCTAAACAACTTTGGTGTCTGTATTTCGATAGTGCATCATTTCATGGACAGTTTATAACATTCTAATAATAAAATGGACTCTAAATTTGGAGTTGGATTTCACGAACATTAGATGGTAATGTGCACAGCAGAATCTCTAAGTGATTTGTGAGGAAGGTTTAAATTTCCTAATGACACGACTGCTGAGCGACTCTGCAAAGGGACTGAAGTGGAATCAGTGGTTGGGCTGTTGCGAGGTGGCAAGCCTTCAACCGGGAGCATGTCTGACCTAGTTTACATTAACACAGACACTGCATCTTGGTAAAGTCAGGGATTCTTTTATCTCTAGACTCCTAGGACTTAAATAATCTTGGCTTTCCCCTCAAACAAAAGAAACTCTCTATAAATCTTTTGCTTTTTTTTAATGCCTACTCTCCTCTTTCATGATGTACCTTGTGGGAAAAAAATATTAGAGTAAAGATCATGCCTTCATTGCCTGCTTATTTGTCCTGAGATTTTAGTAAATTCCCTTCTCCTTATTCTTGACTTTCTACTCCTTTGTAAAGCTGTAACTAGACTTATTTTTAATATACACATTGCAAAAGTATGTTCCAAGATCTCCTATTCCTGGGGGACAGCTTCTAGTAAGCTTTAGCTTCTAGTAAGGTTGTAAGTCTTAGCTTCTAGTAAGGTTTTATGTCTACGTCTGGTCAGCAATTTCATGTGCATGGGCATCATAACTCATAGTGCTACTATCATTCTGCAGTGACATGCAGGTGGCTCATGAGGGCATATTTAAAAGGGGGTTCCATTCGCCCAACCTCCTCTGGCTTGAAAGGCCAGGGGTTGGACAGGGGAGTGGGCAGAGTTGATGGCCTCTCTGGGCCCCTGTGCCACTGCACTGCACCTATGGGAAGCTGCAAACGATTGGCAAAACTGGACACTCCTGTAATTGTCAAGAGCTGAGACTTCCCTAAAGCAGATTAAGAAGGTTGGCGAGCATCTTGGGTGTGAATACTCCTCTCTAGTAGAGTCCTTGCGTTGGGAGGGCAGGGATCCCCCTGCAGTTCATTCACTCTCCCCTCAAACCCCCAGGCCAGTGCCCACTGCGTAGCCACACTCACCCCCCGATGGCAGGCCAGTGCAGCTGCCCCCGTGCTGGCACGGGCTGCGCTTGCAGGCGTCGGGATAGAGCACGCAGCCCAGCTTCAGCTCCGTCAGGCCCACCACCTCCGCGAAGCTGCTGCGCTTGTTCTGCAGCGGCAGCTCATTGTTATTCAGTATCACCGAGTCCAGGCAGCCCTGGAAGCCGCTGAGCACCTGCGTGACCCGCGTGTCAGTCAGGCTGCGGATGTTATCCGCTTGCACCAGGGCGCCGAAGTAGATGCTACTCTCAGTGCTCAGCGTCTGGAAGTAGAGGGGCGCCCGGCGCCGCTCCACGTAGCTGTCATCCAGGGACAGGCTCGTGAAATTGCGGTTGAGCTCCAGGAAGACCGAGTGCCAGCTCCCGTCGTTGACAGCACGGCCCGAGATGCCCAAGATTCCAGGGCCGCTGCCGCAGTCCAGCTGGAACCACAGCTTGCCATCCACAATCTGCGTGGGGAAGGAACAGTGCAGCACTTTTCAACATGCAACTGGGAATATGTTCCCTACACCCTGCTCCTGGCCGGCCCGGGGGCTTCACAAGAAAGCTGGAATGTGGACATGACTTTTGCTCTACTCATAAATCTGTTGTGGTTTGATTTTTAACCACTGTGCCTCCCCCTTACCTGCCATGAAAATGCATGCCTTATATTTCACAAATCTTGTGATTAGTAATATGGGCACACCTTCATATATCCACAATTATATTTAAGAATGTTTCTACTCCTTGGGTCTTTACCTTTTAAAATTCCCAGCAATATCTGGTTTAGGGGTCTGTTTATTCTCTGCACCCTTCTTAGTCATTACCACCACAGGAATGAATTCCGGGAACTCATTAGCATTTATTGAACATCTACTATACGGTAAGCAGTGTACTAAGTGCCAAGGAGATCATCTGAGTGAATAGAGTTATCATCTCTGCCCTCATGTGGCTGACAGTCTGTAGGGTAGGTGGCCATTAATCAAATAATCACACAAATACATATATGTTCCTTGAATACATTTATATGAGTGCTCCACAGGGGAAAGAAAGAGGCCTGGTAGAAATGAAAAATTTCCTAGTTCTCAGCTTTGTCTACATTTAAGATTTAAAAGCTGCTCTATATTAAACACTAGCATATTCTTAAAATAGGCCTTTAGGATGATGCTCATGGTTTAGGTAAAGGTTATCTTCCAAGGTGCTCAGGGCTTGGCCATTTGCTTAGAATATCTGGATCGTTTGTGACACCTGGCCCTCATGAATGCTCCCAGCCATGGTTTGGGGTGCGACAACAGAGACCAGCCTGCTGCTGTGAGTGCATTGGTGTAGCAAGGGCATCACTGCGCCCGGGAGGCTAATCCCAGGAGACATCACACACAGGAAGAAAGCATGTGCTATGGAGGATCCTTGCTGGCAGAGAGCTGCAGAGCAGGGATTGGCCCTCCATGGAGCCCCAGGCTCAACTGCTGCAAAGAAAACATGTCTTTGAATCCCCTGTGTCGTCCACCTTGTTCTACATTTCTCAGAAATGCAAGGTGGCTTTGGGATCCAGGGAATGAGGGCTGCACCCTTGTCTAGACAAGTGTACATTTGGTCATGAAGGGATTCACAGCCAAAAATTGTGAAATAAAAGCTTCTTTTCTGGCCTATGTCTATGACCCAGCAAGAGGACCTTGTGGAGGCCAGCGTCTGAGTCATGCAACTAACACTAGTCTGTTGGCATTCATAGTTCTGTGCAGAGAACAGATACTTGTCAGGAAAGAAAAGAAAAAGAAAAGGAAAGGAAATGACAGGACAATACAGAGCTTCCAGGTCACAAACAGCCAAGGAGGTACAGAGAAAATGAATTCACAGAAATAGACTGAAGCAGTCCTTGTGAAACGTGTTTAACTCATAATAGACCTATTCGGGATTATCAGAGCATCTCTCATTCTCACACGTCACGTATTTCTCTATGCTTCAGTACAGACAACTGAATTCTTAGGGACTCTCATTTCTGCCTTTGTAGCTCCATGTTCTTCATCCTGCATAAAATTTCGTAGGTCATGCCACATAAACATGTGTATCTAGAAGTCAGGGGGCTTTAAGAAGCACACAGAGGTGTGGGAATTTTGGAATGCTGAATCAAATTCAGGCTTTGTCATGTACCACTCAGGTACCCTGGAGAGAATGGTCTGGCCCCTCTGGGTTTGGGTCTGGAGAGCAGAGAGAACTGCTATGGCTTATTTTACAAGGCTACTCTGTCCACTGCAGAATGGTTAGCCACATCATACACAGTTAGAACATACATACTTTGCTCTGTCATGCAAATGTGCAAATGTAAAAAGACTGAAGACAAATGTTTATGTTCTCTGAGAGCTTTCAAGTGTAATCTTTCTTTCTTCTTCTTTTTTTTTAGATGGAGTCTCACTGTGTCACCAGGCTGGAGTGCAGTGGCATGATCTCGGCTCACTGCAACATCCAACTCCCTGGTTCAAGGGATTCTCCTGCCTCAGCCTCCCGAGTAGCTGGGATTACAGGCAAGCGCCACCATGCCCAGCTAATTTTTTCTATTTTCAGTAGAGACAGGGTTTCACCAGGTTGGCCAGGATGGTCTTGATCTCCTGACCGTGTGATCTGCCTGCCTCGGCCTCTCAAAGTGCTGGGATTACAGGTGTGGGCCACCGCACTCAGCCTCACGTGTAATCTTATGCTATCATCTTTGTCATTTTATTCGGTTCCACAAAATTGAATGAGTAGATATTGTAAATCATACCAGAATACTTGCTCTATGGCAACTCCTGGATAATTTCCATATTTGTATTTTAATGTAAGTAATAAATCATCAAATGTGACTTTGGGGAGTATCTTTTTCTGGCACAGTCCACCTGCTGTTTTTAACTCTGTGGCTACAAACTGGTGTCCTCAGTCTATTATGAAAAATTGGTGGTGAGAGTGCAATTTATCTAAGTTTTTGTAAAAAGATGTTCAATTAACATATTACTTGGTTCATTCTCCTCTCTCACCCCCACCTCCTACCTCTTTGAATAATCACCAAGTTACATATTCACCAGGGAGAAATGACAGGACTCTGATGTACTCAAATATATCAGAGTTCTATAACTGAAGAACATAAAATTATCTCATACTAACACGGCACGGTTAAGCTTGCTTTTTATTTTTATTTTTGTTGCAAAAATAACAGCAGCAACATTGCTGAATGAAGGAAGCCAGATGCCTACACGATTCTTAGCCTTTTACAAACAAAAATCATTTGGATTGTCAAAATCCTAGGACTTTGAAATTACCAGCTTTGTTTATATGACAAACTAGAACACTGATGCCAAAAGTTACCTTGTGAAAAGTTAATAATCTTTTGCTATTGCACAGTTATATTATTCCAGAGAGAGAAAAGAACACTGTCTTTTCATGTCTATGTTCTCTTATACTGGAAAATATATTCTGATCATATTTAATTCTTCTCTGTCTTCAGAGTTGGGTTCACCTAGTTTTAAGTATCTTCTTTAAGAGAATGAAGCTTTCTCAAATCAGAGGAGAAGCTATTTTAATAGAAATTGAGGTGTGCATGAAACTGTAAGAAATGTCTATAGCAACGATACTGAAATGATTTGCTAGGGTTAGGGGTGTAGCTAGGTAATTTGTTCAATGAAATACATAATTGAGAGAGTGTTGCCCTAATGTTATAAAATATTTAGATTCTCAGGATCATTTGAAATCAGTGATGTGCTTTCCCCTGGATTTTTAGTAGCTTGGGGCTTGGAAGACAAGAAATCAGAGTTCTAAGAAGTCCTACTTTTGCAGGAAAGTAGGATTTTGAGTAAAAAATGTAAATTATGGCATGAAGTCTTACTGCTTCAGATTCTTGGCATGTGGTTATAGCAAATGCATAATAATCATGGAACTTGTAAGAGGATTATTCAATATTCTTTGAAAAGGGGATGTTTTAAAAACTTTTTATGTTTTCCCTGAGTTGGGCACAGTAGCATGTGCCTGTAGTCCTAGCTACTTGGGAGGCTGAGGCAGGAGGATCAAGTGATCAGTTTGAGACCAGCCTGGGGAACATGGTGAGATCTCATCTCAAAAAACAAAAAAACCCACAAACAAAAATACAAAAACCTATTTTTAAGGCTGCCATTAATAGCCATTTGGTATACATTAAGTATTTTAAATGAGTAAATGAATGCATAATCATCCCAGCCCTCTGAATTTCTTCTTTTGATAAACTCCTGTAGTTTATCAAGAGATATCTAACTCCCAACTTGCTCTCCTCTTTCATAGGCCTAGAACCAAAGTGATATTGACTGGCTGTCACTTTGAGCAAGTCATTCAATTTTCTCTGAGCCTTAGTTTCCTCACAGGCAAAAAAAGTAGACACTCATACCTACATGCAAGGGGAATGAGAGTCGAAATTACATGTATGTGAAAGTACTTTGTAAACTCTTAGTTATCTTATTATTACTACAAAATGTAATTAAGGTTAACTTATTTTTTGGTGACATTCTTAAATAGATCATTGAAACTCTCAAATCTTGTAGGGAGCTTCCTTGTTACTCTTTTGATCTATATTGGAAAGATCTGGCCATGCCAAGTGGGCTGTTTTACAAACCAAATGAGCTTTCCCTATCCTCCTTTCAGTTTAGGGGTCTGAAGCTAGCCATGTCTGAGAATCATCAGAATGTAGCAATGAATCATTTATAACTTCCCCCGAAAATAAAATGTGTGATAGTTATAGATTAACAACCATATTCTCCTTGTGCTTTTGCCATGATACTGGAGATGGAAGACTGACACAGAGATAAAGTGTTCTCCTACTGATTTCTCCTTACATCTCTTCTGGTGGTTTGTCATGTTTCTTTCTTCTTTTTAAAAAATCTTTTCCAGATCTCCCTTTGAAAAAGAATGCCATGTTTCTTTTATAGGTGTGAGGAAAGTCACAGAGCCTATCTGACCATTTTCATTGTTGCTTTGGCTGCCAGGAACCTCAGTTATGGTTTGGGCTCTACTGAAGTAGTTCACCTCGGTCTAGACTTTCTCATAATGATATTCTACTCTACCCAACTTCACTGGTTGGCTCTTAACCTTGTATTTTCATCTTAATGGTACTTTAATTTTATTGCATTTGGATGCTTATGGTAAGCCTTGAATTTCTTTTGGAAGAAGATAGGGTATCAATGGTAAACAGAAGAATGAGTGCCTTTTATTATTGCTGAGAGACAGTGATATTCTTTGTCCATGAGCATTTTCACTTCTCGAGGTCTCTGTGCAATTCTTTAATTGTCTGTAAGGGGCGCCCTTCACCCCACTGAGTACTTTAAGTACTTTTTAGAGAATGTGCTCTGACTGGGAAAATATAAACAACCAAGAGGTGCAATTTAAACAAAGCATTTCAGCTTAGTTGTTGAACCAAAGTGCAAGGCACATACTGTACCTAAAGCCAAGGAAATTAAATCTTGCATGAGGCTGAAAATGTTAAGCAAACAGATTCAAATCCCCTTAGTGGATATTCCTGGCGACTGTAGGAGAATAACTGCAATAGTTTAGTACAGCTGTGTCCTGCTTTAGGCAAACCCAACATATGAAAAGCAAACTTACAGAACAGACAGATTGGGAGTGATTATTCACATCACAAAGGGATTAATGGAAGGGTTCCTTCAAATAGCATCCATCTCTAGTTTATTAGAATTCCATTTACCAAGATTCAATTTACACAACTTTCAGAAACATGCTTGTTTCATGAAATGCAATATACCTTAGGAGCTGGAGCTGCCTAAAAGGCTTAATTATTCTTCTTTCGTATCCTCTGGGATCTGCACATTTTAGACTTTTGCCAGTGAAGTGTCAAATCACAAGCTCCATTTTAGGATCAAGCCATTCAGGTTCAATATTTTTGTTCTCTCTCAAATTTAATGCTCTATAAGAGATTTACTAATAGAAACTATTTTCAACCACCAGCCCTGTTAGAGCATGAAGGAGGAGACAGAAAGGTCAGTGAGGCCCACGTAGAGCCCTAAGAGCTGGTAGCTCTGAATGCTCCAAACACTTTCCCAGCAATTATACAAAACCTCAACTCTCAGGGCTATTTAGAAAATGATCTACTGACCCAAGGCATGCTGCTTCCGGGGCCAGAAGAAAATAAAGGCAGGACTTAGGTTTTTGAGTTTTTCTTCTTTCACCATGAATATCTGATTTGAATGCATCGTTCTCTAAAACTGTGCAATCAAAGTACTTTTCTTATTTTCTTTTAAAAATATTGCTTTCCTTTCTGGATCTTAAATTAGAATTCTGAGTTGAATGAATAAGGAGAGTGGGAGACTGCTTACAAAAGTAACCAACTTTTAAACTTCGACTCCCTGCTCACTCAACTATGGCCATCAAATAATACCTGGCAATACCAGACGTGGGTAAGTAAAGCCCTATGTGATCATTAAGAGAAGCCCACTGGCATTTAATGTTCTCTATTTCTCTCCTTCCTCACCTGCCTTTAGAACTAAAGCCTGGGCCACCTAATCAACTTGGATCTGACATATCAAACAATCAAAGGGCAGAAGCTGGAAAGGTCCACCATGTACTCTTCAAGCTGAAACCTTGGGAAGAAAAAGATTTCTTGCCATTTCCAGGTGAAAAGGCATTTTCCACTGGACGGACTCTGAATGTTTCTGAAGAGCATTTACAACAGGCTGACATAGCAACCTGGTGAGAATAGCATGAGATGAAACACGTCTCCCTCCTTCTCCTGCCTTCTCTCCTCCATACTAGAAGGCTGAATCTGGTCTACAGATGCCCAGAATGTGATTTTTAATAAATGAGTTGTAGTAGCAAGATGGAGAGTGAGGGATAGTATGGAGATTAACGGCATGGAGTGAGAGAGACTAGAGTGTGGGATCCAGGCCTCATCACTTATTAGATGTGCAACTTTGGGTAAATAACTTAACCTCTCTGAACCACTGTCCTCCTCTTGATCAAATGGGGATAACATGAAACAAACTTATCATATTAGCTGTATAATAAAAATAAATGATGCACAAAAAGCTGTTATCTTGTTTGCTTGTTTTTGTTTGT
The DNA here is from genome assembly GCF_000001405.40 of Homo sapiens. Taxonomy (NCBI): domain Eukaryota; kingdom Metazoa; phylum Chordata; class Mammalia; order Primates; family Hominidae; genus Homo; species Homo sapiens. Next base: position 92,860,151 of record NC_000011.10, on the reverse strand, counting down.
TTGTTTTGAGAAAGAGTCTCTGTCACCCAGATTACTGTGCAGTGGCCTCAGCCTCCCAAGTAGCTGGGATTATAGGTGCCGACTACCATGCCTAGCTAATTTTTGTATTTTTAGTAGAGACAGGGTTTCACCATGTTGGCCAGGCTGGAACTCGAACTCCTGACCTCATGTGATGCACCTGCCTCAGCTTCCCAAAGTGTTGGGATTACAGGTGTGAGCCACCACACCTGGCCCATTACCATTATTATTGTTGTTTTCACAAAGGCACCAGAATCCTTGAGGTGAATATAGATGTCAGACTTGCTCTAAAATAAATCTGGCTGCTTTAGGAGCATTTCTGAGGCTAGGAAATGACTGAAAAATTGGGCTACTTGGGTCATGATAGGACATACGAAATCTCCTATACCCCCTGTCTCCAATTTCCTCCCTGAGCAAGAACAGAAATTGCCTTCAAAAGTCAGTGGGGATAGACCCATGTGGTAGAAAACGATACAGCCAATCCTTTTAAAGGACCACCCCTGTTGTGGAATTGATTAGGAGACACATTCTAATGAACTGTTGAGCGATTACAGCTCAAAGGAAGCCAGCCCTTGAACCCGCTCTCAAGAGAGATGCCCCATGTACCAAGAGCCAATTTTGAAGCTGAATGTTCAAAAGGAAATGGGATGTTGGCTCCCTTCCCAGTTCTGCCGCTGCTCCCCTTTGCCCAGAAGTCTGCTTCTGGTCTTCTGAACTTAAAAGACAAAATGATTTCAGCCGTTCCCCAATCCAAGAGCCAAAACACTAACATGAGAACTGACTGCAGAAAAAGATAACCCATTTTAATTACCTTCAGAATTATGCAGGGATTTGCTCTGGTGTACATTATAATCCCATTGCTTTGCAGTGTTCGAAGACGCAGAGCTAGTTTGAAATCCTCTTCTTTGCTATTTTCAGAAAGCCGATATTTGATGTAACTGTTTCCAGCAAAGCTGAGAGAAGTGTGCCCTGAAAAGACCGTTATGAGAAGACATATATATTTTTAACATCCAGAAAGGAACAGAGACACATGAAATCACCCAACAACCACCAACCAAGTTGATTAAAGACCATGCATGAGAAGTTAATGAAGGCAATGAGGAGAAATCATTTTTGATTAAAAACCAGTTTTCCATTTCACATCACACTCTAATTTCAGAGTGAAAAAAATATTAACCAGTCAGCCACCAAATCATCTTATTTGCCTCATGCCAAGAGCCACTTGGTAAATTCCACAACTTGGATTTTCTTAATGTTACTAAATTTCCAACTCCCACTTTCTAAAATGAGCATTATTAAAAGATACCCCTTCATTCCTCCCCCAACCCCCAATCACTTAGGCATTCGAGAACTTTCAGCTCCATGAAACAAAGAAAACAAAACCATTTCCAAATGATATCCATGTTCCCCAAGTATCCTAATGCCTAATAGCTAATGTATGTCATTTGTACTAATGTTGCAAAAAGATAACTGATATAAAGGAAATTCATGTAGTCACACTTTCACTTTCTGGCCATTAATTTCGAGGCTCCCCTTAAATTTTGTCCAACTCGATTGCTCAATTCTGAGTTTACTCTTTTTTTTAAATTGCCTTCAACTTTATGTTTTAACAAGAAAAGTAATGGCTGAAAAGCTGCCTTGCTGGGGGGAAAGGTGGAATATGTGGAAATATACCAAATGGACAATAATTATAGACAATCAGAAGTTTTCTAGATAGAAAGGAGAAAAGTCAGCAGGAAGTGACTCCAGAACTTAGAAGATTTGGCTTTATGATCCCCCTACCCATCCACCTGCTATGTGCACAGTGCATATGTAGAAACAGGAGACAGCATAATTTTCCTGTAATTCTAAGCCTTACATGACTTAGGTAAGCATCCAGGTGGTCCCTTTACTTAATTGCAGCTCCATTCTTGAAATCAGCTATGAAGGAGCTTTGGTTTCTACTTTTAGGAACAGTGCTTCTCTTTGCAAAGGCTGAATTTCTAGAACTCAATGCTTGCAAAGTTCCTTGCACATACTAGGCATGGTTATTTTTTTATTCCAACTATTTATTGGATCCCAAAATTGTTATCAATGTGCCTATATTTTAAATATACCTAAAGAGGATTCTATTGGTACCCAAAATGAAAAATATTCTTTTCTGAGTAAAGAAGTGGCAGAGAATATATGAATCAAATGAAGTATAGAAATTGAATGAAGATCAGAAACAGGATCATTTAGATTAAAATAACTTAAATACTGATTTTTTTTTCCTTAAGATGCAGAGGTGAGCACCTCTCCAGCTGGAACATGAAGTTAGTTAAACATTTCCAGTAGGGAGTCTGCTTACTTGGTTCACCAGATGGGGATGACTCTAAGGAAGGTCAACAGGATTGGCTTAGCTATGCCTTCTGTGGATCTTGGTTTTGCGGCTGTGGATTTGTGCAGCACCCTGAGCATCAAAGGCCATGCCACAGATCCTCAGATTCCTCTGCCCAACCAACAGCCTTTTATTTTCCACAATTTCACACCCTTAACAGCCATGAGACATGATAAAAAACACATGTTGCAGTCTCTCCATTATGTAAGAAGCCCATAGTCTTTACATGCTCCCTTAGCACAAGCTGCAGCTGTGATAAATCCTAAGTAAATGTGAGTGTGGATGTTAGCTGTGGTCCATTCTAAAGGAAAAGGTTGCATGCATAAAGAAACGTTTTCTGGGAGGACTTGGATGGTGTAATTTACTCAAGGGCAAGTGTTTCAGGAATATGAAATTAGATCTGCATCATTCCACTCCACTCTGCACCTGAGCACTCTCCGAGCTTCCCTGGTGGACACTGGCAGAGGAACGGTCTCCTGCTGGCTTCATAACTGACACACTGCATGTCCCCTGGACACGGCTTCTCCACACAAGGATCGTTGGACCCCGGACACAGTCCTCCTGTGACAAAGGTGGAATATGCATGATCAGTACACAAAGGGATTCACCCTGCACTCCAGGGAAGATAGAAAAGGTTCAAAGGGAACACACAAATGGCTCAAGAGCTGGGATATGTGGGCTCTGAGCTGAGTCACAAAGATGCCACTCAGAAGTAGGCACACCTGAATGGGCTTCACCTGGTGTGGGTGTCCATCCAATTTCCCTACATCTGCCAAATTTCACTGCCAGACTGGTGCAGATTAGGTACAAAGAGTAAACAGAGCTCCTTGTTTTAGGCTAAAATATGTTAAGTTACATCTGGACCAACTTCAGCTGAAGAAAGATCACAATGCAAGGGCTTGTAGTATTTATTGGAGTGGGGTTTCTGCAGATTGGAGGCTATTTGAATGTATCACTTGAGTTTAGATTTCTTCTGCACCTCCCTCCTGCCCTCAAGAACTTGGAGGTTGATTTCAGAGGGGAAAAAAAAAAGACATTTCTAAAGAAAAGTATGACTAATTTTAAATTGTTGAAACACAACTCACATTGTTTCCTAATCCCTTCTACTACATGCTATGTTATTGATTAGCTGTAAATGTGCCCTACCAGCTATCAAAAAAACAGCAGAATTATCCTTGGCAAGGGAAGGCTTCCCTTCTACCTGTTCGATGTTCACAGCACAGTAAGATGAAAGGTTAATCCCTCAGAAGGGAAATCCTGGAAAGCAGATTAACTGATTAAGGCAGAATTCAGGACCCAAGTGAGTTATTTAAGAACTGTGCAAATATGAACCCACTGAAGGAAGCACATTTTCCAAAGGTCCTGAGTATTTCACATGTAATTAGGCTGCTTTTAATCTGGTAAGACTTTCAGTGGTAAAAGAATTATAAAAAAGGAGACACAAATTTAAAAAAACCCACAACTGAAACAGTGGTTTCCTAAATCAGTTAGGCATAGCCTAAAGGAGTGCCCTTTCCCCGTGAACTGAGAATGTGTAGCATACCAGCAGCTCATTCCTCAGCCAGATCTGGCCCATGATCATGCTCCTTTTCATCCTAAGTCTTTCCTTATCATTAAGCATATTGTCCCAGCCAAGTGCAGTGGTTCATGCCTGTAATCCCAGCACTTCAGGAGGCCAAGGTTGGAGGATCACTTAAGGTCAGAAATTTGAGGTTACAGTGAGCTATGATTATGCCACTGCACACTAGCCTGGGCAACAGAACAAGACCCTGTCTCAAAAAAAAAAAAAAAAAAGCATATTGTCCCAAGGTACAGTCATTTCTTTGTGCAGAAGAAAGCAGGAATTTAATGCTAACTACTTATAAACATTAAAAAATCTGTAATCCTTGACAGGAGCAATATAAGTAGCACCAGCAAACTCAGAATTCATAAATCCCATTTTCCACTGGTTTACAGCTCAGTCATAAAAGACACTCTTGGCACTGATCCAGCTTACAAAGTCTTAGAAGATGAAGGCGTTTTTAACTGAAAATTTGGAAAGGGCTGTACAAATGGTTCTATAATACTTAAATGCCCTGAAATACATCTTCCTATTTTCCTCCCCAACCAAATCTGTAGTCCTGCCATGTATTAATCAATATTCATGGAACTTAAAACACCTGTGTGACCATCTCATGATCTATTTCAAGAAACTTTTGAAAACTAGTTTTTAAATAACTTTTGGTGCATTTATTCAACAAATAATTGTTTGGGGCCAAAGAGGTATAAGGCCTGGGAATGTAAAGATGAAAGGATATGATGCCTCCTTTCTCTCACCTCAAGAAACAACATGAAAACACATGATGATAATATAATAAGATAACTGCTTTGGCAGGTAGGTGAGCACAATGGAGGGACCAGAGGAGGAAAAATTCTGTCTCCTGGGAGAATGTCAGAAGTCTTCCCAAAGGAAGGGAATATTTTAACTCAGGCATGAAGGGTGAGATCCTTTAAGTAACAAAGGAACGAGCTAACCACAGCTAGTAGCTTAACCTCAGGCCTGCCTTAATGTTTATTCATAATAAGTTCACAACCCTACCAGCTGACTCTGCTGTTTTCACATGTGACTTCATCTCAGTCTCTGACAGCCTGCACACGTCTAGCTAGCTCCTAAATATTGACCAGTAGTCTATGCTTAAAATGCAAATTGAGCCCAATGCTAACCTCAGCCACATGGAGGTGGCAATGTACACATATGAATCACAACATGCATCCCATCAAATAGATGTAACTTCTGAGTTACTTGGGCATTACCTTTCAAGTACGTATGGAAACAGCAGCTTATGTATTTAAGAAATCTGTTACTTTCTATTCTGTGGACATGCCCTTTCCCTTCTATTTCAGCCAGTCTAAGTCTAAACCTCTTTATAAGCTTCTGTGTTTCTGAGATACAGCTATAGATATTACATTAATAGGCTGTTCTGTTCTAATGTAATGGCTGCATTGCAAAGAAACCTTGAATCATCAGAAATCCAGCTTAAAAGCCACTGTTCCAAAGGGGGAAAAAAGGGCCAGATAATTTCAGATGCATGATAGCAAAGATATTTATCCCTATAGGAATAATGGTAACATTTTTAAAAAACAGCTATAAGTGAATACAATAAAAATTAAACTCTGTATTTCAGAACAAATCTAGCGTTTGGGTACTTCTACCTTTTATTCACATGTTTTGGCCCTTTCTTTTACCATCAGTCCCACCCTGGTAATTAGCACAGTGATGGTAGCGATAGCCTGTCTGGAATGGCCACTGTGAAGATGCCAGCTGCAGCAGGGAAGGCGTGGCTGGGGTTGCATGCTCCACGGGGCTGGTGGGAGCCCCACCCCCCTACTGAGTTGGCAAGTGTGAACCCTGCACTCCTGGGCACAGCCACAGCTGCCCAGCCACAGCTCTGGACCTGGGCATCCCTGCACTCTTGGATGCCCAGGAAGCCCCACCCCTTTCCCCTGCAAGCTCAGAAGTGCCTGCTCCTGCTCCTTGACCTCTCCCTGCTCCCAGCACCCACTCCAATTTTGAAGCGAAGTTGTGGCCAAACCTGGGTTCTGTCGCAACCTGGATGGATATGCATGCATTCAGGGTGGTGCTAACACATCAGTCCCGCTGCCACCTTGGGCCCATCTCAACTTTGTGCATAGATGAGCACGGGAGGGAAGCTGCGGGGGTGCTGAGGGTGGCTCAGCACAAGCCTGCAGGCGCCCTTCAGAAAATGAACAGCCTGGATACGGTGGATGACATGTTGATGGTGGCAGGAGGCAGATGGGCTCCTGGACAGAAAAGGGCAGGTCCCCAGTGATGCCCCACCTTCAAGCCAGGGACTATCTGAAGCCTGGGGGCTGGGCTGTCAGTTCCAGGTATTCCACAGACTGGAGTGAGAACTTATGGTGCTTTTTCTGGGTCTGCCATGGCCAGCCATGGACCAATCAGCATGCATGTCCTCTCTTCTGAGCCCATAAAAACCCTGGATCCTGCCAGACTCAAACAGATATCCAGACTAGCAGCTGCAGAGAGGAGCTACCCACTGTGGGTCTCCTTTCTGCTGAGAGCTGGATACTCCTTGGGACAACCTGCCTGCAGTAAGGGGCTACCCACCGCGGGGCTCCTGAGAGCTGTTCTGTCACTCAGTGAAGCTCCTCTCCACCTTGCTCACCTTCCACTTGTCTGTGTGATTCATTCTTCCTGGACACAGGACAAAAACTCAGGACCTGACGAATGGTGGGACTGAAAGAGCTGTAACACAAACAGGGCTGAAAAACACCTCCCCTGCTCTCCACATTGCGGGCGACAAGAAGGAGAGAAAAGCCCAGACCTAGGGGATCCCCAAGTCAGGGCTGTGACACTCTCTTTGAGGTTCTGTGGTTCCTGGTATCTCCAAGCTTCTGGGCACCACTGCATTCTGCATGTCCGGATGCAAGTGCCTGCAGCAGAAGCCATGTGTGGTACATCTGGTCCAGCTGCAGCCTCACACAGAGCTGGTACCTGAGCTGGCGCCTGGAGCTGCCTGCCCTGCCATAGCAGTGGGCGTGCCTTGCTGTGCACAGTGGCCGAACCCCATGCTTGCTCATGTGCCAGCATGCCTGGCTGTGCGCAGTGGCCCACACACCCCTCACTACTCCACGCCTGGCTCGCCCTTGGCAGGTGTGGGATCTGGGCCAGTAGTGTGAGTCAAGTGCAGTCTGCTGGGCTGAGTGGGCAGAATAAGCCCAGTGGGTGTGAGAAATACTCAGGCAAAAGGTGTCACCAGCCATAGAGGTTTTCAGCTGGAGAAGCAACACCCCAAGGATCCTGTGACAACAGGGTTCCTCACTTTCTTACCCATATCTCCTGTTTTAGATTAAAGCACAGAGGTAATTAGACCAGCAACTGGAGCTCAGCCTCATAGCTCTTTTTCTTATTTCCTTCTGTCATAACCCATAGCATGACATGTAATTAAATCATGGTCATTAATTAATGGATTATGTTAGATCCAGTCCCCACTGTGAAAACTGTAGTTTGAGGATGTGTAAAAAAATACTCAAATATAAATATTATAAGTACATTCTAAGATGAATAATATCAATATAAATATTAGATATATAATCATGAGTATTTACATTCATTCCAGCAGCAATGACTTTTCTAGGTTCCTTTTCTTTCTTTCTGTTTTTAATAGGTTCTTTAGGATTAAGGGGATAGTTTTTGGCAAGGATAGTTTTTGTACCTCTTGATGTTTTAAAAATCCTCTGGGGACTCCTCCCTGAGTTCCAGCCTGGAAATGCTCAGCCATAAACATTTGGGCTCTGGCTGCTGTTGTCTGTTTGCTTTGCTCATGGGCCCACTCTCTTGTGGCTCAAGGAAGTATGAAGGCAGATTAGAATCTGCAGGCCAGTGTAAATGTAACATCCTCCTTAGCAGGGGACAGATGTGATCATGTGTGCAAACTGCAGTGTATGCCTAGAAAAACTTTTAGTTTTTGAAAAACAGATTCCTCAAAAGGAAATAACACCCATATGCCACATTGCAGTTCTTTCCTCTCTATGAACTATTGTAAAAAATTAAGTCCTTTATGAAATATATATTGTTAGAGAGACTTAACCTTTGTATGCCAACCCTGAACAATGTTATGTGTCCCCTTGGTCTCAGATATACCCATGTCTGGGTCCAGGAAACACTTTTCTGGGGATAGCAACCCTCTTTCCAGCCAAAGCCCTACAATCTTTATCTAAATAGAAGCTAGTAAGCTTTAAATGGATGCTGAAGGGTTAACTCGCTTTTAGAAATCACATGTTTCTGTCATCTCCTTTTCAGGAAGTGTATACACCTGTTATTGTTAAGAGCCTTAAAGACCCCCTCTCTGGTGGCAAACACTGCTCCATTGGCTTCAGAGTACCAGTTAAGAGAAGGCAGTATCAACTCCTGCTGGCTTCTGGGAGAAAGTTTATCTTATTAGCTATCATGAAGTAATGCAGATTTAATTAACTTGTGCTGTGTTTGGTGACAGCTTGGGGGATGTGGGCTCATAGGCTGACATGCTCTGCATCTTCGACATCCATCAATTTGGTACCACAGTAAGCATGAAGGGGGAAGGGTCCCACTTCATCAAACCAACTGACGCCATTTATGGTATGTCAGGGCAGGATCAGATGTGTTTAGCTCCTGTCACAAAAATGGCAGAGTAAGCTCTGTTCCCCATTCCCAGTTTCTCTTGGGAAGGTGGGGTAGTAAGATAAGTAAACAATACTGCATTGACATAGACGCAGACCTGGATTTTGGCCCTGGCTAATTTTTTTAATTTAGTCACTGTGTGGCCTTGAACTACTCACTTGTCTTTTCTAGGTCTCGATTTCCTTTTCTGAAAAATTAAGATAATGATTCTTTATAGTGCTGTGAGAATGAAATGGGCTAGTGTATGTGAAAGCAACTTGTAAAGAAAAACATTTATTATAAAAACAAATTACTACAGGGTCTCAAAACCAGAAACACTAATTTGACCCAGCAACATGGCAGAGACCTGAACTCAGGTGTAACTTTTCCCTTGTTGTCCTTTTTTGATCAGATTCATGATTTGTAAGTCCGCAGTAGGTGATACGAAATATGAAATTCTGTGTGCACTGTAGGCACAGAATAAAGCCTGGGGCTTGTTACTCATCCGCGTCACAGGAACATGCACCTGTGTTGACCCCATCACCACCTTCTCCATCTCAGGTGCAGGTGTTTTTTCATGCACCTTGTCCACCAGGAGAAACACGCACACCATGTGACCATTCCCTGAAAGGTTTTCCACCTCCTGATTTTTTGCTCAGGTGGAAATTTAGGTCACTTTCTGTAGAGGTGACAACAGGCAATTCACTTCAGCAGAAGCATCAAAGCTTTGGAACATGCAGGGAGGAGAAGGGTGATCCTCTGGAAGTTTTATAAGGTTTCGCTACCATATTTATGACTCTCCTCTCCTATCTCCCCAGCATTCCCGCAGCCCCCTGGATTAAGTCTCTGCTTTTAGCCAATATTTCAGTATCTAGCTGTGATTATTATGCTGCCACTTTAAGCTGATTCAACCTCTTGATTTATGTTGCTGCCTCATACATTGAATAATCCAATAACTAATGGTAAACATCCCATGCCCTGAATTCACGTGCTTTACCCACATGCCATGTCCTGGCAAATGCCACATAAGTCAATAAGCTCCCTTCTTAATTCATGGCCTGTGAGAAGTTTTAAAAAACGGAAGTCTCAACTTTGAAGTCATTTCTTATGGTTCTCTCGGAAGCAGAGAATCCTCCAGATGGTGTTTGCTTGACTCAGCCATATTTTCTGTATGATTTCACTAAAGGCCAAGTGCAATTTCATTCAAGACCTCCTCTCTGGGGCAGCTGTGTATGGGTGGACTATAGAAAGGAATACACATACACTGAGAAGCTGGTATCACCACCAGGATGGGGACCTCCACACCTCTCCTGGCAATGTGGGACTCATGCGTACTGGAGATGAGGGATCTGCCGAGGTGTATTTCTTATGAATGAAAAATAGAAACTTCCCAGTTTGTAGGGAGTTAACCTGTTAAGATTAATAGACAACACTGAGGGTTACTCAAAGCCACTGGGATTGGCTCTCTCCTTAGAAAATTAGCATTAGCAAACCCCGGCCAAAGTGCAAACCCAATTTCAGATTCTTCTCTGCTATATAAAAACACATCACGAACATGTTTTAAGTGTCTGACTACCTCACAGAAGCTGTCATCATTTTATTTTACAGTGCTTATTAGAAGTGCAGTGGCCACCTGTCAGCAGGCCTGCTTTACCTATCCTACCTTATCCCTCCGAAGGACTGTCCTGACTTCTTACCACCCACCCCACTGAGCTCTCTGTCATTTGCCCAATGCATGATGCTGTTTCATGCTCCATGGGAATGGGGATCACATCAGCCTCTTTCACCACTGTATCTCCAGCACCCCACCCAGGGCCTGGTGCAAAACAGTATTCAATTAACTGCTGAGAGAATAAGTAAACAAAAGGATGCTTAAAATGCATCCTCTACCTGGTAAAGACCTATTGTGACATGCTTCATTGCTTCCAATGTCTTTCTTGTACTCCTCCAAGTAGAGCTGATAACTCCCTCCTTTATGCTTCCTCCGTGCCCCAATAACACCATCTATAACTTTTTACAGCACATATTTGTTTACAGTCAAGGAGCAAAGGAACTTCTTGTGTTTGGCTAGGAAGAGGATTCAAAGGGTCATAACAATTATCCTTAGTTATCCAGAGGGCAGCTTGTAGAAGCAGGGTTAGCCAGGTTGGGTCTGCGTGGCTCTGAGGGATACAGCTAGATGATGTGACAAGGAGAGAGGTCCTGGTGTGCTATAAGGCAGAAGATCATCTCAGTGCTGCCTTGTGAGCTCCCAGTACTGGTGCTCAAACTTTGGCTGAATTACTATGCCAGGAATATAGAAAATAGGATGTCTGCTGTGGGTGGGAGTTTGGATTAGGAAACTTCTGAGTTTCTTTCAAATCTGTGCAGAAGTGGTAAGCTGCTGTGGTTAAAAAATGCTTTGAATAAGAGAGTCAAGGATGAATCCTGGCTCTGTCATTGACTAGCTCTGTAGCTCTGTGATTCTGAGTGAGTCAATTGACCTTTCCAAGTTTTGGTTTCCTTAATTTTTGAAAAAAGTTAATGAGACCTACTCTTTAGGATTATAGTAAGAGTTAAATGCAATTACATGTATGTGAAAAACAGCATGCGAACTGGTCATGGCTTGATAAACATTATCTGTTCTCTCTGTCCGTACCTCGATCCGTGCACTGAATTGCACACCAGTTCTTAACTCCATGCCTTGGCTCTCATGCCCTTTGGTTTGGAATCCCCTATCCTGGTCACCTAGATAATTCCAGGCATCCTTTCAGACCTTGCTCAGGCAGCACCACCTCCAGTGATTCCTCTTTATACACTGAGCAAACCCTATGACAGTGCCATCCCCCACTGGTTGAGGGCATGGCTGGTGTCTGACTCATTTCTGTACATCGCAGGGCTTCGCCCATGGCAAACACTCCATCCATTTCATTTGGAGCACTAGGTTCCATTCTATATTACATTTCTTAATAAAGACTTGACAAATCAGGCATCCACTTCTTCCACCACACCCATAAACACACTGGTTGTAAACTCTGATGGTCTCACTGGCAGTCCATCCAACTGGACAAGTGTGTCCTTTTTGATATATTTATGTATTAGATTTTTGAATGCAATTTTTCAAAAATGGACAATCAACAAGGCCCCATAGGCTGCCGTGACACCCCTTTCTCTTGCACATCTCCTATACGGGCTCGAGGACATCTATCATCCTCAATTAATTTAAGTTGGTGTCAGTCTTTCTTACTGAAGTGATAATGTTCATTGCACCTCTGAAGTTCACCAGGAACCACCTCACAACATCAGACCTTTGTATCTCTTGAAGTTTGTTCAGACACGATGCTTGTTTGTAGCTGGAGTCTAATAAGCTTATTTGGCACCAAAATTCAAGTCTGCTTTCATTTTGTTAAAACAACTCAGCATTTTGGTTCAAGATGCTAATGATGATAATTGGACCAAAAACTCTCTGTATGAGAAAAAGATGAGCTGGAAGTTGGGAGGAGGATAGAATATTGAGGCCAAATTTGTCTATACATTACTACACAGCCCAGAGTGGACAGTTACCTCTATTTATCATGCTAATTATTCCACCAAGTGGTGGGAAACTCCATCTAATGAATCTGCCGACCTCCTAGAGTAAACAGAAGAGCAGCCAATACTAATTGCATGTGAGTGTGTGCACCTGTGGGTGCACGTCTGTGTGTGTGTGTGTGTGTGTGTTTGGGGGGAGGGGCATTTATTGAATTCAATTATTTTTCCTTTCCAATAAACAAGAAAATGCCTAAAAATGCCTAACGCTTACCTTAACAATTCATGGTTGTATTTTTATTTGAAAGATAATTCTAGAAGTGAGAAAGCTATTGCTATTAAAACAAAGAGCCTGCTCCTGCCCCTGGAGGAAACGCTTTCCTCTTTATCTTGCTGTGTGATTTCTCAAAGTTTGGTTTCCTGACCAGTAACATTAGAGTCATCCAGGCTACATGTGTAGAATCCTAGGCTCCACCCCAACTGTCCATATCTAAGTGTGGGGCTCAGCAATGGGCATTTAGTAAGCCCCATGCACACAGGAGTCTGAGAGAACTTCTGCCTTACTGGGATTGTATTGTGAGGCTGGCGATCATTCTGCTAGGAAAATCACATTACGGTCATGAATTGCTTAATAATGGGGATATATTCTGTGAAATGCATCGTTGGGCTATTTCGTCATTGTGCAAACATCATAGAGTGCGCTTACACAAACCTAGATAGCACAGCCTACTATGCACCCAGGCTATATGGTACAGCCTATGGCTCCTAGGCTACAGGCTTGTACAGCATGCTACTGTACTGAACACTGTAAGCAATTGTAACACAATGGTAAGTATTTTTATATCTAAACAAATCTAAACATAGAAAAGGCATAATAAAAATATGGTATTATAATCGTATGGGACTACCACTGTATACATGGTCCCTTGTTGATGAAACGTTGTTATGCCATGCATGACTATATTTGAGGATTCTTATACAGTACATAGCACTGAGGTTATGATTCACATTTAAAAAGGAAGAGTCCCTGTTCTTAAGATGCAGATAATAAAGTAGGGGCCCAAGAGGGCCCTTTCTTGAATCAGTATGCTACTCTCATCAGCTGTATGGCCCTGGGCAAGGCACAAAGCTACCACATCTATAAAACAAAGATTATCATGTATCACCTGCTGAAGATAGGGCTGGGCTAGATGACCTTTGGAGCTCCTTTACCACTAAAATCTAGAATTTCATTTTATAGCTTAATTATAAGAGTGACTTGAAGGTGAGAAAAGGCTGAGAGCTTGGCCTGACTCTGCACAAAGCTCTTCTTGAGCAAATGCTGGCTTTTCAAACCCAGAAGGCCTCCTCTTGGGATGGCTGGGGCCTGACTCACAAAACCTTCTGGCATTCTAAATTTACTGGGAGTAGAAAGGTTTATGGAGACTAGAGAACAGGGCCAAAACATCACTTTGAAACATATTGCATTTAAGACATTAGTGTCTTATGTAAAATCAAGAGCAACCCCTCTATCTCCATCAAAACCACTCCTCTAAATCCTTCTTTTAAAGAATTATTCAGTCTGCTCCCTGCTCCCACCCCAGTCTCTTCTTGATGAAGTCATCCCTGAAGACCTAGCACATTGGTGGTCTCTGTGTACAGATACTGCAGACAGCTTTCCTTTGACCATAGAAGGGATTCTGTCCCTTCCATGCCCTAGCATTTACTGTAGCACTGTTACAGCAAGTAGGTGCTTGCAAGCTGACTTTACAATTGTCAGCTCCTAAGGGCAGTAACTGTATCTTTTTTGCTTTGAATCTTTAGTGCCTAGGACATTGCTGCCTTCACAGATTTTTTTCAGAAATAAATGAGTTCTCAGAGTACAAGGATTAATTAGCTGGTATAGTTTCGTCTTCAGGGTCTACCCTGTCCTGTCCTGAACCCGTTTTGAACCCTGGTGTGAATCACCGCATACAGACCCTAGCAGAGCTTTGGTGTATCAGTTTGTCAACAAAGGAAATCTAGATAAGGCCCAGACAGCTGGCATTCATAAATTCTGCATGTTGGTGACATCTGCCAGAAATGCATTTCACCTAGCATGCATGCTTTGAGTTACTTTGCAGCTAATTTACATATTAAACAAGTCTGGACATCCCTGCTTCTACCTGATGCAATCACAAACAGAATTCACTGGATACCACAGAGAGCAGCTGGCACACTGATGGGCTGCTTGGAGCCTGTCAAAGTGTCTCTCAGAGGGAGTTATGACCCCTAGGGCCTCCCTGTGATGAGCTCATTCTCCAAACTGCAACCAAGAACTTTCTGCAAGGGAAGAGGCCGGGGCCCTGCCTGTCCCCAATTACCTAAAGGATGTTTTACAAATGGCCTCCCTCTGGCCATGGTCCCTTTGGACCAAATTCACACTGGCTAGAAAAACTCTGGCTGCAATTTTCTTAGAAGGGGGCAGTGAATTTATGGCTCCACATGTCAGACGGAGGAAAAGAGAGAGAGGGCAATGCTTCTCATCGATCACTACGGGCATGTGACTCTGTGCAGCTATGGCTTTGACTAGTAAAGGTCAAAGTTCAGTGACTCCAGTTACATCAACAAACATGAACCATTCCTTCCCTGCCACTCTGAGGGCTGAATCCATCCCTTGACTGTGCTCCTGGACATCTGGCCTCTGTTTCTCACTGAAGCAAATCGAACTGCCCTTACCCTTGGCAACAGCTTCCTAACTTGTTTCCCTGCCTCTGGCCTGGCCTCCTCTAATCCATTCCCCTCTGCAATCAGCACACCCTCTGTGAAAGACAGATCTGATCCTGCCATTTCTTCGCTTCTCATCAGCCAATGGCTCTCACTGCCTTGGGATAATTTCTAAACTCTTCATCTTGGCTAATGGCCCTTGTGTGATGACTGGGCCTGCTCTCAAGCCTTATTTCACATCCCAGCCCTGCTTATTGCAGCCAGAGGAAAGCTCTTTCCATCCCCAGTGTAGGTTCCTCTTATGCCCCTAAGCCTTCCTCATGCAAGCTGCCCCTTGCCTAGAAGGCTCTCCCTCCCCTACCCTGATTCCTACTTGACCCTTATCTCTACCTAGAGGATACTCCCTTTGGGGAAATCCCTATCGGCTGGGTCCTCCACAGGACTTTGTATGTTTCTTGACAATATGTATAAAATAGGCTCGCCTGTTTGTCTGTCTGTGCTGCTCACTTAGGCACAGCTACATGGGACTGTACCTCCTGCAGCCCCAGCATCTATCATGGCTTTTGGGCACACAGTAATTGATCATTTAATATTTAGTTGAACGAATGATTGAATGCAGGCATGCTGGAATGGTAACTCATTCTACTCCTACAATCTCAGGAGTTGAGAGGGAACACTCAAAACTGCACTCACCATTGCAGGTGCAACGCACGTTCCTGTAGAAACGCGGACACACAAAGCTGATGCGAGCCGTGCTGTAGGTCATGAGCGCGTGGGAATCGAGTGACAAGCCTTGCTCACAATGCTGTTCCTGACAGTCCAGCCCTGAGCAGTTCTTCTCCAAGATGGCTGAGATGCGCATGATATTCTCCAGGTGTCTTCTAGCATTGGACAGCTTCTGGATCAGGTAGGCTGGCTTGTAGAACTCGCTGCTGTGCATCTCCACCGCAAACAGCATGTCCAGTTGGTTGGTGCCTGCCACGGGCTGGATGCTGATGATGCGCAGGCTGTCCTGCTTCTGGGTGAGGACTGCATTCCGCAGGGTGCGCCGGAACCCATGCATGTGCAGCCCCACGAAGTCCTCAGGGGACACATTTTCAAAGCGGATGGTGACAGTGTTCTGCAGCATCTCATGCACCAACTGCTCCACATGCACGACCACATCAATGGGTACCTGGAAGCGACCATCACTCACAGACACATTCAGGACATACTTGCCGCTGTCCAGGCCTCCCAGGGCGATGATTTTCCCATCGTGACTGTTCACTTTAAATAAGCTTTTCTGCTCCGATTTCAGGGCAAATGTGAGCACATCATACATGTCTTGATCTGTGGCATGAATCTTCCCAATGACCCCACCAGGAAAGTCATCCTCCATGGTGACAATGAAAATTTCCAGGGGAATGGCTGTGGGCTTGTGGGTGCTTTCCTCAATGACTCGCACGCGGATGTAAGTGTGAGAAACTTGCTGGGGTTTGCCTGAATCCTTTGCCTAAAACAACCAAGAGGTGAAAAGGCAACAAAGGAAGAAAACTAATCATAGTAAGTTTTTAAAAACCCGCAGATAGAAGACGTCTGTACCTTTACGTTTGCTTCTTCCTTCATTCCTTGCCACTATTCTGAAAAATGCTGAGGATGTGCGTTTAAGTAAGAGGAGTGATTTATCACCTTCTATCCCCATATGTACACTCTGTTATGGACAATAAAATGTATCAACACAATAAAGCCGGCTGGGGTGAAGAGAGAAGGAGGACAGAGGGCTACAAGACTCAACATGCCCACAACAGGCTGAGCTTGTTTTAATTGTATGCAGCAACCACAGGGGAAACCTCATAAAGTGGTCTTTCCACTTGGAGGAGAAATTTCTGTTTTCTGTTGGATTATTTCCTTTTGACTGGACCCAGATAGCACCTTTCTGCATATTTAAGAAATGACATAGTTTAAGTGGGAATTATATCATGGTAAGGTTTCAAATAAAATATAATACACTGAAAAGAAAAGCTAAGTAGCTTGATAAAAACCCTTTTTCTCTTCCTTCCATGTGTAAGAATGAACAGAACATCCACTCTGGCAACAGGTCTTTACTGAACACCCATCGCATGCAAGGTGGAGGTATTCAGTAGTGCAGAGCTTCAGGAGAAGGGCAGATTCCCATGGGCTGGGTTTATGGAGCAGGTATCTGAAGATGTGGAGCTGCAGTGAACCCTGCAGACCAGGTGGGATCTGGGGAGAGATGTGTCCTTGTATGTGGAAGCCAGTGAAAGAGCCGGTGCCTGGGCATCACACAGACCTGAGTTTGAATCTTGTCTCTGTCACCCACTACATATCTGGCTTTGAGTATGTTAGTTAACTTCTCTAAGCCTCAGTTTTTGTATTTTTAATATGAGTAAAATAGCAGCATCAACTTCACAGGGTCCTTCTATTGTGGGGATTAAAAGAGAGTCAGTGCAAAGCACTAAACCCAAGGCTAATCCATAGACACACTTAGTACTTGATGTTTCATGTGATTGTTATTTTTATTTGTTTATTTGTTTTGTTTATTTAGAGGCATGGTCTCGTCCTGCCACCTAGGCTGCAGTGCAGTGGTGGTACAATCACAGCTCACTGCAGCCTCAACCTCCTGAGCTCAAGTGATCCTCCCACCTCAGCCTCCTGAGTAGCTGGGAATATAGGTGTGCACCACCACACCAGGCTACTTTTTTTTTGTTTTTGTTTTTGTAGAGATGAGGCCTCACTATGTTGCCAAGGCTGGTCTTGAACTCTTGAGCACAAGCAATCCTCCTGCCTTGGCCTACCAAAGTACTGGGATTACAGGTGTGAGCCACTGTGTCCATCTGTTGTTATTTTTATTATTGCCATCATCACATGCTTTATTTGATGGATGATGTGAACAAGAGATGCTGGAATGTAAAATTCATGGAGAAGGATATAACTTTAGCAGATGAGACTGAACTTGAAGTCAAACTGTGGAGTGCTTCAAAGGAGAGTGACAAGTTTAGACTTTATAGGCCAGAGGTTGCCCGTTCACATGTCAGAGGCCAGAAAGATGAAAGAAAGGCATGAAGCTGCTGGGTATAAGGTGAGAGAGGAATGGACCTGTGGCCAGAGAAGGACTGGAGAGTGCTGCCTGTCAAAAGGTCCTGAAATTCAAAATCTGAAAGTCTGGGGCAGAATTCAGCCTGCAGGGCCTAAGTTTTCAAACACTAGAAAACCAACAGATAGTTTTACTTTATGGCAGTGATCAGCAATCATTTTCTGTAAAGCACTGGATAATAAATATTTTCAGCTTTGTGGGTTTTACAGCCTTTATCACAACCATGCCAGGCTGTCCTATGCAAGGAAGCAGTCACGGAGCATACCTGAATGAAGGAGGCTGTGTGCCAGTAAAACTTCAATGCTAAAAACAGGCTGAGGGCAGGATTTGGTCTAAGGGCTGTAGTTTGCTGGTCCCTGACTAAGGGAAATGATGTACTCTAAGTGGAATGATTAATATGGGAGGGGTGAAGAGTTGGGTCAGAAGAGAATGAAGCTGAAGCCAGAGGAAGCACCCAGGAGGCTCCTGCCACAGTAGCATGATGAAGGGGCTGTGCAGAATACAGTGAGGCAGTGGCAATGGGAATGTGACTGAAGAAAGGAAGAAAACACAGGACTCAGTGGTAGTTTAATACAAGGGACTGGGGGAGGGAGCCTTTTACAAAGATTCTAAAACCTGAGATGTGAAATCTGCTCCATATCCGGAGAGGATAGGCAAACTGTCCTAGTTTCTGTGAGAAGGCACTGAAAAGCTCTTCTTGCCTTGAGTACTACCCTGTGATATAAAATTATTTACACAATATTGTTGGAGGAGCAGATGGCAATTGAAGAGTTCATTGATGTGCTTGGAGCTGGCAGTCATTAATTTAGAAGGTTTCATGGAGTAAAGTAAGGTGTAATTTATCCAAAGAGACAATGTATATTTAAGCCAATGCTATACCAATACCAATAATTACTATTGCTATTATTGTCACCATTAATAATGAGTCTAGGTTGCCCTCTGTAAGCAACAGTGGATAGAAAAAGTCACTCAGTTTCCCTGATGGGATCCAAATCTTGGTATTTGCAGAAATCATACATGGGAACTTTCGGAGGCCCTCTCATTTCCTGCTCCTTCTATACTCTGCATACCTGCCACGTTTGCCTCTTTGGCCCATTTTACGTCACACAGGCCAATGAACATGAGGAACTGACATGCTGGGGGCCACTGCCAGCTGAGTCCTTGGTCCCCTCCTGCCTCACTGGGGAAGGCCTATCAAGCAGAGGCATGAAATGGCTAAGTCCCCTTATGACAGGGATTGGTAGCTGTCCCAAGTGGGGTAATGTGATGGGCAATAGCATAAAGCAGCAGGAGTTTTTAGAATGCAGATTTAAGCCCAGTGACCATCTGTTGGGCATACTCTACAGGAATGTCCTTCCTGAACAATGATGCTTCCCTTCCTTCCTGTTCAGTTTCACACACAGAGGCAGCTTTTACTGGTGTGAAATTGAATTTGAGATTAAAAGGGGGAACATTCCCGCATGGTAATGAATTATGTTGACTTACTCAGCAAAGAAAAAAATCCACCAAAGGGGACAGAAACAAGCATGAGAAAGAAAGACAGCACGACGGAGACAGAGTGCGATGCCATACCTGGACACACAACACGTATTCCAGAGACTCTGTGTGCTGGAAGACCACAGCCGACCGCAAGATCCCATGAGGGTCCAACACAAACTCCTCCTCTTCATTTCCCGACAAAATAGAGAATGAAAAGGGAGGCCCATTGTGAAAGGAGTCTCTGTCTGTCACCACCAGCTGCAAGATGCTGGTGCCCACTGGCTTATTTTCCTGCATAAAAGAGTATATAGTAAAAATGAAGATAAAAATTACACTTCTCTTCACATTCATTAAAACAAAACAAAACAAATCAAAAATACCATCATTTCAGGCTGAGAGTGCTGAGCTAGAAAACAGGGCTTTCAGCAGAAGGGATTCCCTGTGACATTACCTTGTCTTCTGAAAACATGTTGGTGTCTGTAAGTGTCATGTTCCTTATCTTTGGCTGCTTCCCACAACCACCTATGGGACAATCCTCTACTGGTGTGAACACAAGGACTTGGAGCTGCCTGGGTTTACAGGTTCCGAGCATGGTGCTGGGTGCACCTTGTCCTGGGTTAGCTGGCAATGCCCGAGCTGACCTGAAGAGCTCCACTGGGATGGGGAGGCACTTCCTCACACACACATGTCACAACACAATTATGCTGAGGCCCAACACTAGATACAATGTCACAGCATTAGATTTTTTGGGGGGACATCCTGGCAACTTCCTAGTCAATATACAAAGGCATATTCCTGGTGGAAAATGGGGCTTTATACCTTACCTAATTCTCTAGAACACGGTTTTGCCATGTTCCTTTAGGGAAGCGAATCGGGGTAAAACATTCCTCCATTTGACAATGAACAGAACAGGAATCCTTAATTTTGTCAGAATTCTTGGAAGTCCTGATTCTATTACATAAGCATTATTTTGCAGAACTTCTCTGCTTTTTTCCCCAAATGGGAATGCAAAGCTCCTTCTTGGGTCAAAGGTCATCCTCACGTTGAAAACGGCAAATTAAATCCTCTGTAGCTCAGGTATTGCTGTCCTTTCCCCTACTCTGTTTAGACTTCAGCAATACCACAGCTTGGGCCTGAAATCAGTTGTATCAGCTCAGGCCTCCTGATGCCATCGACCTAAGGATTAAACCAGTTTGGGTTGCAGAGATGGAGACGATGATACACTACAGTTTGGAGGGCAGGCCCAGTCAAGTTTTATGTGTTGAATTAGTCTTATGAAAACCATGTGTGGAAATAAGAACGTCATTCAGGGTTGGGAAAAAGGAGGCATATTTTTTGAAGAAGAAAGAGAAAAGGACTGCATAGACCTCTTATTTTGCTCCTTTTCACAAGTGTCCTTTTGGTCATCAAAAACTAGACAGTGTCTCCCTCTGGAATCAGTCGTGGGACCACCATAGCCCCACATATATTTACTATTTCACACTGACTGATTTGTTTGCTTACTCTCTAAAGGCCGCTTCCTGCATAGAAGAGAGGGAGAGAGACAATGTGGCCCTCAGGGTCAGCATCTGAGAAGAAGGGTATAAGGTAACATAGACATGCCTGCCCTGCGGATAGGGGCCCCACCATCACTCATGGGCTGAGCCTCTCCGTGCTTTCACTGTTGACCTCCTGTTGCGCATTTGAAAACAGTCTGTCAAGCTGATTGATGTGTGTCATAAAACTGAATGTTGAGTAGGAGAAACCCACTTTGTTTTGGGGTTAGCAAACAGAGGCCATGAGGGCAGAGAGCACCCTTGTGAGCAACAGTCATGGAGAAGAGTGAGCTGAGAGAAAGAGAAATGGAGGAAGGTGTGGACTCTGGGCGAAGCTCTGGGGAAGCAGGAGTGTGGTGAGAATGCAGAGCTGCTGGAAAAAGCATCAGAGAGGAGGAGAAAACCAAAACACCACCAGGGAAGGAATCAGATTTCGCTGACAAAGGGGTGGGAACCAGCAGACAGCTGCTTCCTTCAAGGCTGCCTCCCAGTCTGATTGCTGGACAGCTCAGTGGCCCTGGGGTCTGAGGAGGCCAGCTATGGATGGTCAGGCTCAAATTCTTGAATGTTATTCCAAAGGGGACCCTCAAGAGCTGGCCCACTCACATTTCACCTTCCACCCACAAAGCCCTGGGACTCCTTTGGGGTGATTCTGAGGCCAAACTGGATCATGCAAGAACTAATTCTCTAGAATACCTGTGGCCCTCCAAGTCATGCATATCACTCTGTCTTCTCTAAGTCCTCTACACTGACAGTTTTCCTGGGCTAGATTTCCTGATCCTCCTAAAGTTGGGCTTTCAGCTCCTAGAAATACTGAGAAGTAGAGGACGCTCAGTACCTAGCACTGTGCCCGTGGAATAAAAAATAGATGGGAAGAAGAGTCACTCTCTCTTATAGCAGAATACCAGCAGTAAGTTACTCTATCCTGCAGTCTGATTTTAAAGAGCAGGTGGATTTAAAGTGTTAAACAAATTGCTTATGGAAGATTAATTTTAATGAGTACCAGCTCTATCCTGATGCCCAATCTGTCTTTGACTGATGAGACAATGCGTATCAATCTCTGTCATCTGCCAGAATAGCATAAAGTTGCTTAAAGGTAGCCTGCCACTGGGGAAAGAGAATTCTTTTGCAGAAGACAGCCCCAAGTTCAAATCCTGACTCTGCCACTTACCAGCTGCATGATCTTTGGTGAATTACTTAACCTCACAGATCCTTAGCTCTTTCCATTATAAAGTGGGGACCAATCCACCATCCCTCTTCACAGTGTTGTTGTGGGGAGAGACAGAGTGCATAAAGCACCTGACAGTTGAAAAAAATCCACCCCTCAATAGCTCTTACTCACATTTATTAATCATCTGTGGTAGAAGAACTAGGTTCTTTTTCATACCTGCCCTATGAAGGGATGAGATGACATTAAGTAATAGTAGCAATAAACCACAATGAGTAAACCACAGCAGAGGAAGAAAGCTGAATGCAAAGGGACAAGTGCTTGGCAGGCAAGATTTTCTCACCTGAATCACAGCAGTATAGTTGGCAGGTGTAAACACCGGGCTGTTGTCATTCACATCAGAAATATCAATGTTGACAGTTGCAGTTGATGACATTGCAGGAATGCCACTGTCTACGGCCTGGACAAGCAGAGAGTATCCAGACACCTGCCAAGGTACAAAGAGGTGACAGTAAAGAGGTGTAGCGCTTCCTTCCTTCTGTGCACACACAGAGGAACTGGAGCTACAGGCTGTGCTTTGTTAAAGAGCAACCATCTTTAGTTTGATTTTCCAGACCGGGTGATTCTTGGCACCACTGACATTTGGGTCTGGATAATTCTTTGTTGTTGGGGGCTGACCTGTGCATTTTAGGATGTTTAACAGCAACCCTGACTTCTGTCAAGTGGGAGGCAGTATCACCCCCTGCCCAGTTATGACAGCCAAAAATGTCTCCAAACGTTGCCAAACGTCCCTGGGGGACAAAACCACCCTGGTTAGTACCCAGGCTCTGGGCCTTTGCTCAGTGCAATAGTTGTCACTGCTGATCTGTCTTATTTATCAATGTTAATATTTCTGGGGTTATGAGCATGTATCACCCAGTAGAGTCTATCTGCTTTTTAGCATCATTGCCATGTCATCCTTTTCCATATTTAATTTCCCTTCGAAGATGAATATTTTTTGGTCAAGAAAGACAATGTTTAGAAACTTCACTTAACCTTGGACAGAGAAATTTTTTGGACTATTTTTTCTGACCTAGATGCCTTCAGGTGATCTTTTTGTACCTGCTCACCGAGGGCTAAAGTTGCTCATAAAGTCAGGATCACAGGGTCCCAACACCCTGAAAGTATTTTTCTGTCCCTTTGCTCTAGGAAGGGCTAAAATTCAAACCACCTAGAAAGATACATATTTATCTTTTCTTTAAAACCTCCATAACCAGCATCTATTATAGGTAGAAAATTCTATCAAAGGTCTAACCCTAATATTTCATGCTGCATTTTAGCCCATCCTTATTTACTCTCATTACTTAGAATGGAGAACTTTCCTATTTACACCCGTGGAGCTTGTGCCCCTGATTCTAGGAAAGTGGTGGATGTGGATGGGAAGGAAACTGTCCTAAACTAGCTTACCCGTTCCCGGTCCAATTTCTTCTTAACTTTCACAAGTCCCAAGACAGGATCTACAGTAAATTCATTGTCCCGATCTCCATTCACAATGGAAAAATGAATCTGTCCGTTGGGCTGGCTGTCTACATCTTCTGCTATTAGCTTCATGGAAAACAAGCAAAACAAAGAAAAGACATGACATAAGGCAGCAAAGGTTGATTCTTAGGGTCCCAGGTCTGTTTAAATGGGTGCAGCTGTGACAGTTTTCTCGGGAGCTCTGCTCTCTAATGTTAGTGACCACGCCCCCAGCAGAAGAGATGATTAATCAGCTGAAGGAGGGTGGCACCAGGCCCGCAGCTGCCATTTTATTTTTATGTTAATTTTTTACCTGCCCACAGCCTGATGCCTGTTAGGCCTGATTTTCCTCAGGGTTTGAGACAGTATGGTTAGAGCCCAAAGCTAATGGACAGGAACGCTTTGATTTCTTCCCAATCCTGCAAGTAATGGTCTCTGCCATTGAGTGAGGGATTCTCTAGGCCTATGCATTTCCATGTTAAGGAAGCCAAGAAAGTTCCCCTTCCCACACAGCAAATATACCGCCCCTCTGTCTATTGCTCCAGGTTGATGATGTTGAAATTTATATGTATGGAAACAGTCATGTACTTTCCAGGAAGCAGAGTGGGCCTGAGGGGTGCACTTCTGATGTATAAGAAATGTACTGTCCTCCAGCAGAGAGCGGCTCCACCCTCATCCTGCAATGAGATGACTTGGATGGAAGGGACCTGCCAGCCAAGGGATGGGGAAGGATGGTGAGGAGGGGACTCTTTGTTCCAAAATGTAATTTGCGGTCTAACAGAATCTGTGTTCTCAGGATACATGGCTTGTTCTTACTGTTAGACAGAGTTCCCCCTGGAAAAGTCTCCTTTAAGAGTGGCTAGTCAATCTTAGGTTTGCTCCAAATTGTAGCTGCCCAACTCTGTGTGTCTGTGTGTGTAGGGGGAAAGGGGGACAGGGATTTTATTTGATCCTCAGCAATCTAATAATTTTAAATTGTAAATTGACAAATCATAGTTGCATATATTTATGGGGTACAAAGTGATGTTATGATTTATGAATACAATGTGGAATAATTAAATCAAGCTAATTAACACATGAACCATCTCAAAAACCTAGCATTTTTTGTGGTAAGAACATTTGAAACTTACTCTTAGCCGTTTTGAAATGTACAATATACCACTATTAACTATATTCATCATGCTGTGCAACAGATCTCAAAAAAAAGAAAAAAAGAATATATTCCTCCTAGCCACCTAATAACCTGTCATATAAGTTCACATCTACATAGGGGGCCATCATTAAAAATTCATCCCATGGTCTGTTTTATTTTCTCAAAAAAGATATGCTCCTGGGAAATAAGTGATTATCAATCACTAACACCTTGATATAAATTAATCTATCAGACTCTTCCTAATATACAAATTACAGAAGGAGCCATAGAAAGATGGCTCCTATTCTTGGGGACAAATGGACACTGAAAGGGGGAAGTGTGAAGAAAACCCAAGACGGACTTTGCTTTCTTCTTCACTTTATTGTGGATGACTAGTCCCAAACATCTAGAACCATCCCCAACCCCAGGTACCTACCAAAATGACAGAGTCTCCCACCAAGGCGTCTTCACTGATAACCGCACTGTAGACGTCTTGGCTGAACTTGGGAGGGTTGTCATTAACATCTGTGAGGTTGATGTTGACAGTGGCCACAGCGCTGAGAGCTGGGGTGCCCCCATCTTTGGCTTCCACTACCAGGTAAAACCTTTTGCATAATTCATAGTCCAGGACTTCAGAGACAGAAATACCCCCTTTGAAGAAAAATGGGGAGCTTTATATTTCATTAGGAAAAAACACTGGTCAGCAATTCTATAATCATGGTAATATTTCTAACATCCTCTCCAGCCAAGAATTTAAACATTCAGGAATTTGTTTATTTAATGCCTTACTGAAAGTATTACAGACGTCTGATTAATGCTGTCAGTGAGAGCATAGCTATCCATCAAACATAACACTGAAGAAATGAAAAGTCTTTACATGTTTCTGTAACAGTTTATGAACATCTCTCAGGCAGCTTGAAAATCTCTGGCATCTTCACTCTCACACAACTAACGAGTAGGAACAGAAACAAGCATCCCTGATAGGTGTCTTCTGATTCCTCAGGTGGACAGAGGAAGACCAAGAATGAGCTGAGATTTGGGGATGTGATGGTATGACCTCATTCTTGTCAGCAAGTAAATACTTGCAGACTTCACTGAATTGAATTAACCACAAAGGTGCCTTGCCAAGTTAAAATGCACTTATCTAAAACAATTGTGGCACAAAGAGGGCAAAGATCTCAGAAATCTCAAGGTATAGTGACAGAATAGAAAAGGAACTACCTGGAAATCAAACAGCCCAGCAGCCACATATTGAGTTTAGTGCCCACAACTACAGAAGAGAGATGATAATGTCCATGTCACAGAATTGCTTAAATAAGTAGAACATGTGAAAGCAGCTAGCTGGGTGTTGGTGCTATATCCTTCCCATCCTAGCCCTTTCTTGGGAGGTAACCCAATCCTGCATTCTGCAGTCATTGTATTGCCTGCAGAACACTTCTCAAGGGCATTTATTTTCCTCCCACCTAGTAAACAATCATGAGGACTGGTGAGAAGGTCATGACCATTCACATTTCCAGACAGGCAACTTCTCTAGTTGCTAAGACTGCCAATAGGCTCCTTCTACCTAAGGCAAAACACAGAAATCATACCTGTAACAAGAGCCTCTTTCTCCCCATAATTAAGTTTTCTGGAACTTACCACCCCTAGTGCTTATTTTGCATCCCAGTCTTGCTAACTAGTGCTAAATTTAAATAGTACTTAGCCATTTCCCCATGGTGTTTATATACAATGGTCATAACTAGACAGGCTAGGGACAACACATATTTAAATGAGGGAAACCCCCATACATTTTATTTGAGATAATGACCTTAATAAACAGTTACTGCCAGGAGAGACTGTGATGCAATTCCTCCATCAATATTTTCACCTTCCAATACTTACCACGGGCCAGGACTGTATTTCTTACATTTTTGGTATCCCTACAGTATAGCAGTGTTATATTATATTATATTAGAATACGCATTCTAGAGTCAGAAAGATCTGAGTTCGAATGTTGGATAAACCACTTATTAACAGTGGACACTGCGGTAATTATTTAACTTCTCTGAAATTCTGTTTTGTACTTAGTAAGAGCCTGGTATATTTGCCATGTTAAATAAACATTGCTAATTATAATGATTTCTTGTTTATATTTACTGGACTACCCAAAGGAAAATGGACCTCCTTTGCCACCTTGTTCAACAGGTGCATACTCCTTGAGTGATGAGGGAACTATGTGCAAAGGCTGGAAGGTGAGAGACTCACCTTTGTTCTCTGCAAAATGGGAACTTCCTTGACTATTCATAGGGGAATTGGGAAATAAGTGAGAATATTCACCAAAGGGCTTTGGGATAGAAATCCATACAGTCTATGAAAATACAAGGATGAGTATGTTTAGTCTTCAAAGAACATCCAAGCTTGTTTTCTAGAATTACGACCTTTATTTGCCTGAAGCACGTCTAATACTTATTAACTCGCTGGTGAAGAGAAAGCCCCAGGGTTCTCTCTTATTCTGTTGCTTTATTTCGAAGCACCTTTTTATTTCCTAGGTGATGCTACATGTTCCCCAGAGTTGGAAAAGGATGTGGTGAGAAATGAGTGTTCTGACCATGAATTGTGAACTGGGTTCAAACAGAGCACCAGTTCCAGCTCACCGATGGAGTCTACTTGGGGTGCTGGGTTGAGAAGGCTGCATATCACCATGCAGATCACTTATCAGTGTCTGCCTGTGCATGTGATGAAGGAGTGGTAGTCCAAGTGTGGACAGTTGCACACGGAGGCTCATCCCCATGAACATTTTCCAACATGTGCACATATGACTTAAGTTTAAAAAACCCAACAACATCAAACAGAAAAGAGAGAAAATCAAACAAACTCTTGTTCTTGGAATACAAATACTATTTCCTCTCTCCATTGAGAAACCACATTGCTGCCCCTGAGCCCTCCCACCTAGAAATCCTGGAGCCAACCTGGGGGTCAGATATTTGCTAAGTAAGCCCACAACAAGGAGCTTAAAATTTAGCAGGAGCCATCTTTAGAAGCTGGAGGGCACTCTGTGGTCTGAATGTGGGCCCTGCTAACAGATTTGTTTCCTCTGTGAAGGAGGTAGGAGGAGGAAAAAGAGTCCACCAAGAAGGGCTGGCAGAGTGTTTTCGGGAGAAGCAGGATATAGTGAAGTCCTGCATTCTTACTATTATTATTTTTTTTGGACACAGTCTTCCCCTGCTGCCCAGGCTGCAGTGCAATGGCAGGAATGTTGCTCACTAGAGCCTCTAGCTCCTGGGCTCAAGTAATTCTCCCATCTCAACGTCCCAAGCAGTAGGGACCACAGGTGCATACCACCATGCTTGGCTAATATATTTTTTTAAATTTTTGTAGAGACAGGGTCTCACTCTGTTGTCCAGGCTAGTCCTGAACTCCTGGACTCACTCGATCTTCTTGCCTCAGCCTCCCAAAGTGCTAGGTTTACAGGTGTGAGCCACCGTGCCAAGCTGAAGCTCTGTATTCTAAGTACAGTGCTATTTACCCACCTGTCTTGGGGTTGATCTTAAATTTCCCTTGTTCGTTCCCAGACCGGATGAGATAAGTGATCTCAGCATTTGTGCCAATATCTTTGCTGGTGGCAAAAACAGCAAGGACTTGGGTGCCAGGGGAGGTGTCCTCAGGCACCGTCACCAGGTAGTCCCTCCTCTCAAACACAGGGGGGTTGTCATTAATGTCCAGAACGGTGATGGTGACAGTAGTGAGAGAGGACAGGGACTGTCCAGGACTCTGGTCAGTGGCCCGCACGCTGATGTTGTACGAAGACTGCTGCTCACGGTCCAGTGGCTGCTCCAGGATGATGATGCCAGATGAGCTGTCAATGGAGAAGACCCCACCAGCTGAGTCTGCCAGGGAGTACACGACCTTCCTATTGATGCCTGTGGGAGAGACACAGGAAAATGAGTGGGCAAGAACATGGCCAGATGATCTGCACTAGAATGTTACAGCTTTGCAGACTTTTGAAGGGCCACAACAAGAAAAATAGTTATTACAGAAACAGACAGCTGTGGCTCTACAAAAATGTAAATTTCAGTTTATGGGAAAAAAAAGACAATGGAATTAAAAGGCAAAGAAACTGGGAAAATACTGGCAACAAATATCAGAAATAGTTGGATATTCTTAATATACAACTCGCCCCCCACAAATCTTTAAGAAAAACTGTGAGGCTAATAGATGCAGGGGTAAAGATGTGGCACAGAAAGAGAAATAGAAACCAACCAAAACCAATTAATTAATTAATTACTTCAACACAGATGTATTTAGAATCTACCAGGCACTTTCTAGGGGCTTGAGGGTCTAGCAATGGGCAAGTCCAACATTTCTTGAAGAGATTTTACATTATAGTGGGGCTGTAGTGGTGGTGAGGGGGAAGCCACTGGTGAGCTGTGAGATGGGAGTCATGAGATGTGATGTAGATTTTAACAGGATCCCTCTGGCTTCTGCTCCTGAACAGATGGAAGGGCAGCCAGAGAGGAAGGAGGGAGACCAGTCAGCAGCCTCCTACAGCAACATAAGCACGTGATCTTGGCGGCCTGAACAAGGCAGATGGTGTCGGAAGTGGTGAGAAGGGGTCAGGTTCCACATCTATTCTAAGCACCCAGGTGGTGAGAAATGAAGGGTTCCTGGATGTATTCTGAACTTGGAGGTGGCGAGAGTGTTTTCTGATTGTGGAGCTGGCAGGATACAGGATGTGAGAGAAACAGAGGCTTCTAGAATGACCCTTAGGTTTTGGCCTGAGCAATTGGAAAGAGGGGGTTGTCATTAGCTGAGATGGGGAGGGCTGCAGAAAGACTAGGTTTTGAATGCAGAAGCCCTATTCTGGACAGATTAAGTGTGAGATGTGCATTTGATATTCAAGTGCAGATGTCAAGCAGGAAGTTAGATAGAAGAGGCTGCAGTTCAGAGGAGAGGGCCAAGCTGGAGCCATAAATTTGAGTGTCATTGGTGTACAGATGTCATGCAAAGCCATGCAAATGAATGAGGTCATAAGGGATTATAGAGGGAAAAAAAGAAATCTAAGGGTCAGTGAGCCTGGAATACTCCATCAAGGAAGGGAGAGGATCTAGTCCAAGGGTGCTCTCCTGCTCTACGATTTCAAGAAATGTACCTAGTTACCAAAATACCATTTTATGTTACTATGTACTAAAGCTAAAACATACAAACTAGGAAATGTCTATTAACAACCAATTAATTATTGAATAACGGTTGGATTGACTTCTACTTCTGAATATTGATTTAACTGGTTTCATTAGAGGATTTCAGCACTTCAAAACAGTTTAGAAACCTCATGTTCACTTTAGTTGTTTGTTAGGATTTATAAGAAGTAAATTGTAACAGCTTTGTGGGCTGAAAAAGCACCATTCTGATCCTAAATACCCTTAAAGAAGACGGTCATTAGTCAGAGGTCTTTAGTTATGACAACCATCTGAAAATGTCTTTTGAGAATTGTGGAACCATAGAATATAAGCTCTTAGAGGGGAGGGCTTAGACATTTTTTTTTTCTTATTATAACACCTCATTTGGCAATAATAAGAGCTAAACATTTTACTTTCCCAATGTACAATTTCCCTTAAGCCCAAGTTCCCAGCAAACCAATAAAATCATATATCTTGAGGGATGACATAAATTGCATTATGTGGCTTTAACCAAAAGGTCAACACTGAGAGCCTGTTCTTGGTTCCATTCCAGAGAGTCCATTTTTTCCAAAGTTTCATCATTTACTTTTATTTCTTTTTCAAAACAACTGCCCTGTGATGTATACACATCAACCTGTGATTTTATTGATGCTGGGATTAAAAATAAGAAAGCTTTCCTCTTCTCTTGCTGTCTCCTTGAAATAAGGCTTCAGAGCAGACATTTAGGGGTGCTTTCTGGCTATTGTTGGAGTGGCTGCAAGATTAAATTCTTCAACATGAATTCCTGAGGTGAATACACACACGGGTTGCATAGGTGATCAAGCTTGCACCTGGAAAACAATGGCCCTGTCTGGGTGTCAGAATAGGTTGTGTGCCCCGGAAGCTGCCTTCACTGATTCAGTGGTCTCAGGATGCCTCTCCAAGTCACAAAAATGCATTTATGGAAACACATCAGCGATTGACATAAATACAGCACACAGGTTTTCAAATCACACACATTCCCTACAGAATTAACTTCCACCTCCAGCATATGGTACGCTGCTCTTGCCAATAAGAAGTGCAGGCATGAAATTCATGCAGGGACTTCCATTAGTGCATGTGCTGGGAACTACAAAATCCATTTCACTGATGCATTAACCAAGGACTTGCCTGGTGCAACCAGCATTTTTAGGTAGGCATGAGGAACAACATGCAAAGTCCTGTTTTCCTTAGGCTCTTTGCCCAATCTCCTTAGGGATTTCAGGAGATCTATGCTTGGAAATTTTTCCTTTTCAGGCCTGAAGATCAGTTATGGAAGAAGGTAATTTCTGACACACTGTTCTGAAGGCCACAGTGCTGTGAACAGATGAGTGAGGAGAGGTAGGGGCTGGATTTGCACGCTGCCGCTCTCCGCAGCAGCAAGGCCAGAAGGGAAGGTGCTTTTAATGGATGCCTGTGTTTCCTTCACTGAGACACAAAGCTGAAATCTAATTCTATCACCTCTGTTCCAGGCCTGCAGCCTTCTCTTCAGCCCTGTTTAGAGGCACTCATCTGGGCTCTGATCCCCTAGGCAGGAGATTCTGCATTCTCCAAGCTTCCTGCTCAGCTGACTAGCCCTGTTGTTGGAGTGCTGCGTTTACAGGACTGACATTAATCAGCCACACAAAGACCATGGCTCCCCTCCGGGCAGATTCTGTTAATTTTAACTCCATGACAGGGTTTTTCTGCTTTACCATAGCAGAAAACCATCCCTTCCCCCTGCAAGTTGCTGACCCACACTCCCCCCACCTCCTCATACATTTTCCTTCTGACAATATCTTGGGCATTCACACCAGGAGGAACTGGAAGATATATTGTTCCTCTCTTCTTTCTGTTACCAATCAGACTGATAAGGAAGCATAACCAGAAAGGGGTGGGGGAGACCCAGGACAAAAAACCTGCTAAATGGCATCACTTAGGATTTGCTACCTCTCAAGAAAAGAGCAGGATATATTTTTGTAGCATATTAAACCTCCAATTTAGACACAATTGCAATGGATTTCAATAAGTTTTAGAAATAAAGTCAGAAGCATAGTCGCCAATTTGGAAATAGTATTTTTGGGATAGCATTTGGGTCTTTGCCATGTTCCTGGGCAATGGGGTGCCATCTTTATAAGGAATGCAGGTCATGTTGCTAAAGTGGACACTTTTTATCCAAAGGGATTTGATAAATGCCATCCTTCAAATTGCTATCCCTTTCTACATACACAGCAGAAATGATGAACCCAAGCAGAAGACTTGCTTGCTAATTGGTCTAATGCTCCTACTGCATGTCATGATGTGTTACATTAAGGTATAACATTAATCCATCATTTTGCCTCTGTGTTTTTAACTATGTAATTCTCTTCTCCAATTTGAGCCTAATTTAATGAGGATGGAGATACTTAGCTTCTTTAAATGCTGAAATGCCAGGTTACCAAGAGAAGTGTGACTTTCATTGCAAGTGAGGTTTCTGCATGTTATCTGTGGCAAATGGAGCAGACAGGCCTTCAGAGAATTGAAATCAAGGAAAAGGAGAATGATTAAAATCCCTTTTGCTCAAAGAAAGTAATAGGTAGTGGCAATTTGTGGAGTGGGATAGGAGAAAGAAAATAGCACATACAAATTCCTAGTAGGGAAGGCTGTGAAATTCAGGAATGGGTTGTGAAAGACATCTATATTCTGCCTCTCGGAAGGTTTATAAATGGAGTCCATGTTCCTCTCAATGGGCCAAATGGAAAGTTGGACTTTTTGGACGTGGGACTGTACATAAAAGTCAGTTTAAAATGCATTAAAATGAAGGCAATGTGGTCTAGTACTGGAAGACAGGGGACTTTACCTCTAGGCCACAGCCTGCCCAAACTACACAAGTGTCCTTGGGCAAGTCACTTCGTTTCCCTGGGTCTGCATTTCTAGAGTGGCAGAACCCTGGTCAGTTGAGGTCTAAGATTATTTTCCAGCACTATGACTCCTTTCCAAGTTAAATAAAGGGAGTTGGTTTCATTTCTATTTCCAGTGGATGCTCCCTGCAACTGCTCATTAAGTTGCTGGACCTGGGCCTAAGTGGGCCAGAATCAACAAAGGAAAAATCCACATTCAGCTGGATCATGACAAGCTATTAGAATCTTCAGGATGGAAGGAAAAGTTAACACAGCAGATTCATACCATTCGGTTAAATGCTCAGAATTCACACATACAGCTTACAGTTATACAGGTCCTTACACTTCAGTGAGAAATAACCCCCAGTGAGAGGATCATCCCTGGGGATCTAACCTACCAGGTGCCAGAATAACTTAGTTTTAAATCTGAGATTGCTAAAGGTGTTAAAATCAGCACTGAAACCAAATGGCAAGAGTCACCAACACAGCATATACACTGAGCTGTTTTTGATCTGGTCTTTAAAAAGTATTTTCTCTCCTCCTCCTAAGATCAGGATCCCTAAACTTAAGGAACCAGAAAGAGCTATGTTCTGCCTGGTTTGGTGTCTTGTGCTGGCAGCTGCCCTGACTTCTCTGCAGGGTCTTGTCTCTGACATTCACTCCTATGTCTCTCATTGCCTGCACGGGATCTAGCCTGCAGGTGGCACACAAAAAATGTGGGTTGCACTAAGTTGCAGTAAACTGGTTTTTACAAAGGGATTTAAACTTCAAAGGAGCAAGTATCTTGGGAAGAAATAATGTGAAGCAATTTCAACAATCATATTTTAGTAACACTTTTAATGTGGGTTCTAATCTCTAATTTTTATAT
Source organism: Homo sapiens (assembly GCF_000001405.40). NCBI lineage: Eukaryota > Metazoa > Chordata > Mammalia > Primates > Hominidae > Homo > Homo sapiens. The sequence goes on along the minus strand of NC_000011.10, from coordinate 92,826,620 downwards.
TAACTTTATTGAGGTGTCATAATCACATATCATAACATTAGTACATTTTAAGTCTCTACCTCATACATTCTGACAAATGTCTACCTTCATGGATCCACTGCCCTCATCAAGATCTAGAACATTTCAATCCCTGTTTAGGTTCCTTCTTGTCCTGTTGCAGTTAGTTTCTCAATCCCATGCTGCAGGCTATCTAATAAGTTGGTTTTGAGCCAACACTTTCTCCTGGCTTTATTAATACGTATTCATCAGTGCTTGAAATACCACAAGTATGTTTAGATTTCAGTCTTTATGACCCAGGCTTGGTGATTAACTCATGCTCTTATTTAAACTGTAAGAATTATCCTTTGAAGAAAAATGATCAACAAAGCTTGGGTTCTTGACTATGTCACTGCATTCCTTTGCCATGGCCTTATTCTTAAAAGACAGTGTTTTGTTTCTTTTGAGAAGTGGAAGGTTTCTGTCTTTCTTGCAGGAGACACAGGCTATGACACTTCCATTTAATAAGGACTTGCCAAGTGCCACCTGTCTGCTTGACTACTCTAGGCATTGACTTGAGAGTAAGTGGAGTCCCAAAGACATGATCCCTAACTCTGGAAGCTTAGCAACTTGGTGAAGAATTATTTGAACTGGACATAGTAGTTTAGAGGTTTACTTTTCTGCATGTCACCTTCTAACTTCCTCTCTCACATAAATTGGAATGCTGGGTTGTTTTGATTCTGCCTCTGAGATATCTCTTGAATGTCTTGTGGCCAGGTGAGGCTCTCATTCTCTCTTGCCTAGACTGCCTTAAGGGACTCCTAATTGCAAACTGCAGCAGAGTTGATACCCTGTCCTCTAAACTTAACCAGTGTTAAGTTTCTAAAATTCTGGATCCAGGCTTGCCCCAGCTTCTCAGACAGTAACTGACTTCCAACTTCCTACAAACAGAAGCAAAAACTTTTGAGAATGGCATTCTAGTCCTTTGCAATCTGGTCCCAACCCCCCTTTCCAGTGTCATTTCCAGCTCCACTTCCATCCTGTACTGTCTACCCCAGTGCTGCCTGAAGGCCCCCCACACATCTCCTTCCCTGGTCTGCATTTGTGCTTTGCCCTCTTCTCCGAATGTTCTCTTACCTCTTTCTCTTGTCAAAATCCTACATATGCTTTGCAGGGTCTCCTCTGGAACAGCTTCCTTAATTTCCTCAGTTATTTCCTCCTCTGTGTTCCCTTAATGTTATTTTTGCCTCTATTTTTTGCATTATCATTAGTTATATGCATATCCCCTCTCCCAGTAGATTAATGTACCTTTTAGGTAAAGGAACTGTGTCTTATTATCTTTGAACCCCAATACTGAGCACAGACCCTGGCACATAGAGAGCAATGAATGTTGAACCGCAGAAGAAACAACTAGGGGACCAAAGCAAGTATACGTTCCTGCTAACATAACATATGCAGGTGATGCACACAGTACACATATATGTCCATTGCAAATGCATGTGCTGAAAGAATTAAATAACCTTGAAAAAGGACAATGTGGAAAAAACTGCTTTCTTTTATTAAGGAACATTTAGTTTTTTAATATTTAACAATGTATATAAAACATTCATATACATACACAAAGCTTCTGCTAAATAGATGTTTGCATTTGTGAAAAAAAACTGGTACTTACCCAATTTTCCAACAATGAGGACTGGTTGAATCCATCATCCCACGGTCATATGATGTATATAGAATACTATGTACAATGTCACAATAAAGATGTAAAAGAATATATAATGGCATAGAAATATAGTTGCAGGTCATCAAAAAAGCAAGTTACAAAATAATATCTAGTTTATGAGCCTAGTTTTGTGGAAAAAAAAAAGGCAGAAGGGATTTCTATCAAAGTGGTAACCATGGTTAAAAATGACTTGTTTTCTTTTTTGTTTACCCTTCTAGGTTAAGAGCATGTTTGTAAACACACACTATGTTTGTAATAAATAAAAGAACTATTATAAAAATTATGTACATGAGAAATAATTCTTTAATATCAATTTTGGAGTGCAATCAAATACTCAATTTATTTTGCAGGCCAGTTTAATTGTCAACATCCATACCACTCGAAAATGCAGAAAAGATACATATTGTATAGGCTACTTTTTCTGGATATTTCTATTCTCCATTATAGTTTGTCTTCAGAAAGACACTGGCTTTACTTAGAAAATCACTTTTGTCAAGGTCTCATTATAAAGTTATTTAAAGAAATGTGATTTAAAAATGATTTTCTTTCTTTCTTTCTTTTTTTTGAGACAGAGTCTCACTCTGTCACCCAGGCTGGAGTGCAGTGGTGTGATCTCAGCTCACTGAAACCTCTGCCTCCTGGGTTCAAGCGTTTCTCCTGCCTCAGCCTCCGGAGTAGCTGGGATTACAGGCACACACCACCATGCCCGGCTAATTTTTGTATTTTTAGTAGAGATGGGGTTTCACTATGTTGGCCAGGCTGGTCTCAAACTCCTGACCTCAGGTGATCCACCCACCTCAGCCTCCCAAAGTGTTGGGATTACAGGGGTGAGCCACCACACCCAGCCTTAAAAATGATTTTCATACTTAAATTAAGCAAACAAAATGGCTAGCCTAAAATTCTTCTCTCATTCTCTGTGGAAGGCAAATAAAATCCCACTACAATGAAACAGCTTAAATTAATGGCTCCTTTTTCCTCTGTTTGAAATATGCCTGTGGATAATATGAAATAAAACAGGAAGTTGCCATGAAGAGGCCCATGGAATTAGCAATTACTTTTTCAGTTGGCAATTAATTTTAAATAGACTCCCTAATTACTTCTGTTTTAAGTGCCTTTTAAAAGTTCTTCATTGGGTGATGACTAAAACTGGCACATTCCCATGGGCAGAATACCAGCTCCTGGGGTCAGTCAGTAGCCCCTCGGTTTTTTGAAGTCAAAAAACACAGAAGGTAACATCAGTCACAGAGTCCAGGAGACCCTGATGACTGCACCAAAAATCTGTTGAGGACTTCCCAATTGGGCTGGCTGTAGCTCTGCTGGGTAGGAGCAACAACATGATTGTGGGCTCCCATGCAAAATAAAAATACAGGGACTCTTGTTTAAACAGTATTAAGACACTCAACACAAGCCAGAAGAGAGCACTAAGTGAAACACAGGGCCCTTCTAAGCAAGGAGTTCTGTTTGACTGCACACCTATAAAACTGGCCCCATTGCTGGATAAGACTATAGTTATACCTTCTGTGATACCTAAAAAGCTGCAGCTTATCTGGGTTAAACTTTTTCAACTATCTATGGCTTGGCATGAAGCTACACCTGGGATGATTAAGTGTAAGTAAACTAATTCATCAACTAAATACTCAAAACTCCATGTTTATTGGTACATGGAATGTCTGTGCTGGATAGCTACCCAACGATCATGCAACGGGTTTTCTATATGGGCCACTAAGTGTGACCACTGGATCCATTCATTCATTCATCCAAGAAATACTTAACTCCTGCTGCATGGCAGGCACTGGGGATACAAAGAAGGATGGCTCCCACCACTTATGTGCTCTCAAACGGCTCTCATTTCTCAGGAGACAAGCATGTATAGAGTTGATTGTTGGAGAGGGGTGGTCAAGGGAAGTTTCTCAGAGAAGAAAACAAATGGATTGAGTCCTGAAGGAAAGATAGGAGTTGTCAGTAGCAAAATAAGGTGGAAGAGTGACAAGAAGAAAGGGCATTACAAATGGTGAGAACATGTGTGAAGTTAACAATGCTGAAATTGCAAGGTATACTCAGAGAAGGATAAATGGTTCAGCATTGTTAAATCCCTAAGTTTACAACAGTAGAAGCTGAAACTGTCTATTTTCAGAGGCAACTGCAAGTTACCAGAGGTGTTATAACCAATTATAGTTAGCATAAACTAGAAACTGGGCCTAAGTTAATGGATAAATTAGCAGAAAGAGAAAAAGAAAGATTGGAAGGAGCAAGGTGGAGAGGATGCGTGGGTGGAAAGTGTTTTGTAATATGTGAGAAGTTATTAAAAGAGCTTACGAGCAGATGATGGACAACATAATCGTGCCTGTCAAGGAGGCCTCACAAGGTGAAGTGGTAGGATGTATCCTGCAGCAAAGCTGATAAGCACATTTCACAAAGCCTCAACATGCCCTGGAGAGGCAGGGAGTCAAAGCTTGGGGTCCTTGGATTTTCTGCAGAAAATGCCCAGGGGTGGATGGAGATTTTCCTAGCTATATTAGTACTGCCTTAAATCCGTCCTCTGCATTGCCGAGTGTTCGATCCAGACTGATCCAAATTAGCAGTTCAGAGGCTTTTTTTTTTTTTAACCAACCTGTGGCGTCTACAAATGAGGTAGCACATGAGTGAGGGAGCTTCTGCGAAAGAACCACTATGATCAACTGATATGGGTCAGAATTCCCTGCTAATGGGGGACTGTGCTAAAACACTTGCTTAAGATACCTCCTTTTTGGAAGGAATTAGCTGTTTCCTTTGACAGCTAGTGTTTTGATCCCTGTTTGGAAGAAACTGGATGTTTAAAAGGGTAATGATAACAAGAACTTACGTGTGTCAAAGGCAAAAACTTCTAAATAGGGAAAGGCATTATAATCAACTGCAGAGAAAAAAAAAATGTCCAGCTCTCTCCCAGACTTTCTAAATCAGGTTCTGGAGATGGAGCCCTTGCTTGTTTGTTTGTTTAGCCTGTTTATTTTTAAAAACTCTCCAGAGGATTCTGACACAGAAATCGTAGAGTGTCATGGCCCTGCATCTGGTTGCAGACACTGTAGAAGGTGTCCTAACACTGGTAGGAGGTAAATAATTCAGGGAGGGGTTTATGGAGCCCAGAGCCCTTTGCTCAGATCACTCCATTTAACAGATGCCTTGGGAGGGGCCACTTAACGTTTTTGAACCTTAATTTCTCCATCTATAGGTGGGAGCATCCAGATCTGTTCATTCCCTGGTAACATCACATGCGTGTTTTTGGAGCTTTCTAGAGAAAGACTTAAAACAGAAGATGATATTTTTGATATCTACAACAGACAAAAGGCTTTGACCACAGTGTACTCCAGAAAATGACTTATGTTTTTCAGTCTGTAGGGAGGATTATTTAATTTTTACTGACATTTTAATAGTCCCTTAGCCACCTTCAAAGATTCAACACTTCGGAGAATAACAGCTTTGGGGAAGGGGGTAAAATACATTAAATCAGTGACCTATGCAGGTTAGAAATAACAATATCTAAGGCAGTAGGAAAAACAAAGAATAGATGCTACTTAAGAGAAAACAGGCTGAAATCAGAATAGAATCAATCTCTTTCAAAACATTTTCTTGTAGAAATTACTGGAGTATACAAAAAAGCATTAGGCTGAAGTGATGATAATCTCCTTTTCAATCCAGCTTTGCCACTAATTAAGTCATCTTGGGAAAGTCTCTTTGTCTCTGGACCTCAGGATTTGACTGGATTTTGTCTCAGGGTCTTTTCAGTGGTAACATCCTAAGATCTAATAGGATGGCATTTCCATAAGAAGTGGACCTAGTGCCCCATGGAAGGCCCATGAATCCATGAGAATAGCAACAAGGAGCAGCCAATAGCTTTCCACCATCACTCATCCCTGCCTATGTCAAATAGCTGTGCTCCCAACACAGATGCACTGCTCCTTCCCAAGGTGGGCCCTGTTTTAATTGCCATTGATCTGCACAAGAGCCCTTGTTCCTTGGAGAGTAGAACCTGTGAAAAGATAATGGCTATGATCAGGGAATCTTAAGGATGTGTGGATAGACTTGAAGATGCCCATGAACTTGCATTAGTATACTAGTTCTCTCTTGTTCCATGCTAAATTGCCCCAGAACTTAACAGCATAACAAAACAAATATTTATTATTTCATGGTTTCTATGGATCAGGAATCCAGGCATTTTTTAGCTGGTTATCTATGGCTCAGCATTTCTCTTGAGGTTGCAGTCAAGCTGTCAGGCAGGGCTGCAGTCTCATCTGGAAGCTCAAATGGAGGTTGGAGGGTGGGTCCATTTTCAAGAGCAGTTGTTGATAGACCTTGACCCCTCACCATGTGAGCCTCTCTCAGGGCTGCCTCACAATACCACAGCTGTCTTCCCCTGGGGCAAGTGATCCCACAGACAGTAGGAAAGAGTGTTATAGACTGAATTGTGATCTCCCAAAATTCATATGTTGAGGCCCTAATCTCCACTGAGACTGCTTTGGAGATAAGGCTTTTAGGAGGCAATTAATGTTAAATGAGGTCTTAAGGGTGGGGTCCTAATGTGATAGGATTAGTGACCCATAAGAAGAGAAGAAAGACAGATCTCTCTACATCCAGGTGCACCTAGGAAAGGCCATGTGAACACAATGGGAGAAGGAGCTGTCTACAAACCAAGGAGAGAGCCCTGGACAAAACCTGACCAATGCTGACACCCTGAACTTAAATTCCCAGACTCCAGAACTGTGAGAAAGTAAATGTTTGTTGTTTAAGTCATCCAGTCTCAGGTACTTCGTTATGGCAGTCTGAGCAGACTAATACAGAAAGCATTGTCAAGATGGATGCCACAGTCTTCTTATAACCTAATCTCTGAAGTGATATCATCACTTCTGCTATATCCTGTTCATTAGATGTGAGTCAGTAAGTCCAGCCCACTCTCAAGGGAAGGGGTGTGAATATCAGGAAGTGGGGAATCACTGGGGTTATCTTAGAGGCTGCTACCATAACGGAGGAATATTGGCATCTTTATTTTCATTAACCTCTAACTGGCTTTAGTGTCACATTCTACAATAAATGTAGGCAACAAGTCACTGTGGTATGAACAGCACCTGTGGTTTTGTAACCAGTATAAATCAGATATTTTCTTATTATTTTATGGTTGTTGTACCTGCCTCTACTTACCACTACTTTGAAATATGGGAGTTATTAGACCTACTGCACTAGATTTTGTTATTTAATATATAAAAAGAAATTCACATTACTATACAACAACTTAAAAAATGCTTGGACAAAACTATTTTATTTGTAACTTTTTGTATTTTATTTTATGAGATGTAAAATATTATTCTGAGAGGTGATCCACAGGTATTACCAAACTGTTAAGGCGTTTGTGACACAAAAATATTAAGAATCCCTAAGCAAGTGATATTCAAAGTGTGGTTCTGGGAACAGCAGCATCAACATCACCTGGGAACTAGTCTGAAACGCAAATTATCAGGAGGTTCCTTCCCTGACCTACTGAGTCAGAAACTCTGGCGGAGGGACCCAGCAATCTGTTCAAATACACCCTCGAGGTGGCTCTTATGCTCACTGAAGTTTGAGAACCACTGATCTAGAGTCTTATTCAGAAATTGCATTTTCCACAAGCTCCCAGGTGATACTGAGACTGTTGGTCCAGACTTTTTGAGTACCACTGTCCTACCCTTGACTATAGCATCACTATTAATTGAATGTCTGTTAACCAACCCTCCTGTGGCCCCTATCATGTTGTCTGCAGCCCTGCAACTAACTAGCTGTGGCTCAGGGCAAGTTACTTAACCCCTCAGAGTTTATTCATATATTAAATAGAATGAAAAAGTACGCTAACTTGCAGGGCTATTATGAGAAATGGGAATAATGTATCTAAGGCACTTGGCGCAGTGCCTGAAGTGGAGCAGAAGCTCTGAAAGCAGATGTTATTAGCCATATTATGATTATCATTTAAAATTCTTATTAAGTAACTGAGCTTGCCTAGGAGGGTCCAAGACTAGTAGAGAAGAAACGTGCATGCAGCTCTCTGTCGGGATAATCAGGACATGCGCAGGAGCTCAGAACAGGGAGGTCTAACTCCAGAGAAGGAAAATGTGGCCTTACAAGTTCAAAGTGCTTTTCATTCAGTCTTGGGCCAATCTCACACTGATGCTTTGAGGTCGGCAAAGGGAACATTACTGTCATTCTTACATTACAGAAGAGGAAACTAAAGGCTCGGAGAAGCTGAAGACTTGCCCCAGGTCACTAATCATCAGAGCTTTCCCCATGCTCTTGTGAGCTCTTGATCAATCCAGTTACTAGATGTGTTTCTTGGGTACATTTGGGGATATCCCTGTGACCTGATCTCCAGGGTCTGGAGAAACCCAGGGGTGCTGTCTCAGCTGAGGGATGAGGCTGCGAGGAAGCTGTCTACTTAGAAAATCCTAAAAGGGAGAAATGGCAGGATGTTTGCATGCCTCCACTATGGAAGACACGGACAGAGCCAGTTTCTTCCAGATGCCACAGACTGCCCCTTCTCTCTGTCCCACACACTCACATACTGATGCCAGTGAAAAAGGATGCTTCAGGATTCACCTCTTCTGTCAGATGTGCCTCTTTTTTTTTTTGCTTTTGAGGCACAGTGCAAAGGTAGTATATTTAGTAAAGTCCCTTATAGACTGGAGTTTTAGAGAGTAAATGCTGAATGTATATTGTTTTCCTTGTTTGTTTTCCTTCGGGAAATCAGAAGGCTGACGATAGAAGATTTGACATCAAACACCATCACAGAGAGTTGGAACTTTGCTTTGGCTATCAAATTTAAAGTGGAGTGTCTAGGGCTGCAGGTATAGACAAGCATTTTTGATTCTTACAGATTGGTTTGAGCAACACTTCCTCAGACTCTGTCCCAAGAAGATACAGGAAACTGAGAACCCAGGGCATGTGAGATGCTTTTCCACTAGAGTTGCAGCATCTCGTCCACATTTCCAGTGGACTTTTGTCACCTCCAAGCTTTTCTTCCTAAGTCTCGGTTAATGGCTCTCAAAAAGTGGCAGACAAAAAAGGCGAGATGTGTCAGAAGAGGCAGGAAAACCACTGGAGAGATTCACTGAAGGTGGTTTGGTCAGAAAAATCTCCATCTAACAATCGTTAGTGGTCACTTTCATGCACATTCCTCTCAAATAAATACATTCCTCCTTCATAGGCAGCTATGCTGTCAGGGCAAATGGTGCCCCATGACCCTGGGCCAGCCCTGTACTTCCTCTGAAAAGAGCTTTGCTTTGGAAAACCCAGTTCATTCCAGTATCTTCCCTCTGAGAGCAAAGTGCAGGGTTCAAGACGCTATCTCTCTCATGAAATACTCACTAAACAAATTCCCAACATAGACAGCAAGCTTACACCATTATTAGTGAATGCCAGCACAAAATGGAGGAAGCTGAGGACAGCTGAGATACACACTCGGGGCAAAACAGGGAAGCTCTATCAAAAGATAAGTTCTCTTAGTGTCTTTCCAATTTTCTGTTAATATGAGGATCAAACTATTAACTTTAGGGGAAAGGCAGTATTCTGGAAGACTCAGAATTTTTCATATTTTCTATTAATGCAATTTACTGATTGGGACCACTGCCCATTCATGTATTAAATAATCTGGCACCTACAGAGCCCTCACTGGGTGAGATGTTCTCTTCTTCATTTCTTACTGACTCCCGCTCACCTTTCCCCTCACCCTGAAACAAACTCCTGCATCTCCTCAGGGCACTCAGCCCAGCTGCTGCCCTGCTTATCTCAGATGGCAGTCCCTTCCTGTATAGAGACATCCGAGGGCATGTGTGTGCCTCTCAGTGGGTTTCCTTAGCATCTCCCTTTGAGCATCTTCCTTTGTGTTTCAATTTTCCCTTTCTGCCTCTCTTTCCTTTTACTTCTTTTTTATTTTTGTTTTGATTTTTTTTGAGATGGAGTCTCACTCTGTCACCTGGGCTGGAATGCAGTGGGGTGATCTCGGCTCACTGCAACCTCCACCTCCTTGGCTCAAGTGATTCTCCTGCCTCAGCCTCCCGAGTAGCTGGGATTACAGGCGCACGTCACCACACCTGGCTAATTTTTGTATTTTTAGTAGAGATGGGGTTTTACCATGTTGGTCAGGCTGGTCTTGAACTACTGACCTGAAGTGATCTGCCCGCCTCCGCCTCCCAAAGTGCTGGGATTACAGGCATGAGCCACCACACCCAGCTCTTTCCTTTTACTTCTAAAGCCAAGTGGTCCCTCCACACCCTTGAGGCTAACTTTCCCTGCTCATGAGTGATGTCACCTTCTCTGACCTCTTTGGGACCCACTGTGGCAGTTGTTCTTTCCTGCTTTCATCATTGCAGCAGAGGTAATGAGTGCTCACCAAGTCTCCCCAGTCCTCCCCTATGTGTCCCTGCTCCTGTGCAGGTGGGCCAGCCTGAGGGACTCCTTCTGGGCAGTGGATAGTGGTGGAGTGATGTGGTCTCTCCCAGGCTGAGGCAGCTGACAGCTGGCATGCTGCCTTCATCTCTCTCTTCCCCTCTGCTGTGACCTTGGAAGCCAAAGGTCAGAAGGTGGAGATGACAGGATGGAGGGACCAGATTTCTGAGTCACTAGATAGACTCGCACTGACCTGTCCTTCACCTGGGCAAGAAATAAGCTTTTGCTTTGCTAAGCCACTCAGACTTCCTACAAATGATCTCAGTCTTGCCAAGCCTGTCCTGGCTAACACTCATCTTTCCATCTATCTGTCTCTCTGTCTCACTCCTCTGTCTATCTCCATCCAAGTTCAAGTCCCAACTCTTAGCATTTTGGTAAGTGCTAATACCATTTGGTGAATCCTTCCTGAGTTGTCCCAGTTGAAAATTCATTGCTTACATTGTAATGTTCCCACATGGACCTATGTAGCATTTTACATGTGCTATCTGACCAATCCTTACAAAATCATTAGTTTTACAGATGTGACTTTATTACCACATTCTTCATTGTTTTCTTGGAATCTTGTTGTGCAAATCTGTTTCTCCCTATGACTGTAAACCCCTTGAAGGCAAGACTGTCACGATGAGCAAACATGTCTTTATTCCTGACTTCCTTCTGGAGGTTCACACTTGAATTCCCAATGTGTCCCCATGTTTCATCTTCCTCTCCATGCCAGGTGGTACTGTTGACCGTCTATGCTACTTCTGCTCATGCAGCACCTTCACCTGGTGCCCATGTTTGAAATTTTGACTAAATAGCCTACCTTGCTTTTAGTCTAGTCAGTTGCCAAAATCTACAGATTTCACATCTGAAATCTCAATCTGGCTTTCACCAGCTCCTTATTTATTTATTTACTTGGTTTTTTTTTGAGATGGAGTCTCGCTCTGTCTCCCAGGCTGGAGTGCGGTGGCGTGATCTCTGCTCACAGCAAGCTCTGCCTTCTGGGTTCATGCCATTCTCCTGCCTCAGCCTCCCAAGTAGCTGGGACTACAGGTGCCCACTGCCACGCCCGGCGAATTTTTTGTATTTTTAGTAGAGACAGGGTTTCACTGTGTTAGCCAGGATGGTCTCGATCTCCTGACCTTGTGATCTGCCCTCCTCAGCCTCCAAAGTGCTGGGATTACAGGTGTGAGCCACCGTGCCCAGCCCACCAGCTCCTTATTTTTAAATCTCAAAGCCACCACTCTCATTTTGGCCCTTATTGTTTTTCTTAATACACTCCTAGGAGCTTTCCTAGTCCCTGGTTTTCCTTGTTCCAATTCATTTCAGAAGCTCCTATCAGATTAGCATCCCCCAAACTCCAAATTCATTATTTCTTTTCTCAAATGTGCTCAATGGTTCATTTCCATCTGTTTAATTAAGTGGCCTTCACAAACAACCACAATCAGGCCCGGTCTACTTTTCCTATCTCATTAATCTCTCCTCCCTCTTGGACTACATGATGTTCTCTCAACTATTTAGTTGGGTCCACACTTTCCCAACTTCCTGGCTCCTATCTTCCTGAATGTGTTCCTACCCCTGACTGTGGAAATCCTATTCATTCTGGGAAATTTGCTCTTTTAAAATTTTACTTTAAGTTCTGGGATACATGTGCAGAACGTGTAGGTTTGTTACACAGGTATATATGTGCCATGGTGGTTTGCTGCACCTATCAACCCATCATCTAGCTTTCAATTCCCACATGCATTAGGTATTTGTCCTGATGTTCTTCCTCCCCTTGTCCCCTACACTCCAACAGGCCCCAGTGTGTAATGTTCCCCTCCCTGTGTCCATGTGTTATTAACGGTATGTGTGTTCCCTTTAACAACTATTCATTTTACTACTATTCACCCTTTAACTTCCCTTTTTTTATAAATGTTGGGTCATGAAGTCATGTCACCAGTTTATGGGGGCAAAGATATTTCCAATTGACAGGAAAACTAAGAACTTCATGCTAAAATCTAGAGAGTTGCCACGGTATTTCTTAGAACTCATAAAATAGGTGTAAAATTATCTTGTCCTCTTCTGTTTTTATTTTATTCCTGACCCAGGCAATGACTCTAACAATAATGTTAGTTCATTATAAGTGATTCATAGAAAAAGAGTTGTTTGGCTAAAAGCAATAATATATTTTAAATTTCTTAAATCAGGATATGAAGGTTTAGCAAGTCACAGAGTCAGATTTCAGATTATATCCTTGTCTTTTCTCTGCAATTCATAATGAACGGTATATTTTGTAGTCAATCGCTGGCTGTCTTAATCTGTTTGGGCTATAAAAAATACCTGAGACTTCGTAATTTATAAACAACAGAAATTTATTGCTCATAGTTCTGGAGGCTGGGAAGTCCAAGATCAAGGCACCAGCAGATTTGGTGTTGGTGGGGGCACGTTCTATTTGAAATGGGCCTCCACCAGACACTAGATGTTCTTGCATGACAGAAGAGAAGAACAGGCTCCCTGAAGCCTCTTTTATAAGGGCACTGAAGAGCCCTCAGGACCTAATCACCTCCCAAAGGATGCATCTCTTAATATGGACACATGAGGAATTAGGTTCCAACGTATGAATTTTAGAGGGACACAAATTTCAGATCATAGCACTGGTGGAATAATTTACAACTTCTGGTAAAGCAATGTGCTTAACCAAAGAAGTTTCATGAATCAAATATGCCTGTCATTTACACAAATGTAGCCAATGATCTTCAGCAGGATCAAAAACCAATTAGACAACTTGGATGAATCTTAAGAGAATTATGCTGAGTGAAAAAATAAGACCAATCTCAAAAGGTTACAAACTATATAATTTAACTTAAATAGCATTTTTGAAATAAGAGAATTATAGATATGGAAGTCAGTGGTTGTCAGGGGTTAGGGATTGGGAAGCAGGTGCAGGGAGTGGGTGGGTGTGGCTCCAAAGGGGCAGCAAGTGGGAGGCGTGTGATGTATGAATGTGGTGCTTAAATGAAGCTGCACAGGTGATAACATTGCATAGAAATATATACAGGCAAACACCCTGAAATTTGAATAAACTCTGTGGATTGTACCAAGATCAATTTCCTAGCTCTGATGGTTTACTATAGTTAAGCAAGATGTTACCAGTGGGAGAAGGGCTGGGTGAAGGGGCACTTGAATTCCCTATATATTATTTTGCAACTTCCTGTGAACCTGTAATTATTTCAAAATAAAAAGCTTAAAAATAAGACCTTTCCTTGTCATTCTAGAGAAGGATCTGCAAACGAGGTCAGGAGGTAACACAAGTATATTAGTCCGTTCTCATGCTGCTAATAAAGATATACCGGAGACTGGGTAATTTATAAAGGGAAAAGGTTTAATTGACTCACAGTTCTGCATGGCTAGAGAGGCCTCAGGAAACTTACAATCACAGCAGAAGGTCAAAGGGAAGCAAACACATCCTTTTTCACATGATGGCAGAAAGGGGAAGTGCCAAACAAAAGGGGGAAAAGCCCCTCATAAAACCATCAGGTCTCATGAGAACTCACTCACTATCATGAGAACAGCATGAGGATAACCGCCCCCATGATTAAATTACCTCCCACCAGGTGTCTCCCACGACACATGGGGATTATGGAAACTACAATTCAAGATATGATTTGGGTGGGGTCACAGCCAAACCATATCAATAAGCAAGTAAAGTGGCTAGCAGGAGGCAAGGTTAGTGCTGTGGCCAGTGTCAAGGATGCAGTTGCTCTTTAGCTCCTGCCATGTGGGACCTGTGTACCTGGAATTGCAGGGCCTTCTGAGTGCTGTTGTTTTTATAAAATGCTGGAAATCTAAATTTCTAATAAAATTCTGACTTTTAAATATTAACAGCTATTATAAGTTTTTTTTTCTTTCCTTGTTTCCTTCTTTCTTTTTTTTTTTTGAGATGGAGTCTTGCTCTGTTGCCCAGGCTGGAGTGCACTGGCACAATATTGGCTCACTGCAACCTCCGCCTCCCGGGTTCAAGCAATTCTTCTGCCTCAGCTTCCCGAGTAGCTGGGACTACAGGCGTAGTACCACCATGCCTGGCTAATTTTTGTATTTTTAGTAGAGATGGGGTTTCACCATATTGGCCGGGCTGGTCATGAACTCCTGACCTCGTGATCCGCCCACTTCGGCCTCTCTTTTGAACACTATAGAGGCCAAACTAGAAAGCCAGATTTGTGTGCAATGGCTATTGATGTGCAAACTCAGCTTCCAGACAGAGGTTCAGTTTGGCTCCAAGATAAATTCTACCTTCAACAACCTGGTAATCTTAGTGCACAGCTCACACTGGTTTGTAATCTCTTAGGAAACGGAGAAATTGTCACTTTTGAGGCAGTAAGTGTTCTGATCAGGCCACTAATGAAAATTAGTGTACCAATCATTGATACCCAGGGATTCTGAAGAATGTCAGCATTCATTTGATTGCAGCTCAGACTGACGCTGCTGCAACTGGAATCTCCTGTCTACTCTGACCAAGACCTTCACAACCACTTCGTCAGTATGCTGGCTAAGGCACAGTAGGTGCTCAGTCTGTGTTGTTAGAAATATTCATTGGTTCTTCCTCAGCTGTCTTAGTTCTTTTACATTTTAAAGCTAAAAGAAATCTACAAAAACTGAGAAAATGAACTAAAATCTGGTATCTTATGCCACAGTTTTCCTGTGGCTGATGCAATGGCCTGGTGAGTATACTTTATACATAGATGCCAGCAGCACCCCTATAATCTCTGTCTCTATTTGAAGCTTTGAATATAAGCTCTTACTCATTAGCAAAAAATGAGTAGATCAAGGTACTGGTAAGATCCTCATTCCAGTTTTGGTTCCTTAAAGTCTTTATCATCTCTGCCCTGTTAAATGCCTAGAATCTAGACATTCCTTCCTCCCCAACTCCCAACCTGGCCATCTGACTCAAAATAAGTGAAAGGAGGACATAGTATGTTCTTCACAACTTGCAAAACAGCTCCAAGCACACCGTCTGTGAGTCAGTAACACCCCACTCCACCCCCTCATGTTTCAAAAAACACCATGTGCACTAATCAGACGTCCATGTCCAGTCTAGTAGCCTGGGTACACTCAATTCCTTCATGGAGTGTGGAGAAAAATTCCAATCTTTCAGCTTTTAAAATATCATCTATGGCCTAATTATACATTCTCAAAATCAAATTTAAAATGATTAAGTGATTCATTTCCATTAATTCTGTTCTCTTTCCCCAAAGTCATCTGCTAATAAGAGTCCAGAGAATGTTTTCTAATCCTCCTTTAAAAAAGAGACTATTTGTAGGTATTACATAAATATATATCAATAAGAGGTCTTTCTTGTTTACCATTTTTCACAAAGCTCTTTAATATGTAGACTTTTAAAGGGTTGGTTCTCAGCCTTGAAAATTATGCTAATGAGGTAACAGCAATAATTCAAATTGTAGCCACTAATTTCTCTAAGGGAAAATATGCAGAGGCCCCAGGCTCTACGTTTGTTTTCAACTAATTATCATGTATTTACTTTTCCATTAGTCCAATAATTTTTCTTTCAATTCAGAATTAAGCAATATGACACTGAATTATATAAAGGTCTGTTTAGCATAGCAGACACACCTCATCATTTCCTAGTACTCTGATTTACAGCTCTTAAAATGCACAACCGAGAAGCTGTCTATATGCCCTTTTGTATTTATATTCCATCATGCAGTCACCTCAATAACTTATGCATTCTCAGAAGGTCTACCTAGCAATTAACTCCAGTCTTTTCTAACTCACCATCTCATTATGTAAAGTGGATCTGAGCATAAACTTTATTAGCAACTTTCAATTCTAATTCCTTATCTCCCCCACCCCCACTCTGTCAAACAATGTCAGTTTATATGTGACAAAAATGCTTTGTAAAATGGCAGTTTAAAAAATCCACGTTGGACTGGCAGCACATTTAGTAATTAGTCTTTGCACTACGGGGCACTATATTAAATCGAGATTGTCATATTTCAGCTAAAGCATGTGACCGAGTTCTTCATAGACATGGAAACAAATCAAATTCTCCTTGCTTCACAACATAGCCTTTTGACTATGTTTAGGAGGAAAAGACAATGAGGAAATCTATCATTTTTATTCAAAAGGTCAAAATCTAAAAACAACAAAACAAAACCCAAACAAACCAACCCAAACTCCTTTGCTAAAAGGTAAAAGACTTCTTAGTATCTCTTCTTCAAACTCGAGAAAGAGGAGGGCCAACTTGCAGACTTTTCTCATGCATATGAAGTGTATTAGCTGAATAGCTGAAATGGGGTTTAATGTACATGTTCTCGTGGTAAAGAACCAAGGGGGTTGATTAAGGTTCTTATAAAACTAAAGGAATGGCAGCACCTGAAGACAAAGTGTCCACTGTGTGACAGGGAGATGCCTGCAACTGACTTACCAATGTCGGGGTCCACGGCTTGAACTCTGGTCAACAGAGCCTTGGTGGCTGTGTTCTCATAGACACAGGTGTTGTAGTGGTCAGAAGAAAACACAGGGGGGTTATCATTCACATCCTCCAGGATTAGGTGGATGTTGGACTGGCAGAACCTGCCACCCCCGTCAGTGGCCTTGGCCATCAGGCTGTACACGGGGATCCTCTCCCGGTCCAACAGAGCCAAGGTTTTTAACTCGCCTGTGAAAATAAATGGCAGCATGATTGGTCTGAGTTTTTAAAAACTGTCTTTCTTTGGAGAGCAGAGGACCAATTATACAAACAATTCTCAACATAGGAAGGACTAACATCATTTGGCCCAAGTGTCCCATACTTTAAAAATGTAGCAAATTCAACAGTTTATGTGTCAGGGAAAAATGTATGGGATTCTAGATGCAAAAACAAAACAGCTGTGTGACCTTCAAATTAATTAATCCCTTTTTGAAACCGCTGGTATAAGGGGCTCTTTCTTTTGGCTACACGGAGAAGCTTCAAACCTCTTTAAACCTCTCAAGATCTACTCTGGAGATCAGTCTCTGGATTTCTGCTATATGTCCAGAAAACACACAGAGAATGGACTGGTATATCTGGTTCTCTGATGGTCAATATTGTCAACAACCCATAGACCCAGAAAGGCAGTCTCTTTGCCTCCAGATACTCAACTTTTTGCTCTATCATTTACAGGAAAACAGGTAATGAAAACAGAAGCTGGCTTTAGCGGGGCAGGGTCTTGAAGGACCCCTATTGTGTAAGGGTTAACCCTTAACTTGCTGGATTGTGGAAGGGCCTGACATTGCTTGGGGAGGAGTCAAGTCGGAGAAAACTTGAGGAGCATGGAAAAGCAGTTCCTTAGCATCCCGCGTGGAGTAATGTTATGTCTATATTTTAACCACTGGAATAGCTGCATTGGTGCTGGAAACCAGCTTTTGTGGAGATATTTTTGTTGTTTAAGTTTCATAAGATAATGACAACAAGCACAGTGACAAACCTGAATAAATGTTATTTGGTGGAAAGTATGACTCATGAAATATTATCAATCTTAAATAAAATTAGTAGATATTATTTGGATGAAGCTACCTATATTCATTTATTTATTTATTTTATTTATTTATTTTTTTGAGACTGAGTCTTGCTCTGTCGCCCAGGCTGGAGTGCAGTGGCATGATCTCGGCTCACTGCAAGCTCTGCCTCCTGGGTTCACGCCATTCTCCTGCCTCAGCCTCCCAAGTAGCTGGGACTACAGGTGCCCGCCACCATGCCTGGCTAATTTTTTTGTATTTTTAGTGGAGACGGGGTTTCACTGTGTTAACCAGGATGGTCTTGATCTCCTGACTTTGTGATCCACCCACCTCGGCCTCCCAAAGTGCGGGGATTACAGATGTGAGCCACCGTGCTGGCCAAAGCTACCTATATTTATTAAGGCAGTTCATCTTTTAGCTTCCTGGCTATGGCCAGCCAGTTCTCAGATACAGGTTGGATCATTTCCCTCTCCTACTCAAAAAGCATCCAGGGATTTTCATTGGGACATTCAAGACACTCCACAATCTGGCCTAAAGTAGTTTTCCCTCCACTTTTGTATATGACATTACCTGGATGCGCTATGCTCTCTGCTCATGCTGTTCCTATAACTTGCAGTGTCCTGTTTAAGCCACTGAGAATCCTGGCTGAGTTCAAATGCTAGTTCTTCCTTTAAGCAGTTTCCTTTTTCCTCTTATCAGAATATTAGTTACATCTTCATCTGTGCCCAGATATAGCTCCCCTTATGTTTCTCCTGAACACTCATTTCATTGTGCCTTGATTGTTATTATTGGTTAACTTGCCTGTCTTCCCTACTGGATTACAATATCCCCTGGGCATGATTTATTTTGTTTATCTTGGAGTCTACCACAAATATCCCATAAAATACTTTTATGTCTACTGGCTACTCAATAAATGTTACCTTTTGAATAAATAATCACCAGGCCCATATAGCTGAGTAGTATATTCCCATGTAGCTAAGTCAGTGCTTCCTTGTAGGATGCAACCTCTTACAAGACTGGGGCAGGGAGGAGCCACTACCTTTCTGGAGACTCAATAGTCAGTTATTGTTCACTAGAACCAACACAACACTGGAAATATGCAAGCCAGCCAATCTTTACGCTTAAATTTAAAATGTCATTGGATGGGTCATCTAATCTACAAAACTAAAATAATTTGCTACCATATAAAAGGTTTTTCCATTAGCTCTGGCCTTCAATGCAGGCATCTGCCTTTAGCTTACATAACCTTGCACCTTGTCAGTTTTACCTGAATATACAACCAAGCAAATCTGAGGGCTTATAGGTTTGGAGAAACTAGGCAAGAAAGTTTAATAAAAACTAGACAACTGTGTTAATAAGAATCAGAAAAGGACCCTAAAGCCATTTCAAAGTGAGAAAAATTCTCCTTCCTATAAATTGCTGTCTGGTTTTCGTGGCAACCTGCATTTGTGATACAACTTCATTTATACCTGTTACGAGCATATACCTTAAAACTTACAGATACGAGAAACAAGAGAAGCAAACAGAGATGTCCGCTTACTTGATGCTAATAAATGTAGGTAAAGTCTGGGCAAGTTTTACAAAGAAAATAAAAAGTTTCTGTGGTCCAGAGTACCCATATTTGGATATGTCCCTACAATTTCTTAGAGCCCAAGATACTGAGCATCATATTCTTGGGGTACAGAGAATGATACCCCAAAGTATGGTGCTTTGACATGCTGAGCACCTTGAATTAAAAAAAATTTGGAAGGCCTTAAAGCTGCCTTAGAACCAAGAACTTTCAAACTTTCTCTTATTTCCCTCATCTCTCTCAAGTGCAGGTGAAGACTCTCTTTGAAATTTCCTCATCTGACTAAGAAAACTTCTTTCCAAAAGAAATGCATTTGTCTTAAGATCCCCCTCCATAGAAATCTCATCAAATAACTGGGAAAGATTCACCACCAGAGAAGAGAAAAGAGACTAAAAGTCATCACCATGTCCAGACAGATTTTTCATCTCTTCTTCTGAGGGAAGCTCCTAGAGATTAACTGGGAGACTTTATCTGCATAACTAGATAACCTTTGTTCACAGTCAGTTCAATCCGTCACCTCCCCACATTTTCCAGTTCCATTGAGTTTCCTAGGAGAATTATTTACAAAATAATGGATGCCCTCCAGATTATTCATTTCCCCTAAAAATCATTGACTACTCCTCTAAAATTGCCTACAGTCCCCCAACTTCCCTCTCCCCTAGCAACAGCCTTAACCATCTGGCTTTTCTTTGGGTCTCTTATTTTTGGGGCTGTGTTACCCACGTTCACATAAGTAAATCCATATGCCTTTTCTCCTGTTAATCTGTCTGTGGTCAGTTCATTTCAGCAAACATTCAGAAAGGATGGAAGGGAAAATTTCCCTCCATCCCTATAAGAGTAAGTATACTACTAACTATTTACTAGTGATGAGACCACATAAGTTTAACTTCTCTCATGAATTAACAATGACATTTATCTCAATAATAAATTTTAGCTTACCACTTTCTGGATCTAGAAAAAATTCACTGTTTCCAGATCCATAGAGTGAGTATCGTATATATCCATTGGATCCAATATCAGCATCCTTTGCACTGACTTTCAGGATGATTTTATTTGATGGAATGTCTTCAGGAAGTAATGCTGTATATGCAACCTGGACAAAGGTGAAGAAAGGTAATAAAATCATTAGTATTTGTGGGGGCAATTGCCATATTTAGCATTATATAGGATTTCTTTAAAAATTCATTTATATAATTTAGCTTTTGTTATTTTTTTCCTTCACTACAGAAACATATTTCAATATATTATGAAACACAGTATATCTGCTGCTCTTCCACTCCCATGCTTATTCATTTAACAAATATTTATTGAGCATCCACTATATGTACCATTCTAAGCACTAAGAGTACCACGGCAAAGAAAACAGAGGAACATCCCCACTCTTGTGGAACCATAACACACACCACACATTGACCATGGCTGTCTGTTTTTCTCTTGAGCCCCAGTAAGTCCTAGGAATTCTCTTCAACTCTTTAAAGAGCCACTACCAGCATTTGGCATTAGTATGAGAGATTAAATCTATTTGCAATACTTTTCTAATCTATAGGACACCAATATTGTCTCTTGGTCCACATGATAGAAAAGAATAAATAGTGATTTAATTTCAGTATGAGAGAAAATAAAATCTAGTACTTGTACCTTGCAATGGCATTATATTTTATATAGTAGTAGAAAGGCCACTTCATAAGGAGCCTGGAGACCAGTGTTCAGCACCAACATTGCCACTAACCAAATGTGTAAACTTATATAAACAAGTTAACATCCTGTAGAGTGGTCCATTTCTCTTTTATGATATCAGTGATTTAAACAGAATAAGTCCTAAAGTCCTTTATGAATTACTCAAAAAATTATTTAAGACATTGGTTTCTTTCTTTTTTTTTTTTTTGTTGGGGGCAGGGTACAAAATTAGGTATCTGATCTTGCTACCTATACTCTTTTCATGTTTTCAATATTTCTTCCTAAACTTCACCTCCTACCCTCTTATACCCACACCCAATTGCAGATAAGAGCAGAAGTTTGCCTGGCCTTAAGAAGAAAAGTGAAATGGGTTTTTATTTTATTTTGGAGAAGCAGAGTAAAAGCAGAACCCTATCCCCAAATCTCACCTGATCACACACTGGGCTATTGTCATTCACATCACTGACGCTCACTTCCACCATGGCCTGTGTGACAAAAAGCCCATCAGTGGCAGTGATATTGAGAAAGTAAATGTCCTGTTCTTCTCTGTCTAGAGGCCTCTTCACATAGACCTTCCACTCACTTTGCACCAGGCCCAGAGCAAACCTTCCTCGAGGGTTTCCTCCTGCAGTTAAAAAAACAAAAGAGCTTTTGAAGATGTGCAATGAAATGTCTTAATCTACATCTACCTTGAGAGGTGCATGTGGAGTCATCCAGGTACTCCTTAAACTGTATCATTTAGGATACTACAAAGATACTGAGACTCCCTTTGATTCTTGGGCAACAAAGCATGATATTTATATGCTTGGCTTCTGTGGAAAGCAAAACAGTAACTTTCCAAGATAATAAAATCCACTTAGAGAAGCTGGAGATGATCTCTTGTTTAGTTCCCCTTAAGAACAATCAAATTCAAACTGTGAACAATCAATCGTCTTCTCAGGCTGACACAATCGTCTTTCCACTTAGTCTCAAGAGAGGATGTAATACACTCTAGCTCTTGTTACCAAGACAATTTCATTAGCCGTTGATTATGCAGTCAAGGAAAGGCAGTTAGTTCTATTAAGGAATCTTTTAATGAAGCCTTTATCATACAGCTGCGCTCTTCTCATAAGAACTGGAGTTTGGCGGAGAAAAGTTTTCACGACAGAGGAGGGCCCATTAGTGTTAAATAGCCCTAACGAGGGGTCATTTAAAAAGCAGTTCAAAGATAAGCACTGCAATTAGACCAAATGTATCAGAGTGAAGCTGGGGAACATGGAAGAAAAGAAAACAGATGAAGTGGAACAGCTTTCTAAGATGCTGAAGCATGGACAGTGGTCCCAGCAATATGACTTTTCCACATCATTAAGCTACATGGGGGCAAAAGCAGCTTGGGGAACAAGATAGGAGGAGGAAGGAAGAAGATGATGACCTTGATGTAATCCGTAAGAAGGGAAAAATGTCATTTCAGACACCGAGAAAGACTGAGAAGACCACTGGCGGTAAGTCAGGAGTCAGGTTTGATGATCACTATTTCATTTATTTGGGCATTCAAGTATTTATCATATACCCTGGGCCAGGCATTGTTCTAGGCAGCAGGGCTACATCAGTGGACAAAACCAGCAAAAATATCTGCTGTCTCAGCAGAGATCACATTCTGGAGGGAAAGACTGAAAATAAACAAGTAAGGAAAGTATACTGCATGCCAACTGCTACTTCATTGAAAACTTGGAGCCATATCTCACACTTACAATGAATCTTTAAAAAGCAGAGGGCAAATATCGGGGTCCTACTGAAGAGACTGAGTGGGAAGGGGTGGGATTCTGAGTGCCAGACTGCATTCTTGCTTATAATGCAAGGGGCTGCTCAGTCTGAGGGCCTCAGCACTGGGAGTGGGGGCAAGCCACAGTGGAATACAATGAAACCAAATCAGCCAGACAGTGCAGAAAAGGTGAGAGCTGCCTATTCCTCTGGGGCAGTGGTTCTCAACTGGGGACAACTGTGCCCTTCCCCTCTGTGGGGATATGTGTATTGACATTACATATGTCTGGAGACATTTTTGCTTGTCACATTGGTGGGAGGGAAGTGATGGTGGTGGTATGTGCTACTGGCATTTAGTGGGTAGAGGCCAGGGATGCTGCCACACATCCTACAGTGCACAGGACAGCCTTCCTCAGCAAAGAATGATCTGGCCCCATATGTCAATAGCGGTGTGGCTGAGCAACCCTGCTCTAGGGAGCTTCAGGGTCCTCCCTGGGATATCACTTTCCTTCACCACTGGCCAGGATTCAATTATGCTTTAGTTGAATATTATTTCAGTGCACACAAACTTAACCTCTCTATTAAATGCTTTCAGTGCAGGCCCACAGTGTTCTTTTGTTACATAAAATGATTAATGGTCCTTTGTTAATTGGAGGCAGCACAGCCAAGTTGTGTTACATCAAGAGCAAAAGTTAAATCTAATTAAAATCAGTTGGTGGTTGGCACTGCTAATAGTAACAGTAGCTTTAAGCTACTCTGTACTCATTACTTTGGTAAAGTCGATGGGATAGTCCCTTTAAATCATCCATTGACAATTCAGAGGCTATCTATAAATAATTAAGGCTGAGTATTTTACAGTTTCTCCAAATAGAAAAGGACCCTTCAGAATGCCTAAGAAGCTTTTTTTTTCCTGAAAATAAATGCAAATGAATTAAAGTCATGCTTCACTCACCTCTTTCTTCTATCTTTCATGTTTTAACTGCAGAAATACATATTTTAATCAAAAAAGAGGTCTCAGATAGATCATAAAGTGTTTCAAGGGGAAAACTTCACCAAGAGAACAGTCCCATGAAGAAAAAGGAAGGGAATCATGCTGAAAAGTGTGGCAACCCCAAGCATTGACACATTTGCTCTACTGTGG